>NC_000009.12:111345552-111970552 GCF_000001405.40 Homo sapiens | reverse complement strand
TGGCTCATGCCTGTAATCCCAGCACTTTGGGAGGCCGAGGCGGGTGGATCACCCGAGGTCAGGAGTTCCAGACCTGGCCAACATTGGCAAAACCCCATCTCTACTAAAAAGACAAAAATTAACTGGGTGTGGTGGCGGGCGCCTGTGATCCCAGCTACTTGGGAGGCTGAGGCAGAAGAATCACTTGAACCAGGGAGGTGGAAGGTGCAGTGAGCCAAAATGGCGCCACTGCACTCCAGCCTGGGCAACAGAGTGAGACTCTGTCTCAAAATAAAATAAAATAAAATAAAATATCACATAAATGTCAGAGGAAAAGATGGAGAAATAAAAGCAATCAAAAGAAGGATGAGAGGCTGTGAAAGGCCCATGTGCCCTGCTAACTGAGACTTGGTCATGACCCAGTGGGCCTGCATTTCCTACGGAGGATAAAAAGCTAAAGATTCAATACCTCAGCTTCCTCAGAAGGATACAGGTCTTCTTCTCACATGAAAACATGTTGAAATTACTTTAAGAAAAATCAAGTTGCAAAGATGTATAGAAAAAATTGTGTGTGTGTGTGCGTGTGTGTGTGTGCGTGTGTGTGTGTGTGTGTGAAAGAGAGGCTGAATTGTGCCTTGGCTCACCCCCGACCAATTTGTACGTTGAAGCCCTAATCCTCAGCCTCTCAGGATGTGACTGTATTTGGAAACAGAGCCTTCAAAGAGGTAATTAAGGGTAAATGAGGTCATTAGAGTGGGCCGTAATCTAACAGGACTGGTGTCTTTATAAGAAAAGGAGATTAGGACACAGACTCACACAGAGGGAAGACCATGTGAGGACACAGGGAGAGGACGCGGCCACCCAAAAGCCAAGGAGAGAGGCCTGAGAAGAAACCAGCCCTCTCAACACCGTGATCTTGCACTGCCAGCCTCCACAACTGTGAGAAAATAAATCCTGTTTTTGGAGTAACTGGTCTGGGGTATTTTATTAAGGCAGCCCTAGCAAATAGGATGTAATAAAATAAAACTTGAAGAAAATATGTAATTTTTAAATTTTTTTAAGAGATGGGGGTCTCACCGTATTGCTCAGACGGGTCTGGAACTCCTGGGCTCAAGCAGTCCTCCTGCCTCAGCCTCCTTAATAGCTGAGACTGCAGGCGTGAGCCACCTGGCCCAGCTCAAAACTGGAAGAAAATCCATCATACTCTAGCTGAGGTTACTTCTGAATGGGTGGCTATATAAGGGACTTTTAACTTTTTTTAAATTTTTTTAAGTCAGAGTCTCTCTCTGTTCCCAGGCTGAAGTGCAGTGGCACAATCAAAGCTCACTATAACCTCCGCCTCCTGGACTCAAGGGATTTTCCCATCTCAGCCTCCTAAGGGACTACAGGCATGTGCTACCATGTCTGACTAATTTTTGTGTTTTTCGTAGAGATGAGGTCTTGCCATCTTCCCCAGGCTGGTCTCAAACTCCTGGGCTCAAGTGATTTGCCGGCCTCGGCCTCCCAAAATGCTAGGATTACAGGCATAAACCACCATGCCCAGCCTTAACTTTTATTTTTTGTTTTTGTTTTTTGTTTGCTCGTTTGTTTGTTTAGAGATCATATCTCGCTCTGTCGCTAAGGCTGGAGTGCAGTGGCAAAATTTCGGCTCACTGCAGCCTCCACCTCCCAGGTTCAAGTGTTTCTCCTGCCTCGGCCTCCCGAGTAGCTGGGATTACAGGCACACACCACCACACCTGGCTAATTTTTGTATTTTTAGTAGAGACAGGATTACGCCATGTTGGCCAGGATTGTTTCAAACTCCTGACCTCAGGTGATCTGCCCACCTTGGCCTCCCAAAGTGCTGGGATTACAGGCACGAGCCACCACGCCCAGCTTAACTTTTAAATTATGCATTTTTGTTTGAACATATTATAATAAGCATAATTTCTTTCTTAATGGAAATAAGGAATCTTTTAAAATTAGCTAAGATAAAAGAAAGTTAAAATGCAGAGTAACTGACGCCTCTCTCGTGTGGCCACAATTTTGCCTCTGCTGCCAATAATGCAACTTACACAAGCACATCCTGTTAGTTACAGTTCACTGTGTCTGTGGGAAGACGGCCTGGACCACTATTAAAAGATACCCATGGCTGGGCGCAGTTGCTCACGCCTGTAATCCCAACACTTTGGGAGGCCGAGGCAGGCAGATAACCTGAGGTCAGAAGTTCGAGACCAGCCTGGCCAACATGGTGAAACCCTGTCTCTACCCAAAATATTTTTTAAAAAAATTAGCCAGGCCTGGTGGTGGGTGCCTGTAATCCCACCTACTTGGGAGGCTGAGGCAGGAGAACTGCTTGAACCCAGGAGACAGAGGTTACAGTGAGCTGATACAGTACCACTGCACTCCAGCCTAGGTGACAGAGTGAGACTCCGTCTCAAAAAAAAAAAAAAAGATACCCACCTAGTGTTAATAATGGTATCAAACAAGAATGCTCTCTGCTTTGAGCAAAACCAAAGGAGTGATACCTATGACCAGCTCTAGGGAAATCTAATATCTACTTAGTAGTTTGTTCTAGGGGAAAGAACTGGGACTGGGAGGTCTTTATTGCAGAAGGTAGAGAAAAGTAATCAGGCATTTTTTTTCACTAACGTGTTGAGCCCTTATTATATGCAGTCATTATGTTAAGTGATTTTCATTTATTATTTCATTTAATTGGGAAACAGTGCTTTGGGAGGTTGAGGCTGGAGGATCACTTGAGCCCAGGAGTTCAAGACCAGACTGGGCAACATAGTGAGACCCCATCTCTACCAAAATTTTTTAAAAATTAGTCGGGCATGGTGGCATGTGCCTGTAGTCCTAGCTACTCTGGAGGCTGAGGTAGGAGGATTACTTGAGCCCAGGGGGTCAAGGCTGCAGTCAGCCATGGTCGTGCCATTGCATTCCAGCCTGGGTGACAGAGCAAGACCCTGTCTCAAAAAACAAACAAACAAACAAACAAAATAAAATAAAGATTAAAAAGTAAAAGGGCAGCTGAATCTGAAAGAGTTTAACGAAGTTGGTCAAACCTCTCAGCCGACACAGAAGCAGCCAGGATTTGGACCCGTGTAGTCTGGCTTAAGGCTAATGCTCTCTTAACCTACATCTTGTGTAAGAAGGGCTGGCATCAAGTTTTACTGCAGCTACTTGCTAGATAAATGACCTTGGGCAAATCCCTCCCTATCCATAGGCCTAACTTCCCTCTTTGGTAGAGAGAGGGGCTTCACCTAGATACCCTCTGAGGACCTCTTGGCAGGCCTGGCCCTATTCCATCATTTTGGCAAATGGTCTGGGTAGAGGAGTCCAACAGATGGGGCTTTGGTTCCAGCACAAGATTTGCCTTAGCTTTGAAGAGGCAGCTGTGTCCTGGAAGATAGGCACTGTCACCAGGAAAGAGATGATGTCTTCTCTGCAGGATCTGCTGGGGGAGGGAGGGGGACTCACTCATAGCCAGGCTGTGTTGCAAGACCTTGGGGAGCTCCCTACCTCCCCTTCCTTCTGAGCCTTACTCTTGCCTTTATTCTTGGCTCCACTGCCATTTTCTCAGCTCCACTGCCATTTTCTCAGCTCTGTGTTGCCCATCAGTGGTGATAAGTGATGCCAAGATCAAGCTGCTGGCAGTTTTTTTGTTTGTTTGTTTGAGATGGAGTATTGCCAGTTGCCCAGGCTGGAGTGCAGTGGCACGATCCTGGCTCACTGCAACCTCTGCCTCCTGGGTCCAAGTGATTCTCCTGCCTCAGCCTCCCAGTAGCTGGGGCTACAGGCATGAGCCACCACACCCAGCTATTTTTTGTATTTTTAGTAGAGATGGGGTTTCATCATGTTGGCCAGGCTGGTCTTGAACTCCTGACCCCAAGTGATCCACCCACCCCGGCCTCCCAAAGTGCTGGGATTTCAGGCTTGAGCTACCACATCCAGCTGCTGCTGGCAGTTTAAAAAATGTTTTGGTAGAGATGGGGTCTCACTATGTCGCCCAGTCTGGCAGTCCAAGATCAAGGTGTTCCCGCCACCACCACCCCTGCACACCAGCCTGTGCCTGTTCAAGCTGAACTTCATTCTTCTCCATGGACACACCAGCCTTATCACACCTCTGCACGTTTCATACACATGACAGTCTCCTCTGCCTGCAATGACACCCACCCCTTTCTTCATATCTTTAAGTTTTTTGTTTGTTGTTTTGAGACGAGTCTCGCTCTGTCACCCAGGCGGGAGTGCGGTGGTGCGATCTCGGTTCACTACAACCTCTGCCTCCCGGGTTCAAGCAATTCTCCTGGCTCAACCAACTGAGTAGCTGGGATTACAGGTGCGCACAACCATGCTGGCTAATTTTCTTTCTTTCTTTTTTTTTTTTTTGAGACAGAGTCTTGTTCTGTCACCAGGCTGGAGTGCAGTGGCGCGATCTCGGCTCACCTCAACCTTTGACTCCCTGGTTCAAGCTATTCTCCTGCCTCAGCCTCCTGAGTAGCTGGGATTACAGGCACGTGCCACCACACCCAGCTAATTTTTGTATTTTTAGTAGAGACGGGGTTTCACCATTGTTGGCCAGGATGGTCTCAAACTCCTGACCTCAAGTGATCCGCCCCCCTCCACCTCCCAAAGTGCTGGGATTACAGCGTGAGCCACCACGCCCGGCCACCTTTAAGTTGTTTATACTTCTCCGGGTCTGGCTTAGAAGTCCCTCCTCCTTGAGGTCTGTCTTTAAATTAGAAGTGCCCTCTGTCCCCCTCTGACCACCCATTGCATTTTATCAATCCCTTTCTTTGAGCAGGCACTACTTCTTTTTCTCCTAGTGGTTAAATAATCATCTCTCAACTGGACTGTGAACCACAAGGCAGGATTCCTGTCACATGAAGCATCTTGGATTTCCCCATGGCACCTAGAACATATTAATGAGTAACAAAGAGTGTGTACCTAAGTTCAGAGCATGAGTAAGAAACTGAGTGACCTCAGTTGCTGAGACTCTGAGGCATGAAACTTAAGAATGGAACACAGAGATGGAAGAGAACAGAACCCTTCAAGGGAATATTTATGGTGGATGGAAATCAATCACCTTAGGCCAGAGATACAGAGGGCATATAGTAAGGCTAAAAGGAAGAACAACACAAGTACTGTCCTGGTGGACAAGAAATGCAGTCTTGGCCAGGCGCGGTGGCTCATGCCTGTAATCCCAGCACTTTGGGAGGCCGAGGTGGGCGGATCATGAGGTCAGGAGTTCGAGACCAGCCTCGCCAACATAGTGAAACTCCGTCTCTGCTAAAAATACAAAAAGTAGCCGGGCATGATGGTGCATGCCTCTAATCCCAGCTACTCGGGAGGCTGGGGCAGGAGAATAGATTGAACCTGCAAGGCAGAGGTTGTGGTGAGCCGAGATCACGCCACTACACTCCTAGCTGGAGGGAAGTAAAGAATGATATGGAAGTACATAAACAGTCCACACTCCACTGAAATTTTCATACACATAAAACCAGAGCCTGTGGCAAACTCCTCGCTTTGCTTTGCCGACAGCTTTATGGTGGTTGTGAGAGGAAAGGTAGAGAAGCAATACTGATCAAAAAAGGAAGTTAAATGCATAAGAATCATAAGAGAAAGAAACTATGGCTTGAGGTACTGAGGGGTTAATTTCTTTATGGGGATTAGGAAACAAAAATGCACTTTTGCTGTAATAAGGTGGGTTTTTTTCCTCTGAAAACAACACTAATGTATTTTTATTTATTTATTTATTTTTGAGAGGGAGTTTCACTCTTGCTGCCCAAGTTGGAGTGCAATGGCACAATCTCGGCTCACTGCAACCTCCACCTCCCAAGTTCAAGCAATTCTCCTGCCTCAGTTACCCAAGTAGCTGGGATTGCAGGCATGTGCCACCACGCCCTGCTAATTTTGTAATTTTGGTAGAGATGGGGTTTCACCATGTTAGTCAGGCTGGTCTCGAATTCCTGACCTCAGGTGATCCACCCGCCTCAGCCTCCCAAAGTGCTGGGATTACAGGCGTGAGCCACCGCACCCAGCAGAAACACTAATTTTGAGCTAGAAAACGTGGTGGATCTTAGAATTGGGATACGATGGGACTTCTGCTCTCAGGGGCTAGGACACTGAGATGGTAGGGAAAGGGAGTTACAGGTAAAATGTGTGACTATGTTTAGAAATATCTCCGCATGTAGCACTCTAGCCCTATACGAAGACACCTTGGGAAGAGGCTGTGTCCATGTGTCACCTACAGATAGAGCTGTGTGGCAGAAATTTCCCACACTAGATGTGGCTGCAGCTGAGCACAACACTATAGAGGAGAAGCATTATCTTCTCCTCTGCCACTGGGTGTGTCTTGACAGCCAAAGCACTTTCTTCCATAGTCAAGGTCCTCTGGATCTCCAGCACACCATATGTTGGTGAAAGTGGTATCTGGGTGACCATCATGTGGACTCGGAAAGCACAGACCTGCTGACACAGCAAGCATTAGGTTCTCCAGCTTCTAGAGTGGAAGACAGCAAGGGAGAAGGAGATCAGGAATGGGTTTGTGTATGAGTTTTCTACTGCTGCTGTATCAAATCACCACAAACTTGGTAGCTTAACAATACAAATGTGTGATCTACAATTCTGGAGGTCAGAAGTCTAAAATGGGCCTCACTAGGTTAAAATCAAGGAGTCAACAGGACTGCCTTCCTTCTGTTTTTTGTTTATTTGGTTTTTTTGTTTTTGTTTTTGTTTTTTTTTTTGAGATGGAGTCTCGCACTGTCGCCCAGGCTGGAGTGCAATAGTGCAATCTCCACTCACTGCAAACTCTGCCTCCCAGGTTCAAGCGATTCTCCTGCCTCGGCCTCCTGAGTAGCTGTTATTACAGGCACCCGCTATCATACCTGGCTAATTTTTTATATTTTCAGTCAAGACAGGGTTTCACCATGTTGACCAGGCTTGGTCTTGAACTCCTGACTTCATGATCCACCCATCTCGGCCTCCCAGAGTGCTGGGATTACAGGCGTGAGCCACCGCGCCCGGCTTGTTTTGTTTTGTTTTTTGAGACAGGGTGTCACTCTGTTGCCCAGACTGGGGTGCAGTGGTACGATCACTGCTCACGGCAGCCTCCATCTCTCTGGGCTCAGGTTATTCTCATGCCTCAGCCTCCTGAGTAGCTGGGACTGCCAGCACGTGCCACCATGCCTGGCTAATTTTTGTGTTTTTTGTAGAGATGGGGTTTTGCCATGTTGCCCAGGCTGGTCTCAAATTCCTAGGCTCAAGCGATCCGCCTGCCTTGGCCCCCCAAAGTGCTGGATTACAGACATCAGCCACCATGCCTGGCCTTGCATTCCTTCCGGGGGCTCTAGAAGAGAAGTCATGTTCTTCCCTTTTTAGCTTCTAGGGGCTGCCTGCATTCCTTGTGTCTTGGCCCCTTCTTCCATCTTCAAAGTCAGCAGCATAGCATCTTTACATCTTTTCTTCCTCTGTCTTCTACATTCAAGGGATCTTTGTGATTAAATTGGGCTCACTTGGAGAGTCCAGTGTGACCTCCTTATCTTAAGGTCTGCTGTTTAGCAAGCTTAATACCACGTACAACCTTAATTCCTTCTCACTGTGTAACATAACATATTCTCATGTCACATAACACATCACTCCTGACCAGGAGATCAGGACATGGACATCTTCAGGGTGCCATCATCTGACTGTTACAGTTAACAAAGATTTTGTGCCATGGAAACATGAAGAAAAAAACCCTTATCCTTATTTTCCTTCTGTCTTTCTCATCAGGTAGAAAGATCTTTGGATCCAAAAGAGAAGACTCTACATTGGTTAGACTCAAAGCTCAAGATAGGTGAAGAGGGAAGTACATTAACTCTCCACGTGAATGAGTGCTGGGCTCCAGTTTTGGAACAGAATTTGCCGCAAGATACTGAAAGAATTTAGGAATGAGATTTCCAGGTTGCTCAAAGAGAGCTTTGAGGATGTATGGAGAATAGTCAAAGTGTTAGAAGACTAGAAATGGGCAAACAGTGTACAGTTTTTTGAAGGGAGAAGGTAGATCCCCTAAACTATAGGTGAATGAGATTGACATTGCTTCCAGTCTCCCAGGCTGGGGTGCAGTGGCATGATCTTGGCTCACTGCAACCTCTGTCTCCCAGGTTCAAGCGATTCTCCTGCCTCAGCCACCCAAGTAGCTGGGATTACAGGCGTCCACCACCACGCCTGGCTAATTTTTGTATATTTAGTACAGAAGGGGTTTTGCCATGTTGGCCAGGCTGGCCTCGAACTCCTGACATCAGGTGATCCAGCCACCTCAGCCTCCCAAAGTGATGGTATGACAGGCATGAGCCACCGTGCCCGGCCTGAAAATAATTTCAAATGAAATATGAAAGGAATGGTTCCCAAGCACGTAAAAGAATCCTTTGCAATTATGAAACAGTACAGGTGCTCTGAGAACAAATCATGTCAGACAAATGTTATTTCCTCCTTTGACATGGTTTCTCCATGGTAGATTTAGAGGAGAGATGGACTCTGTGCATCACCAGATTATAAGAACCTCATGGAGCTTTCCTAAGGCAGAATTATGTGGCTCATCTGTAAATTATCAGTGGTGTGCTGGGGTCGCCTCATGCTGGCTCACAAGAGCTGTTTATGCATATACATCTCTTTCCAACTCTGTGTTCAATGACATCACCTTGGTAGTTTGAAATCTGCCATGGTAGGAAGTAGTTATGCCATGGAAATCAGCAAACATTACAAACAAACTAGGGTTTTTTTTTCTTCTGGGTAGTCAGCTGTTAAAACACTTACCGCCACAACACGGCATCTACGGCAAGTATCTGGTACAGTGCCAAGACACAGCAGGTGCTCAATGAATGTTGGCTGAAGAAATAAATAACTTGACCAAAAAACTAAACAGAGTCTCCCGTAATAAAATTGGGGTCAAGATAGAGACATCTTAGCTGCATGCTAGCGCAATGAAAATTTTAAAAACAAACAAACAAAAAGAAAAGAAAAGAAATAAAGAAAAAAGAATCAATGTCAAGTTGGAGGGAATTTTCTAAGACTGGAAAAAAAAAAAAAAAACTCTGCCCTTGGTCCTGTGAGTCTTGAGTAATCTTTGCCAATGTAAAGTCCTGTTCTTGGATTAAATGAGAACTAAAGTAACAAAGCAAATTATAAAATGCAGGGTGGGGTGGAGGTAGGAGAACATAGCAGCATGAGGTGTGAAAAGTGAATCTCACTATTCCAAACTGGCCAGAAGATGATTAATGCATTGTGCCCAGATCCAGGTGTCACACAGTTGAGCATTCAAAGAAGAGTCACTAGAGTGATGGAAAACCAAAACTTGCCAGATGAGGCTTGACAGAGGAATTATGAGTGTTTTCATTGGAGAAGACTCAAATGAGTGTGAGGTTGACCCCAAATATTTGAATGATTATCACATTGATAGGGCCATCACACTGCCCAACTCCAGGGACACTGTTTACACAGTAGTCTACGTGAAAAGCAGCAGACGCCCACAGCTGAGCAATGTGCAGTCTGTACAACTGAAAGCACTTGTCCTGCATATGGCAAGGTATCACTATTTCAAATAGTAGAAGCCCCTGAGAATTATGTTTCAGCTCAATTTCGGCAAGACCCTCAGAACTGCTGAAGAAGATCCCTCTTGCCTTCGATGGATTCAAAACAGAGGCTGAATGGCCCATGTCTTAGAGGTGGCATAGGAAATTCTGACAACAGAAATTCTGAAGGAGGGTTTTTTGTTTGGTTTGGTTTGGGGTTTGTATTTTTTTTTTTTTGTTTGTTTTTTTTGTTTGCTTGTTTGTTTGTTTTTTTTGAGACAGAGTCTCACTCTGTCGCACAGGCTGGAGTGCAGTGACGCAATCTTGGCTCACTGCAACCTCTGTCTCCCAGGTTCAAGCCATTCTCTTGCCTCAGCCTCCTGAGTAGCTGGGACTACAGACACGTGCCACCATGCCCGGCTAATTGAAGGAAGGTTTTCTTGGATGACTTTTTACATTTTTCTAACTCTGAGATTCACTAGTCCCAGAGATAGAAATTGTCATTTATGGAGCTTCTACTTGTACTAGCTACTGTGTTGGGAGCTTTATGTATCTAATTTAATGTAATATTCAGAACAGCCCTACAATGTGGATATTATATTTACAGATAAGAAATTGAGACTCACATATTAATTCTTTGTCTGTAGTCATTCAATTATTGAGAAATTTAGCCAGGATTTAAAGCTGAGAGTATATGATTCCTTTGTTCTTCCTGGAACACTGGGGATTGGAAGGAAAGCTCGCCACCTGCCAACCCCCCATCCCAGAACTTTTGATTGGCAATGTGACAAGTCTCAACAGTGGTGGTCATGTCTTATAGGCAAGACTTCATACATTGCCTGAGCTGATGACTCAGGCTGAAGACCTCCCCCTCTAGCCTTGGGATACCTAGTGCATGGGATCAGACTCTTGCTTTGCTTCTTGCCTTGGGCTGTCATCACATATTCACAATGCCCTGAAGAAAAGGAAGATGCTCAGGAAAACGTAGCCTCTGACCGAATCCTCCTCTCTAGACTGAAGGTTGCGAGTCAGATGGTTCTTTATCCTTCCTCTCCACCTACTACACTGAAACTCCGGTCTTGACAGTGACTCTGTGGCTCACAATCAGCCCCAGGATTGCTTGCTTGCATGGAGCCAGTGACAGACTGGAGCCAGTCCCTGGGAGCTACCAAGCAGCTGACAAACTGGGAAGCGTGATCTTTGACTCATTCATCCATTACCCAACTAATCAGCACTGCATAGCTTGGGTGTTCACAGTGTGTCACCGCACACCAGAGCCACACCTCTCCATGGCTGGAACAGCTTGCCTTGCTGGCTCCTGAAGCATTTAGAGGATGTTTGTTGACTGGGAAGAACCAGTGCCTTGACTATTACCTAATGAGCTGTATCCACCAGTCATGTAACTCTCCAGTGTGAGAATTTGGTTGTGGGCTGATGTTGTGTCTTGGGCAATTACTTTGGATTTATCTGGAGCCACCCCTGTTGACAGTGGCTAGCACTCACACCTAGGATTAAAGTCTACTTATTATCAGAGGGCAAACACCTGTCCTCACAGTGAACACAACTACAATTACAGTCAGGGATTCATATCTCATTCTCTTTCAGCCTCTCAAGTGCACAATTTATTTTTGGCCTTGCTATTTTTCTGTCTGAATTATTTCCCTGCTATCCAGGCACTCCAGAACCCAACATTATTCTGTTCCATCCCACCACCACCATTATTGTCATGTCTGTAAATACACCATCGAACCATAAAAATTGGCACTACAGACAAGACAATGCACAGAAGGCTTGTCCAACATAAAACAGAAACTGCCATGATGTTTCAACTCAATATCGTATCCTCCCCCACCTTAAATGAAGAGCTGTTGTAATGTGTGGCACAAACAATGGTAAGAAATTGGTAAAAGGCGGTACTTATCTTTATTTTTCTAGAAGATTCTAACATTGTCTTGGAATTCACCAACCTCAAAACTTTGTAAAGACATCATAATGAAATGCTGAAAGTGACTGAAAAAGGGCTGTACTACACACTAGTTAAAAAAAACCCACAGTGAGGCCGGGAGCAGTGGCTTACGTCTGTAATCCCAGCACTTTGGGAGGCTGAGGCGGGCGGATCACCTGAGGTAAGGAGTTGGAGACCAGCCTGGCCAACATGGTGAAACCCCGTTTCTACTAAAAATACAAAAATTAGCCTGGCATGATGGCAGGAGCCTGTAATCCCAGTTACTTAGAAGGCTGAGGTGGGAGAATCACTTGAACCCAGGAAGCAGAGGTTACAGTGAGCCAAGATTGTGACACTGCACTCCAGCCTGAGCGACAAGAGTGACATTCTGTCTCAAAAAGCAAAAAAAAAAAACAAAAAACCCACAGTGGGTTCTGATCTCCAACTCCTGCTCCTCTTCAGATGATGCCAGTGATTACCCTAAACCAGTGGGGCAGGTTGGGTCTAATTGTTTGTGGGCAGCCCATGTCTCCTGGTCTCACACAGGATGCCCTGCACTGGGATGTCTGCCTGTTTCTATAGGATCTTATTACTCAGCATCATCTTTCTGCACAAGCTGAAGCTGCAGTGTTTGGATGCTGAGTCTGAGAATAGCTGAGTGAGGCTGAATGCTCTGAATCTCCAACCCGAGGGCTGTGAGCATGTAATCTGCTGGGATTTTTCTCCTCTAGTGACTGTATTCATATATGTGGTGGCCAAGAAAAGGAGGTTTAAAGCCCCTCTGTCTGGAGGAGTTCCTTCCTGCTTGAGATCGGAACTGAAAATGACTCCTCCATGTGCACAATGCTCTGGTATTTCCTGGGCAACAGTGTTACATGCTTCTGCAGCAAGAGTAACTTGAGATACTGCTTTTTAATCACTTCTTGCCCAATATCTCATATTACACAGTCATAATCCTCTCATACTCATTCATCAGAAAGCAGAACAGTTGGTGAATAGCTTGAGTTCTTCAACTGCAATCTGTAAGGGATATAGTGAGGTGGTATTTGTGTCGTTTTATTGGAGAAATCAGGGGAAGGTTTGACTGGGGAGATATCACCTACCTACATCATTTTCTTTCTTTCTTTCTTTCTTTCTTTTCTTTCTTTCTTTCTTTCTTTCTTCTTTCTTTCTTTCTTTCTTTTTTCTTCCTTTCTTCCTTTCTTTTCTTCTTTCCTTCCTTCCTTCCTTTCTCTCTTTCTTTCTTTCTTTTTCTTCCTTCCTTCCTTTTTTTTTTTTTTGTTAAGACTGAGTCTCACTCTGTTGCTCAGGCTGGAGTGCAGTGGCACAATCTCAGCTCACTGCAACCTCTACCTACCAGGTTCAAGTGATTTTCCTGACTCAGCCTCCCAGGTAGCTGGGATTACAGGCATATGCCACCACATCCAGCTAATTTTTATATTTTTAGTAGAGACAGGGTTTCACCCTGTTGGCCAGGCTGGTCTTGAACTCCTGGCTTTAAGTGATCCACGCACCTCGGCCTCCCAAAATGCTGGATTACAGGCGTGAGCCACCGTGCTCAGTCATTGACTACAGCAGGAGACATCTCATATCGTGGGCTGCAGAGAATTCCAAAGAATGCTACTTCCTCATTAGAGCCATCTTTAATGGATATTCCCTGAAAGAAAAAGATTAAAGTTCAGTTTGCTACATGTACATCTGTAGAATGAATTCCTAGAAGTAGAACTGTTAGGTCAAAAGGCATGTGTATTTATTTATTTATTTTTTATTTATTTTTTTTTTTTTTGAGACAGAGTCTGGCTCTGTCACCCAGGCTGGAGTGCAGTGGCACGATCTCGGCTCACTGCAAGCTCCGCCTCCCGGGTTCACGCCATTCTCCTGCCTCAGCCTCCCAAGTAGCTGGGACTACAGGCGCCCGCCACCACGCCTGGCTAATTTTTGTTTTTTTTTGTATTTTTAGTAGAGACAGGGTTTCACCGTGTTAGCCGGGATGGTCTCGATCTCCTGACCTCGTGATCTGCCCGCCTTGGCCTCCCAAAGTGGGCATGTGTATTTATAATTTTCATACAGAGTTTGTGCCAATTTCTGCTTCCACCAGCAAATGTAGGAGAGTGCTCACTTTCCCACACTTTTGTAAATAAAATGGGCTTTCAAACTTTGCCAACTTTATAGGTGAAAAAATACGTTTGTGCCTAACTGTGAAAAATTCATCCTTTTGTCACTGGAGACTTTTTGGAAGAGAGGATTGGGTCCTGCCAATGTTTCCTTGTGGTTTACTTGTACCTCCCAGGGTCCTGAAGAAAAATGGGGGTAGGCCAGGAGCAGTGGCTCATGCCTGTAATCCCAGCACTTTGGGAGGCCAAGGTGGGCGGATCACTCGAGGTAAGGAGTTCGAGACCAGTCTGGCAAACATGGCAAAACCCCGTCTCTACTAAAAATACATATATTAGTCGGGCATGGTGGTGGGTGCCTGTAATCCCAGCTACTGGGGAGGCTGAGGCATGAGAATTGCTTGAACCTGGGAGGTAGAGGTTGCGGTGAGCTAAGATTGTGCCACTGTACTCCAGCCTGGGTGACAGAGCGAAAAGCCTTCTTTTATTTTTCTCCAAAAGAAAAAGCAAAGAAAAGAAAAGAAAAATGGGGGTAGAAGAGAGCAAGGAGATCAGGGAGAAGGAGAGAGGAGAGGAGTAGCAGAGAGCAGAAAAGGGGTGAGGAGCTGGGCACGGTGGCTCATGCCTGTAATCTCAGCACTTTGGGAGGCTGAGGTGGGTGGATCACGAGGTCACGAGTTCGAGACCAGCCTGACCAATATGGGGAAACCCCGTCTCTACTAAAAGTACAAAAATTAGCCAGGCATGGTGGCATGAGCCTGTAATCCCAGCTACTCAGTAGGCTGAGGCAGGAGAATTGCTTGAACCTGGGAGGCAGAGGTTGCAGTAAGCTGAGATTGCACAACTGTAATCCAGCCTGGGTGACAGAGCGAGAGACTCCATCTCAAAAAAAAAAAAAAAAAAAAAAAAAAAAAAAAGAAAAGAAAAAAAGAAAGAAGGAAAGAAAAGAAAAGGGGTGAGGAGGGTGAGGAAGTAGAGTAGAAGTAGGTTGGGGCAATCAGAGTGTAACTAGAGGTTATAGTTCCCAGCTAATCAGGTATGTTCTTGTTTTCTCTCCATTTGACTTATCTCCACCCATCAACACACCTATTTTCTACCCAGGTGCTTTACTTCCTGTGAGCAGAGAGTTGTGTTGTAGGTGCTCAGTCATCTTGACCGCTCATGACATTCTCAGATCTCAAGACAGACACTAGACATGGATGTACCTACTGCCCAAGGAGTCCTTTCTAGGAGGGCCGGGGGGAAAAAAGTGGAGGGAGTTGTTAGGGTAAACAGTGAGGCTTCTAACGCTGCAACACTGATTATTTGGGATGGGAGAAATGACCACAGTGAATTCTGGGCTAATCAAAAAGACCTCAGGTCTTACAACTGGGAGATAAAAACTAGTGGATCAAAAGTTTTAGTACTAATTTACACAGTTTGTGCAGAGTGCAATTGCCAGAGGAAAAGCTAATCTGTTAGGATCTTTGGGTTGTAAGGTACAGAGAGGTTTATCCAGATTGCTTTGAACATTGATGGTTTATGAAGGTACACGTATAAGGCAGAGTGCTGGCCATACAGCCAGGTCTCTAATGAACCTTTATGCAGCTCAACAACTATCCTCCCCCATCCCCCGGGCCTAGAACATAGTTTGATAATGGGAAGATTACACAGCAGGGATCCCCAACCAGTACCCGTCTGTGGCCTGTTAGGAGCTGGGCAGCACAGGAGGAGGTGAGCAGCAGGTGAGCAAACAAAGCTCCATCTGCATTTACAGCCCTGCTCCATCACTCACATTACCACCTGAGCTCTGCCTTCTGTCAGCTCAGCGGCAGCATTAGATTCTCATAGGAGCGCAAACCCTATTGTGAACTGCGCGTGGGAGAGATCTAAGTTGAGCTCCTCATGGGAATCTAATGCCTGATGATCTGCCACTCTTTCCCATCACCCCCAGATGGGACCGTCTAGTCGTAGGAAAACAAGCTCAGGGATCCCACTGAGTCCATATTATGGTGAGTTGTATAATTATTTCATTATATATGACAATGTCAGAATAATAGAAATAAAGGCTGGGCACAGTGGTTCACACTTGTAATCCCAGCACTTTGGGAGGCCAAGGCAGGTGGATCACCTGAGGTCAGGAGTTCGAGACCAGCCTGACCAACATGGTCAAAACCCGTTTCTACTAAAAATACATAAATTAGTCGGGCGTGGTGGCAGGTTCCTGTAATCCCAGCTACTTGGGAGTCTGAGGCAGGAGAATCACTTGAACCCGGGAGGTGGAGGTTGCAGTGAGCCGAGATCATGCCACTGCACTCCAGCGTGGATGGCAGAGACTCCATTTCACTAAAAAAAAAAAGGAAAAAAAAAGAAAATGCACAATAAACAGAACGCCTTGAATCTCCCTGAAACCATGCCCCAACTCACCATCCCATCTGTGGAAAAATTGTCTTCCATGAAACTGGTCCCTGGTGCCAACAAGGTTGAAGATGGCTGTTATACAAGATTCAGGGTGGGTCTAGCAATTGGGTGATCACTCCCCTTCCCTCAGCAGCAGGAGGAGCCAATGGCTGCTTTAGCGCCTCACCATCCTTTTGATTCAGCTTCTCCGTCTTTTCCTCTGCTATTCACTTCTTTACCTGAAAAATGTTCTCTTTTTTTTTTTTTTTGAGATAGTCTTACTCTGTCACTCAGGCTGGAGTGTGGTGGAGTGATCTTGGCTCCACATCCCTGGCTCAAGTGATCCTCCCACCTCGGCCTCATGTATAGCTGGGACCACAGGCACACACCACCATGCCTGGCTAATTTTGTGTATTTTTTGTAGAGACAGGGTTTTGCTATGTTGCCCACACTGATCTCAAACTCCTGAGCTCAAGCCATCTGCCTGTCTCAGCCTCCCAAATTGCTGGGATTATAGGCGTGAGCCACTGTGCCCAGCTGCAATATGCTCTTTATCTCCATCTGACCCTATAGTGTCTGCTCACTCATAGCTTCAGGTCGTCTTACTGCCTCTTCTGTGTGTCTTTCACCTTTTGTTCCTCTTACCAATTGTTCAATGCCCAATATCTCCTATTTTAAAATTCTCAAATGATCCCTGGGGTCCTTTGTGGCTCTGCTGATCTAATTTCATTCTGCCAGTCCCCAAATACCATATCTGCGCTTTCAGGCTACTTGTCTTCCCTCCTATGTGATTGCCATGTTACCTACTATTCTAGAGAAGACAGCAAAGACCATTGTCTGTCAATGTTTAAAGGGAAAAAACGGTCCCTTCTATCCCATTTCCCATCAGAATGGATTGCATTGCCAGATCAGCTGATGGCCCCTGATAGACTCAGAGGATGTTGCAATGTGAAAGGCAGTGTGGAGAGGGAAGAAAGCTTGTTCCCCATTCTTCATACTGTCATGGAGAAGGGGAGAAAGTATGGGCAGACATGTTCACCCCCATTTTCCTCTTTTCCTTCACACAGTCCTCCAGAGGGAGGAAGAGTGACTAACTGGAAGAGTGAGGATGGGCATTCTCAGCCTACTCTCGGCAAACTCAGATTCTGTGCTCCTCCACGCAGAGAACTTACCAGAACATGGTCTCACTCTCAGAAAAGGAGGACTACGATTTTGGCAATAAACAGTAGGAAGCCTGGGGAGATCAAGCCATGGTCTCTTTTCTCAGTTGGAAAGCTAGTCTTTTGATCTTGAGACGGAGTCTTGCTCTGTCGCCCAGGCTGGAGTGCAGTGGCGCGATCTCGGCTCACTGCAACCTCCACCTCCTGGGTTCAAGCGATTCTCCTGCCTCAGCTTCCTGAGTAGCTGGGATTACAGGCACACACCACCATGCCCAGCTAATTTTTTTTTTTTTTTAGATGGAGTCTCGCTCTGTTGCCCAGGCTGGAGTGCAGTGGCACGATCTCGGATCACTGCAAGCTCTGCCTCCGGGGTTCAGGCCATTCTCCTGCCTCAGCCTCCCGAGTAGCTGGGCCTATAGGCGCCTGCCACCACGCCTGGCTAATTTTTTGTATTTTTAGTACAGATGGGGTTTCACCATGTTGGCCAGGCTGGTCTCGAACTCCTGACCCCGTGATCTGCCTGCCTTGTCCTCCCAAAGTGCTGGGATTACAGGCATGAGCCACTGCACCTGTGCATTGACCTGTGCAACTTCTATGATGATGTTGCAGTTGCCCTGGAGTTGGCTTAGGAAGAAGGGATGTGGTTAATTAGCTCATTTCCCAATACAGTGTCATTCCCGGGCCTGGATGCTTGGGAAAGTACCCAGGGCAAGCTTTAAGTACAAAATAGGGTGGTTTGCTTTAAGAGTCCTAAAGCAACCTGAGGAACAATGCAAGATACCCTGCAGGGTTATCAGCCTCCTACAAGGGAGTCCCAGGCCCATGACTCTTTCCAGAAAGATTCTCCATTCCTCATTTTCCTCTATGGCTACTAGTCAATTTCTGAGGTTTGACTGAATTATCAAATTCAAATCTGCCCAGATGTCAGTGTTATCATTTTCGTGTCTCCTGATGGAAATATTCTTTGATTGGTTACTAAGACCTCTAAACCAGCAGAGCCCATAGTTGAGGAAATGAGAATGAAAAACTATCTAAGTGGGTTATTAGATGTAATAATGAACGATGTTAACACTCATTTCTTTTCTTTTTTGAAACAGGGTCTTTCTCTGTCACCCAAGCTGGAGTGCAATGGTGTAATCATAGCTCACTGCAGCCTCGACTCCTGGGCTCAACTCTCACTTCAGGCACGTACGTGTCTCACCCAAGGCATCGAAAATACCTGGTATGTCTGGCCTCCAAGTCCTGTTAGCTTTTTTTTTGTTTTTTGTTTTTGAGACAGAGTCTTGCTCTGTCACCCAGGCTGGAGTGCAGTGGTGTGATCTTGGCTCACTGCAGCCTCCAACTTCCAGGTTCAAGCAATTCTCATGCCTGAGCCTCCCTGGTAGCTGGGACTACAGGCACGTGCCACCACACCTGGCTAATTTTTATAGTTTTAGTAGAGATGGGGTTCTGCCATGTTGGCCAGACTGGTCTCAAACTCCTGGCCTCAAGTGATCTGCCTGCCTCGGCCTCCCAAAGTGCTGGGATTACTGGTGTGAGCCACCACGCCTGGATGATATTTTGAAGACTTCATATAAAAATAAGTATCTCAATAAGTTTTATATTGACTACATATTGAAATGATACTATTTTAGATATCATGGATTCAGTAAACTGTGCTTTTAAAATTAATTTCACCTGTTTCTTTTTACTTTTAAAAAATGCAGCTACTGCCGGGCGCGGTGGCTCAAGCCTGTAATCCCAGCACTTTGGGAGGCTGAGGCAGGTGGATCACGAGGTCAGGAGATCAAGACCATCTTGGCTAACACGGTGAAACCCCATCTCTACTAAAAATACAAAAAATTAGCTGGGCATGGTGGTGGGCTGTAGTCCCAGGTACTCGGGAGGCTGAGGCAGGAGAATGGCGTGAACCCGAGAGGCGGAGCTTGCAGTGAGCCGAGATCGTGCCACTGCACTCCAGCCTGGGCGACAGAGCGAGACTCCATCTCAAAAAAAAAAAAAGTTAGACATGTGGCTCACATTATTTTTCTGTTGGACAGTGCTGCTCTAAAGGCTTAATTTGCTTTTCTTACCATAATAGCCCTCATGACTTGGGTTAGAGAGTCAATTTGGAAATTATCCCAATTGTTGAACTTATTTATTCCAATTGTACACTCAACCACAAGATGAGTTTGGGGTCTTATTAGAGCCCAATGTGAGACTAATTGGAATCAAAGCTTTATAATCTTATCATGAGGCTGCCACTGACTGGTAATCCATGACAGCGTTCTAGTCTCCCATTATTTCAAAGCCGAAGGTTTAGATACTTTCCTTCCCTATGTGTACATCTACCCCTATGAATAGCTGTCTATTTGGAGAAGTTGAGGGGGAGGAGGTTGAGTATATACCTGTCATGTTACCACAGCCTTTTTTTTTGAGGATATGCACCTTTCCTTTTATTTAAGGGGCTCAGAATCTCTGAAATTAATCAGACCTGGGAATTGAGTGAGGAGGCAGGATTCTACGGTGGTGGTTCAAGTAAGGCCTCTTATCACCAAACTTGGAGTTTTTTGGTTTCATACATCAAATAAAACCTTATGGTGGGCTACCCATCTGTTTCAATTCTGGATCTTCTGTTTAGGTAATTAGGTACCACCAAATAGTCAGACTATTCAGATGACTACGTAAGTATGTCTGGCAGTTATGACAACTGTAGATTCCATGCCTTCGAAATGAAGTGCTGATGTTTGGCCTTGCTTGTGTGTTCTACTCCCAATTCCATCACCCTTATTGGAATTAGGGAGACTATGTCATCCCATAAGGAGTGCAGTTCATCCCATTTGCATCCATGGCCTACAACTGCTTTACAGAGATTCTAGCTCTCCTTGCACCAATGCATTTCTCAGTGGTTTGGTGATATGAATATATTGTTAGTCTTTACTGGAGGGGCATGATTTTTTTTTTTTTTTGAGATGGAGTCTTGCTCTGTCGCCCAGGCTGGAGTGCAGTGGCATAATCTTGGCTCACTACAACCTCTGCCTCCCGGGTTCAAGCAATTCTCCTGCCTCAGCCTCTTGAGTAGCTGGGATTACAGGTGCCTGCCACCATGCCTGGCTAATTTTTGTAATTTTAGTAGAGACGGGGTTTTGCCATGTTGGCCAGGCTGGTCTCCAACTCCCAACTTCAGGTGATCCACCCACCTCAGTCTCCCAAAGTGCTGGGATTACAGGCATGAGCCACCATGCCCGGCCTAGAGGGGCATAATTTTGAGGTGGGTGAATCACATATGATAAATCCATTCCCAAGTCCCCATCTTCCTGTCTTTGCATTCCTTCCTCTACATCATAGGCAGAAATTTCTGGCCTCTTGGCTTCATTTGGTGTGGTCTATCTTTGAATCACAGTTTCCTGTCAGCCAACTGAGAAAAACAATTAGAATCACTCCTAGCTGCTGGAGCTGGCATTTTCATCCAAAATCTCTGGAAAGAATACCATATTAAAAAATTTAGCCTAACCTGCCAGGTGCGGTGGCTCACGCCTGTAATCCTAGCACTTTGGGAGGCCGAGACAGGTGGATCACCAGAGGTCAGGAGTTCAAGACCAGCCTGGCCAAGATGGCAAAACCCCGTCTCTACTAAAAATACAAAAATTAGTCTGGTGTGGCGCCATGCACCTATAGTCCCAGCTACTCGGGAGGCTGAGGCAGGAGAATCGCTTGAACCTGGGAGGCGGAGGTTGCAGTGAGCTGAGATCGAGCAACTGCACTCCAGCCGGGGTGACAAAGCAAGATTCCCTCTCAAAACAAAAAAAATTTGCCTCAGCTTTATCTATGTCCCTCTTTCCTTGGTCCAGTCCTTATGCTCACAGGCATTCTCCAGTGTTTTGCTAACAAAAATGAGCAAATGCTTAACATCCTTTTGATGTTTTAACTTCCTCCTTCGTTCTGGATCCCCAAGGGCATGCTGGCTGTCATCTGGAGGCAATCAGAGATGGTAAGAATGCCCGGTATAAAGAGAATTGGCAACGGTAACTCCCTGTAGCAAGGTGGGTTCCCTGACAGAAGAGGAAAAGGAGGGAGAGCTGCATTTGCTGGTAAGAGAGGCTCACTGGGACTTGGGATACTCTGAATCACATGAATTTCCCCAAACCAATTCTTCTAGGCCAACTACTTCTTTCTGATCAATGCCATAACTTTTGCAATAGACCTGATGAGGCTATGAACTCAACTAATGTTTTAATTCAACATCCTACAGAATGAAACTTTGAGTGTTAGGAAGCAGCAGGGAATACCAAGCTGGTCATCAAATCTGAGTGAGTGGGAAACTGGAGCAGGGAGATGAAGTCAGCAGGGCTGAGAGCCAGTCATATGCAGGAACAGATTGGAGAGTAACGTTCTGGAGAAGTCAAGTGGAGGCAGGAAGTCAAATGAAGTGGGCTGTGATCCTGACATGGACTTTTTTTTTTTTTTTTGAGACAGAGTATTGCTCTGTTACCCAGACTAGAGTACAGTGGCACGATCTCAGCTCACTGCAACCTCTACCTCCTGGGTTCAAGTGATTCTCCTGCCTCAGCCTCCTCAGCTATGATTACAGGCATGCACCACCACACCCAGCTAATTTTTTGTATTTTTAGTAGAGATGGAGTTTCACCATATTGGCCAGGCTGGTCTTGAACTCCTGACCGCAAGTGATCCACCTGCCTCAGCTTCCTGAAGTGCTGAGATTACAGGCGTGAGCCACTACGCCAGGACCGGACTTTTCTTAGGTGTCAGCCTTCTGTGACTTTGGGCAGCCTGCCCCTCCTAAGGAAGGCTTAGGGTTGGTATGAAACATTAAAGAGTTCCCATTGTAGAAAGTGAGAGTGGTACTTTCCCATCTGACCTGTACAAAACTAAAAAGAAAATGTTTCAGCCACATTTAGGTCTTAGGAATGGGGGAGAAACAGAATTCCTCACTAGGATTAGAGCGACAACCTTCCTGCTGGGTGTCTATGCCTTCAAGCTCATTCTCTCTAATCCATCCTCCACACAGCAGCCAGAGAAATCTTTTTTTTTTTGAGATGGAGTTTTCGCTCTTTTCGCCCAGGCTGGAGTACAATGGAGCGATCTCGGCTCACACAACCTCCGCCTCCTAGGTTCAAGCGATTCTCCTGCCTCAGCCTCCCGCGTAACTGGGATTACAGGCATGCGCCTCCACGCCCGGCTAATTTTGTATTTTTAGTAGAGACGGGGTTTCTCCATGTTGGTCAGGTTGGTCTCGCACTCCTGACTTCAGCTGATCCGCCCGCCTCGGCCTAAGTGCTAGGATTACAGGCGTGAGCCACCGCGCCCGGCTCAGAGAAATCTTTCTAACACACAAAACTTTCAATTACTTCCTACTGCCTTCACGACAAAGCCCACATTCTGGAACTGGACTTTGAAGGCTCTGAATGCCGCAGAGCTGCACAGAACCTAAATTTGCAATCTGTAGTTAATTTTCCCTGTGTAAAAAGTGAGACGAATATGGGTAGGAACAGAAAAAGGGGGAGGAGCTTGGAAGGTAGGGAAAGGAAACTTCAAGGCCAAAGAGAGAGAGAGAAAGGATACTACTGCCAATAAGAAATCCTTGATGGAAGAACAGATCAAGGATTTTTAGAACAGCCACGTCTAAGGAGCAACTTTTTTTTTTTTTTTTTTTTTTTTTTTTGAGACAGACTCTCACTCTGTCGCCCAGGCTGGAGTGCAGGGGTGCGATCTAGGCTCACTGCAACCTCTGCCTTTGGGTTCAAGCGATTCTCCTGCCTCAGCCTCCCAAGTAGCTGGGATTACAGGCACACACCACAACGCCTGGCTAATTTTTGTATTTTTTTTTTTCAGTAGAGATGGCATTTCACCATGTTGTCCAGTCTGGTCTCGAGCTGTGGGCTTTAAGCCACACGCCCGCCGGCCTCCCAAAGTGCTGGGATTACGGGTGTGAGCCACCGGCCCCAGCCAGGAGCAACTGTAAAGTTGTTTGTTGTGCACTGTAGAATGGCGTTGCAGCCCCTCCCTCACAATTCATAAACCTCAACAAAGCTTGAAAGCACTTTTACTTCCCCACTTTCTTCTTTCACACCCCTACTCCTGTGTTTTGAGATAATTTAAAATTTTAGCCAAGGCTATTAAATTTTCCTCCATAATAAGTCTCATCTGATTTAAAATTCTCATTATTCCATGTCACGTTAGCATCTATTTAGAGTATGACAATTACAAGGTTCATTATTCACCATTGTCTTCTTGTATTCTTTGTCTTTCCCTGTTGCTGAATTTTTTTTAAAAAACGATTGTTTTAGGCTGGGCACAGTAACTCACGCCTGTAATCCCAGCACCTTGGGAGGCCAAGGCGGGCGGATCACCTGAGGTCAGAAGATCAAAACCAGCCTGGCCAACATGGCGAAAACCTGTCTCTACTAAAAATACAAAAATGAGCCAGGTGTGGTGGTGTATGCCGGTAATCCCAGCTACTTGGGAGGCTGCGGCAGGAGAATTGCTTGATCTTGGGACGTGTAGGTTTAAGTGAGCCAAGATTGTGCCAGTGCACTCCAGCCTGGGTGACAGAGCAAGACTCCATCTAAAAAAAAAAATTATTATTTTAAATTGACAAATAATAATTGTACATATTCATGGGGTACAAAGTGATGTTTTAATATATATAATTTAAAGTGATCAGATCAGGATAATTAGCATATCCATCCTCTCAAACATTTATCATTTCTTCATGTTGGAAACATTTAATATCCTCCTTCTATTTGAAACTGTGTAATATATTATTGTTAACTATAGGGATCCTATAGAATACTAGAACTATAGGAACTATGAATTCTATAGAACACTAGAACTTATTCCTCTTATCCGGCTATAATTTTGCATCCTTTTTTTTTTTTTTTTTTTTTTTTGAGGTGGAGTTTCGCCCTTGTTGCTGAGGCTGGAGTGCAATGGCACAATTTCGGCTCACTGCAACCTCTGCCTCCCAGGTTCAAGCGATTCTCCTGCCTCAGCCTCCTGAATAGCTGGGATTACAGTCACCCGCCATCATGCTCGGCTAATTTTTTTTTTTTTTGTACTTTTGTAGAGACAGGGTTTCACCATGTTGGCTAGGCTGGTCTAGAACTCCTGACCTCAGGTGATCCGCCTGCCTTGGCCTCCCAAAGTGCTGGGATTACAGGCGTGAGCCACTGCACCTGGCCTCCTTGCATCCTTATTTTCTTAAGTACTTCCTTGACTAATTTCCTCAGGTTGAGTACATGGGTAGTATACTTTCTGAGGTCCTACAAGCCCCTAAATACCTTATTTTTGCCCTTATATAATAAGATTTTGGCTGGTTATAAGATTTTCCTATCACAATCCCCCCAGTAACCTTCAGTATTGCCGATAGTCCAGCGATGGTCTAACTCCCTTTCTTTTGTCAATAACTTGTTCTTTCTGGCTGATGACCGTTAAATTTATCCTTCGGGTTAAAAAATTTAACCCTATTTAATTTTTCCCCATTTTCTTCTTTTAGGACACTTCTTTGTCTGCAAATATGTCTTCTCATTCTACCCACCTGGGACTAGGAAGTCATTTAAATCTAAAGAAGCAAGTCTTTGGTTTTCTTCTGTCTCTTCCTTTTTCCTTCTGGAAATTTATTAGACAATTTAAGTCTCCACCTAAACGGTCCTCTCTGTCTTGTATCTGCGTATTTCTCTTAGTATTTAGTATATTTTGTTTTGTTTTGCTCTGGGTTATAGGGATCCCACTAAACGCTATTTTGATTTTCAGAAGTAATCATTCTCTTTAATTTCTACATTGAATTTCTAAATTTAGAAATCATACTTTTCAGTACCATAATTTCATTTTTTTATGCTCTAATTGTATCTTCTTAAATGTCCTCATTATGTTTCTCCTCCTCATTAGGTTTTAACTAAAGTTTACTTCTCTTTCTCTTATTAATTCTGCCTCTATGTTAGCCATATTTTCTGGTCATGCAATTTGGTCTATCTCCGGGAAATTGCATGTTTCCTTTGCAAGTCAGCTGTTGGAATTCTTCAAGCCGTAGTGAACTGACTGCCACTGGATGGGCCAGCAGTAATGAGACAGGCAGCTGGGACTTTCTGTTGAGGTTTTTGGGGGCGTGGTATCTGTTCTCAGATGCAAGAAGTGAAACCTTTTTTTCTAGTGCCACTGAAATCAATGGAATTGATCAGTTTCTCCCAGATGATGGTCATAGCAAGGCATTAGGGCAGCCAGATTTGGATCCTCATCTCTAGATACCAAACTATGAGCTCTGAGCTGTGTCTGGACTCTTCATTTGGTGACTGAATTGTCCTAGCTGGGAGGGACTGAAAATCAAAAGTGATCAGCCAATACAGGTTGTCATTTTCCCTGAATTTCCCAAGGATAGGCAAATACAGCACTGTTGGCCCAAATCAGTGGGACTCTGCAGGACAGTGTTTCCTAGCTCCACTCGGCAGCTTTGGCTCAGTCTCAGTAGTCACAGCAATGGTACTCCTCCATTCATTTTTTGCCCCTTGGGCTAATCCATGAAAATAAAGTAAAAATTTTAAGTTCCAGCCACCCTAGTGACAAAATTCAAAATCCCAGTTTTTAGGAGAAAAATTATGAAAAGAAAACCTTTTGTTAACTTTTCAACAAGTTTTCCTCTGCCTTACTTTCTCTATCTGGTACTAGACCTCTTACTTGTGAGTCAACATCTGCTGTTCCATGTGGCCTGGCTTGTAGAGTCCTGTGTGTTGTAACCTCTGGTGATTACAGGTCTATTGCGCTTTGCTTAGAGATCAACAGAGTGACATCCTAGGGTCTGAGCCTCAACCCTCCAGGCCGCAAGCCTCCCACTTCCACTCCACCAACCTTGACTTGTGGAACATGCATCCTCCTGGGGATAAACCTCTACCAAGATGTTCTTGTAAGAGTGGCTGCAAGTGCCTGCATCAGAACCTCAGGAAAGCTGATAAAGTTGAAGAGTCCTTGCTTTCCTCACTTGGGAGGGGGTGCTGCTGCTGGCATTTAAGATGATTCTGATTCATGCTACAGTCTGACAACCTACAAAGCTGCATGGAAGAAAACTCTCTTCCACATGGCCTGGAGAGACCTAAGCATCCACGTGCTCACTGCTCTCAGTGCTCAGAGAAGAGAACACCTGGGAAATTGTCTTTGAATTATATAGAACAAGTTGTCCACTAAATGAATAACATCTGGAAGCATTCCAACCTGGTAAAGCCCCTTGAGTGTTGCCTATGATGTGGGTGCATCTGATTCCAGGTCATATGTGCAATGCTCTGCTGCAGACACTTTAGCTTTCAGATTTTGTGGAATATTGTTACAGGAACACAGGTCTATGCAATGAGGTCTTGTAGCTGCTTCCTAAGCTTTGCACATCAATCCATCAGCTCTAACATTCTGGACAATATTATTGCTGGCTACAATAGTACTATTTATAATAGTTCAAATGAATCAGATTGATTTTCTCCTTGAACACTAGAATATTTACTCTGAATCATCAAGGGCAAAAGGTCAATTCCCCTCAAAAAGATCATGCAACCCTCTCTATCAGAGGATAAACAATTCTTCAAGTATTGAGGAAAGAAAAATGACTTTGGGCCAGGCATGGTGGCTCACACCTATAATCCCAGCACTTTGGGAGGCCGAGGAGGGAGACCTCACTTGAGGTCAGGAGTTCGAGACCAGCCTCGGTAATATGGTGAAACCCCATCTCTACTAAAAACACAAAAATTAGCTGGGCATGGTGGCAGGAGCCTGTAATCCCAGCTATTTGGGAGGCTGAGGCAGTAGAATCACTTGAACCCGGGAGGTGGAGGTTGCAGTGAGCCACGATTGCACTATTGCACTCCAGCCTGGGTGACAGAGCGAGACTCCATCTCAAAAAAAAAAAAGAAAAGAAAAAAAAAAGAAAAGTGACTTTGTCCATTGGGTAGCCAAGCTTTCATTTTGCTCAGTGACGGAGTCTAGTACTTAAGATCCATATCATAGCAACACAAAACTTCTATTGAGGATGTAGCTTTTCATATGCATCATTCCCTTCACTTCTCACATTGGTGTCCACTGAGGCGTAGAGACACGGTACAGGATACAAATGGTGATGCTGGAAAGTGAACCTAAGTCTGTCTGTACAATCTACACACCTCACCACTGTGTGATCAGCTATAGGCTTAATACTAGTGAGACAGGGATGCTTACCTGTATTTGTTCATTAATTTGTTCAATAAAAAGGACTTTGTGTAAGGTTCTACATGTGGTGCTTGGGACACAAAGTCAAGTAATTTATGAACCCTCCCTGCCCTTGCCATTTCCAATCTAATGACAAACACAAAGAACTAAAGGGGCAATTAAAATAATTAGTGTAAGTGCTAGAGCAGAAGAAGGGTGAGGCTGGGGAGGCACAGACACAGGGTACATAACCATGTGAGTGTCAGTCAGAAAAGCCCTCCTGGGGGAGTTGGCTTCTGAGTCGAGTCCCAAGGGCCGAGCAGGGCTTAATTAGAGGAATTGGGGGACCCAGGTGAAAGCAACATGCACCAAGGTCCAGCGCGGGAAAGGCCAGGCATCAGGAACCTGGAGGAAGTTTACTTTGAGGAGGATTTATATGAACAGGTTAGGAAAAGAGTTGAGAGACAAGCAGGAGGGGTTGGCTGGGGCCTAACCTAAAATGGCCTCTCTGCTGTGAGAAAAGCTTGGGCTTTATCCTGATGGCAACATCAAGCCATTACAGTGTTTTAAGAGGAGGAGTAACAGGCTCAGCTTTTCTTCACAGGGGGAAGCTGCTGATAGACATGGGAGGGATGAACTTGCCTGCAGCTCTGTTCTTAGATGACAGAGGCCCAAGTTCAACTGGCACGGAGGCTGCAAACCTCCTGCTCAACAGCATATATGACCAGAAAAAGAAAACATCTGAAGAGAATTATGAACATGCTATATGCGTCTCTAAAGTATAAATGACTAAAACTGACTTTACAAACACAGAACTGAATATTATCAATGAAATAAATTGAAAATATTATCAAAATGCCAGGCCCATAAAGTTTTATGGATACATTCTTTTAAACTTTTTTTTTTTTTTTTTTTGGAGACAGTGTCTCACTCTGTTGCCCAGGCTGGAGTGCAATGGTGTGATCTCTGCTCACTGAAACCTCTGCCTCCTGGGCTCAAGCAATTCTCCTGCCTCAGCCTTCTGAGTAGCTGGGATTACAGGCACTCAACACCATGCCCACTAATTTTTGTATTTTTAGTAGAGACAGGGTTTCACCATGTTGGCCAGGCTGGTTTTGAACTCTTGACCTCAAATGAACTGCCTGCCTCGGTCTCCCAAAGTGCTGGGATTACAGGCATGAGCCACTGCGCCCAGCCTCTTTCAAACTTTTAAGGAACAGATAATTCCTAGCTAAGTAATTTTTTTCTGGAGCATAGGAATAAAAATAGCCCAACTGACTTTGCACGGTTAGCATATTCTAACTCTGAAGACTAGGAAATATATTATAAAATAATAACAAATGAAGTTCAGGAATGTATCTAAAAAACAGTACCCAAAGGCCAAGTCAGCTTTATTTCACAAATGCAGATATATACAGACTCTGAAAATATTGTTACTTCAAAGCTGAAAATGGTTTTATTTGAAAAGAGGGAGGGAAAGCAAATTTGGGAAGACTAATCTTTGATCTGGACAACTTCCATGGGCCATTTAGTTGCACAAATGCTAATCGATTATTTCCATGCCTACTCTATCTTACCTTGAGGAAACACCTTCCTAAATGCAAAGGTTCTAGAAGAGGGAAGGGCTCAGCTTGGCAATATAAAAGCTATTTTATATTGCTAAAAGGAAAAGATGTGGAACAGGCAATAAGAAAACATTTGGATCCTCATTTAAATAAGATTAAAGCCTGTAATCCCAGCACTTTGGGAGGCCAAGGCAGGCGGATCACCTGAGGTCTGGAGTTCAAGAACAGCCTGGCCAACATGGTGAAACCCCAACTCCTCTAAAAATAAAAAAATTAGACGGGCATGGTGGTGGGTGCCTGTAATCCCAGCTACTTGGGAGACTGAGGCAGGAGAATCACTTGAACCTGGGAGGTGGAGGTTGCAGTCAGCCGAGATCGCACCACTGCACTCCACATTGGGCAACAGAGCGAGACTCGGTCTCTAAATAAATAAATAAATATAAATAAATAAATAAATAAATAAATAAGATTAAGAAGTGGAAGAAAATCCAATGAATAAATGATAAAAATCATACATACAAAAATACTCGATCTTACCAGCCATTAAAAAGCCATATATTTAAAGAATGATGTACATTTTCATCTGTCAAATTTAGAAAGATTTAGAAAATAGCTATTCTGACTCCTAACAAGGATGACAAGTAATGAGAAACGCACACACCTTCTCTGGAAAGCACTTCAGCAGTATGTGCCAGAATGTGGGAAGGAAATAATACATTGAGAGTGATATTTATTTTTCCTTTGCAAACATTCTTATCACCCCAAAAGAAACCCTGTTAGTAATGACCACTGTTAGTAGCCATGCCTCATTCCTCCCATCCCCTAGCCCATGGCAACCACTAATCTACTTCCTGTCTCTATGGATTTGCCTGGTCTAGACATTTCATACAAACGCAATCATACACTATGAGGCCTTTTGTATCCAACTTCTTTCACTTAACATTTCCAAGGTTCGTCCATGTTGTGGCATGCACCAATACTTCATTTCTTTTTCTTTTTTCTTTTCTTTTTTTTTTTTTTGAGACAAGAGTCTCACTCTGTTGCCCAGGCTGGAGTGCAGTGGTGTGATCTCGGCTCACTGCAACCTCCACCTCCTCCTGGGTTCAAGCGATTCTCGTGCCTCAGCCTCCTGAGTAGCTGGGATCACAGGCGCGTGGCACTACATCCATCTAATTTTTGTGTTTTTAGTAGAGACAGGGTTTTACCATGTTGGCCAGGCTGGTCTCAAACTCCTGACCTCAAGTGATCTGCCCGCCTAGGCCTCCCAAAGTGTTGGGATTACATGCGTGAGCCACTGGGTCCGGCTGTTCCTTTGTTTTTTAGGGATAAATAATATCCCATTGTCTGTATATGATCAAGTTTTGTCTGTACATTCATCAGTTGATGGACATTTGGGTTGTTTCCACCTTTTGGCTATTATGAATAATGCTGCTATGAACATTCAAGTTTTTATGTGGACGTTTTGTTTCCAGTTCTCTTGAGTATCTACCTAGAAGGGCTTTTGTTCATTTCTTATGTTTCAGGTTTATAGTAAATATGTACTATTTTTATGATCCAAAACCAATGTGTAACTTAAAGAAAATAAAACACAACAAGAATCAATGGGCTTGTAGGATGTTGATAAGATAGACTTGACAGGGTCACCTCTTGATTCCTTCCAAAAACTGCTAGCTTCTCAAAGTTTAAGGAAAAAAACAGGCCGGGCGCAGGGGCTTAGGCCTGTAATCCCAGCACTTTGGGAGGCCGAGGAGGGCGGATCACAAGATCACGAGTTCGAGACCAGCCTGACCAACATGGTGATCCCCGTCTCTACTAAAAATACAAAAATTAGCCAAGCGTGGTGATGTGCACCTGTAATCCCAGCTACTCAGGAGGCTGAGGCAGGAGAATCGCTTGAACCCGGTAGGCGGAGGTTGCAGTGAGCCAAGATCACATCACTGCACTCCAGCCTGGGCGACAGAGGCAGGTTCTGTCTCAAAAAACAAAAAGCAAACAAAAACAACAACAAAAACCCAAAACCAGAACTAGAAGATTCTAGAAGGGGAAAATAAAATTTTAGTATTTTACTCATGTGTAGAGAAATCTTTTGTTTTAGTAGGGTGAGGGTGGGGGGGTTGGGAGCATGAAATAGCAAACACCTTACTAACACAATGAGAGGGTGGAAAGGTATTAAATGACATATGTGCCAGAATTAATGTTTTGATTCTGGCTTGACTGTCAACAATAGACCTTTCCCGAGTGACTATTACATGAATGCACTGGAGGGAAGGGTACAAAGAGAAAAAAGCACAAAAAAGGACTACTAAGATATGCAAAGTCCAGGCCCCTGAAAACTGGAAATGACCTGCAGACACGTAAGTGAAATGCCTGACAAAATGAAAGGGACAAAATGTGGGCACACACAACTCTGGAAAGGTCCTGAATTGAATGTGAGTTGAGGTTTAAAGGAGAGTATGTTGACCAGGTGCGGTGGTTCACGCCTGTAATCCCAGCACTTTGGGAGGCCGAGGCAAGCGAATCACTTGAGGACAGGAGTTTGAGACCAGCCTGGCTAACATGGTGAAACCCCTTAAAAATACAAAAATTAGCTGGATGTAGTGGTGCACGCCTGTAATCCCAGCTACTCAGGAGTCGGAGGCACAAGAATCGCTTGAACACAGGAGGTGGAGGCTGCAGTGAGCAGAGATTGCGCCACTGCACTCCAGGTGGGTGACAGAGTGACACTCTGTCTCAAAAAACAATAAAACAAAAAAACCAACAATAAAGAAGGAGAGTATCCCCATAGACAGGGAAAGTGAGGATGAAGGGAGAGAAACTTTCAGGGCAAGGAAACAGCATGGGAGCAAGGAAGCTCTGGTTCCACACGGAAAAGGGTCGGCTGGTGAGAGTGAGCCATTGGGTTGGGGGTGGAGAGCTCAGGCTGGAGAGATGGTGATGTGAAATGAGAATAGAAAATTAAGGACCACCTTTTCCTGGGCTTGGAGTAAGGCTGAGGAACATGGGGTCAGAGGAAGAAGCTGAAGTCAGAAGTCAAGCTCCAAGTCAATGTAGAGACAAAGCAGGAAGTAAAACAAGCAATATAACCAAAAATAAGCGAATCAGAACAAAATGAAAAAGGGCAGACTGTGGGCAGGGCTAGGGTGCCCACAGCTGCTTCCGGGATGCCGATTATGCTGTTGGGAGACAGTCTAGGATAAAGTCAGGAGACTGGAAGATGGGGATGGACAATTCCCCTTCATCGTCTCTTAATGACCCAACTTCTTAGGACATTTCTCACAAATTCAAGTCAGGCTTAGTTTTTTGGCTTAGTATTACTGGGACCTTGGGTGGAAATGCATCGTTGTTGCAGTTTCCAAATATCTGTGCCCATCGCTTTCATGTCTTTTTCACACGCAGCCAAACCTAAAGCATCTGACTTCTGCTTCTTCCACTCTGATGAACTGGCTTCCTGGGAGCTGCCTTTCTTAAACTGTTTCCTTGGCATCAGAGTCATATGGGTGCTCTCAGGGTCAGGAGCAATTTCTGTCTTTGAAAGTCCCACCCCTTTGTCTCTCACTGTAGAAAATATATCACTGTGTAAAACAAGAAAAATCGTTCATAAAGAAGCTGTATTACTCCCACGCAGACACTTCATCTATCAACGTCTGAGACAATTCACTATGGCGGAGACCCACGCTGGCAACTCTACAGGGAGTTTCCTGCCCCAGAGTTCACCAGCCTCTTCTCATCCTTTACGGTCAACGGCCCCTCCCGTGACCACTTCCTTCTTGAAATCTCTCTTTCCAAGGCTACTGTGGCACTCCTTTTACTATTTCTTTCTTCTTTGGGAGGAAAAAGGCACTAACTGTCCCTATGCTCATGTACATGACCTCATCGAATCATCTCTACCACCTCAGGTGCTTTAGTATCTCCATTCTACATGGTTAAGAAAGCTTGGCTCAGAAAGATGAAGGAAGCTTCCTAAAGTCCCATAGCTACCAAAAAGCCCATTTGGACCCCAGGTTTGGCAGCCTCTTTTCCTAGATGTTTTTCTTCCATTGTCTCTCTAAATGGCACTTTGACTTTAGTTATAGTCACTGTCTCAGCCATCACCTCTAGGGAAATTACTCCCAAGTCACCACTTCTAACCCATTCCTTTCCCCTGCTCCAGAGCTGCACAATAAATAGTCTGCTGGATTTCTCCAGCATGTTCCTTAGGCTGGCCTGGTGTCCGTCAGTCATGAGGGGAAATGATAGAGGTTTCACATCTGGTGACAAGGGTTGGGAAACAAAGGTGGCATGACCGCAATGGGGTGTGCAGGCAGCAGAGGAGGGGTGCAGATACTCTCAGTCCTGTAGAAGAATAAATGATATCCCTAAATTGCTTAAATTAGATAATTACAAGTCCATGCTATTAGCATGGATGTCTTAATGATGATTAGTCTAAACAGCACAACCACATGAAACCATTCCAGACACCCACAGTCTCTGCCAATTTCTCTCGGAACTGAGGAGGGGCCATGTGAAAGGCTTAGCACATTTTGGTTCTTAGGAAACTAGCTGCTTAGGGATCTCTTAAAGATATGTATTTTTGTTTTTAGAAAATACTAGGATAGTGATTTTAAACTTTTTTCTAGGTATCAATATTTTTAAAGCAAATTACCCAACTAAACACATATCCTTGCAGCTCTGCAGAGACAGGTACTCACCATTTTGCGGTTTGCTTTCTTTTCACCGAAATGAACTTGATATGGTCGTAAACTATAACTTGAAATGAATAAATAAATAACTCAAGCACTAGATCCTGATAAACTTCAGAAGGAAAGGTCTGAACTATTTCCATTCTCATGAACACAGTCTTGTGGTATGCATCAATCTTATCAATCATGTATGTAAAGCATTTCACTTTAAATGAGCTTTATAGTAATTTACATTCTTGTTCTACAGGTTTGAATCTGGTTCTCTAGAACAATTTTTGAGTTAGGATACAGATGGTTATTAAAACTGTGATATTTTTCCCCCTTAAGGTCTAGGTAAATTTTCAAGCCAGTGTAAGCATAAATTTAAATGTGGTCCAGCGGAGAAATATACCACACTGGGACCAGATAGAGGGGCTACTCCCAGCTCTGCCACCAGCACCATGCCTACCTAACCCTATGATCACAGCTCTCACCGTGGGTGTCTCAGCTTCTTCATTCTAAAATAAGGGTGAGGGATCCTCAAGATCCACCTAGCTATGAAATTCTAAGACATACTCAACTTTGTGTTGATCATTTCTTAAACTGTAGGGTTAGAAGTACACAAATGAGAAGGAATGTTTGTTTACTGGGCCAGATCCCTTTTAGACTGTGTCTTACGGCTCCGATAACAGAATACCATAGACTGGGTGGGTTATAAACAACAAAACTTTCTCAGTTTTGGAGGCTGGAATGTTTAAGATCAAGGCCCTGGCAGATTTAGTGGCTAGTAAAAGCTGACTTTCTGGTTCATAGCTGGTCACCTTTTTGCCGTATCCTCACATGGCGGAAGAGGCAAGAAAGCTCTCTGGGGTTTCCTTTATAAGCATCAATCCCATCCTGACGGCTCTGATCACCTACCAAAGGCCTCACCTTGAAAGACCCTCCTCACATTGGGCATTAGGTTTCAACACAGGAACTACGGAGAGACAAAAATATCAGCTGAGAGCGGATTCTTTCTACCCCGGATTTGTTCTCCAGTTAAGAACATTCTTTTCTCATGGGATGGTGGTAAAACAGGCCTGTAAAGGCTTCCAGCTTGGGAGGGACCTGGCCTTGGAAAGTATGTAAGGTGCATCTCCCATCTGGGTCTCAAGTAATAATGCCACTCCATTCCTTCCTTTGGATTTACATTTTCTAGCCATTAGAGTGGTAAGATCTAAAAGGCTGAGTTCAAGCTGTGAGCCCGGGGGGAGAGGGGCCCAAAGGACCACTGGCTCTTTTCTAAAGGTCATTACGAGCCAGTCATTCTCACAGTAGAATCACGGGTAGAAGAGCTCAGGCCTCACCCAAAATAATTACACCAAAATCTATGTGGGCAGGGCCCAGGGTGTGTGTGTGTGTTGTGTACAGGGCCCAGGGTGTGTGTGTGTGTTGTGTACAGGGCCCAGGGTGTGTGTTGTGTATTTTTTTTTTTTTTTACAAGTTCTCCAGGTGATTTTAACAGGCAACCAATGTAGAAAAGCCATACTTAAGTCACAGGACTGCCTATGTCCTTATTTATTTTACCTATGGCTCAGGTAAAAGGAAGATTTCAAAAGGAATACTTGACAGAACTCTTCTAATAATTCTGATGTGAATGGTGGAACATGCTACTTATAAAAATACAGAAGAACAAAAAATACACTATTGCTAACGTTTTGATTGTATTCAAATTTTTATTTTTTGAACAAAAATTTAAGACAATGATTTTAAATAATAAAACATGGTATATATTCTAGACACTGGTTTTTTTTAAAGATTTATTAAATTTAGACTCCTATAGTTCTGTTGTGATGCTTTCTTCAACATTTATATTATTTCTTACCATTTTATCATCACTCCAAGCTTGCTAAACAAAGAATCTCTCTGTTAAGTGAAGTTTTACATTAAGGAAATACTCCACTAGCACACTGAACAAACCTACAGAACTGTCCTAGTTTATATTTACAAAACACAAGAAGTCTGTCCAGCCATTTTGGTTTTGTTGTTACACTGTCCATACTGAGATCAGCAGAGAGCTAAGTAATACACAAGATTACGCTTCGGCAGTGCAAAGGATGGCATCAACCAAACTTCATTAAACAGACCAACAAGTACAAACATGGTGAGCAAAGTTCAACTCAGGTAATAGTGATTAAAAACAAAACATGTAGTGGGTCACAACCAGACTGGTTTTCACTGTGCAACTTTCCTCAGGGAATAATACCCATTCACAGAAAGAAAGGAATATGCATCCAAGCCTTTGTTCATAAAGAAAATGCCCTTCAAACAAATTCATCATAAGGCTAAAAAAAAAAAAAAAGAAAGAAAAAAGGATGAAGCAGTTTGGCCCAGAGAAAAGCTTAAATATAATGTGTATACATACTTATAGATATGTTGCCATTTAAACCATGGATATAGACATTTGACAATTAAATGAATTGGCTCAGTAAAGTGAAAAAGTGTTTTCTATAAATATGTAGTTATTGCTGATATGCTACACATTATGCTTTGACATGGAGACTGTAGTAACTCAGAATTTAAAGCTGCCATATTGCCAGTGTTAGCCCTGCAGTAGGCATTCCTGTGGACAACATGCCATCCAATCCTGAAGAAAAAGCAAAACACCACTACTTAACAAAGAAAAGGCTTATGCACTGTCCCTTACATTTTTGTTTTTTTTTTTTAAAAAAACAAAACAAAACAGAATCAAGTCCAGTTCACCACAAGTTAAGCACAACCTGGCGAGCAAGTTTAGCGGCATGATGGGGAGAAAACAGTGAGGTACAGCATGCATTTACAACCAGCGCTGATCTAGTCTATTTTGTCATATAAACTTGAATACAAAAATCCAATTTAAATAAGACTAGACTTACTATAATAGTAAACAAACAAAAACAAAAAACAAAAAAAAAAAACACACACAGTAGACTTAGTTTGATACTGATTAATTTTAAGAGTAAACTCATCCTGTCCCCTCTTAATACTCTACTGCAATTTATTGATGGCTAGAATATTTACTGACTTAAAAAAGGTATTAAATACTTGTATCATGAAATTACATTCTTATTAACAATAAGACATACTGTGTAAGAAAATAGCTCATGTGTGAAATGTGTCTGAAATGCATTTTTTCCTTACAACTATCAAAACATCCACTCACACTAAAATGAAACCACTCCCAACCCCCCCTGAAAAAATGTTAAGGGAAGACGGGGTGGGCTGGGGGAGGAGCAAGGAAGGAAAAGATTTAGCTATACTAATTACAGCACAGTGATTAACAATGGTTCAAGACAGAACCAACAAGAGTTGGTCAAAAAGATGCCTTCAATACATGGCTACAATTAAAAACCAAACTCAGCCGCTTTTGGTTCATTGCAGTGAGACCAAAAAAATTATCTCTCACAGATTCATATAAATACTAGACTCCAGCTCTTATATCATTTTTTTTTAAGTTTTTCTGTTTGTTTCTGCAAGGCCTAGCTATCTTATTACAATTTATATTTGCTCTGCAACAACTACAAGAGGTAGGCATAAAGCATGAAAAAGTTTCTCAGTTAGTACCTCGCCATGTGTTGTTCACTGCACAAAACCATTCACTTTGGACATGAATAGTCATTCCTTCTATTATCTTCTAAACTCTAAAGCAAAGCTGCTGCCACCCGTAAATGTTCTAAAAGAGTGTACTCACAAGTAAGAAACTTTCTCTACTGAAGGATACTGTCACAGAGTTTGTTGCAGAGCATCTATATATATATTTATTTATTTATTTTAAAAAAATAAACAACAATGATGAACGAACCCAGGTTCCTAGAACCAATTCTCTTGATTCTCTACTTCCACAAAATAAAGTGTATCATTTGGCCAAGACTACAGATGTGTTTTTTTTTTTTTTCACAGATGCAAGTGCCATGCAAAAATAAATTAAAGAACAGATACCAAAACATACATGTGATAAAACTACAGAAGGTAGATTTTTAAAAGCATTTATATAAACATAATTTATAATACTTCTCTTTTTTCCTTTATATACAGTCACAAAGCTGTAGTTATACATCTAGGATTTCCTCTGCTGTACCCCCACAGCGTAATCTGTAGCGACCAGTTCTCCAGCTTATAGTTGGGTCCCATAATGCAGACAAAAAAATGTATATTGTCATGGATTCGCGGATGAACCAGGCGACTGCATAATCAAGTTTTGAAAAACACAGTGTGCCACCCTAGGAATGGAAAAAAAAATTTTTTAATTTCACTCACTGTCAAACTAAAGACAAGGTTAAAAAATTAAATTCTTGGATTTCACTTTTCTAAGTATACTATGTAAAATCAAGTCTGCTTCCTTATGTAATTTAACTGCCATGTTATACCGTTCAAGAAAATGCTAATTGTTAATGAAGCATTAAAATAACTGCTATCTTAATGTCTTATTAGTTTCAATACTCACTGATTTAATTAACTTCATGTTTTTGGAAACTTAATAAAAGCGATTATATAACCAATAGAAAGTTGCAAATCGACTTAAGTTTTGCATCAACATTCCACTAGAGAAAGTCATGTTCAAACCCGAGACTAACCTACAATGGGAAGCTGAAGAATGGCTCAGATACATTTCCTTCAACTTTTTCTAAATTGAAATAGTTCTAGTTCCACCAAGGGACTGCCAACCTTTTCATGCCTATCCACATACCTGGACACCCCTGAGTTGAATGTAGTCAAATATAAACCATGCCAGGCAATGACACATGAAAAATACCATAATATCCCATCTGAACACATGGTGGGCTGCCCATCCAATAATTAAACTGGCAACAAAGCATTCTGAAATTGGCTCACAAATTATTGTAGCAGGAAGCATGTTAATTCGTAGTTTGGTCCACCTGGAAAAACAAAAAGGATTTTCTTTAAAACAATATCCTGGCTACAAGACAAATCCTTTTTTTTTTCCCTCAAATAATCAATTTTTTTACCCTGTGATAGAAAGACCATTCTCTTTAAACTTTTTTTGTTTTGTTTTTTTTTTTTTACTTGAGACGGGGTTCTGCTCTGTCACCCAGGCTGGAGTGCAGTGGCACTCACTGTAGCTTCAATCTCCCAGGCTCAAGCGATCTTCCCACCTCATCCCACCAAGTAGCTGGGACCACAGGTGTACACGCCACCACACCTGGCTAATTTTTGCATTTTTTGTAGAGACAGGGTTTCACCATTTTGCCCAGGCTGGTCTCAAACTCCTGGGCTCAAGCAGTCCTCTCGCCTTGGCCTCCCAAAGCGCTGGGATTACAGGTGTGAGCCACCACACACAACCTAAAAATTTTTTTTAATGACTCTCTTTTCTATTTTTGTCTAGGATGTCAAAGAAAAATGTCTTTAAATTCATTTGTATGGCCTACGCTCTGATGAATACAGATAATAAAATTTAATCAGCACAGAAAGTTAGAAAATAAAGATCAGCATATTAAAAAATTCAGTCTCAACATTTCTCTAATGAGTGCTTTCAGTGTTATACAGCAAATAAAATACATTTAGACATTAAATTTATCTTAAACACAGACGTTAAACTCTATTTTCTGCAACTAAACAAAAATCTTCAACCTTTAGGTACATTCATTTAACTACATTAAACCTGTAAAAATTACCACCCCCCTCCCCACTTTCCTTTTAACGAAGTATAAAAAGAAAACAGTTGATTTACCTGATCATTCTGGATTGAAACTGAGAAATTGAATATGAGCCAGAGTTTTGCATTGCAACTTGAGTGGACATTGCAAACCTCCAACCTCTGAAAATTAAGATAATTAGAAAATAAGTTATGATGATGAACACATGCAAGCGTAACTGGTTATGCATTCAGTAATCATTATAAAGACCAGGCAACTGCCGGTATTCAGGGTGAGCCCAGCTTTCATGATTAGCACATGACTTAAGGTCTACCATACGTATGGATGTTTTAGCAATTATGCTGGCCCGTGACAGCACCATCTAAGAACTAGAAGAAACTGTACCCACCTTACTTTACAATTTAAGAAACTTAAAATGCAGTCATTTTGAAAAAAAATGGAGAGGGCTCCATATTTAATAGATTAGTCTCTGATGACTACTAACCAAACAACAAGACATGTAAACAGAAAGTGGCATTATGGATCTCATGGGAGACACTAGGAAACCATGAACCACATGAACACAATCATGACAGAATTTGTATTTAAAACACACTTCAGTTTTTAAAAAATTTAAAAGAATTCTCACACAAGGCAGTGATCTCCTTTAAAAACAAGTATTTTAGGCTGGATGCAGTGGCTCATGCCTGTAATCCCAGCACTTTGGGAGGCTGAGGCGGGCGGATCACGAGGTCAGGAGTTCAAGACTAGCCTGGCCAACATGGTGAAACCCCGCCTCTACTAACATACAAAAAAAAGTAGCTGAGTGTGGCGGCGGGTGCCTATAATCCCAGCTACTTGGGAGGCTGAGGCAGGAGAATCGTTTGAACCCAGGAGGCGGAGACTGCAGTGAGCCGAGATTGCGCCACTGCACTCCAGCCTGGATGTCAGGGCGAGACTGTCTCAAAAAAAAAAAAAAAAACCAAAACAAAACAAGTATTTTGTGATAGAGAAATGCTAAGTCAGTCATATGAATCTTTCAGTGGCTTCTTAGCAAAGTATCATATAATTCACTGACAAATTTCAAATTTTGAAATGATAGTCTTTAAATTTTCACCTACTAGTTTATGACTGCACTGATAGTTTTAATTCTTCTAAAACACAGAAATTTGTATCTATATAGTAAAAATTCTAAACACAGAGAAACTTACTTTTAATCGCTTTAAAACACATTAATTTGAAAAATGTAGAGGAATCAGAACATTTACCTTCTTCATTAGTACATATCTACAATTCTATAATTAGAATATGAATTACTCTATAAAATTATTGATCTGCTGGGTGTGGTGGCTCATACCTGTAATCCCAGCACTTTAGGAGGCCGAGGTGGGCAGATCACTTGAGTTCAGGAGTTCAAGACCAGCCTGGCCAACATGAAGAAACCCCATCTCTACTAAAAATACAAAAATTAGTGTGCATGGTGGTACATGCCTGTAGTCCCAGGTGCTCTGGTGGCTGAGGCATGAGAATCACCTGAACCCGGGAGGCAGAGGCTACAGTGAGCCAAGATCGCGCCACTGCACTCCAGCCTAGGTGACAGAGCAAGACTCTGTCTCAAAAACAAACAAAATAATAAAATTATTGACCTATTCTGTACTTACTAGCAAAAAAAATAAAATTAAATTAAAAAGCCCTAATCTATAGGTTGAACAAAAAGAATAAACCAACAGAAGTTAGGTAATAAAAATACTATGGCTTCATTTAGTTGTCTTACCGGTCAGCTATCGCTTTGGCCATAAAGTAATCTTCGGCAATGTACTGAGCAAAAGCTATAAGTCCTCCTGCTTGATCCAACACATCTTTTCTCATTAAACAAGACATTCCTGTCACACATTTGAAACCAGTTACATTGGCAGAGATATAGTATCTTGGATGTGAAGTTCCAAAATATACCTGCCCAAAAAACCACAAACGTGTATGATTAGAATTTCATGTTAAAAGCATGGTGTTCACGAACTGTTTTTCCCAATGGTTTTTTTATAAGTATGATTGAGTGAATATCTTATTATTCTTACGTAGACTACCTGAATAAAAAGTGGTAGACAATATTGCTTTCATAGAGCAAGCACAGTTAGTAAGCTAAAAATGCATCCAAATAAAACTTAATTTAGATACAAAATAAGGTAAAAATATCACTCATTGATATATAAAATATTAACAAATATTCAATGTATCTTGTTTTTAGGGTGTTCATGTAAATATACACACACATCTACTTTACTGGGATCAATATACATATTTGTATGTTACGTATATGTGTGTATATATACATGCATGCATACACACACCACCCATAGGTATATCAACCTTCGGGACAATCCTATTTTTTTGGGGGGTGGGGGGTGGGGAGGGGACACAATCCTATTTCTTAATTCCTTTTCTTGCATCCTTTTGTAGCTAGCTGCTCCCTCTCCCTTAGTCACTAAGATTCTTCCCAATTTCTCCATTTTTTTCAATGTATTTTTCATAACGGGGATACTAAAATTCTCTCATCCGCTACTGCCATTTCTCTGCATATACTCTGAAGTCATAAGATATATACGCTGATAAATCAATGGTAGAAAAGGACTGTTATTACCCTACTTAGTAGACATAAAATCCTATTTATTATTTACACCTCAGATATGTTGCCTTTTCTAATTAGCCTGAAATAAAGAGTAGTCATCTTTCTTAGGAGTTACACACACAGTGCAGAGCAAGAGAATTCTAAGGGGCAATTATGATTATGATTCTTGCTACCTACCCTGAACCCAGACTCCAGTGAAGCCCTAGTGTTTGTGGGACTGAACTGAACCTGACTTCTAAGAACAGAGGCACATATCTTAATTCCTTAGTAGTTATTGAGGTCTTAGGAATGAGATGTTAGTCACTGAGCTGAATGTGCTCTTTACAGTTGAGAATGATTAATTCTAAGTATGGCAGAGTGACTTCCAGAGATTAAACCTACACTAAGGCAATGGGTGTATTCTGGGAGATGTTTATTGACATACACATCACAGAGATGTTATTGACATCTGTATCAATTTGGATATTTCTAAGACAAAAATACAATTTGGTATACTAGAACACATTGTATTTTATTTTAAAGTGGCTACTCAGTTTCTTTTTCTAAACAAAAATTCTGGTATTTAAGACTAACAATTTCTTGCAGTAGGACAAATATATTTACAGCCAATATTAAGAAAGAGCTCATGGTTCAAACTGCCAAAGGCCAGATGCAAGTTCCCACAATGTACCTTTACCCCTTCAGATATGTGGCAATCATAAGACTGCAATTCAAAAGAATATAAATGCAGATATGCTTAAGAGCAAGTTGACATATTTAAAGACTGAAATCACATATCTGTCCTTATAACATTACAACAAATTTTTCCTCCCAAATGTTTAACAGTACAGGAATGATTAACTCAAGCATAGGACACACATACGATGGCCTATGATACAGCCAATAAAAATTACTTTTATGAAAAGCTATTAATGATATGGGAAAAGCTTACAAAGTCACAAAAATAAGATACAGATTATTTTTAGAATACTATCTCAACAATGTTTTCTAAAGGGCCCAGAAGGGGGTGGTGGGGGAAATAAAGACTCCAAAGTGTCCAAATGATACAATGTTTATTTTTAAAACCAGAAACTTCCTGCCGGGCGTGGTGGCTCACGCCTGTAATCCCAGCACTTTGGGAGGCAGAGGAGGGTGGATCACGAGGTCAGGAGATCGAGACCATCCTGGCTAACACGGTGAAAACCTGTCTCTATCAAAAATACAAAAAATTAGCCAGGCATGGTGGCGGGCACCTGTAGTCCCAGCTACTCAGGAGGCTGAGGCAGGAGAATGGCGTGAACCCGGGAGGCGGAGCTTGCAGTGAGCCGAGATCGCGCCACTGCACTCCAGCCTGGGCGACAGAGCGAGACTCCATCTAAAAAAAAAACAAAACAAAAAAAACAAAAAAACCCCATAAACTTCCTGTAATTGTTAGGGTTCTAGGTTGTTGGTTTTTGTTTTTTTGCATCTTATACTTTTCCATTATTTATAGTTTCCTATGGATGTTACTATTTCTAAGTTGGAGAAAAAATAAAATGAAAACATAAGTTTCTCAGGTAATTATTAGAAATATGTTTTAAAAGGACATCAAATAGGTTTTATAAGGACTTGTATGAATACATTTTCTTTTGTGTATATTTGAAATACTTTGTGGTATTTTAAAAAGGTTCTTTTGAGGGCTGGGCGCAGTGGCTCATGCCCGTAATCCCAGCACTTTGGGAGGCTGAGGCAGGCAGATCACTTGAGGTCAGGAGTTTGAGGCCGGCCTGGCCAACACGGTGAAACCCCATTTCTACTAAAAATACAAAAGTTAGCCAGGTGTGGTAGCACACCTGAAATCCCAGCTACTTGGGAGGCTGAGGCAGAAGAATCGTTTGAACCTGGGAAGTGGAGGTTGCAGTGAGCCGAGATCGTGCCACTGCACTCCAGCCTGGGCAACAGAGCAAGGCTCTGTCGCAAAAAAAAAAAAAAAAAAAAAAAAAAAAAGGCTGGGGGGAGGGGGCCAGCGGTTCTTTTCAGATCGAATGTTTGAAAGAACAATATAAAGAACTGAACTCTAGAACAGGAAGTGAATACTACAAGGCAAGAGGTTAGACTGTGTTCAGCTGGCAATAAGACCGCAGGCATTTCCTGCGCACAGCTGTTCACTGCCAGGGTACAGTCAGGGTCCCAAGAATTTCCTCACTAATGAAAACAGCTGCTCTCAACTCAGGGCTTCTAGAACACAGCAGGTTCCCAAATGGACTTAATACAGTTAACTTGAGATACCTAATTCCAGCTCCCATAGTCTCAAGCTTCTGGGAAATGAGGGGTCTGATACTATGAACATGATTTATAACCACCATACTCACCTGCTCTAAGGTGGCAGCAAAGCCCTGTCTGTCTGCTACGTAAGGCAGCCCGTGAACCAAGCCTACTTTTTCTGTCATTTGATTCACCATGTCAGTAAGCGTATCTGGAATTACTACAATTTAAAAAAAAGGCAGAGAGGGGGAGAAAAGAAAATTTGTTTTTAGTAGAATGCCCATTAATATAAAATATATTTTGTGAATTGTTATTACATTCTTAATAAAATACATTATTTTAAACATATGGATCTAATAAAATGAATCTCAACCACCTTTCTGAGGAGAATACAAAATTTCAAAAGGGCCTAATTCTCGAAAGCTAATTTATACATTTTTTAGCCCAGTATATACCTACTATGTACCAGAGGCAGAATATACTTTGAAAAAGTTACCCCCTGTTGGAACTTCTAATTTGGAATAAGGACAATCTGTCCTAGTGGAAAAGGCTCAGGAGCAGAGGCTAAAGGACCTCAGTTCTCGTGCTGGCTTCTCTACTCTCCAACCATAGGAAATGAGACTATTTTCTCTGTGAGTATCAGATTTCCACACAGGAATGGAACGTGATTATATTGAACAGAGATCTGTACACTGAAAAACATATGATAGTAAATAATTTAAGATAGCAAATATGAAGAATGAACATCATCTCTGACCAGCTGATAGATCTGTAATGGTCTTGATTAACTCATAGGAGTGCAACATTTATGTTCATTTTCTAATTTGCATTTTAAGCTAATAAAAAATTTAAATTATTGCCCAATCTTTAGCAAACATCTCATATCATTTTTACATGACCTTATTTTTCATTTCCTCCAAGTCTTTAAGAACTAAATCTACCGTATAAAGAAAAGTTGTATTTGGACCTTAAATACTCATTCTAGGTCAGTGCTTCTCAACTGGGGGCAATTCTGCCCCACAGGGGACATCCGGCAACATCTGAAGATATTTTTGCTTTTACTACTGAGAAGGGGGTACTACTGGCATCTCATGGTAGAGACCAGGCATGCTGCTAAACATCCTACAAGACAGCTCCCACAACAAAGCCTAAAATGTGAACAGTATTGGGGTTGAGAAGCTTAAGGCAATTAGAATATAAGAAAATATTATAGAACACTGAAACTATTATGAGTGTTCGAAAATGCAAGTTATAATTTCAGTATATGAAAGGCTTCTTGCTAAAATCATTTAAGTAAAAAGTCATGTGTATAGTCCGATAAGTGTATGTGTTTTAGTAAAATATGCACCTATTAATTTCTGTCCCTTTGTGAGACGGTGTATTACGCAAGCCGAAACACATTAAAGATAAGTGTCAGGCAAACAAGGGAAAAGTTACACCCATGGGAAAGCTTGCAGATTATATAATGAACCACAACCATTTTTAATTTAATGGTTGAAATTTTCTCTTCAAAATGAAAACATTTTAATACATGTAACATTCTAGTTTAGGATTAAAAAAATCAAAATCTTAGTAAGCATAACTGGACATATTACCATGAAATGATGATGAAATAAATTACTCTTTTAGGCAAATAAAAAGAACTCATGAATGTATCTGAGATTGCTTTTAGCATTTTATCTTCAAATTAATAGTTTTATAAAATAAATAAGAAAAAAACCTCACCTCTTATTCCACTATCACAAATCCATATAAGATCATACTTTGCAACTTCATATCCTGGCATTAAATTATTAATTTTAGGATTAATGCCAACTTTTTTGCCACCTAAAAATGTAAAGGTACAGTAGTAAAAGATTTATGCAACATTAAAAATATTTTATAGTATAAAGATACATGATAGAAATGAGAATACTTGCATATTTAATAATTAAACATACTTTCATATTATTTAACATTCTCTATTATTCATAATAATATATTTAGGAAAAAACTGTCCATTCTCAAAAGGAAAACTGTATCATTTATCTTTGAAAATTCACTGTTTCACTTTTTCTAATTCTTAAGTCCTTGCCTTAGTAGTTAAGTATGAGTCAATATTTAATGGCAATTGTACAACATGGCAACTATAGGTAACAACAATGTATGGTATACTTGAAAATGACTAAGAGTAGATTTCTCACCACAAATAAAGTATAAGTACATGAGAAAGTATATAACAACATGTTGTTTACTTGAAAACTGCTAAGAGAGATTTCCCACCATGAATAAATATGTGTGGTAATGCATATGTTAATTAACTTAATTTAGCTATTCCACAATGTGTACATATATATATATTTCAAAACATCGTGCTGTACACCAAAAATATATACAAATTTTATTTGTCAATTTAAAAAATAATCCTAAGGGAAAAAGCTACAGGCGTTATTTTGAAGCTATAATTAAAACAGTATAAATTCATAAATACAGTAAGATTATATTTAATAAAGGTTTATTAAATGTAAACACACATGGCCAGGCACCATGGGCTCACGCCTGTAATCCCAGCACTTTGGGAGGTCGAGGGGGGTGGATCACCTGAGGTCAGGACTTCGAGACCAGTATGACATGGCGAAACCCCATCTCTATTAAAAATACAAAAAAATTAGCTGAGCGTGGTGGTGCCTGACTGTAATCCCAGCTACTGGGGAGGCTATAATCCCAGCACTTTGGGAGGCCGAGGCAGGTGGATCACCTGAGGTCAGCAGTTCGAGACCAGCCTGACGTGGTGAAACCCTGTCTCTGCTAAAAATACAAAAAAATTAGCTGGGCGTGGTGATGCACGCCTGTGATCCCAGCTGCTCAGGAGGCTGAAGCAGGAGAATTGCTTGAACCCAGGTGGAAGGGGTTGCACTGAGCTGAAATTGTGCCATTGCACTCCAGCCCGGGTGATAAGAGCAAAAAATTCGTATCAAAGAAAAAAAAAACCAAAAAAACCCCATAAATATATGACAGTAAATAATTTAAGATAGCACATGTGAAGAATGAGCATCTCTGACCATGAGCTGATAGATTTGTAATGGTCCTGATTAATTCGTAGGCATGCTACACTTATATTAATTTTCAAATTTGCATTTTAAGCTAATAAAAAATTTAAATCATTGCCCGATCTTCAAATAGCAAAGATCTGATATCATTTTATACGACTTACTGGTTTTTTAGAGAGACCACATCAGCTCTATGTTAAAAAAAAAAAAACACTAATGGCAAACACACCTCTACAAGTCTTTCAAATAAGCCTGTAGGCTTTTGGAAAAATACCCTTCTTGTAATGTAATAAAAGTGAATTCTATCATTCACTCCAATTATAGTCAGTAAGATACAGAAAAGGCCACACATTTAAAATATTGAAGAAACAAAAAATAACAGACCCTCATGTCTGATTAATGGGAAAAATATTATTTTGTGTGTGATTTTGTTCATCTCAGATATGAAAAAAAAAAACCTTTGTTTTTATAACTTTTCTCAAAAGGACGTAAACACCTCTCAGTACTCCAACAAACATGTTTAAAACAAACATGGCTAACACCTTAATCTTCAGTTCAATGCAGAGATTACTGATACTTAATACTATCAATGGAAAATGGTTACTACAGAATTTGTTACTTACCTATAAACAATCTAGCATCAACATTTGGATATTTTCCAAGAAGCTTCTTACATACATCAATGGCTGGATCATCATGATCTTGTACACAAAGGAGCACTTCATACTAGTCAAAAAGCATTGTATGTAAATTAAATTCTTTAAAAAAATAAGCACTTACTAGCATGTATTGATTGAACAAAAAGCACAGGAAAAAACAAGCAACTGTATTATGCAAAGTTTTAAAAGAGAGCATTCACAATGGATGCAAACACTTATGATAACAAGTGTTGCTTTAATGGAGTGAAGCTTCTAATTAGGAGCCTATCTGCAAGCAGAATAAATAAGGAAGAGACTGGCAGTGCCCACAACTGCAGTCTTGCCATTCCCAGATAGGAATCTCCTAGTTAATCTCCATTAACTGGATCTCAAGCTTGTCCATGGCCATCACTACTGAAGATTTACTAACTGCTCACAGGGTGCCTAGCAGAGTAAAAAGTGACATCAAAAGGAAGCAAAATAAACACAACCTCTCTCTAGAAGCTTTGTCTCTATACTTAATATTATTTCATGAAGGTGCAACAAATTTCATATAAAATCCCATTATAATAAATTTAAAGGGCCCTTCCAAATTCATCACATGAAAAGGACAAAGTAAGATTACCCTTTTTTGTTTCATAACTTTTTGAAACAAAACAGAATTTGATTTGAATGGACATTTACGATCTTGAAATGCATGCTTAGCCTTGTAACTATGAAAATACCTACAACTTTATTTTGCCCAGTGCTATGTTTAGATTTTTAACAGTAAATTAAGAAAGGCATTTCTTAACACTTGCCCAGCTGTGACAAAATTACCCTGGGGCTGGGCACGGTGGCTCATGCCTGTAATCCCAGCACTTTGGGAGGTCAAGGTGGGAAGACTGCTAGAGCCTAGGTGCTCGAGAGGAGCCTGGGCAAAAAGGCGAGGCCCTGTCTCTACAAAAAATTTTTAAAATTAGCTGGGCATGGTGAGGCATGCCTGTGGTCCCAGCTACTTGGGAGGCTGAGGTGGGAGGATTGCTTGAGCCCAGGAGGTTGAGGCTGCAGTGAGCCGAAGACTGCGCCACTACATTTCAGCCTGGGAAACAGAGTGAGACCCTGCCTCAAAAAAAAAAAAAAAAAAAAAAAAAATCACCCTGGGGCATTTATTTTAAAAAGAGAATTGGACCCTATTTTAGACTTTTGAGTCAGAATCTCTGGGGTGATCTGACATGCAGCCAGATTTATAAAATCCTGAACTGAACCCCTAAATTTCCATTAACAACCCAACTTTTTTTTTTTTTTTGAGACAGAGTCTCACTGTCACCCAGGTTGGAGTGCAGTGGCATGATCTCAGCTCACTGCAACCTCCGCCTCCCAGGTTCAATCGATTCGCCTGCCTCAGCCTCCCAAACAGGAGTAGCTGGGACTACAGATGCCCGCCACCATGTCTGGCTAATTTTTGTATTTTTAGTAGAGACGGAGTTTCATTGGCCGGGCTGGTCTCAAACTCGTGACCTTGGGATCTGCTTGCCTCTGCCTCCCAAAGTGCTGGGATTACAGGCGTGAGCCACCATGCTCAGTCAACAACTAAATTTTTTAAGTATTTGTCCTTAACATACAAAAATACTACTCTATTATTTGTAGGATATGTATTCTAAGTAGTGATTTTTTTCCCCAGAAGTGGTAATAAATTCATGTTGACTCAATGAAGAAATTTCCTACCAAATCTTTTCTAAAACTGGTTGAACAGCCAGGCACGGTGGCTCATGCCTGTAATCCCAGCACCTCAGGAAGCCAAGGCTGGTGGATCACTTCAGGTCAAGTTTTTGAGACCAGCCTGGGAAACATGGTGAAACCCTGTTTCTCCTAAAAATACGAAAAATTAGCCAAGTGTAGTGGCACGCGCCTATAATCCCAGCTACTTGGGAGGCTGAGGCAGGAGAATCACTTGAACCCAGGAGGCGGAGACTGAAGTGAGCCCAGATCACGCCACTGCACTCCAGCCTGGGCGACAGAGCGAGACTCCATCTCAAAAAAAAAACAAAACGACGACAACATAAAACTGGTCGAACATTTTTAAGCACAGAAGGGAGGTTAATTATGTCCATGAAAACATAACAAAGCTAACTAACTCAAGAGAACGACAAAGTCTGTTATATTTACTTCCAATGATAAGCATACACAAGTAAAAAGTAGAAATAAAATGTTTATAGTGCCTGTGAGCATAATAACAATTGTTTGCCCACTACCTATAATCTCAGCAAAAACTGCCAATAAAAAAATTTGTGGGCCAGGCGTGGTGGCTCAAGCCTGTAATCCCAGCACTTTGGAGGCCAGGGCAGGTGGATCACCTGAGGTCAGGAGTTCGAGGCCAGCCTGACCAACATGGTGAAACCCCGTCTCTACTAAAAATGCAATAATTAGCAGGCATGGTGGCACACACCTGTAATCACAGCTACTTGGGAAGCTGAGGCAGGAGAATCGCCTGAACCTGGGAGGCAGAGGGAGGTCGCAGTGAGCCGAGATTGCGCCACTGTACTCCAGCCTGGGCAACAAGAGTGAAACTCCGTCTCGGGGAAAATAAAAATAAAAGAAATTTGCAGTTGATCACAAAAGAACCAAGACTAAGGTTAATGAAGAAGGTTAGCTAATAAGATTTTTTGTCAAATGAAAAACATGTTTTCTTAATAATTAAGTCGATGAGGAAAACAATGTATATTTTCCTCATACTTTCTACCTACATACTGCTGTTATTATATATTCTATCCAATATCTACCTCTAATGATGACTGACGAAAATTGCCACTCAAGAGGTACTGAAACCAACTTGACAGTTACCTGGTCTCCAGAGACCAGATAAAAATCTGAAAATGGAAAGGGCCCTACTTCTACCACCCTCCTGAGATTTCCTTAAGAGCTGACTCTAAGTCACAGAAAGTGTCAGTCAGCCTCCCATCCAGACTCTCAAAACAATATTTGGCTGAGCCACCAAAAAGGCAATGACCTTCACAATAATGATTAGAGAGGTTAAGTGACTTTTCAAACGGCAAAAGTAACAACGAGCTTTCCTACTATAGGAGGCTGCTCAGCCAGGCTTGCTCTAAAGAGTTCCTTGTTTTTCCAAACATAGCATAGTTTCTTTTTTTTTTTTTTTTTTGAGATGGAGTCTCGCTCTGTCACCCAGGCTGGAGTGCAGTGGCGCTATCTCAGCTCACTGCAAGCTTGGCCTCCAGGGTTCACGCCATTCTCCTGCCTCAGCCTCCCGAGTAGCTGGGACTACAGGCATCCGCCACCACGCCCGGCTAATTTTTTGTATTTTTCTTTAGTAGAGACGGAGTTTCACTGTGCTAGCCAGGATGGTCTCAATCTCCTGACCTCGTGATCTGCCTGCCTCGGCCTCCCAGAGTGCTGGGATTACAGGTGTGAGCCACTGTGCCCAGCCAGCATAGTATCTTTAATGGTTTTTTTTGAGACAGGGTCTTTCACTGTCACCCAGGCTGGAGTGCAGTGGCGTGATCTTGGCTCACTATAGCCTCAACTTCCCAGGCTCAAGCAATCCTCCCACCTCAGCCTCCCGAGTAGCTGGGACTATAGGTGTGCACCACCACACCTGGCTAATTTTTGTATTTTTAGTACAGACGACGAGCTGGTCTTGAATGCTTGGGCTCAAGTGATCTGCCCACCTCAGCCTTCCAAAGTACTGGTATTACAGGCATGAGCCACTATGCCCAGCCTTTAATGCTTTTTTAATGCTATTTTGTGAGTATGAGTACATATGATGAAAGGAAATGTTTATAAGTAATGCAATTCCATAAAGTACAATAAAAAACTAATCTTAGCTTTTATTTTCCCCAGCAAGAGAAAACTTTGTAAAAATATAGTACTAGAAATATACTCAATGGGAAGAAAAATGCTATACTAGTGTTAAGTAGGGAGGTTATAAGTAAGGGAGGTACAGTCTGCCTTTATTCAGATGCAAGGTTTGAAGTGTTTTTTTTTGTTTTTTTGTTTTTTGTTTTTTTTTTTTGAGACGGAGTCTCGTTCTGTCGCCCAGGCGGGAGTGCTGTGGCGCGATCTCCGCTCACTGCAAGCTCCGCCTTCCAGGTTCACGCCATTCTCCTGCCTCAGCCTCCCGAGTAGCTGGGACTACAGGCACCCGCCACTGCGCCCAGCTAATTTTTTTTTTGTATTTTTAGTAGAGACGGGGTTTCACCGTGGTCTCGATCTCCTGACCTCGTGATCCGCCCGCCTCGGCCTCCCAAAGTGCTGGGATTACAGGCGTGAGCCACCGCCCCCGGCCTTGAAGTTTTAATTTTTATTGATTACACTGCTTAAACATAATTTTTAATTAAAAACAAATACTTTCTGATTAGCCAGAGTGTAAATGAGACTCATATTCATATTATCCAAAAAAAAGTTCAGACTCAAATACATAAGATTCATTTGTTTTTGATATTGGAAATTACACCAAATTGGAGGCAGCATTCCAAGTATTTTCTAAAGTATCAGATTTTAACCAGGAATCATTTTTCAGCTATCAGCTCTGTGTCTTCACAATTTGATGAGATATTTTATTTGCTAAGAATCCCTGTATTAAAATTGTTAAATCAGGCCAGGCACGGTGGCTCACACCTGCAATCCCAGCACTTTAAGAGGCGGAGGCAGGGGAATCAACTGAGGTCAGGAGTTCAAGACCAGCCTGGCCAACATGATGAAATCCTCTCTCTACTAAAAATATAAAAATTAGCCAGCGGTAGTGGCATGCGCCTGTAATCCCAACTTCTCGGGAGGCTGACACGGGAGAATTGCTTGAACCCGGGAGGCGGAAGTGGCAGTGAGCCGAGATTGTGGCATTGTACTCCAGCACAGGTGACAGAGCAAGACTCTGCCTCAAAAGGAAAAAAAAAATCAATTCTATAATTGCAAAAAAGAAAAAAAAATCATAGTTATGACAGGTTCACTGTTAAGAACTCTGATAGTTGATTTAGGTATTCTTCACATGGCCAGAATTTACTGAAGTAAAGCCAGCAAGCCACTTTAGACGCAGATTATTGACTATTACTGCTACTGCTTAATCTCTCCCCAAATCCCTTCTACGCTGGTGACAAATGAGTGTTCAATGCTGTGGAAAATGAACTGCATCACCTTTTCATTCTTTTATGTCTTCCCAAGGAATGAGTATCAGTATAAAAGTAGACTTGTAAGATGAATACAGCGCAGAGATCTTTCAGAGCAACTAGTCTAGTCTCACCAAAATTGAAACCTAGAAATTCAGAGCAAGTACCAGTAGCAGTAAATTTTCTTGCACATGTCCAAAATTAAGTAAAATTTTAAAACTTGAAGATATGTTTTATTATTTTCCCCCAAATGGCCTATGATAGTCCCAATCGAATATTAGAAGAGAAAGTTATGTCCAAAATGAAAACATTTCCATACTCTGGTAAAACGATGTTCACACCAGGCAAAATGCAAATATGAAAGGGCACTGCGCCTGGCAGTCACGTAAATGTTTATTTTGGGTCTCCTTGACTTCTTGGTGACACAAATGCCTTGTCTGTTCATGCTCAGATATGCGTGATTTCAGTGGTTTAACTTTAGTCTCCTGTGGAACATTTGCCATTGTATTTGGTTTTCACCAAGTAAATAAAATGCTGTGAAATCAAATATTTCCCTTAGATTGCAGGTACTTTGCACTTCTCCTCTGCTTTCCAAACTTTCTATTTATACAGCTAAATATAAGTTTATAATTAGAAAATAAAATTCTGTACTAACAAAGAATAAAATAATCTGCAGATGCTATTCTTCATCTTACAATGAATGTCAAAATAGCTTTCTCCTCAACCCACTTAAATGATATAACTAAATGGAAAAAGAGCTACTACTCTAAGTGAAAACAAGAGCTCTTGAGATCATTCTAAACTGTAATTTCCAAAACAATTTTTTATTTCAATTTTTTAATTTTTATTTTTTTGAAGGTGGGGGTCTCACTGTGTTGCCCAGGCTGGTCTTGAACACCTGGCCTCAAGCAATCCTCCCGCCTCAGCCTCCCAAAGTGCTAGGATTACAAGCACAAGCCACCACGCCTGGCCAAAATCTTCATTCACAAGAAATCAGTTATGGGGTCATTAGAAATGCTCGTAATCAATGGATACATATAACCCTGGGGTTACTTTTTAAAATTCTTTCAGTAGGGCATGGTGGCTCATGTCTGTAATCCCAGCACTTTGGGAGGCTGAGGTGGGGGGATTGCTTGAGCCCAAGAGTTCAAGACCAGCCCCGGCAACATGGCAACACCCTCTACAAAAAATACAAAAATCAGCCAGGTGTGGTAGCACATGCCCATAGTCCCAGCTACCAGGGAGGGTGAGGTGGGAGGACTGGTTGAGCCTGGGAGGCTGAGGCTGCAGTGAGCCACGACTGTGCCACTATGCTCCAGCCTAGGTGACAAAGCAAGATACTGTCTTAAAAACAAAAACGAACACAAAAAACCATTCTTTCTACAACTAAACCCCTCACTGACTTCCTCAAGCATTTAAACCCCATGACTATCATCTCACAAGCACTACAACGTAAAAATTCCATGACCAATTTTAAGAGTGGTTGAATGGGGAAAGTGAAAGAGGATGGTTAAAAAACTGAAATGTGAGATTAAGTTTCACAATGATAATGCATATGACTCTAAGCTATGCTCTAAGATTCATTCATAATCAATAGAAAATTTCTTTCATTCGTAAACATTAATTCTCCTTTGCATTTACTTTTATGGAGCTTGAAAATCTCCCATTTTTCTTACTGCAAAGCTTATTTTACAATTAATTTTATTTATATCTTTCTCAATTACAAAAGGCTAAGTTTTACCATTTTTTAGTTTGAAAAAACAAGTATATACAATTATATCTTATTTAAAAATTATATATTTGATTGAAGTTAACACATGTATTTAATTCAAATATCTAAAATTATTAAGCATATAAACACACACAAACTAGAACATATAATTTTTTTGCTTCAAAACAGCTTCCAATACTCCAAAATTGGCTTCTAAACTCCAAAACTCCAAAGCAATAATATAAAAACACTAAAAATACAACTGAATGATACTCATGTCTACCTACTTAATAAGTGCTGCATTAAGGCTATCACATCTGTGTCTTCTCTATTCTTTTCATTGGTGCTACCGAGAAAAATAAAGGCTAAAAGAAAAGAAATAAGAGCATGAAAACCAGTCACCATAAGAAGTGTAGTGCGCATATCATCTTCCTTCTGATTATTTGAGCTACCCTGTCCAAAAAAATTAAGAGGGACGACTCTCCCAGTAGCAAAAACAGCTATGGAAAAACTGAGGCAATAGGGTAAAAATTGAGGCAAGTGAATAGAGACCGCAAAGGGAAAACTAAACTGTACTGAAAGTCAAGTGGGTAGAAGCTTAAAGACACATTCTTCTCACAAGTGATCTGTTACCACCAAAATGCCCTTTCAAAAGCAGTCTCAAGCAATTTAATACAAAGCTGCTGTAAAGCTAAGTACAAAAATCAAAGAATATTAAGTTATCCTAAGAAACTACAGGTGGACTACTAAAGCAAAGTGATAAAAAGAATACTTTCATCTCAAGAAAACTGGAAGGTCTCCAATTAAGGGAGTACACTGAGTTTACAGATATACAGATTATATAGATAAATGGTATAAGCAATACAATTAGCTATTAAAATCAGAACAGTAAGGAAATTAAAAATGAGGTAAGATGAAACCCTACAGTACCACTAACTGTAATCTATTCTTGGCTCAAAGCCAGTTTCTCCGGAGAAGTCACGTTTAGTTCTGGCTGTACTGCAACCCATTTCAGACCACTAACACTGCTTTCTCCCTCTCCTTGTCTCCTCTTCCTATTGTTCATATCCAGCTCTTATGGAAGAAAATTTTTATTTTCAAACTACCAGGCACTTGACAATGTCTGAGTTTCAGAAGGTTTACTCAGGGATCTCTACTTCACACGGACATATAGGTGGTTAGAAAGGGAATTTACACCCCTTCCTCAACCTATTTCTGTTCTGTGATGACTACTACTAAAGGTTATATTTTATGAGGCCAATATCATCATGAATTTTTAATACCTTCACCTTATACAGTGTTAAAATCCCTAAATGTTTATCATGAGGGGAACAAAACAAAACAAAACAAAACAAAAAACCGTAACACTGAACTTACTTTGGGATAATCCAATTCAAAGAATGTTTCCAGGTTGTTGATTAAGTTAGGATCTACCCCTTTCAGTGGTTTCAGAAGAGAGACACCTGGGAGCTTGCTATAAGGCTGTTTGTCAGTTGCCTTCTTGTTGAGGTGTAATCGGCTAAAAAGCAAATGATATAAAAATTATTTCTATAGAATACATTAGTGTCAAATCAAAGCACTGACAAGCTATCAATAAATCCCTAAATTCTAAGTTAAGATTTTTAAAACTTGACATCTTTCTAAAAGAGGATCTAAACATGAAGGGAAGTAGAACCAGGTAAGCATGGCTTTGAATGCGGTCCAACACAAATTCATAAACTTTCTTAAAACATTATGAGATTTTTTGCGATTTTTTAAAGCTCATCAGCTATTGTTAGTGTATTTTATATGTGACCCAAGACAATTCTTCTTCTTCCAATACGACCAAGGGAAGCCAAAAGATTGAATACCCATGATGTACTACTCTCTGACTATTGCTATACTCACAGAACTATGCCAGGCATAGCGCAGGCATTTCAATAAAATACATGGTGAAGAAATGAATGGCAGTGTTAGCCCAAAGATTAACTCCTCTTCCTCTTAAATTGCCACTGAAGTGGCCACAGAACTATAAAAACAGGTAAAATAAAACACCGTCTGCAGCAGAAAATTATGAAAGGATAACCAGAACTTTCTGAGAAATTTCTTTGCAGTGGGATAATACACAGTTAAAAGAAGTGTCAAGCAGTCTGCATGGCAAGCAAGATAATGGGACAACTGGAACTCCCAATATTAATAAGGTCAGAATGGCAGGGGTAGAACAGAAGGAAACTGAAAGTAAGAAAAAAACTCAATGATGAGAAAAATGTCTATTAATGACACTGGAAGATATACCAGTGCCACCAGTTCATAGATAAGTGACCAAATGGCCAACGTTCTCACTGCTTGTCCATTGCAAGGATGCTGCAGCACAGCAGGGCTCCTAATGAAAGAAGCAATGCCACACAGGTGTGGTGGCTCACACCTGTGTAATCCCAGCACTTTGGGAGGCTGAGGCGGGTGGATCACTTGAGGTCAGGAGTTCGAGACCAGCCTGGCCAACACACTGAAACTCCATCTCTACTAAAAAAAAAAAAAAAAAAAATTAGCTGGGCGTGGTGGTGGGTGCCTATAATCCCAGCTACTCGGGAGGCTGAGGCAGAAGAATCACTTGAACCCGGGGGTGGAGGTTGCAGTGAGCCAAGATTGTGCCGCTGCACTCCAGCCTGGGTGACAGAGTGAGACTCCGTCTCAAAAAAAAGAAAGAAGCAATGCTAGAGAAGACAGAACGTGCCCCAGTTAACATCAGGCTGTTGCAACAAGATGCCATTCAATACAGTGGTGAAGTTTCTAAAGGAAGCCACTGAAGCCTTCCTCCTACTTCTAGTAAATATGTGACAAGTACTTCTCATAAACAAGTCTCCAAGCATTCGACAGTAATTAGGCACTAGAACATCATGGGTCCATCTGCAAGATATTCTAAGACACATGTTCTTCCACATTTTAACATCTCTGACATCAATGGTACCTTACAATTGCTGCCAGGCAGATGGCAGCTCTGACTTACTGTGAAAATCAACCAATGAGAACTTCTAGATGATCAAAAAATACTTGCATCAATGCATCTTGATTTGATAAAATCCACTATTAAACTGGGAAAGACTTCTGGAGGGACACCGGTACCACCACCCAGACCACTTAGCCATGGGCTTGGTCTCTAACTAAGGCAGGTGTGTGCTGTAGCAAACATCTAACGTTTTAGATAAGGCCATACAGTTTTACACACACGTGCACACACGCACACACACACACACACCAGGTTTACAATGGAAAAACTTTAAAACCAACAAGAAATTTAAAGAACAGGGTGGTATCAATTTCTGATACACCAAGTACCAGAAAATACTGGAGCACCATCTATCGCAGTGCTACTCAAAGTGTGGTCTGGTCCAGCATTGCTTTTTACTGGTTTGCAAGTGAGAAACAATTGAGTGAAACCTTTTAGAAACTTGTATAGCAATTTAACATTGCCATGACATCAAGCATGTGATCAGCAATTTATTTTTATTGTAGTTTACCAAAGTATTGGCTCATGGCAGATTGGAATTTTTTTTTTTTTATTTTTTTAAGACAGAGTTTTGCTCTGCGACCCAGGCTGGAGTGCAGTGGTGCGATCTCAGCTACTGCAACCTTCGCCTCCCGGGTTCAAATGATTCCCCTGCCTCAGCCTCCCAAGTAGCTGGGATTACAGGCATGCACCACCATGCCCAGCTAACTTTTTGTATTTTTAGTAGACACAGGGTTTCACCATGTTGGCCAGGCTGGTCTCGAACTCTTCATCTTAAGTGATCTGCCCGCCTCGGCTTCCCAAAGTGCTGGGATTACAGGTGTGAACCACTACAGCCAGCCAGATTGGATAATTTTAAAGAACAACTGCTTTGCCATAGATAGTTTGGAAAATATTGCTCTACAGAGTTCATCTGGAGGACCAGACAGGTAAAACCACGATCTAAAACGCATATAACCACAAAAGTAATCACTATTCTATTTCTAACAAAATAGCAGACTAGATGCCTGAAACCCACCAGGTAAAGAACATCTAGACTGCTGGGGAAAAAAGTTTATATTACACAATTAATTGATTCAACAGGATATATATATATATATATATATATCCTGTTGAATATATATATGTATCCTGTTGAATATATATATGTATCCTGTTGAATATATATATATCCTGTTGAATATATATATATATATATATATATATATATATATATATATATATATATATATCCTGTTGAATATACACATATGAGATAGGGTCTTGCTCCGTTGCTCAGGCTGGCATGCAGTGGTGTAATTATCTGCATCTCCCAGGCTCAAGCGATCCTGCCACCTTAGCCTCCCCAGTAGCTAGGATAACAGGTACACTCCACCACACCAGGCTAATTTTTTTATTTTTTTATGGAGATGGGGTCTCACTATATTGCCCAGGCTGGTCTTGAACTCCTAGGCTCAAAGAATCCTCCTGCCTTGGCTTCTCAAAGTGCTGGGATTACAGGCATGAGCCACCACGTTCAGCCCCTGAACTGGTAATATACTGATATGGTTCAAATCACTAAAAATATTAAGAGGGTCTGATAAAAGAAATCTGTCACCACTGGCCCCCCATCTGCCTGTTTCCATTACTGCTTCCCCAGCATTACTAGTTTCTTGTCCTTCCAGAGGTTTTAAAAATGCATATACAAGTCAAAATATATACACACATTTATGGTATATATGAATTATATATGTACATATTCATAAACTTGTCTCTCTTCCTTTTTAATACAAGTGTAGTAAAAGCATGTTTTAAAATACATAATTGAACCGTTAGGACAATAAAGAAGAGTCTCTAAGGTCAGAAATGAGAAAAAAACCTCTTCAGTGACTGAGTGCTAGAGTCCATGCTTGCCTCCTGACCATCTACTGGTGACCTGGAGATGGAGAGAAGCCTGAGATAAGAATGACAGGACAACTGTTCTGAGAGCCTTGGGTAAATCTGGACTCCCTGAAAGGCAAGCAGAAAAATCCTGGTCCATAGAGGGAAGATGCGGATGCTCTCTATCTTGGATTCAGTCCTCAGTGAAATAGAATAAAAGAAAAAAGTCTTGGCCAGGCACAGTGGCTCATGCCTGCAATCCCAGCACTTTCAAAGGTGGAGGCAGGTGGATCACTTGAGGTCAGGAGTTTGAGACCAGCCTGGTCAACATGGTGAAACTCCGTCTCTACTAAAAAATACAAAATATGGCCAGGCATGGTGGTGTGCACCTGTGGTCCCAGCTACTTGGAAGGCTGAGGCATGAGAATCCCTTGAACCTGGGAGGCAGAGGCTGCAATGAGCAGAGATCGCGCCACTGCACTTCAGCGTGGGCAACAGAGAGAGACTCCATCTCACACAAAAACAAAAACAAAAAAGAAAAAAGTCTTCTTGGAGAACACCTCACCACGTGGGTTTGGGCCAAGAATGCAACCTCCCTGTGTACCTGAACAAAACCCAAGAGAAGAGAAGGAAATGAGGGAAATCATTATATATGACCACAAATAATATGAAAAGAACCACACAAGTTCTAGGAATGACAGTTACAATCACTGACATCAGAAACTCAAAAGACAAGTAATACAGAATCTTACGTACTCACAATTTACGAAAGAATTGGCATCTAGATTAGAAGAAGCTATCCAGAATGCAGCCCAGAGAGAGGGACAGGTAAAGACACAGAAATCATGAAAAAGTTTGAGATGTGGATGACAGAATAAGAAGGTCTAAAATCCCAGTGATTTTTATCTGTTGGTCCCACTGTGTGATCCTTAAGTGCTATTAAACTACCAAAACATGCAGGTCAAGTGCTGGCTAAGTAGCAGAGAGAACTGGCCCACTAATAATCTCAGTGCCTGTGGCAAGGCTTTAGATCAAAAACAGTAGCAACGAAGATCATCTAAGCTGTACTGAATAGTCTAGAGGCGATTACATTTTGGTAAAGTTTAGAGTAGATCCTACTTCTCCCTTCTCCCAAGATGTTTTACTTTAAATATCATTAGATACACCTCCTCCTTTGAAGAACTTTTCATGTTGAGAATGCAGTATTTTATCATAGATTCATTCTGACTCTCTCAACAGCCACAAAGCCCTCTCTAGGTTTATGGATAAAGAGAATTGTTAAGTACTATATCTGAAATTTCTACTCAAAATAAGCCAGACTATATCACAGGGCCTTTAAAAAATGTATTTGTGCCTCCCCTCTGTCCCTGTCTCTCTCTAATATTTTCTTTCCAAAACCCAACAGGTCAGTTTGTTGTGTACCCCCTAGGGTACGAGATCCTACCTTGCAGAATACTGTTTTGACTTACATAACGCAACCAACAAAGCCATGTGGTACAAATTACTTGAAATGTTTGTCAAAACAATAGAAGAATATCCATTAAGTCACCAAATAAACAAAACACCTCTAGCACTAGGCTCAGCACACAGTGGTACTCCATGACTGCTTTGCAGTCACTTACTGGACAACATCTTTACAGCCCCGAATGTACACTAGTCATTATCATATGCACTGGAATGCAACAAGCAACAGGTGAATTCCCTACTGTGAAGGAGCTGTGGCTTAATGGGGAAGTTGGGTTGCACATGCCCAGAAGCTCTTCTCCTTACAAAACTCTTAAAGATGTCAACAAAGCTTTGCTCTGGAGAATCGTTCCACAGGTGGAAACAATGCCTTTGGCCATGACCAGTGTGTTGGAAACCAATCTACAGATTTCTACACAGAAATCATGAAAGAGTTTGAGATGTGGATGACAGAATAAAAAGCTCTAAAATCCCAGTGATTTTTTTCAAAAAAATTTTTTTAAATCCCAGTGATTTTTTTTCAAAAACATTTTTTAAATCCCAGTGGTTTTTTTCAAAATAAAGAAGAGTTTCCAAGGTCAGAAGTAGCCTTGTGGGCTGGTGCAGTGGCTCATGCTTATAATTCTAGCACTTTGGGAAGATGAGGCAGGCGGATCACTTGAGGTCAGGAGTTCAAGACCAGCCTGGCCAACATGGCAAAACCCCCATCTCTACTAAAAATAGAAAAATTAGCTGGGCGTGGTGGCACACGCCTATAATTCCAGCTACTCGGGAAGCTGAGACACAAGAATGACTTGAACCTGGGAGGCAGAGGTTGCAGTGAGCCGAGATCGCACCACTGCACTCCAGCCTGGGTGACAGAGAGGGAGAGAGGGAGGGAGGGCACTGTGATCAATTGCCTAGTGTTTCAAAAGTGGCCTCCACGGTGGAGCCCTTAAAGTGGGGCAGTATTATAAGTGGCTCGGACAGGGTCTTACAAGTTTTACTGGTTTCTAACTAGTTTTTCTTTTAGTGTCTCAGATCAGGGTTTCTGCATTTCCTAGACAGTATGAACTTGAGCCTATGATTCCTACACGTTGCACAAGCTTTCTCATGGGTGTCCATTTCTACCCTCAGCCTAGGGCAGACGACTTGCTTTCTAGGTTCTATACTGGGAATCCAGTTCTTACCTTCCTATAATGCATCTGGCTTGCAGCCTTGACCTTTTTGTTGGGGAAGTGGTGTGGGGGGTACTTTTTATTGATACATAATGTACATATTATAAAGTCACCTGTAAGTACACAGCTCAAAGAATTTTCTCAAAGTGAAACTCTCATGTAACCAGTACCCAGATCAAAAAACAGTATTAGCAGAACCCCAGAAGTCCTCTCGTGTCTCCTTCCACGTACTATGCTCCCCTCAAGGGTACTCACTGTCCTGACTTCAGACTAGTTTTGCTGGCTTTAAATTTTTATATAAATGGAATCCCATAGGATGTATCTTTCCTGTCTGGCCTCTTTGGGTTGCGTTATGTTTGTGAGAATCATCCGCGTTGTTACATTTAGCTATCATGTATTCACTCTTGTTACAGGATAGTTTTACTAATATACCACACTTTATTTACTTTCTGTTGATGGATGTTTGGGTTGTTTACAGTTTGAGGTTATTATAACTAGTGTGCAGCACTGACTCTGTCCTCGCACTAGTACTAAAAGCCCTACTCTTCCCACCACCCACCCCCCAAGCCTTCAACTTTTGGACAAGATGAAGAAACGCTAACTGGATTTACTCTCTCCCACCTGAAACAACCAAAAAATCAGAAAAAAATACAGGAGACAACAGTTTTGAAGATACTGGACATCAAGCAAAGGAAGACAGTGATTCCTATGACACAGAAAATAAGGTAGGCTGGGTGCGGTGGCTCACGCCTGTAATCCCAGCACTTTGGGAGGCCAAGGCGGGAGGATAATTTGAGGTCAGGAGTTCGAGACCAGCCTGGCCAACATGGTGAAACCCTATCTCTTCTAAAAATACAAAAAATAATTAGCCAGGTGTGGCCTCACGTGCCTGTAATCCCAGCTACTCGGGAGGCTGAGGCAGGAGAATCACTTGAATCCGGGAGGCGGAGGTTGCAGTGAGCCAAGATCGCACCACTGCACTCCAGCCTGGGCAACAGAGCAAGATTCCATCTCAAAAAAAAAAAAAAGAAAGAAAATGAATTGAAGAGCTGGAGTCAACAGTCCAGAAAAACAAAAACATCCAGCACCCAACACGGTGAAATTCAAAATGTCTGGTATCTATTAAAAAATTTCCAAGCATGCAAAGAATCAGGAAAATATACCAATGAGAAGAAATATCAATAAATTAAAACCCCACCGGGATTCAAATTAGCAGACCAGACCAACCCACTGCTTTGCATTCCCTCTTGGTTTCTGGAATATGCAGATTTTCTTTTCACATTTTCAGGCTCTGGGTGTGTAAGTGTCTAATCGTTACAGCATTTCCATGTGTTAATAGGAGAGGTGGTTCTCACATGTGCACACGCCACCTCTCATTCAGAAGTAGAGTCTGTACGGGACTCTGCAAATGCAGTGTGATACAGGCTATCATCAAAGTATGTTTGGAACACTTTGAGAGAAGAGAGATGGAAGCATCCAACTACTCCTAGGAGGCGGTCTTTCCAGACTTTCATACTCCAAGTGTGGCCCATGGACCAGCAGCATTGGCAACACCTGGGAGCTTTTCAGAGCTTCAAAATTTCAGGCCTCATCCCCCAAAACTACTGAAACTCAATCTTCAGTTTAACAAGATCTCTAGGTGATTCACAGGCACACTCAAGCTTGAGCAGCACTGCTTTAAGACTCATCTCTGCTATAAATTCTTCGTGACTTCACAGACAAGGCTGAAAAGGCCTGGAGCTCATCCTCTAGGCAAGAAATAACCATGAAAGACTAAAAGGAAGCAACCAGGATCATTTTTGTATTTATAGAAGTTAAGAGAATAAAGTACAGGCAGGGGAGATGGAAGGCAAGGGAAAAATATTGCAAAGGTCCAAAAGAAAGAGACAAGCACACAAACCAGAAAGGCATAAGAAACAAGTGAAAGGCTGGGTGCAGTGGCTCATGCCTGTAATCCCAGCCAATTTGGGAGGCTGAGGCAGGTGGATCACCTGAGGTTGGGAGTTCAAGACCAGCCTGGCCAACATGGTGAAACCCCGTCTCTACTAAAAATACAAAAATTAGCCAGGCATGGTGGCGCACACCTGTAATCCCAGCTAGTCGGGAGGCTGAGGCAGGAGAATCACTTGAACCCAGGAGGCAGAGGTTGTGGTGAGCCGAGTCCGTACCACTGAACTCCAGCTTGGGCGACACAGCGAGACTGTCTCAAAACAAAACAAAACAAAACAAAACACACACACAAAAGAAACAAGCGAAGGAAGCAAAGTCAAGAGAAGGTGAGAACTCAGAATCAAGGAGTTTAGCCAATAACTGATGATGGTATTGCTGGAGGGGGAATGAGGGATAATGAGGGGTATACCTGGGTCAGGCTATGGTAACTAGTGGTGCCATTCATAAAATCTGGGCACAATGAGAGATGGGAAAGAGTAATGAACTTTTGAACATACGAACTTTAATTTACTCTCAAGACATCAAGTGGTGACATCTCATCTAGGAGACCAGAGGTTTGCAACTTGTAGTATAAATAATGCCCACAGGTAGAGATCACAAGTGAATAAACCAGATGAAGAGACTAGGAATCTGCATTTTTCACAAGCATACCAAATGATGCAGGCTGGCAGTAAACTACAACTGGAGAAACACTACAGTAGAATATAAATTCTCCAGAGCCCAGCAAAGCAATAATACACAGTATGTTCTCAATTTTTAAAAATAATTTTGAATAAATGAAGAGTAAATAAATAAACAGATACAGAGAGCTCAGCAGGTAAGGTTAGCCTAGAGATAAAAATACAGAAGCCATCCACCGTAAGGTAAATACACAAGCTCTCTGAGGCACAGCATTCTTAGAAGATGGCCAAGAAGGAATATATTATTATTGAATCAGTAATGCATGAAGGAGAGGCCGGGCTCAGTGGCTCATGCCTGTAATCCCAGCACTTTGGGAGGCTGAGGCGGGTGGATCACCTGAGGTCAGGAGTTCGAGACCAGCCCAACCAATATGGTGAAACCCCGTCTCTACTAAAAATACAAAAATTAGCCGGGCACGGTGGTGCGCCTGTAATCCCAGCAACTTGGGAGGCTGAGGCAGAAGAACTGCTTGAACCTGGGAAGCAGAGGTTGCAGTGAGCCAAGATTGTGCCACTGCACTCCAGCCTGGATGACAAGATCGAAACTCCCTCTCAAAAAAAAAAAAAGAGTAATGCATGAAGGAGACTAAAAGTGGGGATCAAAGAAGCAGAAAGACAGCCAGGATGCAAGTAAAGTGACAGAAGGGTTTATCTGGCCAGGCTGTTTTCTTTCTCAAAGGGTTCAAGAAAGAATAACACTGAATGCTGCTGGAGAGACCAAGGTAAGAATGGTAATGTCCAGTAGATTACATATGTACTTGCTGCTATCTCTGAGCACTTTTGGCAAGAATTGGGGCAGTTCATGGAGGATAAGGGTAGACAGCTAAAAATCGGTTAAAAAGTAAATGAATGGGAGTTGAAATGTGATAACAGTAAACAAACACTAGTTTCTACTGAAACCTGACAGTGAGTGAAAGGGCCAAAGGGTGGAACAGACGGCTTCTAGTTTAATTTTTCTAGTTTTTTTTGAGATACAATCTTGCTCTGTCACCCAGGTTGGAGTGCAGTGGCAATCATAGCTCACTGCATACCACTGCCTCTGGCTAATTTTTTAAAATTTTTCTGTGGCGATGGGGTCTTGCTATATTGCTCAGGCTGGTTTTGAACTCCTGGCCTCAGGCGATCCTCCCCGCCTTGGCTCTCTAGTTGAATTTTTTTTCCTCCAAGACAAAGTTTTGCTCTTGTTGCCCAGGCTGGAGAGCAATGGCACAACCTTGGCTCACTGTAACCTCCACCTCCCGAGTTCAAGTGATTCTCCTGCCTCAGCCTCCGGAGTAGCTGGGATTACAGGCGAGCACCACCACACCCGGCTAATTTTTTGTATTTTTAGTAGAGATGGTGTTTCCCCATGTTGGCCAGGCTGGTCTCAAACTCCTGACCTCAGGTGATCCACCTGCCTCGGCCTCCCAAAGTGCTGGGATTACAGGTGTGAGCCACCAAGCCCAGCCTCTAGTTCAATTTTTTAAAGACTACTTGAAATTCTTTAAAAATTCAAGAAGAGCTAGCCGAAGGGCAAAGAGAGAAAAAGAAAAAACTAATTTAAGGCATGATGGGATCCACAGTATGAAGTAGGAGCTAAGGTCATCTACCAAGAATGCGGTAGAATGAAGATTTAGAAGAGGTTTTTTTAAGTGATGGATGTCAGAGCTAAACACAGAAAAAAAAGCACTGCCAGGCAGCACCGCAATGCAGGTTTAGCTGAGCCCTGAGACTACCAATGTGTAGTAGTATTAGTCCACATGGCTGTGTGATTACCCTCTGTAGGATTTTCAAAGTTGAGCAGCTATAATTATTGGATGGATTCAAGATAACAGGGCAGACTGATACGAGGTGAGGCAAGAGGCAAGATAATGAAGTGATGAACTGTGGGCTCTAGGCTAAATGGAGAATTAAATGAAGCCAAGAGGTGGCAGGTGCTGGACACAACTGTGGGCAGACAGCCTGGGGCAATCATTCTCAGCCTAGGCTGCACATCCATGTCACCTATGGAGTTTTGAAAATACTGATGCCTGAACCAATTTAACCATGTCTGTAGGGGTGAGACCCAGGCAGCAGTTGTTTCTTTTTTTTAAGCCCTTGATGTGACTCCATAGTGCAGTCAAACTTGACAACCACAGGTCTAGAAAGACTGGGTGACTGAAGAATGGAAAGGCCTATAATCCCAGCACCTGTGGAGGCCGAGGCAGGCAGATTGTTTGAGCTCAGGAGTTCGAGACCAGCCTAGCCAACACGGCGGAACCCCGTCTCTACAAAAAACACAAAAATCAGCCAGGCGTGGTGGCATGTGCCTGTAGTCCCAGCTACCCAGGAGGCTGAGGTAGGAGGACTGCTTGAGCCTGGGAGGTCAAGGCTGTGGTGAGCCATGATCGCACTACTGCACTCCAGCCTGGGTAACAGAGCGAGACCCTATCTCAAAAAGAAAAGAAAAAAAGCCAAGGTGGGAACATTTTTCTTTTTTTTCTGAGGCAGAGTCTTGCTCTGTCACCCACACTGGAGTGCAGTGGCACAATCTTGGCTCACTGCAAGCCCCACCTCCTGGGTTCAAGCGATTCTCCTGTCTCTGCCTCCCAAGTAGCTGGGATTACAGGCGCCTGCCACCACACCCAGCTAATTTTTGTATTTTTAGTAGAGATGGGGTTTTGCCACGTTGGTCAGGCTGGTCTTGAACTCCTGACCTCAGGTGATCTGCCTGCCTCGGCCTCCCAAAGTGCTGGGATTACAGGCGTGAGCCACCACGCCCTGTCTGTCTCATTTTTAAATAACTTCTTTTACAGTTCTGTTTTCAAATTTGGCTTTTGCAAGAGGGAAGCCTGGGATGCAGGGAAACCCACTGGAGACAGGTAAAGGTTAAACAAGGAGGGTGGGCTCCTTCCCCTTCAGATGGCGGGAAGCAGCCTCTGCAGCAACCTTAATACAGCTCCTCACAAGTGAGGCACAAGAATTTCACTCGGCTGGGTACAGTGGCTCATGCCTGTAATCCCAGCACTTTGCTGGGCTGAGATGGGGGAATCACTTGAGGCCAGGAGTTCAAGACCAGACTGGCCAACATCATGAAACCCCACCTCTACTGAAAGTACAAAAATTAGCGGGGTGTGGTGGCACGTGCTTGTAGTCTCAGCTGCTTGGGAGGCTGAGGCACAAGAATCACTCAAACCCAGAAGGCGGAGGTTGCAGTAAGCCGAGATCGCACCACTGCCATCCAGCCTGGGCAACAGAATGAGACTCTGTCTCAAAAAAAAAAAAAGAGAGAATTTCACTCTAGGTTTCTAAGGAAGAATATGAATTCCACAAGGGCAAAAGTTCACCTTGCTTAACAACCCCAGAATGTGTTGTTTTTATAATTCCGCTGTGTGGTTCTGCTGAACCAATTTATCTGACTCTAGGAATTTATCTTCCCTGCTCCAAGTCACAAAGCTTGTTAGTATTTCGTGTAAAATTAGGTTCACTGCTATATCAGCAAGTCCCTAACTTCACATAGTCCATGCCAGCAATTTCCAGTGACTAATGACCTTTGTTATTGTTATCACTCATGACTATATTACTGTTTGTTTATAATCAGTATATCATGACCAATTTACTACCTGTATCACTTATTTCAAAAATGGTATTGCTTCAAAATGGGCTTCATAAGCAATATAAAGCACACCTTCTTGTGCAAGCTTAACCTTGCTAACACAAATTCTCTCACAGAAGGTAAAATAACCAATAGTGAGTTAGCTCTATAGGAAAACACAAACTCTGCCCACTGGACAATGGGCTTACTACACTATAGAATGTAGAAGATTCCACCACCATAGAAAACAAATAGGAGATGGCTGGGTGCCATAAGGGGCACCTAACCCAATAAGGAACTAAAGTCTAAAATGACTTGAACGAGTAGGAGTTAATTAAGCAAGATTTTTGGAAGGAAAGAAGGAAGAGAAAGAAAAAAGAAAGAAAGTAAAGACAATTCCAAAGAAAGCACATTGTACATTTGGGGAAATGCCAGTAATACAACGTTGCTGGTTCAGCTCCTACAGAGCTGTGCTTGTCTCATTAAGGAGTTTGAACTGTAACCCGGAGGCAATGAGGATTCATGGTAAGATTTTAAGCTACTGTGATCCAAGATTAGTAATCCAGAAGGATAAAGGCTACAATAAGAAATATAAAATCGAGGGGGCACAAGGCTGCAGCTAGAGATACCAGCGAGTAGACATAGCTTCAACATCTAGGATAGATATGAAGGTGTGCTGAACTAACTAATGTCAGAGAGAAAGGCAGGGATAATGAATCAATAGAACCATCACTGAATACTAAAATCTTGCAATTTCCACTTTGCTCTTTTTCTTTTCTTCAACTTTTAAGTTCAGGGGTACATGTGCAGGATGTGCAGGTTTGTTACGTAGGTAAACATGTGCCATGGTGGTTTGCTGCCCAGGTCATCCCATCACCGAGGTATTAAGCCCAGTATCTATTAACTATTCTTCTTGATGCTCTCCCTCCCCACACTGCCCCTCACTTTGTTCTTTAAAGCTATCACACTATAGTCTAATTCCGTATCTTCCCAGGCTCAGGTTAAAGGGGCTGAATTGCTGGACTGCCTTATTCATTTCCCTGAAAGTAGCCCTGTAGCAATGATCCTGACTGATGAACGTTTGACCACAGTCCAAGGGCATTGGCAGGACTAAACCCAAAAAAGACGTTCTCAATTTACATTCCACTAAGGCTTGGAACACCAAGTATTCATGAATTTAAGGCAAAGATCGTACTAACTAAAAATAATATCCCAAATGCTAAAATTTACATGAAAAACATAACCAGTTTTTGACGGGTAGTTTATCGCAGTTATCCTGACACAATGAGTATGCAAATTCCATTCAAAAACTGTGCATCAGGTATTGAAGTTGCTGTACATTAGAGATAGCATATTTGGGTTGGGCGCAGTGGCTCACGCCCGTAATCCCAGAACTTCAGGAGGCCAAGGTGGGGGGATCACTTGAGCCCAGGAGTTTGAGACCAGCCTGGGTGACAAAAATTAGCTGGGCGTGATGGCATGCACCGGTAGTCCCAGCTACTTGGGAGGCTGAGGTGGGAGAATTGCTCGAGCCTGGGATGTGAAGCCGTGATCGAGCCACTGCATTCCAGCCTGGGCAACAGAGAGGACTGTCTCAAAAAAATAACAATAAACAAAATAAAGGAAATACGTTTGTAGAAAGCAGAATTAACTTTAAAAAAAACTTAAAAAATCTCCAGGGGGCCAGGCATGATGGCTCACACCTGTAATCCCAGCACTTTGGGAGCCAAGACAGGTAGATCACTTAAGTCCAGGAGTTCAAGACCAGCCTGGGAAACATGGCAGAACCCTGTCTCTACAAAAAGCACAAAAATTAGCCAGGCATGCCTGTAGTCCCAGCTACTTGGGAGCTACTTAGGAAGCTGAAGCAGGAGAATCATTTCAGCCTGGGATGCGGTGGTTGCAGTCAGCCAAGATCGTGCCATTGCACTCCAGCCTAAGCAACAGAGCAAGACCCTGTATCAAAGAAAGAATACACACACACACACACACACACATATACATATACACCTCCAGGTAAAAAAGGACCTCTGTTTTACTTGAGGGTAGCTAATATTTAAGGACACATAAATTATTTCCACACTAGCCTAGCACCTCCAGTCGAAAGATAAAGCCTGATGATAAACATTAGGACCTTATGTACACAGGGAAATAATAATAATATGAGGTGGATGGGATAGGGAAGAGAGCATGAAGCAAGGTTTCTGCTTAGATCACTTCATCACGCAGCAACGTGGCTCCCAAGGGCTAGAAGAGAAACACTACCATCAGGTCTAGGCTTTTATACAATTTCACCTTAGGCCCCAACCTATCAAGCCACACTAGCACTTACCATTAAAAAAAAAAAAAAAAATTAACCCATAAAGGCTATTTAACTTGCCAAGGCTATACTCTTTAGTTATTTTTAGGAAATCTTCAATCTCAACAATAAGACTCTTGAATTTGAAATGTCTCTAATCTGAATGTTACCTTTGACATTGTTGGCAGAAATCCTACAAACATCTGCCATCTAAAATAGGTTAAGAAAGGGCAATAGAAGCTTTGAAACATACCCAAGTATAAAGCAGAATTTAGTTTATAATAAAAATATTTCAAAACAGTGGAATAATCAAATAATCATCTGATAAGTAATTCTGGACAAGTCTCTAAATATTTAGAAGAAACTATAATTAGGGCTCTAGCTCTCATATAACGAAGTAAAATACTGGGTGAATTCAGGGTAATATGTGAAAAAATTAAGAAAAAAATACTAAGAGGAAGCAGAGACTAACATATATAATAATTTGGAGGAATAAGGAAGATATAAAAATTATAACAGAGTTAGAAAATGTAAAAGAAACGGAAAGACCTATCTACCTAAAACACACATGCACACACACTTTTCTCCATGTCAAATATATGTACAAAGTTAAAAGACAAAAAACAGACTGGGGAAAAGAATGCTACATGTGACAGAAAACAACCTTTATATCAGAAAGATGAATTCAGCAACAGATTGCAGCACAGGCAAAGGATTATGAGTATGTAATTTACATCTAAATGTAACTAGCATATAAACATATTTTAAAAGTGCTCAATGTAACTTTAAAGGAATGAAAATAGAAACAGAAAACAGTGAAATGCCTGCTACTTAGTGTTTGTAAGGCAAAATGGGGCCATCATACAATGTTACCAGGACTGTGAATATACATAACATTTCCATGGGGCCAATATGTATCAAAGTTTAAAATGTGCACCACTTCTGGCCCAATAATTCCTCTTTCGGAAATATAAATGAGATCATTTCTCAAAGATGTATGCATATAAATTCATCACAGTGTTCTTTGTAATCTAGATAAATTGGAAACAACCTAAACATCCATCAGTAATAATAAATAAATCTTGGTACCTGGTAAACTAAAATATCATGCATCTATTACAAATGATGTAGAGATCATACAGATATTGACATGCAAAAAACGGTCAAGACATTTTACAGGACAGTTCCATGTGAACAGGGGCCTTGTATGTTTGTTCTTCACTCTTCCAGCAACTAGAACAGTGCCTTGCACAAAACGGCTTTTCAATAAACATTTATTAAACAGATGAACTTTAAAGCAGGTTACAGAACAATAATCATAATATAGTCCTTTTCTCTCTTCCCTCTTCCCCTCCCTCCTTCTCTCTCTCTCACACACACACACAGATTGGAAGGATAGTCACAAAAGGTTAACAAGGTAATGTAGTTTTGGTGTGTGCATATTTTAATTTTCTCCATCTCTCTCTATTGCATAAATTCCTTACACAGTAAGCATTTTTTATTTTTATGACGGTAAAAAGTAACAATTTTTTTAAAGAAAAAGAACTCACATATTTTAAATGAACTCCAGAATGTGCTGTGACTAAGCTCACCAACTCCAAAAACTAAAGTCAACAATATCCAAGTGGCATGTTTTCTTTCACTTTCAAAGAAATATCAGTATAACCTGTACCAGCATCATCTTTCTCAGTACCAGGAAATGCCACACTATACTAATAAAATACAGTGTTTCCAAAAGCAAAGGCACACTTTTTCCGCAGTAAAAAGGAAAAAAAAAAAACCAAAAAACTAAAAGTAACTAATTTCTTAAAGTCTCTTCCACTAACATACACTCTATTCTAGTTCATGGTAACGATTACTATATACAATTGCTCTTTTCTCCCCCCAGACTAAAAATCCAAGTGAATCGATATCAGTAATGTGCTCTATATAATTTTTTCATTTCTTTACAGAGGCAGATTTCACCTTAAACAGTGGATATACCAAACTAGCCACATAACCCATGTCTCTATTCACGCCATCACCCAGTTCTATTTTACTTACACGCTTCGTCACAATCTCATAACCTTATTTAGATTTTATCTGCTCCTTCCTTCTAGAATGTAAGACTCATGAGGACAGGAATTCTGTCCTGCTCACCACCATGTCCCCTGGCCAATAACAGTGAATGGTATCTAGTAGGCCTCAAGAAGTATTTGTTAAACAAAAATGAAAAGATGTGGCCGGCACGGGGAGAGTACAAATCTACATAAAACAATAAAACGAGGAACTGAAAAAAGGAAAGAAAACCACGCTGAGATGTACAAGCTGACAGGACTCAAAGCTATCATGCCAGCTCGGAGGTTTGGTGGACATTTTTCAGGGTGGACAGGTGCTTCACACCTATCTAAGCGCATAGAGCCCTTCCAGGAAGAAGAAAATCCACAGAGAGGTGTCCAGATAGCTGTGAGCAGCTCCCAGAAAAGTGGACACAATCACCACCCTAACAGAAACGTGGCCCAGGTCGGGAGAAAAAAACAATACACCATACATCTCGGCCCAGATGAAAAATTACACGAATCCCCAGCACAATCAAACCAAGCCACCACCTTCAGCCTGACACGTAAGAGCAGTCTCCTTTAGCCTGGCTGGGCAGTCGCCTGCAACCCAGCAAACCCTTCCCACGCCCAACACTTTTCCCTCGCAAAGACCACCGCCACCGCCGGTCCGAGGGGCGAGGGAACGGGGGGAACAGCCTGACGATCAGCTTTCTCCACCCCCGCCCGAGCCCAGTCCCCTTCAAAGCGCAAACGTTTCCCATTCTCGCCTGTCTCCGAGGCCCGGACCCCTGCCCCGAGCCCCTCCTGCGGTCCCTCACTCACGTGTAGATGATAGCCATGAAATGCATCAGCCACAGCACCAAGAAGAGGACGAACCCGAAGACGGCCATTCCCTCCAAGGCCAGGTCCAGCAGCGCCATCCCCCGGCCCGCCGGACCGGCCCGGCCCGCTGCGGCCGCCAACACGGACAACGCTCCCGCAGGAGGAGGACAGGGTGGGCGCCCGGTGCGGGGGCGCGGGAGGCGAGAGGAAGGTGGGGAGAGGAAAGGGCGGAGGGGGGTGGGGACGGAAGGGGCGGGCAGGGCCTGCGCGCCCCCGCCCGCGCGCTCTCGCCTGCGCGCTGTCTTCGGCGCGCTCGCGGGCGGCTGCGGGTGCTGCGGTCTCCCGGCTCTGGTCGGGGCGACCGCGGTCCCGCGCTCCGGTTCGCCTCTCCCGAGCCTCGCGGCCGCCCACCAGACCCTGCGCGCGGGCACCTCCGCCGCCTCTCCGTCTCGCCGCCGGGCTCCCGGCCGAGCAGCTCCACCGCCGCAGCTCCGCGCACTAATCAAAACCGGCGGCTCGCGCCCCACTCCTCGGCGCGTCCCGCCCCCGGAACCGCGGCGCCCGCCTCTCCCAGGGGCGGTGCCCCCATCGGTCCACGCCCACCCTGTCGCCCGCGCGCCCGCTGCGGCGCCGGCGAGAGCGCGCCGGGGAGATCGTGTCCTGCTGCCCGCAGGACGCAGGCCGGGCTTCCTCCGGCTCCTCGCTCCCGCTGCCGCCCACCTAGGCGGAAAGCGCTGCAGCCCTGGGCCGGGCTCCCTCGGTGTCGGTGGCAGCTCGGGACCCTGTGCCTGGCTGGAGGCTGCTCTCTCTCCGTCTGGCCCTGCTGTTCCTGGGTGCCCCAGAAAAAGACACGGGTTCCGGGCAGCTGCCGGAGCTTGTCTAGAAATCCAACTTCCAACGCCGCGTCTGCAGCCTCCCCGCCGGGCACTGCTACTGCTCGGAGCAGCCAGGCCCTCCAGGCCACGTTCCTGGGCGCAAGGGATGCCCATTGCCTTCCCTCTTACTGCTTTTAATGCTGTGGGATCTTGGATCAAAAGGGACCGGAGAGTAAAATAATCTCCATGCGCCTCACAGATCTCTAAGCGCCTTAGCGACCGTGTGTATTATAAAAAGAAATTCTCAAATTCAGAATTAAAGAATCAGTTGATATTGAAATTCCCTAAGACTGCCATCCAATACGGTAGCCGCATGTGGCTAAGTGAGGGTTGGAAAGGCAGCTTGCCACTCTGTGGAGTAAACAGTACACCAGATGTGGAAGACCATCTCGTTAGTAAATTTTATATTGATTGCATGTTGAAAAGGTAATATTTTGGACATACTACATTAAATTAGGTAAATTATTAAGTTAATTTCTCTTTTTAAATACTTTGGCTAGCTACTAGAAAATTTTAATTGTACGTGTGGACAGCACAGCTCTAAAATGGGAAGAAATGTCACTTTGGGTAGTAAGGTAACTAAGTATTTGTCCTAATTTTAAGTCATCCCAAGAAGATGCTAGTACTCAATGTTTGTGTTTCTTCAATCTAGATGAGTTTATACTATTTCTGCATTGTTTTATGTTTATTGTTGCAAGTGATTTCCTTTTAAATAATCCATGACCTCCCTTGAGATATTTCAGAATTGAATTCAATTTTGAAAAGAAGTTGTGGCTGGGCGCGGTGGCTCACACCTGTAGTCCCAGCACTTTGGGAGGCGGAGGCAGGTGGAGCATGAGGTCAGGAGTTCAAGACCGGCCTGGCCTAGATGGTGAAACCCCGTCTCTACTAAAAATACAAAGAATTAGCCGGGCGTGGTGGCAGGCGCCTGTAATCCCAGCTACTCCGGAGGCTGAGGCAGAGAATTGCTTAAACCTGGAGGGGCGGAGGTTGCAGTGAGCCGAGATCGCGCCACTGCACTCCAGCCTGGGCGACAGAGCGAGACTCTGTCTCGAAAAAAAATAGATGAATTTAAAAAAAAGAAAAGAAGTTGTTTATTATTGCTGTTTATGGTAGTTAATAGTCACTGAATGATCTACCTCAATCTGCAATTAAATGACAAACTACAACTAGAAGAGTTAATGTCCGAACCATTCCTCGATTAACATCCTTGGCTCCACTGGTGCAGAATCAGTGGGAAAGAACAATGCTTCAAAATCAAATTCCCACTGTTGAGAGTTACTGGCTGATAAAAATAGCAGGATGGAGGGCCAGGCGCAGTGGCTCATGCCTGTAATCCCAGCAGTTTGGGAGACTCAGGTAGGAGGATTGCTTGAGGCCAGGAGTTTGAGACCAGCCTGGGCAACATGATGAAACCCTGTCTCTACAAAAAAAAAAAAAAAAAAAAATTAGCCAGGCATGGTTATGGCACCTATAGTCCCAGCTACCGGGAAGGCTGAGGTGGTAGGATCACCTGATCCTGGGAAGTGGCGGCTGCAGTGAGCTGTGATCGCGCCACTTAACTCCAGCCTGGGTGACAGTGAGTCCCTGTCTTAAAAAAAAGTGGAATAGAATTCTAACATCGAAATAACGTTCCAAACAAAAATTTACGATTGTAGTTAATTCTAAGGCACACTTCAAAAAAACACTTTAACAAATTTTAATTTCTCTGAAATGGGAATGCATCTCACAGTCAATGCCATCTTAGAGTTAATTGGCGTTTTTTCTTTTTTTTTTTTTTTTTTTTGAGGTGGAGTCTCGCTCTGTCGCCAAGGCTGGAGTGCAGTGGCGTGATCTAGGCTCACAGGAACCTCCGCCTCCTGAGTTCAAGCAATTCTCCTGTCTCACCCTCCCCAGTAGCTGGGACTACATTTGCACACCACCACACCCGGCTAATTTTTGTGTTTTTAGTAGAGACGGGGTTTCACCATATTGTTCAGGCTAGTCTCGAACTCCTGACCTCGTGATCCACCTGCCTCGGCCTCCCAAAGTGCTGGGATTACAGGCGTGAGTCACCGTGCCCAGCCAATGGCTTGTGGTTTTCTTTTACTCAAATATAAAATAATAGTGCATCTTAGTGATATATAAAATAATGCTGCATCTTATCATTAAATGCCCTCTTAGATTTGAGGAACACCAATTGCTTAATTTAAGCATTGTTTTATATTCTGCATTTTTTCAAAAATGTTTTCTGGAACCTTACAACAAAGGATTTTATACAGTATGACCAATAACACAAAAAAAGAGGCCAAAGAAATGTGAAAGTAGATATTCTTAAGAGTTAACAAATTTGCTAAATTGAGTATAATCAGTAGATTAAAGATCAGTTATATTATACTTGACCCTAGTTAAACTATGTTTACCCAAACTTCGTTTTAAAACAGCTTTAGAAAAGGGAAGAGTATGAAGACAGTATAAAGATCTGTGGTTGCCATGGAGCAGAGGAAAGAGGGACAAATAGATGACAGGATTTTTAGGGCTGTGAGTGAAACTATTCTGTATGATCCTATAATAGTGTATACATGTCATATATTTGGCAAACCCCGTAGAAAATACACCACCAAGAGTGAACCCTAATGTAAGCTATGGACTTTAGGTGATAATGGTGTGTTAATGTAGGTCCATCAGTTGTAACGAATATGGTGCTCTGGTGCAAGATGTTAATAGTGGAGGAGGCTGGTGGAGGGAATGGCAGTGGGTATATGGGAACCTTCTGTACTTTCTGCTCAGTTTTGCTGTGAACCTAAAACTACTCTAAAAAGTAAATTCTTAAAAAAAATTAGTGAGTGTTCCACTAAAGGTGTTCTACTTATATATGTATACAAATATGTGTATAACATTGGAAATGCTATAAATGTCTGAATAAGATATACCAGTTTGCGGCTGGGCGCGGTGGCTCAGGCCTGTAATTGCAGCACTGTGGGAGGCCAAGGTGGGAGGATCTCAAGCCAGCCTGGGCAACATGGCGAAACCCTGTTTCTACAAAAAATAGAAAAATTAGCTGGGCGTGGTGGCAGGCAACGTGGTAAAACCCTGTTTCTACAAAAAATACAAAATCTAGCCAGGCATGGTGGTGGGTACCTGTAATTCCAGCTACTTGGGAGGCTGAGGCAGGAGAATCACTTGAACCTGGTAGGCAGAGGTTGCAGTGAGCCAAGATCATGCCACTGCACTCCAGCTTGGGTGCCAGAGCGAGACTCTGACTTAAAAAAAAAAAAATTACCAGTTTGCCATCAGATCCCAGGATTTAGCACCTTGTGGGCACTTAAATATTTGTTGACTGAATGAATAGATAAAATGTTTATTTATCCATTGACAGAAGTCACTGGAAAAATTTCAGTGACTTCTGAAATTTTCTGGAAAAACTTTCTGGAAAAATTTCTCAGCTTTCTCCTTTGTCTGTAAAGATTTTTAAATGGTTTTTCGTTGTGAGAAAAATACACATTAACTTCCATACCTCCTCCTTTATCTTATAAAATTAAGCTAAAGAGTTAGAGTAATTACATATTAGTTCAACTAATCATGTCCTGAAGACCTGCTCCAAAGCCCATACTCTACTTGACAGTCAACAACATAATTTTCGTCTCAATATCACATATTTTCCATCTTTGTCATTGTTATAAATAATTTTTCATGTAAACATTTTAAACATCACAATCCAGTTTTCTATGGTGAGTGTATTATTATTTTTAAAAGATAGGCATACTGTAAATTTTCAGCCCTATAAAAACTTAAAAAATAAGGTGAAAACAAGGTGATCCTCCAGAAATTGAGTAAATTTGAAGTTTCATAAACAAAGAATCAATTGACGTGAAATTTGTGGTGCTAATGCCAAGAAAAAAGTAATTCTTGTCTTTTTTCTAAACATGTTTAGAATTAAGTAGAAAAATACCTTAACTATCAGCTCAGGTGATTAACTTACATTGGTTTGTTATGCATGAAATGGTAACTTTGTAAAAGCCTTCAGATCCTAAGATACTGTGTTACTGTAAATTGCCTTTAAATGATACAAAGATTCCAGGCAAATTATCAGTTCAGGGCCTGATCTTGATAAACCACTGGTATCCTGTGTTTATATATGTGGGTGTGGTCCAGGGGAGTGACTAGAGTTTACTAGAGTTCATGTTCTTCTCAGCTGCTGTGTTCTTCTCAGCTGCTATGCTAACTCATATCCAAATGCCTAATTAAAAAATTTTTTTTTTTTTTGAGTTGGAGTTTCGCTCTTGTCGCCCAGGCTGGAGTGCAAGTGGTGCTATCTCAGTTCACTGCAAACCTCCACCTCCCGGATTTAAGCGATCACCTGCTTCCGCCTCCAGAGTAGCTGGGACTATAGACGCACGCCACCACGCCTGACTGGTTTTTGTATTGTTAGTAGAGACGGGGTTTCACCATGTTGGTCAAGATATTCTTGATCTTGTGACCTTGTGATCCGCCCGCCTCAGCCTCCCAGAGTGCTGGGATTACAGGTGTAAGCCACTGCACCAGGCCTAAAATCTTTTTTTTAAAATCACATACTCGGCCGGACACGACTGTAATCCTAGCACTTTGGGAGGTCAAGGTGGGCGGATCATGAGGTCAGAAGTTCGAGACCAGCCTGGCCAACACGGTGAGAGCCTGTCTCTACTAAAAATACAAAAATTAGCCAGGCATGGAGGTGCCAGGCTAATGTTTTTTGTTTTTTTTTTTTGGCAGAGTCTCGCTCTGTCACCCAGACTGGAGTGCAGTGGCATGATCTCGGCTCACTGCATACTTTTTAAATTATTTGTAGAGATGGGGTTTTGCCATGTTGCCCGGGCTGGTCTCAAACTCCTGGACCAGCTTGTAATCCTGAGTAGCTTGTAATCCCAGCTACTCAGAAGGCTGAGACAGGAAAATTGCTTGAACCTGGGAGGCAGAGGTTGCAGTGAGCTGAGATCACGTGCCACTGTACCCCAGCCTGGGAACAGAGTGAGACTTTCTCAAAAATAAATAAATAAATTAAATTAAATCACATATTCATTTTCTTTTAAAATTTCATGCTTAATCTTGTTTTAATCCATACTTTCCTAGCTCGAACCACTAATGTTTATTCTTAATGGAAGCTAAATTCAAAAGATGTTCAAATATGCCCCATGTAAATATCAACTGTTTTTGTTTTTTCGTTTTGTTTTTTTGAGACAGGTTGCAGTGAGATCACACCACTGCACTCCAGCTTGGGTGACAGAGCAAGACTCTGTCTTAAAAAGAATTACTAGTTTGCCATCAGATCCCAGGGTTTAGCACCTTGTGGGCACTTAAGCACCTTCTGTCACCCAGGCTGGAGCACAGTGGCATAATCACAGCTCACTGCAGCCTTGACCTCCCAGGCTCAGGTGATCCTCTCACCTCAGCCTCCCAAGTAGCTGGGACTTCAGCCACCTGCCACCACACCAGGCTAATGTTTTTTGGTTTTTTTTTTTTGGCAGAGTCTCGCTCTGTCACCCAGACTGGAGTGCAGTGGCATGATCTCGGCTCACTGCATACTTTTTAAATTATTTGTAGAGATGGGGTTTTGCCATGTTGCCCGGGCTGGTCTCAAACTCCTGGACTCAAGGGATTCACCCATCTTGGCCTCCCAAAGTGATGGGATTCTAAGCTTGAGCCACTGTACCTGGCCTTAACTATTATCTTTTTAAAAGTGTTTTTGGAAATTTCTTTATTTTTGGATAGATAGTTATGACTCATTCTAGTTTATTTAAGCTCATAATGCTAAAATCTTCACCTAGACTATGTATGCAGCTTGTGCGTGTGTGTAAACAAACTCAGTAAGTTTATTGTGGAGAGAGATTGACTAATATTTACTGAACAAGGGAACATAAATGACATGCTAGGGAAATTATTTAACTATTAACTTGATTTTCACAACAGTCATAAACTGTACAGTAAGACAAAAAGATTAAGTTAAATGCCCAGATGACATTCAATAAGTGACAGCAATGGAGTTTGGACCCGGCTTTGTCAGACTCCAAAGTCAATGCTATTTAAATAAGCAAGTACAGTATTGAGTTAATTTAAACAACATATAGTAGATGTTCAACTCTCAAAATTCAGTTTGCAAAGTAGATTTTGGTCTAGCATTATTTAGTTTAATAACAAATGTAATGTATACATCACCATCTGAGATTTAGGAAAGTCAATTTCACCATCTGAGACTTAGGAAGGTATATCATGTTTTTCTGCTAAGATGCTCTGGGAATTTAAACACCTTGCTCTTTCCTTCCACCATATCATTTGCTTCAGTTAAGAGGAATTTTATGAAACATAATGTCGTTGCAGAACAGTTCATTAAGAGCACAAACAACAAGTGGAAGAATTTAAGGCCAGGCGCGGTGGCCCATGCCTGTAATCCCAGCGCTTTGGGAGGCCAAGGCGGGCGGATCACGAGGTCAGGAGATCGAGACCATCCTGGCTAACACAGTGAAACACCGTCTCTACTAAAAATACAAAAAATTAGCCAGGCGCGGTGGCGGCCGCCTGTAGCCGCAGCTACTGGGGAGGCTGAGGCAGGAGAATGGTGTGAACCCGGGAGGCGGAGCTTGCAGTGAGCCGAGATCACACGACTGCACTCCAGCCTGGGCGACAGAGCGAGACACCGTCTCAAAAAAAAAGGAATTTAAAAGAACAATCTTTTTCAAGTGCTTTTTTTCTCACACAATAATTCAGGAAAATTCCAACAAAATCTGTTTCTTATTGTATCATTTTACAGAATTACCAACAATATAATTAAAACTTGACTTTAACATTTCCTTTTTTTTTTTTTTTTTTTTTTTTTAAGACGGAGTCTGGCTCTGTCGCCCAGGCTGGAGTGCAGTGGCGTAATCTCGGCTCACTGCAAGCTCCGCCTCCCGGGTTCACACCATTCTCCTGCCTCAGCCTCCTGAGTAGCTGGGACTACAGGCGCCCGCCACCACGCCCAGCTAATTTTTTGTATTTTTAGTAGAGACGGGGTTTCACCGTGGTCTCAATCTCCTGACCTCGTGATCCGCCCACCTCGGCCTCCCAAAGTGCTGGGATTACAGGCTTGAGCCACCACGCCCGGCGACTTTAACATTTACTAAGAAACAAAGGTTGTTAAGATAAACTAGACCTCCTGACTTTAGAATCTCTACAAAATACCTTCCCTATCTTAAGAATGCTTTCCTTTAGGTTACAGTATAAACTATTGGCTAAGCCTGAATACTGTGAAAGTCAGACAGGCTGAGTTTGAATTCTGGTCCACCATGTGACCTAAGCAAGTCACTTAACCTCTCTCGCCTCAGTTTTTTTATTTTTATTTTTATTTTGTAGAGAAAGGGTCTTGCTATGTTGCCCAGGCTCGTCTTGAACTCCTGACCTGAAGCAATCCTCCTGCCCTAGCTTCCCAAAGTGCTAGGATTACAAGTGTAAGCCACTGTGCCTAGCCACTTGCTTCAGTTTCTTTGTCTATAAATGGACTGTTGTGAGGACTAAACAAGTTAACATATGTAAAATATTTATAACAATTCCAGGGAGGGAAATGGATATAAAGTTTTATTATTATTCCTTAATTGAGAAAGTACATTCATTTTGTCTCATTTCATCTACATTACTAACTTTTGTTTTCTCTATTTCTCCATTTACTGTTTCAACCCATAAAAAATAAAATTACCTATTAGAAGGATTTATCTTTGGCAAATTATTCCTTGTGACAGAGCATGCAATACTTTACAATTCTTAATTATTACACAAACCAGAGTATATTGTAGATCTCATCTTCTTGCTAATATACCTGGTGTAGTCAATCAGAAACAAATGCAATTAGATGACAATTGTAGGAAATAGGAGACATATAATTGAATAGTAAGGAGCAAACAAAGATATTTTTATTCCATGGGAAAAATAAATCTCAGGCCTTGAAAGAAAATATTCGTTACATGCCAGCATAATATTAGAAAGGTACACAAACTGGCCTTGTGATGTTAAGAAACAGTGATATCAAATAGTCTTTAAACTATTTTTGGTAATTTTTGGTAATAAGTACCTCATAAAATATAATTAAATGCATCAGGATTAACACGAGAGAAAGTTTTCAGAGTCAAGTTTACGTAAATATATTATTTTTTGAAGCTCAGAATTGGCAAAAGGTGTTATAGCATTTACACAAATTGGTACCAAACTAACAACTAATTTGTGAAAAGGATGCATCCTCCCCTAGTCTAGTAATTTTATAGTTTGGAAATCATATCTGATTGTTTTTAGCCTTTTATATCATTGTAGGTATAAATTTGAAGTGTTGTCTAATACCTGAAAAAGCACGAAACAAAGCATTTTGCAATACAAGGAGATAGAAACAACTATTAGGGCCTTCCCTATCACATAAGCTCATGCCTAAATTCAGTTGCCAACCCACCTTAAATATTTTGGGATCCCTCATTAACAGTCATCAACAGTTAATGATGGGAGCCATCATTAACAGTCATTTCCTCTATAATAGAGAACACTGAGCAAAATTATTAAGACTGTTAAGATGATAAAGTAAACAAATTAATGGATTTTCCGTTTAGTTATTTATTTTCCTTTATTCCTCAACAAATATTAAAACATACAAGGTGGCCAGGCATGATGGCTCATGCCGGTAATTTTAGCACTTTGGGAGGCTGAGGTGGGAGGATCACTTGAACGCAGGAGTTTAAGACCATCCTGGGTAACATAGTGAGATCCTGTCTTTTTTTTTTTTTGTAGTAAAAAACAATATATATATGCACACACACACATATCTATACATACATGTATATGCATGCACACAAGGCATACACACATGCACACACATATACACATGTACACACATGCATGTACATGCACATACATGCACACATGCATGCACACGTGTGTACACAGGTGTGCATGCGTGTATGCATGCATATATGCACATGCACGTGTGCACGCACATATGCACATACGTATACATACATGTATGCACATACGTATACGTGCATGTGTGCACATACGTATGCGTGCATGTGTGCACATACGTGTGCGTGCATGTGTGCACATACGTGTGCGTGCATGTGTGCACACATGTATACATGAGGTTGGGCACGGTGGCTCATGCGTGTAATCCCAGCACTTTGGGAGGCTGAATCTGGCAGGTTGCATGGGCCCAGGAATTAGAGACCAGGGTGAGCAACATAGTGAAACTCCATCTCTACAAAATATGCAAAACAGCCTGCACCTGTAGTCCCAGATACTCGGGAGGCTGAGGCAGAGATTGCAGTAAGCCGAGATCACGCCACTGCACCCCAGCCTGGGCGACAGAGTGAGATTCTGTCTCAAAATAATAAAATAATAATACAATAAAATATGTGATGTTCCAGGTACACAGTGTTCTCATGCTTTGGATACAAAGTGAAAAATAACATAATCTTTTTTTCCCCCTGGAGAAGTTCAAGTTCAGCTGAGGAAGAGAAATGCAAAAATGTATCATTGTAATGCAATGAGTGTTGATATAGAGGTATGAGAAAAATTGGGAGTTGGGAGTGATTACTTTTATTCCAGAAAATCTAGAAAGACTTCATGGAGAAGGTCATCTGGGTCCTGAAGAAAGACTAAGACATTGCCAAGAGTGAGGAAAGTGCAGCTGGGCACCTATAACCCCAGCATTTTGGGAGGCCGAAGGGGGCAGGTCACTTGAGGCCAGGAGTTCAAGGCCGGGAGTTCAAGACCAGCCTGGCCAACAGGGCAAAAACCCGTCTCTACTAAAAATACAAAAATTAGCTGGGCATAATGGCAAGAGCCTGTAATCCCAGCTACTCGGGAGGCTGAGTCAGGAGAATCACTTGAGCCCAGGAGGCGGAGGTTGCAGTGAGCCGAGATCGCGCCATTGCACTCCAGCCTGGGTGACAGAGCTAGACTCCATCTCAAACAAACAAACAAACAAACAAAACTTGGATGGCCTTGAGAAACAGTTGACCTGGGTTAACTAATAAATTCATTGATCTGTAACTGAAAATCCAGTTATGGGGAGTATGACGTATGAATGACCATCTAAAGCAGGACTCGTTTGAGAAAGGAGACACTATTAACAATCAGGCTAGGAGAAACTGAGGCAGTCACAGAGTCACACCCTATATAAAGCAAACAAGAGTCAGGCACAGTTAAAAAATGGAGTTCTTGCTCCATTTTTCTGAGATAGTCTTGGCTCGCCCCTCCTCTATGTGTCAGTATTTTACTTTACTTTACTTTACTTTTACTTTATTTTATTTTATTTATTTTTGAGAGAGAGTGTCATTCTGTCTTCCAGCCTGGAGTGCAGTGGCAAGATCTTGGCTCACCGCAACCTCTGCCTCCTGGGTTCAGTGATTCTCGTGCTTCAAGCCCCTCGAGTAGCTGGGATTACAGGCGTGTGCCACCACACCCAGCTAATTTTTGTATTTTTAGTAGATACAGGGTTTCACCGTGTTCACCAGGGTGGTCTCAAACTCCTGACCTCAAGTGATCTACCTGCCTTGGCTTCCCAAAGTGCCAAACTTTGCTTCCCAAAGCAGTTTTGTCTTTAAGCTGACCTCGCTCATGGTTGTAAGACAGCTGCCAACAATTATCAGTACTTCACATCCAGGAAGAGAGAGCAAGTGTTAGTTGTGACCTAACAAAAATCTTAAGCCTTTTCATTTTTCTAATGGTTACCCTTGAATACCATTTGTTAGGCTATGGCAAGGCAGACTAGAATAGTCAAATTAGAATTTATTGAAGCTGGTAGTAAGGATAATCCCATCCAAACTGCAAGGTGACTATGTAATGAATGGGGGAGGAATAGAATTGGAAAGATAACCACGATAGCCACCACACTGAGTTTTTCCAAAATGGAAAATTTCTAGGAAGTCTTAAATATGAAAGATTCCCGGTTAGCTCTTCCAGCTTGTTCGTTTTCTAAATAATAGCTTTATTAAGATATAGTCACACACCGTAACATTCACTCCTTTAAAGCATACCACTCAGTGATTTTTAGTATCTTCACAGAGTTGTGCAACCATCACTGCCCAACTTTAGAACATTTTCTCACTGCAAAAAGAAACTCCATACCCATTAGCAGTCATTCCCCATTTCCCCTCCCCCCAGCTCCTGGTAACTACTAATTTAATTTTTTTCTATATAGATTTGCCTATCTTGACTATTTCATAAAAATAGAATTGATGGGCCAGGCACGGTGGCTCATGCCTGTAATCCCAGCACTTTGGGAGGCCGAGGCAGGCGAATCACCTGAGATTGGGAATTCGAGACCAGCCTGACCAACATGGAGAAACCCCATCTCTAGTAAAAATACAAAATTAGCCGGGCATGGTGGCACATGCCTGTAATCCCAGCTACTCGGGAGGCTGAGGCAGAAGAATTGATTGAACCCAGGAGGCGGAGGTTGCAGTGAGCCAAGATCACGCCATTGCACTCCAGCCTGCGCAACAAGAATGAAACTCTGTCTCAAAAAAAAAAAAAAAAAAAGAATTAACATATTATGCAGACTTTTATGACTACCTTCTTTCACAGCATGATATTTTCAAGGTTTATTCATGTCACAGTACATATCAGTACTTCATTTCTTTTTATAGCCAAATAATATTCCATTTTATGGATATTGTTTCTCCATTCATTAATCGAGTTGGATTTGGGTTGTTTCCATGTTTTGGCTATTATGAATAAAGCTGTTATGAATATTCATTTACAGGTTTTTGTATAGGCACATATTTTTTATTTCTCTTGGGTATATACCTAAGAGTGCTGAGTTGTATGGTAACTTTATGTTTAACTTTTGGAGTTACCGCCAGACTCTTCTAAAGTGACTGTACCATTTTACAATCCCACCAGCAATATATGCAAGTTCCCATTTCTCCACATCCTTACCAAAATTTGTCATAACTGTCTTAGTAAGTGTGAAGTGATTTCTCATTGTGGTATTGATTCGTATTTCCTTAATGGCTAATGATGTTGAGCATATTTTAATGTTCTTATTGACCATTTGTATATATTCTCTGAAGGAATATCTATTAAAATCCTTCTGATTTTTAAAATTGTGGTTTTATCTTTTTATTATTTAGTTGTAAGAGTACTTTATGGGCTGCTCATGGTGGCTCATGCCTGTAATCCCAGCACTTTGGGAAGCCGAGGCAGGTGGATCACTTTAGCCCAGGAGTTCGAGTCCAGCCTCCCACATGGTAAAACTCCATCTCTACAGAAAATACAAAAATTAGCTGGGTGAGATGGTGCACACCTGGAGTCCCAGGTACTCAGGAGGCTGAGGTGTGAGGATCACTTGAGCCTAGGAAGTCAAAGCTCAAGTGAGCCATGAGTGTGCTATTGCACTCCAGGCTGGATAACGGACAGCACAAGACTCTGTCTCAAACAAAAACAAAAACAAAAAACAAGCCAAGAGTGTTTTATGTATTCTAGGTACAAGTTGCTTATCAGGTATATGATTAGCAATTACTGCTCCTCATTCTGTGGATTTTCTTTTCCCTTCCTTGATGGTGTCATTTGAAGCACAATTTTTTTTTTTTTAGATGGAGTTTTGCTTTTGTTGCCCAGGCTGGAATGCAGTGGCGGGATCTTGGCTCACGGCAACTTGCACCTCCTGGGTTCAAGTGAGTCTCCTGCCTCAGCCTCCCAAGTAGCTGGGATTACAGGCATGCACCACCACGCCCAGCTAATTTTGTATCTTTAGTAGAGACAGGGTTCCTCCATGTTGGTCAGGCTGGTCTCGAACTCCCAACCTCAGGTGATCCGCCCACCTCGGCCTCCCAAAGTAAAGCATAAAATTTTGTATTTCGATGGTCCGATTTATCTATTTTTTGTTTTGTCACTTGTTTTTTGGAATCATGTCAAACATACCACTGGCTAACTCAGGTCACAAGGTTTATGCCCATGTTTTCTTCTAAGAATTGTACAGTTTTAGCTCCTGTATTTAAGTCGTTGATCCAGTTTGATTTAAGTTTTGTATATCATGTAAGATAGGCGTCTATCTTCATTCTTTTGCACGTGAATATCCTGTTGTCCTAGCACCACTTATTGAAAAGAGGATTCTTTTGACAATGGTGCTGAGAACATTGAATGATGTCAACATCATTGTCAAAAATTGACTACAGACGTATAGATTTATTTCTGGACTCTCATTCATTCATCTGCATGTCTATCCTTATGTCAGTACCACATGGTCTTGATTATTGTCAATTTGTAGTAACTTTGTAACTTTGAAACTGGGAAGCGTGAGAACTTTGTTCTTTTTCAAGATTGTTTTTGATTTTTCTGTGTCTTTTTTTTTTTTTTTCCTAAGGCAGAGTCTCGCTCTTACCCAGACTGGAGTGCAGTGGTGCAATCTCAGCTCACGCAACCTCTGCCTCCCAGGTTCAAGCGATTCTCCTGCCTCAGCCTCCTGAGTAGCTAGAATTACAGGCATGCGCCACCATGACCGGCTAATTTTTGTATTTTTAGTAGAGACAGGGTTGGTCAGTCTGGTCTTGAACCCCTGACCTCGTGATCAGTCTGCCTTGGGCTCTCAAAGTGCTGGGATTACAGGCGTGAGCCACCATGCCCAGCCCATCTGTGTCTCTTGAGTTTCAATGTGAATTTCATGGTCAGCTTGTTAATTTCTGAAAAAGAAAAGCTGAGATTTTGATAGAGGTTGCATTAAATCGGTAGATCAATTTGGATGCTATTGCCACCTTTTTTTTTTTTGAGACAGAGTCTCACTCTGTCGCCCAGGCTGGAGTGCAGTGGTGCGATCTCAGCTCACTGCAGCCTCTGCCTCCCAGGTTCAAGCAATTCCCCTGCCTCAGCATCCCAAGTAGCTGGGACTACAGGAACCCACCACCATGCCCAGCTAATTTTTGTATTTGTAGTAGAGACGGTGTTTCACAATGTCGGCCAGGCTAGTCTCAAACTCTTGACCTCAAATGATCTGCCCACCTTAGTCTCCCAATGTGCTGGGATTACAGGTGTGAGCCACCACACCCGGCAGGTATTACCATCTTAATAAGCCTTCTGACCCATGAACATGGGATGGCTTCCCATATATTTATGTCTTTAATTTCAGTTAGCAATGCTTTCTAGTTTTCAGTGTACGGGTCTTGAAGTTCTTTTCTTAAATTTATTTCCAGGTATTTTATTCTCTTTCATGCTGTTGCATGCTTTTGTTTGTTTTTGTTTTTGAGAGCAGAGTCTCATTCTGTCACCAAGGCTGGAGTGCAGTGGTGTGACCATGACTCACTGCAGCCTCAATTTCCCTGGCTCAAGTGATTCTCCTGCCTTAGCCTGCCAAGTAGCAGGCACTACAGGTGTGCACCACTGTGTTTGGCTAATTTTTTTTAATTTTTTTTAGGGATGGGTCTTGCTGTGTTGCCTAGGCTGGTCTTGAACTCCTGGACTCAAGCAATCTCCTCACCTTGGCTTCCCAAAGTAATGGGATTACATGCATGAGCCACTGCACCTGGCCTCTTTGATGTTATTGTAAATTAAATTATCTTCTTAATTTTACCTTTGGATTGTTCATTGCAAATGTATAGAAATACAATTGAATTTTGTATATTGATCTTGTATCTTACAGCCTTGCTGACTTGCTTATTCCAATAGCTTGTGTGTGTGTGTGTGTGTGTGTGTGTGTGTGTGTGTGTGTATTCATTAAGATTTTCTGTGTATAAGATCATGTTATCTTTAAATATAAGTATTTTTACTTCTCTCCTTCCAATCTGGGTGTTTTTATTTATTTTCCTTACCCAATTGCCCCCAGCTAGAACTTCCAGTATAATGTAAATAGAAGTGGTAAGAGCAGACATCATTGACCTGTTCCCACTTATAAGGGGGAAAGCTTTCAATCTTTCACCATTAATTATGTTGTTGGCTATGCGTTTTTCATAGATGCCCCTTATCAGGTTGAGGAAGTTCCCTTATATTCCTCAATTGTTGAGTGTTTTTATCATAAAAGGGTGTTGAATTTTGTCACAAGATTTTTCTGTGTCTATTGAGATGATCATACAGTTTCTTATTCTACTAATACAGTGTATTATATTGCTTGATTTTCAGAAGCTAAACCAACCTTGCATTCCTGGAACAAATCCCACCTGGTCATATTGTATAATTCTTTTTATATGTTGCTGGATTCAGTTTGCTAATATTCATTGAAGATTTTTGCGCCTATATTTATAAGAGATGTTGGTCTATAATTTTATTTTCTTGCAATGTCTTCAGTTTTGGTATCAGGGTAATACTAGCTTTATAGAATAGTTGAGAAATGTTCCCTTTTCTTCTATTTTTTAGAAAGTTTTTGAAGAATTTGTATTAATTCTTCTATTTTTAAATGCTTGGTAGAATTCAATATGGAAGGCATCTGGGCTTGGGCTTTTCTTTTGGGTAAATTTCTTTTTTAATACTATTTCAATGTCTTGACTTATTATAGGTCTATTCAGATATTCTCTTTCTTCTTGAACCAGTTTCAGTAGTTTGTGTCTTTCTAGGAAGCGATCCATTTCACGGAAGTTATCTAATTTGTGGACAAACAGTTGTCGTAGTATCCCATTGTAATTCCTTTTATTTCCATTTGGTCATAAAGTTTCCTCTTTCATTGCTGATTTTAGTAATTTTATTCTTCTCTTTTTTTCTTTTGGTCAGTCTAACTAAATATTTATCTTGTTGATATTTTCAAAGAACAAACTTTTGGTTACATTGATTTTCTGTATTGTTTTTCTCTTTTCTATTTCATTTATTTCTACTTTAATTTTTATTATTTTCCTACTGCTGCTTATGCTGAGCTTAGCTTGCTCTTTTGCTCCAGTTTTTTAAGGTGGAAGTTTAATTTATTCATTTGATATTTTTTCTTCTTTAAAATATAGGCGTTTATAGCTATAAACTTCTTTCTGCACTGATTTAACTATATACCATGAATTTTGGTAAACTGTAGTTTTGTTTCCATCTACTTCAAAGTATGGAAATAGGGCACATGGAAATTCCACAAAGCTCACTGTTTTTACCTAGATGCAACCATTTTTCTTTTTCTTTTTCTTTTCTTTTCTTTTTTTTTTTTGAGATGGAGTCTCACTCTGTCACCCAAGCTGGAGTGCAATGGCATGACCTTGGCTCACTGCAACCTCTGCCTCCCGGGTTCAATCGATTCTCCTGCCTCACCCTCCCAAGTAGCTGGGGTTACAGGTGCCCGCCATCATGCCCAGCTAATTTTTGTATTTTTAGTAGAGATGGGGTTTCACCATATTGGTCAGGCTGGTCTCAAACTCCTGACCTCAGGTGATCCACCCTCCTTGGCCTCCCAAAGTACTGGGACTATAGGTGTGAGCCACTGTGCCCAGCCTCAACCATTTTTCTTGAATAAAAGCTTCTCAGATAGTTGTAGATCTTTTGTTAATTTCCAGAGTTCTGAGAAAAGTTAATTTTGACAATTTTTGCAAAGTGTTCACATTGCTTATATGGAGGAGAGGATTTTCAGAATTTCTTCATCTGCCATTCATTCTCAAGTGCTGCCTTCCAGCTTTTGCTTGCCATAAAGTGTTTTTATCCTCCCTAGAATTCACTGGCAGTTGTGTTAAACTAGGCATAAGGTGGGGACAAATTGTAGATAAAGAGAGTTGAAAATGGTTAAAATAAAAATGGTTCAAAATGATTAGTCATCCATTGATAAGAAATGAGGACAAGCTTTTTCCTTGAGACACCTGAGTTTTTTAAAGTCCTTGGAAGCCATCATCAATTAAGTTTAAAATCTGCTCTGTTTATTTTTAGTTTTGTCAGCCCTTTAGTCTCACCATTTCCACACTGAGGATGAATGGGCCTTTGGAAAGTTATCCTAAGGGTTAAAAATAATGGCGATGATGATTTTCTACTTGTTCGAAGCCACTATGCTAAGGGAAGAGGAACTAGTTCTTATATGACCTAGGATGCTACTCCTTTGGTACATTAGTGATTTCCACCAAATTTATTCTATATGCAAGCATTAAGCATAATTAATACATTTGTTGAGCAATTTTCCAGTTAGATTACCTATTTATAGAGCTTTGTTCCAAGGGAGGCAAACGTCTCATTCCTCACAGCTAGAAGCGGGGCCCTGTTGGAACCATCATTAGTCTTAGTATTTACTCCCCAGTAATTTGTTAACTTTACAATAGGGTAGATCAAATACATAAAAATTCAAATGAACTGTATGACCACTTGACCGGGCAGTGCAAGAGGAGGAGGATTACAAATAATTCATAGAGTCAGCAGTTAGAGTTTTTTGGATACCTTAGTGACAACAGAGCCATATTAATGAAGCATAGGGGAGTTAATAATTTATCCAAGGTCAAATGGCTAGTAAGTGGACCTAAACCCTTCCTTTTTGGAACCTGGAAAGTGAGAGTAGAAAGGAAAGTCTTATCTCAATAATTTGCCGTAGTACTGAGACTGAGACAACTTTAGAATTCACTTTGGCTCCTCAATCCTCATTACCACTGCTCTAGGCCAGAGACTCTCAAACTTTATTGTGTATGTGAATCAGTTGGGAATCTTGTCAAAATGTAGATTCTAATTCAGTGGGTCTGGGGTGGAGCCTGATATTCCACATTTTTAATAAGCACCCAGGCAATGCCCATGCTGGTGTACAGATCTCACTTTGAGTGCCAAGGCTCTGGCCATCACAGCATCCATATCTGGATTAGCAGCAATATCTTTCCTTTTTTTTTTTTTTTTTTTTTTTGAGATGGAGTCTTGCTCTGTCACCAGGCTGGAGTGCAGTGGTGTGATCTCGGCTCACTGCAACCTCCACCTCCCGGGTTCAAGCGATTCCCCTGCCTCAGCCTCCCGAGTAGCTGGGACTACAGGCGCACACCACCATGCCTGGCTAATTTTTTGTGTTTTAGTAGAGACGGGGTTTCATCATGTTGGCCATAATGGTCTCAATCTCCTGACCTCATGATCCACCCACCTCAGCCTCCCAAAGTGCTGGGATTACAGGCGTGAGCCACTGCTCCCGGCCAGCAGCAATATCTTTCTAAATGTTCTTACTGCCCTCCAGGCAGGTAGCAGAATTTTGCAAGAACTTTTTCTGTTTGTTTTTTTACTTTCTCAGAGTTGTCACCAGTGCTCCACTTATTCCTACACTAGTACATATTCTTTATCCCTCCATCCTTCATCCCTCCTGTAGCTATGGCACCTTAGCATTCCAAAAAGGCAGAATTTAGGCTGGGCATGGTGGCTCATGCCTATAATCCCAGCACTTTGGGAGGCTGAGGTGGGTGGATCAGTTCAGGTCAGGAGCTCAAGACCAGCCTGGCCAACATGGTGAAATCCTGTCTCTACCAAAAATATAAACGTTAGCCAGGCATGATGGCACGTGCCTGTAATCTCAGCTACTTGGGAAGCTGAGGCAGGAGAATCACTTGAAACTGGGAGGCTGAGGCAGGTGAATCACTTGAAACCAGGAGGCAGCAGTTGCAGTGAGCCTAGATCGTGCCACTGCACTCCAGCCTGGGTGACAAAATGAGACTCTGTCTCAAAAAAAAAAAAAAAGAAAGATAGAACTTTATATTTTTATGTTAACTCGAGATATTTTATTGACCACTTAGCCTATGTGGTGCAATTGGAAGCAGGCTACGTCCTAACTTAAGACCAACTAAAAAAGGTAAACATTCACTAGCATTTATAAGCTCCTATCTTACAGTGCCTTTCCTAATCTCTTCTCACTTTTATGCCCTTCCATCACCTTGGCCAATTTATCTGGTACATGGGTCTTGATTTACTCTATGATTTATATCATTAACTAGCCTTTGCTAGGTACACACATTTATCAGTAGAACTGATTCCTGTCAGAAGGCTATAAAATGTGCATGCAAGAAAGAGGTAGGAAATAACCTAATATTCTAAAGAAGGAATAAAAATAAAGTACTTGCATTGTTCAGCAATTCACAGCTATTCCAAGAGGGACTATTATTAGATCCCGCAGAGAGAATGAATGAGAGGCAGATTCAAAAACTGTATGCATTCCTTTGATTTGCAATTGAACCACATCATGATTAATATTGGTGAAGGTGCTATTCCACAGTGAACCAAATTACCCCCAAGGTTTTAGTAAACATTCTCTTTTGGCTCCTAGTGTTGAAGCACCCAATAGGTAGACTAAACACATTTATTCATTTATTCAACAAACATTTATTGAACACCTATTATGTGATAGGCACTGTTTTGAGGGATGGGGAAATAGTAGCAAATAAGACTAAGTTTCTGCTTTCATGGAACTTATATTCTAATGCAGCAGGCAGGTATTAAAAAAATAAATGCATAGGATAGTGTGATAGAGGGGATACAGAGTAAATGTGGCCCAGATGTGGTGGCTCACACCTGTAATCCTAGCCCCTTTGGAGGCCAAGGTGGGAGGATCACTTGAGCTCAGGATTTCAAGACCAGCCTGGGCAACATGGTGAGACTCTGTCTGTATAAACATTTTAAAAATTAGCTGGACGTGGTGGCGTGTGCCTGTTGTCCTGGCTACTTGGAAAGCTGCGGTGGGAGGCTTGCTTAAGCCCAGCAGGTCGAGGCTACAGTGAGCCATAATCATGCCACTGCACTCCAGCCTGGGAGACAGAGGGAGACCTTGTCTCAAAAAAAAAAAAAAAAAAAAAAAGAGTAAATATGGGTGCTGCAGTGATAAACAGGGCTTCTCTAAATAAATGACATTTGAACAAAGACCTCAATAAAATAGGGGATTAAGCCACACAAATATGTAAGGAAGGGGCATTCCGTGTAGTGAGAAGTGCCAAGTGCAACGGCCTTGTGGAAGAGCACATTTGGCTTCTTTGAGGAAGAACAGATAAGCCAGTGGGGCTGGACTGGAGTGAATGAAGGGAAGAAAGGTAGGAAATAAGGTCAGAATAGTGGCCAGGATTTAGATATTATTAAGTTATGAAAGTCCTCGTAAGAATTTTGGATTCTACTTTGAGATATGAAGCCACTGGAACATTATAAGCACATTGATGACATGATTTGACTTACATTTAAAAGGATCTCTTGGAAGACGAAGGCGAGTGACTCACTTGAGCCCAGGAATTTGAGACCAGCCTGGGCAATGGATGACAGGGCAGCTTGTAAATGTACCTAAAACTCTTGCATTTTTGGAATTTGGAAAGTGAGAGTGGAAAGTGAAGGGGTAGCCTGCCCCTCCACACCTGTGGGTGTTTCTCGTCAGGTGGAACGAGAGACTTGAGAAACAAAAGAGACACAGAGACAAAGTATAGAGAAAGGAAAGTGGGCCCAGGGGATGGGCACTCAGCATACGGAGGACCTGCGCCAGCACCAGTCTCTGAGTTACCTCACTATTTATTGATCATTATCTCTACCATCTTGGAGAGAGGGATGTGGCAGGACAATAGGGTAATAGTGGGGAGAAGGTCAGCAGGAAAACATGTGAACAAATGTCTCTGCATCATAAACAAGGCAAAGAAAAAAGTGCTGTGCTTTTGATGTGCATATACATAAACATCTCAATGCCTTAAAGAGCAGTATTGCCACCAGCATGTCTCACCTGCAGCCCTAAGGCGGTTTCCTCCTATCTCAGTAGATGGAATATACAATCGGGTTTTACACCAAGACATTCCATTGCCCAGGGATGAGCAGGAGACAGATGCCTTCCTCTTACCTCAACTGCAAAGAGGCCTTCCTCTTTTACTAATCCTTCCTAGCACAGACCCTTTATGGGTGTCAGGCTAGGGGACGGTCAGGTCTTTCCCTTCCCACGAGGCCATATTTCAGACTATCACATGGGGAGAAACCTTGGAAAATACCTGGCTTTCCTAGGCAGAGGTCCCTGTGGCCTTCCACAGTGTTTTGTGTCCCTGGGTACTTGAGAGTAGGGAGTGGTGATGACTTTTAACAAGCATGCTGCCTTCAAGCATTTGTTTAACAAAGCACATTCTGCATAGCCCTAAATCCATTAAACCTTGAGTTGACACAGCACATGTCTCTGCAAGCACAGGGTTGGGGGTAGGGTTACAGATTAACAGCATCTCAAGGCAAAAGAATTTTTCTTAGTACAGAACAAAATGGAGTCTCTTATGTCTACTTCTTTCTACATAGACACAGTAACAGTCTGATCTCTCTTTTCCCCACAGAAAAGAGGGTCTTATTTAAATAATTTGCCCTATCACTGGGATAGCTTTGGAATTCACTTTGGCTCTTCAATCCTCATTACCACTGCTCTAGGCCAGAGACCTACAAACCCTGTCTCTACAAAAAATACAAAAATAAGCTGGGTTTGGTGGCACGTGTCTGTAGTCCCAGCTACTCAGGAGGCTGATGTGGGAGGATTGCCTGAGCCTGGGGAGATTGAGGCTGCAGTGAGCTGTGATCACACCACTGTACTCCAGCCTGGGCAACAAAGCAAGACCCTGTCTCAAAAATAAATAAATAAATGGATCTCTGAGGCTGTTGTGTGGAGGAGTCATGAGGTCAAGAGTGGTAGCTGATAATCCGGTTGGGAAACTATGAAAGTAGTCCAGGAAAAAAACGATAGTGGGTCATACTAGAGTGATAGCAATAGAGGTAGAGAGAGTGAGCAGTCAGACTGAGGATGTATTTTCAAGGTGGTGCCAACAGGATTTGCTAATGAATAGAATGTAGAGTATGGAACTAAGAGGACAGTCATGGATGACTCCAAGAATTGGGGCCTGAGCAATCGGTCCAATTTACTGGGAGGGTGATCACCAGAAAGGAGCAGGTATAGAGAGGAAATTGAGAGTTTTGTTTGGACATGTTACAAATGAGACACCTATTAGGCATCTGTGGTAGATTAAAGATGGCCATAGAGCTTTGTTTCCCTTCCCTTTGAGAGGTGGTGTCTAATTTCCCTCCTCTTGAATCTGGGTTGATTTAATGACTTGCTTGACCTACAAACGGGTAAAAATGACAATCTGGGACACCTAGGGTTAGGCCATGAGAAGCCTTGCTGTTTCTACCCAGGCCTCTTGGAACACTCTGGGTGCCCTGAGCTCCCACATAAGAAATCTTACCTCTCAGCTGGGCGTGGTGGCTCACATCTATAATCCTAGCACTTTGGGAGGCCAAGGCGGGCAGATCACGAGGTCAGGAGTTCGAGATCAACCTGGCCAACATAGTGAAACCCTGTCTCTAGTAAAAATACAAAAAATTAGCCGGGCATGGTGGCAGGCACCTGTAATCCCAGCTATTCAGGAGGTTGCAGTGAGCCGAGATTGCATCATTACTCTCAAGCCCGAGTGACAGTGCGAGACTCCGTCTCAGAAAAAAAAAAAAGAAATCTTACCTCTCTGAGATCACCAGGCTGGAGAGGATCCATAGGTATTTCAGTCAATTGTCCCAGATAAACCCAGCTTTCCAGCCATCACTGCCAGGGTGCCAGATGTGGGAGGGAAGCTGTCCAAGCCTCCCCAGTCATGCTTCCTGTATAGCCTGCAGAACCATGAGCCAATTAAACCTCTTTTTTTTTTTTTATAAATTACCCAGATTAGGTATTTCTTTATAGCAGTGCAAGAACGGACTGGTACAAAAAGGAAGTCAATTATATTGAAATACCATTCTATCCATAGACCCAAAAGATTAAAAAGCCATCCCACCAATAAAGTGTGGATAAAAAACAGATTGTTAATGCCATCAGTGTTGATAAAGAAGAGGTCTCAGACTGAACGCTAAGGCACTTAAACACAGCTGTTTAGAAACTAACAAAATGGATTAACATAGGAAACTGAGATGGAATAACCAGTGCCATGGGAGGAAAACCAGAAGACTTCAGAGTCATGGAAGCCAAGTGAAAAAAGGAGTAAAAGGGAAGGACATGACTAATTATATCGAATTTTGGTGAGAGGTGCAATAAAATAAGTCCTGAGAATTGACCCTTAGATTCGGCAACAAGGAGGCCATTAGCAACCTTGAACAAGTGGTTTCACCTTTTGTGGAGTGGATATAGATAACATTTTTGAGTGCTCTGATGGGGAACAGATAAACAAGGAGCTATATAAAAAGGGAATAGAGTCCAGGAAGATTTTTGTTTTCTTTTAAGAAATGAGATACTATATTAGTCTGTTTTCACACTGTTACAAAGATACTACCGAGGCTGGGTAATTTATAAACAAAGGAGGTTTATTTGACACATAGATCTGCAAGGCTGCGGAGGTCTCAGGAAACTTACAATCATGGTGGAAGGGGAAGCAGTCACCTTCTTCACAAGGTGGCAGAAGAGAGAGTGCAAAGGGAGAAGAGCCCTTTATAAAACCATCATATCTTGTGAGAACTCACTCACTATCCCCGGAACAGCATGGGGGAACCTCCCACGTGATCTAATCACCTTTCTCCCTTGACACATGGGGATTACAGGTTGAGATAAGATTTGAGTTGGGACACAGAGCCAAACCATATCAAATACTAAGCAAGTTTTCTGACTAATGTAAATGATTCAGTAGAGAGGAGTGCAGGTGATTATGGAAGGAAAGTACTAAAGTAGAAGTGAATGAATGAGATCCAGTTGACAAATGGCAGAATTGACCTTAATCAATGTTGAGAACTCAAGCAAAATGGGATCACCCAAAACAAGAAAATTTAAACTATTTTATTTTTAATGTTTCTTTAAAATCTCAATATAGTCATCGGGGGGAACATCTAAAATTTACTATACTTCTTTAGATATAATTCATGGCTTGGAATTTTTTTCTTATTTTGAATTGCATTTGGTAAGGACAGAGGAAACTTGCTTCTAATGTTTACGGCTTCCAAATATCTTAATTAAACCCTGGGTGCTCCCCAAATCTGGGACTAAGGAGTAATACAGGTAATTCAGTATTTATTTCTAGGATATCACTCATTGCCTGAACTTTGCTTTCAGCGTTTCCAGCAACCTTTTGTTTCATTATGATATTGTGTAAGTAGCAAAGGTAGCTGTTCCAAACTGTAAGTGATTATTTAAAATTAAGTTAATTCTCACTAGAGCAAGTCTATCTAGTATATTTGTAGTGACAGGGTATGTTCTGCATAGGGAAAATAGAAGAGAAGTCTCCTAAAAGTAAGAGGAGTCACTGTGTCACTCTAAGAGCAGAACAGAATGACACAGTGATCCTCCAGGTCACACATGGAAAACTCTGGTGATGCAGACACTTTGTCTCCATAGATTTTTTACTTATGTCACTTGATTTTCAGTAAAATTGTACAAGAAAGAAATATAGGGTGTATTGTTTGCTAGACACTGACTAGGTTAATGAACAACAGAATTTATACTCCCATCCAAAGAGAGACTATTTGTGTGTGTAGAAGGGTGTTACTTTCCATGTAAGAAAATAATTTCATTGTGTGCTCATACACAGAATACATGATCTTTAATTCAGTGAAATTATTTTTCTGATTATAGCAGTGGTACAACATATAAAGTTTGCATGGCACTTGAAGTAGGAGTTTTTTACCTCCTTTTTTATTGTTTGAATCTCAGCCTAAATACCACCTCCTCAGACCATCAGTTATCACTGTTTTCATTTTCTGGCAAGTATTTATTATGCCTGATTTTTAAAAACATATTAATTTATCTCCTTATTTACTGACTCTCTCAATTCAGAATTGTTGCAGATAGTGCTATCTGGGGCTGGTGGCACAGGCAGTAAAAAGAATTTACCAAGACAGTTGTAGGTAAAGAAAGACAGATCTGTTAGAGAAAATACATCGCAAGAGAGCAATGCGCAAGTCAGCAAGAGAGGAGCTGACTGCAAGAAGGCAAAGGCTTGCTGGGGATTTCATACGATGGTGCTTGTGCTGGAGACGGCTCCGTGCAGTTCTGATAGCGCCAGTATTGCAGGAGCTAACTTGCATTTTCCTATCAGCCAGGGGTCTGCTGATAGCTGGCACAGAAAGACTGTGAGTTATTTGTGCAGGGAGGGCTGTGTGTCCTAGACCATGAACAAAGGTAGACTTACAGCTTATCTGATTTTTCTTTTTGCTTTCCCCTGGTCCTAGCAGCCTGACTCCTTCTCCCTAGTTAGGACTCCACAAGAATGAAAGCTCTACTCCATGGATGTAGGCACCTCGTCTTTCTTATTTACTGCTGTAGCCTGTCTCAGTCCACCCAGGCTGCTGTAACAAAATATCATGGACTGGGTGGCTTATAAACAACAGAAATTTATCTCTCACAGTTCTAGAGGCTGAGAAGTCTAAAGTCAAACAACTGTAGATTTGATGGCTGGTGAGACCCCATTCCCTGCTTCATAGAGGGCATTTTGCTGTGTCCTCACATAGTGGAAGGAGCGAATAAGCTCCCTTGAGCCTGTTTTATAAGGGCACTGTGAGGGGCGGGGGGAAAGAGTTCTATCCTCTCACTCTACAACAATCAACACAGACTTCTGTGACCAAATGTGTGGGGGTTCCCCCACCCCAACAGCACACAAGCAATCAATTCTGCAGCAAACATCAGCTGGGTGTCTTCCAAGTCAATTCAGTTCTGACCTTATCTAGATGAAGAGAGCCTCAGAAACCACAGGTTCAGGGCTCAGTCCCACAAGACCACCCCCTCCTTCCCACCAGTCCCAAGTCTAGGCCTCCAGAACATCTGACCAACTGGTTTCAATCTGAGGTTTCCACAACCTCATCTTTGAGTTGATTAAGGGTTCAGAGAAACACTTATGTTTACTGGTTTATTACAAAGGATATATTAAAGGATACAAACAGCCAGAAGAAGAGATACATAGAAGGTCTGGAAGGATCCTGAGCCCAGGAGCTTCTGTCCTTGCGGAGTTGAGGTGCACCACCCTCCTGGCATGTGGATGAGTTCTTGTTCACTTTTCTGTAAGCCTCTATGTGTTCAGCTATTGGGAAGCTCTCCAAACCCTATCCTTTTGGGGTTTTATGGAGGCTTCATTATGTAGGCAAGGTTGATTAAATCACTGGACCTTGGTGATCAACTTAACCTTCAGCCCCTCCTTAGAAATGGAGGGATGGGGTGAAAGTCCCAAACCTCTAACCTTGCCTTGGTCTTTCTGGTGACCAGCCTCCATCCTGAGACTGCCTGGGGGCTGCCAGCCATCAGTCAATCATTAGCATATGAAAAGACATCACTTTGGAGATTTGAAGGATTTTAGGAGTTGTATGGCAGAAAATGGGTTGAAGACCAAATAGATACTTCACACTATCACAGGCACGAATCCAGTTCATGACGGCTCCACCCTCATAACCTCATCACCTCCCAAAAGCCCCACCTCAAAAAACCTCACATTGGGGATTAGGTTTGAGCTTATACATTTTGGAGAAACACAAACACTCAGATCATAGCGGCCCCCAAACCTAAAATTATGCCTAACATGACATAAAGATTTATTGACTAAGTAAATAAATGAATTAATGAATGAGTATTGAAAAAAATTGGTAAACTTCCCATTTTGTTAAATAAGCCTAACATAATCCTCAGACCCAAACTAGAGTTAGCACGTACAAAAAGAATACTAGCCAAACCAAACTTATTGATGAAAATAGATATGAAAATTCTAGGTGGGGCATGGTGGCTCATGTCTGTAATCCCAGAACTTTGGGACACTGAGGCAGATGGATCACTTGAAGTCAGGAGTTCAAGACCAGCCTGGCCAACATGGTGAAATCCTATCTCTACTAAGAATACAAAAATTAGGCCGGGCGCGGTGGCTCACGCCTGTAATCCCAGCACTTTGGGAGGCCGAGGCGGGTGGATCATGAGGTCAGGAGATCGAGACCATCCTGGCTAACAAGGTGAAACCCCGTCTCTACTAAAAATACAAAAAATTAGCCGGGCGCGGTGGCGGACGCCTGTAGTCCCAGCTACTCGGGAGGCTGAGGCAGAAGAATGGCGTGAACCCGGGAAGCGGAGCTTGCAGTGAGCCGAGATTGCGCCACTGCAGTCCGCAGTCCGGCCTGGGCGACAGAGCGAGACTCCGTCTCAAAAAAAAAAAAAAAAAGAATACAAAAATTAGCCGGGGGTAGTGGTACGAGCCTGTAATGTCAGCTACTTAGGAGGCTGAGGCACGAGAATTGCTTGAACCCAGGAGAGGGAGGTTGCAGTGAGCCGAGATGGCACCACTGCACTCCAGCCTGGGCAACAGAGTGAGGCTGTCTCGAAAGAAAAAAAAGAAAAGAAAGAAAAAGAAAAAGAAAGATGTGAAAATTCTAAATAAAATGCTAGAATAACAAATACACCCACAAATTAATAGAATTACTCACTATGACAAAGTAGGGTTTCTTTCAGGGTTTCAATATTTTCCTTTACTTTTATTTCTTTAAAAATTATCACAGTAACACAGGAATATGATTTACAAATTTTTTAAAATGCGACAGAGCACAGAAAATTAAAAGTGTATGTCTTGAGCCCCCTCCCTACCCCCGCTGTTCCTTCTTTTAAAAAAAAACTTTTATAGATTCTTACTTCTAACCCTAGTTTTACTTTCTATATTTCCTCCATTTTCTCTTCCCCTCCACATCCCAACTTTGGCCAGCTACATTGATACTGAAGTGGTATCCTTGTCTGGGATAAATACCCGCGATTCATTGTCTCACAGCTATAGAAAACTAGGATGCAGACACACCAGAGTAAGGTTAAGAGTGGAAGTTTAATAGGCAAAAGAAAGAGAAAAGCTCTCTCCTGCAGAGATGGGGGGGTCCCAAGCAGGTCTTCTGGTCTGCGGTGAAGGGCAGGAGGTTTTATAGATGAGCTTAAGGAGGCGGTGTCTGATTTACATAGGGCACGAAAGATTGGTCAGACCAGGTGTGTCATTTGCATAGTGCGTGAAGAACTGGTCAGGGCTAGGTGTGCCGTTTGCATAGCGCTTGAAGAAGCTGGCCTCCCCACACTAGTCTTTTATTATGCAGAGGGGTTATCTACCTGGCTGGCACCATGTTGCCTGCTTTTTTACTGTACATGTGGTGACAAAGAAAAGGGAAGATAGAGCCTCCAAGTTGAACATGCCTGGCCCTCAGGTAGCCAGCATTCACCTGTGCAGGTTTCCAGCTTGCTTATCTATGTCTGCAGCTCAATTTTTCAGGCTGCTCTTTATTAGAAAAGAAATGATTTGGGGGCTGCTTTTCGTTAAAAGGGAAATTCTGCTGAGGATTCTGTTGCCCTTACAATCTGCCTACATAATTTCTATCATCTGTATCAATATTACCAAGGTTAATATCATTTCATCCCCTTAATTTGTCATAAATAATACTGCTGTGATCTGTGGCAGAAGGGAATATTAGTACAATATGAAATAGAGTGATAGACAGTGGTCAAATAATTTAGGGCTTAAATAACTTTTAGTCTACATTTTAATATAGATCTGAAAGTTCTAGTCAATATTGCAAGATGCAAAATAGAAATAAGAAGTGTAACTCTAAAAAGAGATCAGAGAAATGTATAATTATTTGTAAATAAATTTATTATTAATAAAAATTATAAAATACATATTAGGGTACAAATTATATTCTCATTAGTTTACTTATATTTATTTTATCCAAATTCTCAAACCCAATTTATTTTTATCTTGTATAGACTGAATGTTAATGTCTCCACAAAATTCATATGTTGAAATCGTCACCCCCAGTGTGATGTTATTAGGAGGTAAGGCCTTTGGTAGGTGATTAAGTCTGAGTGCAGAGCCCTCATAAATGAGATTAGTGTCCATATAAAGAGACTCCTGAGGTCACCCTCATGTCTGCTGTCAGGTGAGGACACAGTGAAAAGACAGCCATTTATGAACCAAGAATTGTCCTTCTCAAGACACCAGATCTGCCAGTGCTTTGATTTTGGACTTCCCATCCTCCAGAACTACAAGAAATAAATTTCTGTTATTTATAAGCCATCCAGTCTAAGATATTCTACTATAGCAGCACAAATGTACTAGAACACTGTCTGCTTAATGTTACTAACTGATGGTGTTGAATTGCAATTTCTATTACACCGTTTGTTTCTTGACATTTTGTTTTGTATTCCTAATAGTTTTTATTTATATATTTTGTACAGTTATATAGGACATGAAGTTCTAAAGTCCAAGTTCAATACAAACATAACATATGCCTTGATTTTATTATACTGTATAGCATAATACAGTGTAATGTATCTTGGAGAAACTTTCACATCATCTAATTCAATTTTTAATCAGTCAGTTACATAGTTTTCTAGTTGCCCACCATCACGTGTATATATCAGATGTTTGCACTCCTTCTCTTTGCCCGGAATGCTCTTCTCTCAGATATTTGCATGGATGACTCACTTCCTTCAGGTTTCTCATCAGATATCATTTCATTAGAGACATATTTCCTGACTGCTGAGCACTAACATTAGCGAGCATGCATGCGCATGTGTGGACACACATACACTCTCACACACTAGTACTCTTCATTTCCTTTTTCATACGTACAAACATACATACACACAGAGTAGACATCCTTTTATCTAATGAAGTAAAGACAATCAGTTGGTTGGTTAATCAAAAAGTTAGTAAAAGCAACCCCAGGAAATCCTTTAAAATGATACATTTTTGAATGTAACAATTTAATTTTAATTTAAAACCTTTTCTTCGGGTATGAATTTATTGATTAGTTTCATATTCTCTTTCTTACATAAACAACACATAAAATGCATTTTTATGCTTTTTTTTTTTTTGAGATAGAGTCTCACTCTGTCGTCCAGGGTGGAGTGCAGTGGCATAATCTAGGCTCACTGCAGCCTCCACCTCCCAGGTTCAAGTGATTCTCCTGTCTCAGCCTCCCAAGTAGCTGGGATTACAGGCACCCACCACAATGCCTGACTAATGGTTGTATTTTTAGTAGTGACGGGATTTCGCCATGTTGACCAGACTGGTCTCGAACTCCTGACCTCAGGTGATCCGCCCATCTCAGCCTCCCAAAGTGTTGGGATTACAGGCATGAGCCACTGTGGCTGGCCCTAAGCTTTCCATTTAAAGTAACACTCTAATTTTAATAATATTATTTGTGATTTTCCAAGTAGAATGGAGACTTAAACACCCTTAAAGTAATATCAACATAAACTTCTTGATTTTTCAGTTTTTCCCCAAATAATTTGTAGTTGTTTCTTCCACAGCTAATTTCATACACTTTTTGAAAGAACTCACCTTTAGCAAGTCTTTCCAAAACATTTCGTACAAACAATGGTTTCTTTTGCACTCATTTTCATCAGTTTGTGTTACATTTCATTGAATTACTTAAATATCATAATAAACACAGTTGGCATAATGGGCTTAGAATAAACACACTGACTTTTTTTTTTTTTTTTTTTTGAGACAGGGTCTCACTCTGTCACTCAGGCTGGAGTGCGGTGGCAAGATCACAGCGCACTGCAACGTCGACCTCCCAGACTCAGATGATCCTCCCACCTCAGTCTCCTGAGTAGCTGAGACTATAGGCATGTGTCACCATGCCTGGCTAATTTTTGTATTTTTTGTACAGACAGGGTTTCATCATGTTGCCCTGGCTGGTCTTGAACTCCTGAGCTCAAGCAATTACCCATCTTGGCCTCCCAAAGTGGTTGGAATACAGGTGTGAGCCACCACACCTAGCCAACATACTCACCTGGTAGAAAGATGTATGGATACCATAGTTATTCATTGTGTGTTTTACAGAGAAAGTGAAGAGTGTTGGTGAATCCTACGAATTAAGTGGAGGTTTGATTAAGAAAGCATCTATTTCAAGTAGAGGTATGTGTTTGCATGTGTGTGTGTTGTACATGCAGAGATGCTTTCTGGTTAGATATTCCAGAAACTAACAATGGTTGCCTCTGAGGATGATGACTGGAGTATGATTTGGGAGGAAGAATTGTTTCTCACTGTAGGCTCCTTTTATACTGTTTGAATTTTTTGCCATGTACATATGTTGCTTTTTTCATTAAAAAATAGTTTTATAAAACATCTGTATTTATACCATTAGGTGACTATTTTTGTTTATTAGACATTTTTTTTAGCCCCTTCCTCTGGTAAGACATCCCAAATCTCCTGCCCCCATCCCAGGTCAGGCCAATCATAGGACCATCCTCTGTGAGAACTGATTGGTGCGGGAAAGAGCATGTGATGAAGGCCAAGTGTGACTAGGCCAATCAGATTCTTATCTGGGGGCTTTTCCTAATTGAAGCATCCTTTTGGTGACGAAGCTATAGGAGAGAGTTCTGTTTCCACTTAGAATGCAGAAAGCCTCAAGGGAATACAACTCTCACTATAACAACACAAAAAAAGCCAGAAAATCTATAAAATCATGACCTTTCTTGAGCCTGTCACAGAACTAAGATCGTAAGGCAACCAGGCAAACTAAATTCCAAAGAGTGACAAGCTACTCCAAAGAGAGGTGGGACATATAAACTCTTTTTTTTTAAATTAATTTTGTTTAATTTCCATATGTTATTGGGGAACAGGTGGTTTTTGGTTACATGAGTAAGTTCTTTAGTGGTGATTCGTAAGATTTTGGTGCATGCATCACCTGAGCAGTATACACTGCACCCAATTTGTAGGATTTCATCCCTCACCTCCTTCCCACCCTTTCCCCCTGAGTCCCCGAAGTCCACTGAGGACACATAAACTTTTTCACTTTTGATAAATCATGAGAGAAAGAGGTTACTGCCATAAAAACAGGTAGGAAAAAATTAGCTAAAATATTAACAATTCTTCCAGGCCAAGTGTGATCTAGTATGCTAATTTGTTGTGGTGGTGGGCTTTTTCGGGGGGAGTGTTGGTTTTTTCTTGTTTTTGAGACAGGATCTTGGCTCTGTCACCTAGGCTGGAGTCAGTGGCACAATCACGGCTCACTGCAGCCTTGACCTCGTGGGCTCAAACAATCCTCCCACCTCAGCCTCTTGAGTAGTGGCACCACAGGTGTGCGCCACCACACATGGCTAATAATTTTTTTGTAGAGACAAGGTCTCACTATGTTGTCTAGGCTAGTCTTGAGCTCCTGGGCTCCCACTTCGCCCTCCCAAAATGCTGGAATTATAGGCATGAGCCACCATCCCTGGCCTCATGCATTAATTTGGAATGACTAGAAGCCCCAGATACAAGGGAAGTTTGCACTCAGTGCCAAACTCTATTCCATGGCCTCCAATGGGTACTCATAAGAAAGATAGAAACAGGAGAGGATACTCAATGGGAGCCCCACCCTTGGGGGTGCAGGTGTGAAGAAGGAGAGCTGATCAGCTGCTTTTGGGAAACAGACACAAAAGCCGACCCAATTCCCAAGACCCTTCTCTCAAAGGAAACAAAAGCCTTAAGCCACTGGAGAGGGACGGTAAATCTTTCCACTCTCAGGGTCAGGCAAAATTCCATTCCTTTGGGAGAGGAGTGGAGGCAAAATTGGTTGCTTCTGCAGTGGCAGAAGGACCTCTTACCTCTCTGACAAAGGCAAAGACCTATTGCTGCTGGGGGAAGTATAGAAACGAAAATCCTTTGCCCTTGAGGAAGGAATAGGAAACTTTTTGAGGGCCCAGAATTCTGCACCAAAACCAAGTAGAGGTCACCTGCCCTAAAGGAAGTGTAAGAAACTCTCATGGCCAAGACCAACCACAAATACAGGGCAGAGTTTAACTGACCCAGGAAGCTGATGCAGAAATAGGAAGAGAAGGCAGGCATGCTGAGACGCCCAAGCTTTGAGCACAGGGCCTGCCTAAGACTTAGGCTGGATCAGGATGACAAAGAACTCTCTTGATTCTGTAAGCTTAGTACCAAGTAACAAGCAAGAGCAGTCTACTACTTGGAGAGGTATAAGGGCACGGAGAGAGACTCTTTTTGTGGCACAGGCATATAGGAACTCCTGAAAGTTGAGAGAGGAGCAAGAAAATGGAGAGAAATTTTCTAGCACCCTAGGACCCCCTATAAGCATAAGGTAACAACAGCCAGTGCTGGAGGGTATAAAGCCTGTGGTGCACTAAAGGTAAAAACAACAAAATCCAAATCCAGCTCAATTTATGACTAGATTGACTCAATCCCCCACCATATTTGCCTGACCATAGAAAGCTATACCTATTTCTGGCCATAAACACTATTAACTCAGACTTTTCTGTTTTTCTATGCACAGTGTCTAACATTCAATAAAAAAATTTGATTATACAGAAATCAAAGCCCAGAGATAAAGTACTCAACAGAACCAGATAGAGATGAGCCAGATGTTGACACTATCAGATAGGGACTTTCAAACAACTATGATTAATATGTTAAAAGATCTAGTGAAAATGGTAGACAATATGCATGAACAGATAGTAAATTTCATTAAAAAACTAAATAATATAAAGAGTCAAATGGAAATGCTAAGAAAAAAATGAAAGAAATGAAGAATTCCTTCAACAGTCAGTAGCAGACTGGATACGCCAAAGGAAAGAATGAGAATTGAAGATAAGTCAGTAGAAATTGTCCAAATTGAAACCTTACAGAAAAAAAGTGAAAAATACAGAAGAGAGTATTCAAAATATGATATAAAAAGTCTAATATATGTGTAATTAGAGAAACAGAAGGAGAAGAGAGAACAAGGAAGAAGGAATGCTTGAAGAGATTATAGTCAAGAATTTTCTAAAATTAATGAAAAACCATAAGATATAAATCCACAAAGCCCAGAAAAATTGCAGGCAGGGTAAAAACAAAAAAACAAAAAAAAACCAACAACAAATACAAAAACAAAATCACCCAAGTTTGATTGACCCATAGTCAACCGTTTCTGAGAATAAAAGTTTAAAGAGCAAATCTTGAAAGCAGCCAGATAAAAAATTGCATTCAGAGTCAAAAATAAGAATTACAACAACAAAAATTGTTTATTTATTTAATTTACTATTATTATTATTATTTTTGAGAAGGAGTCTCACTCTGTCACCCAGGCTGAAGTTCAGTGATGCAATCTCAGCTCACTGCAACCTCTGCCTCCCGAGTTCAAGCAATTCTCCTGCCTCAGCCTCCAGAGTAGCTGGGATTAGAGGTGCCTGCCACCACAGCCGGCTAATTTTTGTATTTTTAGTAGATACAGGGTTTCACCATGTTGGTCAGGCTAGTCTCAAACTCCTGACCTCGGGTAATCCACCCACCTTGGCCTCCCAAAGTGCTGGGATTACAGGTATGAGCCATCGCACCCAGCCTATTTATTTTTAAAAATATTTTCAGACAGGGTCTCACTCTATCACCCAGGCTGGGGTGCAATGGTGCGATCATGACTCACTGCAGCCTCGACCTCCTGGGCTCAGATGATCCTCCCAATTCAGCCTCCTGAGTAGCTAAGACTACAGGTGCAAGCCATCACACCCAGCTAACTTTTTTTTTTTTTTTTTTTTTTTTTTTTGTAGAGGTGGGGTTTTGCCATGTTGCCCAAGTTGGTTTTGAAATCCTGGACTCAAGTGATCCTCCCACCTTGGCCTCCCAAAGTGCTGGGATTACAGGCATGAACCACTGTGCCCAGCTTTTTATTTTATTTTATTTTATTTTATTTTATTTTATTTTATTTTATTTGAGACAGAGTCTTGCTGTTGCTCTGGAGTGCAGTGGTGCAATCACAGCTCACTGAACCTTAACCCCCCTGGGCTCAGGTGATTCTCCCAACTCAGCCTCCCCAGTAGCTGGGACTACAGGTGTGTGTCACCATGCCCAGCTAATTAAAATAAAATTTTTGTGTGTGTGAAGGCAGGTCTCCCTAAGAGCCCAGGCTGATTTTGAACTCCTGGACTCAAGCGATTCTCCTGCTTTGGCCTCCAAAAGTGCTGGGATTACAGGTGTAAGCCACTGCAGCTGTCCCCAAAATATTTTTAAATTACTGTTTGAAAAACAAAGTTGTAGGCATCACAATTCTGGATTCAAAATTATGTTACAAAACAATAGTAATTAAAACAGCATGCTCTGGCAGAAAAACAGGCACATAAACCAGTGCAACAGAATAGACAGCCCAGAAATAAATCCAAACATACGGTCAATTGATTTTTGAGAAGGGTAACAAGAGGACATAATGGGGGAAAGGATAGTCTCTTTAATAAATGGTACTGGGAAAACTGCATTTCCACATACAAAAGAATGAAATAGGACTCTTATCTTACATCATACAAAAAAAAAAACCAATTCAAAATGGATACAATACCTACATTTAAGACCTGAAACTATGAAACTCCTAGAAGAGAATATAGGAAAAATCTCCTGGACTTGGCCTTGGCATGATTTTTTTGTATATCACATCAAAAATTCAGGCTACAAAAGCAAAAATCAATGACCAGGACTACATCAAATTAAAAAGCTCCTGGATTACAAAGAAAATAATCAACAATATAGCCTATAGATTAAGGACAACTAATTTGTAAGTCATGTATCTGGCAACAATTTAGGGTCCAAAAGTTGTAAAGAACTCATACAACTTAATAACAGAGAAACAAATAACTTGATTTAAAAATTGGCAAAGGACTTGAATAGACATTTCTCCAAAGATGATGTAAAAATGGCCAACAGTTACATGAAAAGATGATCAACATTAATAATCATCAGAGAAGGGCAAATCAAACCACTGTGAGATACCACCTCCATACCCATTAGGATGGCTATTAACGAAAAGTGAAAAGACAACTAACGCTGGAATAAATGGTGTGGAGAAAAGGGAACTCTTGGACCCTCTTGGTAGGAATGTTGATTGGTGCAGCCACTATGAAAACCAGTGTGGCGGTTTCTAACGAAATTAAAAATACAACTGCAATATCACCCAACAATCCCTCTTCTGGGCACATACCCAAACGAAATGAAATCACCACCTCATAAAGATATCTGCACGCTCATGTTTATTGCAGTGTTATTTACAATTTTTTAATGGGATATGTTTGGGAGTATATCCCATTAAAAGCCAAGATATGGAAACAACCTAAGTGTTCATTGATGGATGAATGGATAAAGATAATGTTACACACACAGAGAAATATTACTCAGCCTTAAAAAAAGAAGGTGATCCTACCATTTGCCACATCATGGATGAATCTGGAGGACATTATGCTAAGTGAAATAAACCAGACATGGAAAGAAATATATTGCATGATCTCACTGATATGTGGAATCTAAAAAAAAGAAAGTCAAATATACACAGATGGAGAATAAACAGTGGCTACTAGGTTCAGGGAAGCGGGAGTGAGGAGAGGAAATGGGAAGATGCAGTTCAGAGGATTCAAAGTTGCAAATATGTAAGATGAAAAAGTCTAGAGATCTAATGTACAACATAAGGATTATAGGTCATAAAATTGTACTGTATTTGGGATTCCTGTTAAATGAATAAATTTTAACTGCTCTTGCCATAAAAAAACAAAAAAAAAGGTAACAATGTGAGATGATGGATATGTTAATTTGCTTCATTATAGTAACCATTTTACTATCTATATGTATTCCATTATATCATATTGTATACCTTAAATATACACAATAAAATCAATTTTTAAAATAGAATAAAAATGAAAAATAATCACAATATCTTTCTCCTTAGAAACTGTGCAAGCCAGAAGACAATAGAGTGGCATCTTTAAGGAAGTGAAATAATAATAAAAAGGCTGGGTGCAGTGGCTCACGCCTGTAATCTCATCACTTTGGGAGGCCGAGGTGGGTGGATCACCTGAGGTCAGGAGTTCAAGACCAGCCTGGCCAACATGGTGAAACCTCATCTCTACTAATAATACAAAAATTAGCCAGGCATGGTGGTGCATGCCTGTAATCCCAGCTACTCAAGAGGCTGAGGCAGGAGGATTTCTTGAACCTGGGAGGTGGAGGTTGCAGTGAGCCGAGATCATGCCATTGCACTCCAGCCTGGGCAACAAGAGCAAAATCTGTCTCCAAAAATAAAAAATAAAAAAAGAAAGAATAATTTTAAAAAGCTGGAAGCCTAGAATTTTATACTCATCCAAAATATTTTTCAAAAATAAAGTAAACTAAAGATTTTTTCAGATAAGCAAAATCTGAAATAATTTATTGCCAGAAGTCCTACACATTAAGAATTGCTAATGGAAGTTCTTCAGGCAGGAGTATGATATCAGATGGAAATCTGGAGCTATATAAAGAAACGAATAATGAAAATGAGAAAAAAGACTGTAAATAAAAGAGACATTATATATGTATTTAACTTCTTTTTTCTTTTTTGAGATGGGGTCTTACTATATTGCCCAGGCTGGTCTTGAGCTCCTGAGTTCCAGCAATCCTCCCACCTTGGCCTCCCAAAATACTGGGATTACAGGCATGAGCCACTGTGCCCAGAGTAAAAATATTTTTAATACAAGAAGCTAAAAAGCCATAAGACCACAACTGCTGTTCAGCTTCACTGGAGAAGCTTGAAAAAATAAAGTCAGTAAAGAGTAAAGGAGTGAGATGAGAGATGGGACAGGAGAGTGTACTAAAAGCATTCAACTGCTTTGTTCCAGGGACCCTTAAGACAAACATCATTCCTTTTTTTTTTTTTTTTTTTTTGAGACGGAGTCTTGCTCTGTCGCCAGGCTGGAGTGCAGTGGTGCAATCTCTGATCACTGCAACCTCTGCCTCCTGGGTTCAAACGATTCTCCTGCCTCAACCTCCCGAGTAGCTGGGACTACAGGCACTCGCCACCACACCCAGTTAATTTTTGTATTTTTAGTAGAGTTTCACCATGTTGGCCAGGATGGTCTCAATCTCTTGACCTCGTGATCCACCCGCCTCGGCCTCCCAAAGTGCTGGGATTACAGGCATGAGCCACCGCACCCAGCCTCATTATTCCTCTCTTTACCATGGTTTTATTACATGAGCTTATAAATTCTCCTTTTCTGCTTAGGCTAGCATAAGTCATATTTCTGTCACTTTTAACCAAAGATTGTCCAATTTTCCACCTTCTTTCATATACATTTGTAACAAAGTCTGAGACTGGACCCTAAAATTTTGAATATTCAATAAAAAGAGACTGAAAAGGAACCAAGCTAAATTTTACATAGACTCAGAGATGACCCAGATGTTGAAACTATCAGACTCAACCTAAACTGGACATTGATTGCCTAAATATGACATTTTATACAAGATTTAGAGAGTGTTTGATTATAGATACTGTGTGCTGGTGTCTTGTTGGTTCCATAGAACCAGATCACATGCCTAAGGGTTAATTTCTCTGCAAGTGATGTACATCCCAGCAACAATTATCTTGGGAAAAAAGATATCTTTTTGAACCAAAAACAAAAAAACAAAAAAAACGGAGAACATGGAGGACTTATAAGGGTTTTAGAATAAAGTAGGACGAAAAAACAACCCTTCTTTCTGAGGGCTGAGGGCCAGTTTGGCCTGAACTCTGGGATGTGGAGGTACCAGCCATGATTCCAGAGAGAGGGTTTGAACTGACCTTCCTACCATGGAGGCAGTACATGAGGAGCCAAGAATTGGCCTTGTCAGGAAGAAACCCCAGGACAGATTTGGACTTGTATGATGGTTATAATCATTATTGTGTGACCCTGCCATGATCCTCAAACCATTAGTCATATCCCATTAAAATTTATAGACAGATCTCCTCTGAGCCATGGTAAATCACACAATTTCCAAAATGTGTTTCCATTTTGGAAGAGTGTCCCTTACCTTGAAGGTCTACTGACGGTAGCAGGTGTGTAATCTCCAAGAGAGAACCCTGCGGTCAGTGGCTCAGCCAGAATCTAATGAGAGTTGTAGGTAGCAGAGTCTGCAGGGTGAGAAGTTCAGGGGGTGGCTGCATGCAAGATCTTGAAGATCCTGTTCCTGAACACACATGAAGCAATACCCTGGGGAATGCTCAGGAATTAACGAGGAATATACTTCCCTTCACTGAGTGTCCCTGAAGGCAGAAGTTAAGACAGAGAAATGGATACAGGTAATTTATTTGGGAGATGATCCCAGGGAGCAAGAGGCAGGGAGAAGGTAGAATGAGACAGGTTCCTGTGTATAGCAGAGTAAAATTTGATTTGAAATAATGTTGTTTTTTCTTTCTTTCTTTTCTTTTCTTTTTTTTTTTTTTTTTGAGACAGTCTCGCTATGTCACTCAGGCTGGATTGTAATGGCGTGATCTGGGCTCACTGCAACCTCTGCCTCATGGGTTCAAGCGATTCTCCTGCCTCAGCTTCCAAAGCAGCTGGGACTACAGACGCGTGCCACCATGCCTGGCTAATTTTTGTATTTTTAGTAGAGACGGGGTTTCACCATGATGGCCAGACTGGTCTCAAACTCCTGACCTCAAATGATCCGCCCGCCGCCGCCTCCCAAAGTGCCAAAGGATTACAGGCGTGAGCCACCGTGCCTGGCCGGTTTTTTTTTCTTTGTTTTGCTCAGATCATTCTCCCCACTATCCAAGAACAGGAAAAGATTTTTGTATACACACACACATACACATGAGTTGAATTTTTGCATTTTGAGCCTTCAGGTAGACTTTTGTAAGAGACAATAATCTTGAAAGTCATGGTTTTCAACTTCACAAGCCTGATGCTTAAGAGAAAAAAAATAAACACTGGGCTTTAAAAAATAAGGGCAAAGAGGAGAATGGCGTGAACCCGGGAGGCGGAGCTTGCAGTGAGCCGAGATCGCGCCACTGCACTCCAGCCTGGGCGACAGAGCGAGACTCCGTCTCAAAAAAAATAAATAAATAAAAAATAAAGGCAAAGTTGGCCGGGCGCGGTGGCTCACGCCTGTAATCCCAGCACTTTGGGAGGCCAAGGTGGGCGGATCACAAGGTCAGGAGATCGAGACCATCCTGGCTAACACGGTGAAACCCCGTCTCTACTAAAAATACAAAAATTAGCCGGGCGTGGTGGTGGGAGCCTGTAGTCCCAGCTACTCGGGAGGCTGAGGCAGGAGAATGGTGTGAACCCAGGAGGCGGAGCATGCAGTGAGCCGAGATTGTGCCACTGCATTCCAGCCTTGGCGACAGAGCAAGACTCCGTCTTAAATAAATAAATAAATAAATAAGGGCAAAGTTCAGGGACTCAAAGCACAGAATTTTACCATAAAACTTTTGGATCAGCCCCCAGATGCAGTGGCTCACACCTGTAATCCCAGCACTTTGGGAACCTGAGGCAGGAGGATCGCTTGAGCCCAGGAGCTCCAGACCAGTTTGGGCAACATGGCAAAACTGAAACCTCGTCTCTACAAAAAATACAAAAATTAGTTGGGAGTGGTGGCATGTGCCTATAATCCCGGCTATTTGGGAGGCTGAAGTGGGAGGATCACTTGGGTCCTGGAGGTTGAGGTTGCAGTAAGCAGTGACTGCGCCACTGCACTACAGCCTGGGTGACAGAGCGAGATCCCTGTCTGAAAACAAAATAAAACAAAATTTAAAAACCCCACAACTTTTGGATCAATTTGAGATCAGTGAAGGTTAATATAAGAGCTATTTTGCTACCCAAAGAGAATAAGAATTTGACTAACTAGCATAGAAGGAAAAAGGGCACTCAGCTACTACCTGAGTCCCTGGGAAGTTTCCTAAAATGATACCTGCTTGTGATGGGATAAGAGGAGGCTCAGGGAAAGAAACCTCTGACAGCGAGACCCAGGAACCTGGAAGATGCAACGCTCATAAAAAAGCCAAGGGTCCAGTGTGCGATGTAAGAGGCCGTTGAATGGGAGGATGAGCCTGAGGGCATCAGCCTCATCTGAACCCTATCCTCCCCAGTGTACTGGGAAAATTAGGTGAGAGGTCCTGAGTATTCAAGGGTATGGCACCTGGAAGTGTTGAATTTGGGTCATTGTTCTAAAAAGGGCTTGGAGTTAGCATAAGAGACTGCAGAATGAGTGAATGGCCTCATCCAGGGTTATGCTCCCTTCCTAGGGCAACCCATATCCAATGGCTGATCAATATGGAGCTATAAAGACCCAGTCCTCTCACCCCAATTTGAGTTGATTCTGATGGGTCATCCCAGTTTCAGATGGGGATATGAAGGCAGCTGAGGCCTCCACTGAGACTATATTATAGTTCAACTTCTTTCTCTATTCCATCCTGCTTCATTCCTCTCCCCTTCACAGTGTGACACCAAGAAGACTCCCTAAGAAACCTCCTCCATGCTAATCTCCATCTGACTCTGCTTCCTGGGAAACTCAACCTGCAACAGTCTTTCAGCCTGCTTTGGGAATACAAGACTTTGTAAATCAGACTTTGTACATGTAAGAATTTGGACTTCATTCTGAGGGCAATATGGAGTCATTGAAGGGTTTTAAGTAGGATGGGATGAGATCAGCTTTGGGTATTAGATCCTCTGGCTACAGTGCAAAGAATGGACCCAAAAAGACTATATTGGAGGCAGGAACATCACATGTGTGGCAACTGATTTACACAATCGAAGATGGTAATGTCATGAATTTGGAGATGTGACAGTGGAGATAGAGATAAGCTGAAAAATTCTAGGACTGTTTAGGAGGTTCAGTCAAAAGAACTAATTGATTATATGTGGGAGTGAAGGAGTAGGAAGAACCAGAGATGATGTCCGGGTTTCTGGATTGAGCAACTAGTGATGCCATAATTGGCCTCAATTCAAGTAATGGCTCTTCAAAAACTGAAGGAGGACACTTCCTACTTGCTATAGCATCTAAGCAGCACTGTAAGTCGGTAAGCATCCTAATAGTTTCCTGGATTCTGTATATGGCAACTTTCTCCCACTCCTGATAGGATGCGTAGCCAGGTGTCAAACTTCTACTGCCCCAGTTTCACCAGTTTCACCCAGTTCAAAAGTGGGAGAACTGGGCCCAACTATTTAAGCCTCCAAAGCATACACACAATTATTTATGCCCAGAAGAGAAAGCAAAATGAGACATATGGGGAACTGGTGGAGAGGCAATATAGTGTAGAAGTTAAAAGCATGCACTCTGGAGTTCGACTATCTGAATTCAAATTCTGGTTCTACTAGTTATAATTTATATCAGTTTGGGCAAATTAACTTCTCTGTGTCTCAGTTCCCTTTATCTGCAAAATATGGGTAATGATGGTACCTATCCCAAAGGATTATTGCAAATATCAAATAAATTAATACAAATAAAATTCTTTTCTTTTTTTTTTGAGACAGAGAGTCTCGCTCTGTCACCCAGGCTGGAGTGCAGTGGCGCAATCTTGGCTCACTGCAACCTCCACCTCCCGGGTTCACATGATTCTCCTGTCTCAGCCTCCCGAGTAGCTGGGATTACAGGCACCTGCCACCACGCCCAGCTAATTTTTGTATTTTTAGTAGAAACGGGGTTTCACCATGTTGGCCAGCCTGGTCTCAAACTCCTGACCTCAAGTGATCCACTCACCTCAGCCTCCCAAAGTGCTAGGATTACAGGCATGAGCCACTGTGCCCAGCCCTTTTCTTTTCCTTTTTTTTTTTTTTTTGTTTTTTTTTTTTTGAGACAGGGTCTCGCTCTGTCACCCAGACTGAAGTGCAGTGGCACAATCACAGCTTACAGCAGCCTTGAACTCCTGGGCTCAAGCAATCCTCCTGCTTCAGTCTCCCGAAGAGCTAGGACATCAGGTGCATGCTACCATCCCAGGTAATTTTTTAAATTTTTTGTAGAGATGGAGTCTTAGTATGTTACCCAGGCTGGTCTCAAACTCCTTGCCTCAAGTGATCCTCCTGCCTCAGCCTCCCAAAGTGCTGCAACTACAAACATAAGCCACTGTGTCGTGCCAGAAGTAAAATTCTTAAAACCCTGCCTAGCATAGAATAGTCACTCAATAAATGCTATCTATTATTATTTCAATAGAATGTAAGCTCTATAAAGATAAGAATTTGTCTTTTTTTTTCTTGATGAAACCTCAATATCTGGAATAGGATCTGGTGCTAAATAAAAGTTATGTAATACATACTTGTTGGATGAATAAAACCCTTGAGAAGAGAGTACTAGTTGCCTACCTCAACACAGATTCTTTACTCCTTCCTTAGTAACAGAATCTGGATTTTTGTCTGGGCATCTTACCATCTGGAATTATGTTTTCCAACTTTCCTTGCAGCCAGTTTTGGTCAATGAAATGTGATGTGGTCAAGGAAGTGTTTTGTAGAACTTTCATAAAAACCATGCAAAGAAAACTGCCTTATCTGGAAGTACCCTTATTGCTCTTCTGCCTTTTCTCTTCCTCTGGCTTGCAACTTACATGAGATGGGTAAAGCTGCAGCTGCCATCTTGAACCACGAGGTACCTTGAGGTTGGAAACCATGTGCTTAGATGGTGGATAGAAATAGAGTAGCTTAAGTCCCTTCTGTTACCACAGAGCTGCCAAGCCAAGCCAGGAATACTTACTTCTTGATTTCTTTTACTTGACAGACAAATGCCTTTCTGTATTTTTGGGCCACTATTGTTTTAGGGCTTTTGATTAAATGCTGCCAAACTAATCCTAACTAATACATTTGCCAAGGGATGATTTAAACTACTAGCAATAAAGTCCTTTATTCAATCTCTGGGTTCCGTACAGCAACTCTTAAAAAAAAAAAAAAAGGTATATTTTTCCTTTCTTTATTCCCTTTTTTTTTTTTTTTTTTGAGATGGTCTCACTCTGTCACCAGGCTGGAATGCAGTGGCGCAATCTCGGCTCACTGCACGCTCCGCCTCCCTGGTTGAAGCGATTCTCCTGCCTCAGCCTCCCAAGTAGCTGGGACCACAGGCATGCACCACCGCTCCCAGCTAATTTTTGTATTTTTAGCAGAGTTGGGGTTTCACCATGTTGGCAAGGATGGTCTCGATCTCTTGACCTCGTGATCCACCTGCCTCGGCCTCCCAAAGTGCTGGGATTACAGGCATGAGCCACTGCACCTGGCCTATTCTTTCTTTTTTTCACTTTTATTTTAGATTCAAGGGGTACATGTGCAGGTTTGTTACCTGGGTATACTGCATGATCCTTGCAGCAATTTTTAACTGTGTTTTAGTGAGAGAAACATGAGAGATCAGAGATGGAATAGACAAGATAAAGAGATTTCCCATAGCTTTTAAGGATTGCTTCTTTTGTACCATGCATTACAGGAAGACAATGACTATTTATGCAATTAGTCAGGAAAGGTTGCAAAATAGGATTTTGAAAACCAATTAACAGAAGGTACAGTGGTATTTGGTAAAGTATTCCGAGAAGGCCATTTTAGCCTTTATGACTGATTATATGACTTTCACAGGGGAGGCACACTTTGTGGGAAGGGAAAACCATATATTGAATACCCATAATGAATTAATTTCTTCCACATCACACCTGAAAGGTGGGTATTATTTGCTATATTTTACAAATAAAGAAATGGTGACTACAGACATTTGACTGACTTTCCCTCATTCATAATGTAAATAAGTAGTGGGACAGGATTTGAACCTGCGTCTGTAGGGCCCCAGAGCCCTTGCTTTTCCCCAATACCCCTCATTCCACACAACCACATAAATGCATTCTCCAAGGCCCAAGATCTCTGTTCCTCATCACATGGCTAAAGACGGTCAGCATACTTATTTCCTCTGGCATAATCTGCCTTTACTTTTCCATTTCCCGGCATTTAGGATACTTGAGGGCCATTGCTTTAAATCCGTTTTTATTTTTCACAAATTTGTTTTCAAACCACAGATTATCATTCATAAGGTGACAGTGGTTCCTTAATACTTCCCCCAGCCACTCTGACTGGCTGGAGCCTGTCCTTCCAGTGCCAATAAAATGCAGGTGACTCAAATTGAGATTATGAACAGCTCATTAGCCCAGGGGGAGAGAGTGGATGGTCCATGTGGCCACACCCAGTTCTTCCCCTTCCCGGAGTTTTTCTCAGTTACTGAATATGACCTCTAGCTTGCTCCACCTGCTGTGTTCCCCATCTCAGTGCATGTCCTCACCTTCCCCCCACCCCTCCCCTTTGCCTAAGCCGGAATCCTCTGAATCACTCTTAACTCTTCCCTCTCCCTCATCTACCACACACAGGAAATACCAAGTTTCCTTTTATTTACCCTTTATGTGCAAAATTTGCCCACCCCTTATTTTAGGCCCCACCGTCTCTTACTGAGATAAATGCTAATTTTTCTCATCACTTCCAGTCTGTTCTACAACTAGAGTGGTCACTCTAAAATGTAATACTCCCCCTTTCATTTGAACTTGTATTGAGGTATAACTCACACATAGTAAAGTGTCTAAATCTTAAATATATGTTTTGATGTATTTTTAGATATATACATCAGATCCAGATGTAGAACATTTCTGGCACTCCAGAAAGCTCCCTCATGCCCCCATTTGAGTCATATTCTACCCTCAAGGTGACTACAAGTCTGAATTCTGTCACTAGAGACTAAAGATCTATGACTTTAAAAATTTATGTAAGTGGAATCATACAGTATATTCTTTTGTGTACGACCTTTTCACTCTACATTATAGGCTGGGTGCAGTGGCTTATGCCTGTAATCCCAGCACTTTGGGAGGCCAAAGTGGGCAGATTGCTTGAGTCCAGGAGTTCAAGACCAGCCTGGGCAACATGGTGAAACCCTGTCTCTATAAAAAATATGAAAATGTAGCTGAGTGTGGTGGCATGTGTCTGTAGTCCCAGCTACTCGGGAGGCTGAGGTGGAGGATGCCCTGAGCCTGGGAGGCAGAGGTTTCAGTGAGCCAAGATCACGCCCCTGCACTCCAGCGTGGGCAACAGAGCAAGACCTTGTCTCAATAATAATAATAATAATAATAATAATAATAATAATAATAATAATAATGATATCTGTAACATTCATCCAGTATGTGGCATGTAGAAGTGCTCATTTTTTAAAATTGTTATGTAATATTTCATTCTATGAATACATCTCAATTTTTTAATGCTTTCGACCATTGGTGGCTATTTGGGTCATTTCTAGATTTTTAGATATTATGAACAAACCTGTCACACACATTTTTGTGTACATTTTTTGGTTGACACAAGCACTCATTCTGTTCAACATAGAACCTTAAAGAAGAATTGCTGCATCATACAGCATTTGTAGGTATTGTATATCAGAATTCCAGTTTGCTCCACATCCTCATCAACTCTTTGTGTTGTTAGTCTTCTTAATTTTAACCATTTTGGTGACTTTTAAAATCTTTCAATGATACCCTACCTGGATAAAGTCCAAACTCCATAATGTGATATATAGGGCCCTTCAAAATCAAACTTGTGCTTACCTGTCCAGCCTCATATCTAATCACTACCCACCTTGAATTTTAAGCTATAGTCATACGAAAGTACTTATAGATTATTGAGTATTTTTTGTTTGGTTTTGTTCTGCGGTTTTCTCTTGGCCTTTGCACTTAGAATTCTCTTGTGTCTTATCTTTATTTGGATAAGTCCTCATCCACTGAGTCTCAGCTTAGACACTTTCTAACCCTTTCACGACCACCAAGATTCAGTTAAATGCCCTTCAGCGTGCCTTCAGAGTGCTTGCTTACTTCTTCCTTAACTTGCAACACAGTATATTGTAATTGTATGTTGCCTTGTCAATTTTTCCTGAGGTCAGGGACTATCTTGTCCATTTTTGCATCCCCAGTGCTTAGAACAGTATGGGCACACAATAGGTTCTTAATCATATGTTTATTTAATGAGCAAATAAATAAATGAAATTACTGAGTCTCAGTGGAGTAATTTAAATGATTATTATTTTATTTTTAGGAACTAAGTTATCAGAATACTTCAGGATTAATAAGTTAATTTCTAAATTTGCATTCCTTAGGTTGTGCTTTGATGGAAAGGGGAAAAACAGAGTATTAAATGCAAATAATGAAAGGCAAGAAGCCCAAGGGATAAGGAAACTAAATTCTCCCAACACTGCTTCCTGTTTTGTCCACATCATGTCCCTCCAGGGAAAACTACTTTATTGCTTAATTTCTGCCTTTTCCTCTCACATATACACTTTGAAGCTTTTTTTTTTTCTTATAGCTGTAAAGAAACAAAAGAAATTACTACCCCAGAAACCTGTATTCAAAAAGAAACAAAAATGACCATGTGAAATTTGCTTCTGTCCAAACATTTCATCCGTGGGGTGTGTGTGTGTGTGTGTGTGTGTGTGTGTGTGTGTGTGTAGCCACTCATTCATCTTTTTGTATGGGGTTGTTATCTCTTATTTTTTTTTATTTTTTGTTTCTTTTTGAGACAGTCTTGCTCTGTCGCCCAGGCTGGAGTGCAGTGGTGTGATCTCGGCTCACTGCAACCTCTGCCTCCTGGGTTCAAGCAATTCTCTGCCTCAGCCTCCCAAGTAGCTGGGATTACAGGCGCACCCGCCACCACGCCCAGCTAACTTTTTGTATTTTTAGTAGAGACAGGGTTTCACCATGTTGGACAGGATGGTCTCAATCTCTTGACCTCGTGATCCGCCCACCTTGGCCTTCCAAAGTGTTGGGATTGCAGGCATGAGCCACCGAGCCCAGCCTGTTGTCTCTTATTTTGGTCTGTTTTGGTCCCTTCCTTCATGGGCTTGTGCTCGTGATTCTGAACGTTTGACTCTAACCACAAGTGAATCTTTCTCCTGGTGACTCAAATAAAAGTATGATTTTTACCTGTGGAAAAAACTTTTAAAATAAAAAATAATGAATTATTCAATCCATAGAATTAGACCGTCTTAACTCTTACTTTAGTAAACAAATCTGAACTGGTAGGAGGAGATAAAGATTTTCCAAAACACACATGCCTCCAATGATTCAGATTCTGCAATTCTCAACTGAATTAGAACGTTAGAATAACCTGGGTGCTTTTAAAAAATATTTATGCCAGTCATGTGCGGTGGCTGATGCCTGTGATCCCAGCACTTTGGGAGGCCAAGGAGGGTGGATCACCTGAGGTCAGGAGTTCAAGACCAGCCTGGCCAACATGATGAAACCCCATCTCTACTAAAAATACGAAAATTATCTGGGCATAATGTCATTCCCCTGTAGTCCCAGCTACTCAGGAGGCTGAGGCAGGAGAATCGCTTGAACCTGAGAGCGAAGGATGAAAGTGAGCCAAGATTGAGCCACTGTGCTCCAGCCTGGGTGAAGGAGTGAAACTGTCTCAAAAAACAAAAAACAAACAAAAATCCTGTATGCCAAGACCTACCTTTGGAGTTTCTGATTTGAGCTGGAATGAGTGTTTTTGAGGGTTGCTCAAAGTAAAACGAATATAAGGTATGACCAGCAAGTTTTGGGAATAAAAGTGATTATTGACATGAAGTAAGGATTGAAAAACCAGTAAACAGTTACATGGCATCCTATGAAACTATAAAATCTATTGTGGTTCACATTAAACTATCACTTCCCAATGGGACATCTTTTTTTTTTTTTTTTTTTTTTTTTTTTGAGATGGAGTCTCACTCTGTTGCCCAGGCTGGAGTACAGTGGTGCGATCTTGGCTCACTGCAACCTCCACCTCCCAGGTTCAAGCGATTCTCCAGCCTCAGCCTCCCGAGTAGCTGGCACTACAAGTGCACACCACCACGCCCAGCTAATTTTTGTATTTTTAGTAGGGACGGGGTTTCACCATCTTGGCCAGGATGATCTCAATCTCTTGACCTCGTGATCCGCCTGCCTTGGCCTCCCAAAGTGGTGGGATTACAGGCGTGAGCCACTGCGCCCGGCCCCAGTGGGAAATATTTAATGTGGGATCAGGTGGAAAGAAGAGACTCACATATACAAGGTAAAATGGCAAACATCTACTCTTACATTGGAACATCTGTTATCAAAGTAAGAAACATATCTATCTAGCTCAGATATTCAACTTGATACAGGTTTTAATTTCCTGAGTGTGACATATTTGAAATATGTCAAATAACAAAGTTAGATATGGACCTCGGAGAATTGGACTCCCAAGCATTTGGACGAGTCTGTTGAAGCAATAGTTGGTATCAATCCAACTTATTCTTCCGTCCTCCAACTGCCCCTTTAGATAGAAATGGAAGGTACTGGCAGGATTCTCCGCCTCTCCTCCATGGGGATCACGAAAACCTTCCAAACAGGATTTATATCTACTCTTAACCTGGATCTCAGATACGGCCTCTTTGATCCTTGAGAGCTAGAGATAAAATGGCCTCAACCCTCCTAATTCCATGGCTGGCAGGAGTCCAGAGCCCACTGTTAGGCTTCCGGACGGTCCGGGGGGCTTACATCTCAGAGCCTCTTCTGCGTTCTGAGCTTCTGCTTCCTCCATTCCATTGTCCATGCTGAGCAGGCCAATCTGCACATGAAACTCAGCCCCTCCGCTGGCTTCTACACAAATGGCCGCCCATACACATAGTCTTCATTTAAAGAGCAGGGAGTTATCCGGAAGAGATTACACAGCACAGGACACATAAAAGAAGCTTTAAAAGCCACTTCAGATATTCCTGCTTTAAAATGTCTTTGTGGGTCGGGCGTGGCGGCTCATGTCTGTAATCCCAGCACTTCCCTGGGAGGCCGAGATGGGCGGATCACTTGAGGTCGGGAGTTGGAGACCAGCCTGGTCAGCGGGGTGAAACCTCGTCTCTACTAACCTCGGCGTGGTGGTGGGCACCTGTAATCCCAGCTACTCGGGCGGCTGAGGCAGGAGAATGACTCGAACCCGGGAGGCGGAGGTTGCAGTGAGCTGAGATCATGCCACTGCCCTCCAGCCTGGGCAACAGAGCGAGACTCCGTCTCAGAAAAAACTAACAAACAAACAAACTACAAGAAGGAAACAGAATGTATATTCTTTTTCTCTCACTGTATGTGGTCCCTTCTTTTTCCTTCTCACACTTTTCTCAAGCAGTGTTTGTGGTCCTGAGATCTGGAATCTGGTGTCCTTGGGTTTGGGTAGATTCTGGTTTGATCCTTACTTTCATTAAAATTTTGACATTTAATTTATCATGATTTTTTATATTAGCTTTTAAATGATAGCTTTATTGAGATATAATTCACGTATCATAAATTCATCTTTTTAAAGTGTACAATTCAGTGGTTTTTAGTATATTCATATAGTTGTGCAACTATTTCCACTATCTAATTTTAGAACATGTTCATCACCCAAAGCATTAATTTTTATTTTTAAAAATATTACATTAAATATTTCTCTTGATTACTAATTTCTTTGATAGCTCCTTAAATTCTGTGCCTCACTCATCTCATCCTATTCGTGGTCCTTCTGGGTTCCCCTGGCAGATGAAGTTCGGGTGTTTTCTGCCTTCATTGACTCTACTGGACAAATGGTACTTGTCAGCGTAACAGGTAGAGGTAAAAGCATCTGTTGAAGAAGGAAACGGGGCACATATTTGCCTATGGCCTGCTCTGGGTCATACATTTAGTATATATATACTATTTAATTTTTATATATAGTAGTCAGTATTGTACTGTTTTTGTTTTTGGTTTTTTTTTTGTTTTTTTTTGAGATGGAGTCTCACTCTGTCGCCCAGGCTGGAGTGCAGTGGCGCGATCTCGGCTCACTGCAACCTCCTCCTCCCAGGTTCAAGCGATTCTCCTGCCTCAGCCTCCCGAATAGCTGAGACTACAGGCACACGCCACCACGCCCAGCTAATTTTTGTATTTTTAGTAGAGACGGGGTTTCACCATGTTGGCCAAGATGGTCTCGATCTCATGACCGCGTGATCCGCCCACCTCAGCCTCCCAAAGTGCTGGAATTACAGGCGTGAGCCACCGCGCCCGGCCCTGTACTGTTTTATAGATGGGAAAGCTGAGACTCTGAGAGGTTAAGCAATTTTTCCAGGGTCATACAGTAAGAGATGGAGCCAAGATTTAAAGAGAGATCTCTTTGATTCTGAATTATGAGTCCTTAGAAAGACAAACTTCACATGTTCTCACTCATTTGTGGGATCTAAAAATCAAAATAATTGAACTCAGGGACATAAAAAGTAAAAGGATGGTTACCAGAGGCTGGGAAAGGTAGTGCAGGGGAGGTGGGGATGGTTAATGGGCATCAAAAAATTTAGGAAAGAATAAATAAGACCTACTATTTGATAGCACAACAAGGTGACTATAGTCAATAATAACTTAACTGTATAATTTAAAATAACAGAGTATATTTGGATTGTCTGTATAATTGGATTGTTTGTAACTCAATGGATAAATGCTTAGGGGATGGAAACCCCATTCTTCATTATAGGCTTATTTCACATTGCATGCCTGTATCAAAACATCTCATGTACCTTAGAAATATATACACCTACTATGTACCCACAAAAATTAAAAATTAAAAAAATTAAATCAATAAAACATAAATTAGGGGTTCTTTTTTATTGCTCTACTTTTTAAGCAGTAAGAGGAAAAACCTTGGGATCAAAGAAAAGGGAAAAGGAAATGACAGATTTGTTAAAAGCCTCAGTAAGTTATTTTCTCTAAGTTCTCTAGTTAAATCTGAAGGCCAATGTTAGGAATGAAGGCAAATTGAGGAGGCAAAAAGGGTGGAAGATTTCCTATTTCTTGCTTTTTTTTTTTTTTTTTTGAGACGGGAATTTCTCTCGTCACCCAGGTTGGAGTACAATGGCACGATTTCGGCTCACTATAACCTCCGCCTCCTGGGTTCAAGCGATTCTCCTGCCTCAAACTTCTGAGTAGCTGGGATTACAGGTGCCAGCCACCACACCCAGCTAATATTTTGTATTTTTAGTAGAGACGGGGTTTCACCGTGTTGGTCAGGCTGGTCTTAAACTCCTGACCTCAAGTGATCCACCCACCTTGGCTTCCCAAAGTGCTGGAATTATAGGCGTGAGCCACCGCGCCTGGCAGAGTTTCCTATTTCTTAAGCACACAGCTTTATAATTTGAGAAGACCAGAGTCTCTTCTCAAGAAACACATTGATGCATTAAAACGTTTTTCTATACCATTTGATATTTTTAGTCCATTATCTATTATAAAATTATTCTCTTATAAATGTGTATTTCACAGTGCCTAGTAAAGGTCACGATTGCTCATCTTTCAGTTTGCACTGAAACTCAGGTGGCATATTTATGATTTCCCCTATTACGTTGTTTAAAGCTCCCTAGAATTTGAGCCACCCCGGTCATCCCCACTTTCAATCAAACTCTCAGATTCTGTTGTAGCCACTGTCCTTTCCCCCATTATCCCAAATGAGAACCACTATCTAGAGCACCTCTGAGGGTCTTTCCAGATCTAACATTCTATAGGTCTACAAATTTCTGGGACAGAAGTGAATGAAATATTAATACCGCATATAAGCAAAGAGGCCTGTGTGTCACGTGGCTGGGACTTGGCGATGCTGAGAGGATGACGGCACAAAGCCCTGAGGGTGGATACATCCTGGGTGTACCCTTTTCCCCTGGGCTCTCAGAGAGCACATGGAAGGCCATGCCCAGGGCATAGCTGAGGAAGCACTGTGTTGGCACCTCACTGCCTTTTTGTCTTTTAGGCATGACTAATCCATAGGGAGGAGACTAAAGGTCTTCTTTTATTCACAATCAGCTTGCTCTGAACCTGTGCTTAGTATACCTTCCTGGTCTCTGGAGACAATGGAAACAGGATAAGCAGGTCAGACAGAAAAACTGCAAATGGTGACTTGGCTTTCCTTTTTCTGGGTCTCACTCACCGTCACCATGGGGCCTACACCACACACACATTTGCCAAACAAGCACACTTGCCACAAACACGTATGCATTGGTCTACCACTGGACAACACACTATGGCTCTATCCGCTACTTGAATACTCTGACCTAACACTCTCATGCACACGTGTGCATTCACGTACACACTTTCTCTGTCACACTTTGTTCAAACATAAACATATAACCTGTCCATACACAAATGACTCTTCAAAAAATATACCCCATCCATAAATAAGCACAAATTTCCCAAAGCTACCTCCCTCCCTCCCTCCCTCCCTCTTGCTCTCTGTCTCTCTCTCTCTTTCACACACACTCTGTTCACTTCTGTACACACTCGTACACACACTACAGCCAATCCTTACTCCCACAATACCCTGTTATATACATTTACAGACTTTGTCCCCACCACTTTATCCATACCTCACATTTAGCTGCCACCAACAGTTTCTTTCATACACAAAAACACAAACGCACTTGTGCTCAGTTCTTTCACACAGACTTATTCCTCTTCTATAAAACTCAAACTTGTCTTACTCAAAACACAGTTTAGAGTAACATAAGATTTCTCCCATGGACATGTAGTCAGTTACCACACTTCCTACCTTCACCCTCATATAAACCCTGACCAATTACACATATATACACTCTGCCCACCATCCTACCCACAACACACACTTGGTTTCCATCAACCATCTTTATTCTTACTGCACATGCATGGATACACTCATGCATGTGTGCACACACACTTGCACACACACACAGTCTGTGACAGCTGCCTCTACTCAGTCTTCACAGGCACGCAACATGCTGAGCTATCATAAACTCCCCACCATAGTCCTGTGGACATCACACATCTTGTCCCCTCCCCACGATACCTTTCTATCTCCCTACCCCCACCTCATACACAGCATATGCTTCTCAAATATGCACAATTACTTCACCTCGAATATCTCTCCCTTTCTCTCACATATTACAACATTAAAAGAATGGTGAGGCTGGGGGTGGTGGCTCACGCTTGTAATCCCAGCACTTTGGGAGGCCAAGGTGGGCGGATCTCTTGAGGTCAGGAGTTCCAGACCAGCCTGGCCAACATGGTGAAACCCCGTCTTTACTAAAAATACAAAAATTAGCTGGGCATGGTGACAGGTCCCTGTAATCCCAGCTACTGTGGAGGCTGAGGCAGGAGAATCGCTTGAACCTGGGAGGCGGAGGTTGCAGTGAGCTGAGACTGTGCCACTGTACTCCAGCCTGGGTGACAGAGTGAGACTCTGCCTCAAAAAAAAAAAAAAAAAAAAAAAAAAAGAATGGTGAGATATATAAGAATTCCAGGGTTATTGGGGGAATGGTTGTGCTTACCTTCATACCTACAAATAGCTTTTTTTCTCTTATGTTGAGGGACTAACACAGGCTGTTCATTAGCAACTGTGTTTTGAGTAACATAAGATTTCTCCCCAGGGACATGTAGTCAGTTACCACACATTTTCAGTGGTTATGCCAGTTCCTTTTGAAAAGGCCAAGGAGAGCCTGGCCACACACAAACACAGAAACATAAATCAAAGATAAACTGAAAAATTAAGGGCTTTTTACTCTCCATTACTAGAAATGACCTCTTTGTCTTTATGCTCTATAAGACTTGAAACAAAAGGGAGTTGGCACATCATTAATGTGTGCGTGCATCTGTTATATGTCCTTGTTCTCAGAAGAGCAGAATTCAGTATCAAGTGCAACTTTTAAGTTGAAAAAATAAAAGTGTGTTTGTGGAGAGGGTGCATTAACGTTCTTGATTCTTAGGTTCGGAAGTAGTTTAACAATTACTTCTCACTGCCCCTAGTCCAGAAATTCTGTTTGTGACAGCAATGCCATAGTGGTGGAAATTAGACCTCCTTCTGAACATTGCCAGGGTAGGAAGATCTTGACTTCTCAACACCACCACTTTGACCTCTGGAGCTAAGAAAAGTTTCCAGATGTTGAAGTCAAAATGATTTCCCTAAGTGTTCACGCTATTGGCCCTGGTCCTTCCCTCTGGAATAAAATAGAACACTCTGTTCTATCTGTTCCAACAAAAAAACCTATAGGGAATATACGCTTTAATTAACTAATTCAATCACCCAACAGACATTTATTGAATTCCACTGTATACCATGCAATACAGTGGCTACCGTAGATATACGGATGAGAAAACCGGTCAACATCTGTATTGCAAAATCTGGTAACAGTTACTTTTCTGGGGGTACTTGGGAATAGAATTATGAAAGAGAACTTGAGTAAATGGGAAGAATTGTTCAGGTAAATTGAGAAAGAGGTATGATTGCTCAATAAACCCAGGATTCATTAGTAATTTCTGCTCTTTTATTGAAGTGGGAACTTGAGAGGGGGCAGAAGCTGCAGGAGCAGAGAATTTGACATCAGATGAGACCGAGAGAGTTTTGGTCCCAAGAAAACTGAAGACATGCCAATGGCCTCCAAGGAGGTTAGATAGTAGGCATCTCCTGTATGTTCAGGGCAGCCCATGATCCATGGGTGCCCATGATGACAGGGTCCCAAGGTAAAATGCAGAACATTCAATTAAATTTTTTTTTTTTGAGATGGAATTTTGCTCTTGTTGCCCAAGCTGGAGTGCAATGGCATGATCTCAGCTCACTGCAACCTCCGCCTCCCAGGTTCAAACATTTCTCCTGACTCAGCCTCCCATGTAGCTGGGATTACAGGTGCCTTCCACCACACCTGGCTAATTTTTTGTATTTTTAGTAGATATGGGGTTTCACCATGTTAGCCAGGCTGGCCTCAAACTCCTGACCTCAGGTGATCCTCCTGCCTCAGCCCCCCAAAGTTCTGGGATTACAGGCGTGAGCCATTGCACCCCACCGAACATTCAATTAAATTTGAATTTAAGCTAGATAAATAATTTTTTACTATAAGTACATGCCATGCAATATATGGAACATATACTAAAAATGCATCCATTGTTTGTCTAAAATTCAAAAGTAATTGTGGATCTTACATTTTAATTAGTTAAATCTGGCAAGCTTACATTTTGCTAATAATAAGTAAGGAAGCCAGGGTTCTCCAGTTTGCATAACAAACTGACCTTTTCAATTGGCTAGAAAACAGATATGAAGTAAATGGAGCCAAAGTGAAGAAGCCAGAGACCTGGAGATCTGAAATGGGTAGAAAGAACAGAAGGAGTGGGTCAGAAATGGGACTAGCAAGTGATGATGGAGCTAGGGCCAGTGACCTAGGGTCTATTCCTAGCATAGCCAGAATCCTACAGATACTACAGTTTGGTTTTGCTGCCAAACAAAATCCATCTCAGATCATGTGCATATCTTAATTTAACATTTTAGGCAGCTACAAATGAAGTGGAAAGGAGCCAAACGCTATGGACTGTCTCTACTGTGCTGACTAATTGCATTTTTGGCTTGGTGCTAGTTCACTTTGGGATTCACCTGTAATCTGAAATTTTATTTTTGCTAACTTTTGGTGTAGCCATCTTGTTTGTTTGCTACCTCATTTTCATAGAAAAACTTCCTTTTGGAAAACTTCAACTGCTCAGAGAAGAAAAGGATGTTTCCTATACCGAGGACTGGCTATATAATTTGTGGGGCTCAGTGCAAAATGAAAATGCCAGACTCTTTATTCAAGAGTTGTTACAGCCAGGCATGGGGGCTTGCATCTGTAATCCCAGCTACACAAGAGGCTGAGGCAGGAGGATCGCTTGAGTCCAGGAATTCAAGACCAGCCTGGGCAACACAGTAAGATCCTTTGTCTCTAAAAAAAATTTTTAAATTGTTAAGAATTTCAAGAAGTTTCAAGAGATCTATTGCACAACATGATGACTATCGTAAACAATAGTGTATTGCATACTTGAAAAATGGCCAAGAGAGTAGATTTGTAGTGTCCTCACCACAAAAAAATTATTAGCATGTGAAGTAATGAATATGTTAATTAGCTTGATTTAACCATTCCATAATGTATACATATATGAAAGCATCATTTTGTACATGATAAATATATATAATTTTTATTTGCCAATTAAAATTACTTTTAACTTTTTAAAAAATTTTATTTTTTATAAATAAAAATATGAAATGCTTCATGAATTTGTGTGTCATGCTTGCTCAGGGACAATGCTAATCTTCTCTGTATTGTTCCAATTTTAGTGTATATGCTGCCAAAGTGAGCACAAAGAAAAGAAAAGAAGAATTTCCAGAAGGAGACATTAAACTGAGTATGGGGTGCTTTTAAGTGCAGGACTCTGTGCAGCAACACAGATCGTACACTCATAAAGTCAACTCTGTGCATACCTCAGTCATGATAGAAAGATAAATCTGTATACTTAGAGAGAGGGACTGTGATGGGAGAAGTTTGGACTCATTTCAGAACTCACAAGGTCAGAAGGACATGGGCAGAGAGGGGAACACATGTAGGAAGGAGATGAGGTCAACTGAAACTATTGCTATAATTCTGAGATCTAGCAGGTTTCCTTTTTTTTGAGAGAGAGTCTCGCTGTGTCGTCCAAGCAGGAGTGCAGTGACGCAATCTCGGCTCACTGTAACTTCAGCACCGTGGGTTCAAGCAATTCTCCTCCCTCAGCCTGCTGAGTAGCTGGGATTACAGGCATGTGCCACGACACCCAGCTAATTTTTGTATTTTTAGTAGAGACGGGGTTTCGCCATGTTGGCCAGCCTGGTCTTGAACTCCTGACCTCAAATGATTCGACAGCCTTGGCCTCCCAAAGTGCTGGGATTACAGGCGTGAGCCACCACACCTGGGCTTTACATCTGATTTAAATTTTGTCTTATTGATTTCATACCAGCATTCCAGCCAATTGAGATCATTTTGGATATAGAGTCTGTAATTTATGATCTTAGCTTTGAGTCACCAGCTGATCTGGTAATTCTGCCATGCATGTCTTCATACACATTTCTGTTAAAACTATCTCACAGGGCAGGGCTAGGGAGAGACTGAATCCTCCACAAGACTTGCATCTGAGTGACGCAAAGACAATAATCCTACCATTTCAGGTGTGGCTCTGTCAAACATAGGAGTGTGTAAGAAGTCATAAAAGGAACCTATCTGACAATCCTTGGGACGTGAATGATCTGAAGAGTTATTTGAAATATTTTTTAGGGAAAATGTTATAAATACAAGTATCACCATTAGAAATATTAAACTACCTAGGGAAACACTGGTAGGCATAAGATATAAATTAAGGAAGAAAACAGGGAGCCAAAAAAAAAAAAAATAGGCAAAGAGGAAGGAAGCAGATCAAAAAGAAGGATAGAAAGATAAGAGAGAGACTCTCATTGACATCAGTTCTAAAAGTCCTGTGTCCTTGTTTTAAGATTTATCATTTCCTGTCCCTGAATGTAAAATGAGGCTAATAGCCAGTCTTTGAAGAGCCTTTTTTGTGAGTACAATAATTGGACTTATGGGCCACATCAAATAAAAGTCAGGATTTCCTGAGACTGATCCAAACTGACTTGGAACTCTTTGAGGTTTCGTTTCTTCTTGACACAGATGGTCATGCTCCCCGATCTTATGAAAAATGGAATTAACACTCTTCTGATTTGAATGAAATACTGCCAGGAAAATCAGCTGAGAATAATCGAGAAATTATTCCTTGACTATTCCTATTAACAACCATTGCCCTTAGCGAATAATAACTACTAAGAAAGAATTGAATGGATGAAAATTTTCCTTTGAGTTTCCTCTTCTCGTATTTGGTTCTGATTAAATGACATAGAATAAGATTTTATTCTTCTCAGCTTTTTAAGAATTCTACCAGAGAAGAGCGTTAAAAATAAGAGCTAATTTTATTGTACGTAAATGTCATCATTAGTAGGGCGGATGAGGACTCTCCTGTATCTGCATTCACACAATTTGCTCAAGTCATGCCACCTATACAATTTCACCATGTGCTCTCAGTTTTCCATGATGTTACTTATAATATCTCTTCTGCTTGGAATGTCCTTTTCCCCTTGCCTGCTTCCCCTAATTCTACTTGTCCTTTAAAGAATGAGTTCAAGCCTCACCTCCATAAACATATTGCCTGATCATCCAGTGGAGTTAAGAAACATAGATATCCCACCTGGGTTTCTGGATGTAGTAACGTTCTCTCTTTCCTCTAAACAGAATATTAAAGGCAGAAACTCAGCTGGGCACGATGGCTCACTACTGTAATCCCAGCACTTTGGGAGGCCGAGGCGGGCGGATCACCTGAGGTCAGGAGTTCAAGACCAGCCTGGCCAACTTGTGATCTCTTTTCACCATCAAGAGATGGTGAAACCCCATCTCTACTAAAAATAAAAATAAAGAAATTAGCCGGGCGTGGTGGCGGGTGCCTGTAGTTCCAGCTACTCAGGAGGCTGAGGCAGGAGAATTGCTTGAACCCGGGAGGTGGAGGTTGCAGTGAGCTGAGATCACGCCACTGCATTCCAGCCTGGGCGACAGACTGAGGCTCTGTCTCAAAACCAAACCAAACCAAAACAAAAATAAATAAATAAAGGCAGAAACTGATTATAGTTCATTACTATATCATTCATACTTAACATAGCACCTGGCATGTTATGAGTGCTCAGGAAATGTTTTGTGTAAAGAGAAGGAAAAGGAAGAAGAGAGGAAAGAAGAAAGGGAAAGAGACAGGAATAGATTATAAAATATTATCCTTTGAAATGGCTTTTATAGTTTAGCGTCTGAAAAAGAGTAGGCAATCTTTAAAAGACTTTTCTAGTCTTATAATTCTCGTCTATCTTTTTATTTGCAGGTTTTCATCTACCTGTATAATGACCCATGATTCAAAGAGAAGACAGATGACCATTTGGCAGAGCTGCATTGCAGTTATTCAGTGAATACCATCCTGATAGTTTAATGAAATCTGATGAATGCCATCCTGATGAATGCCATCCTCATAGTTTAACAAAATCTTCAAGTTTCTGATGAATGTTCAAGTGCGCTTTGCAATGATATTTATAACCAAAGTGTGTTATCATGAAAAAGAGTGTGCTGATCTTGGTAGTTCAAAACAACATAAGATAATTTTTAAAATATACGATGAAAAAATTGAGATTGACAAATCAATTATCCATCAGAGGGAATTTGGAATATAATAACCTTCCAAGGAGTAGTTTCAACCAAAGGCCAAAGGCATGCTAGCCAAGAAATCAGCATTTCTTAGCCTCTCCTGCTCCCTACTCTCATTGTAGCGTGCACTATGTTAGAAGGTGGTGCTCAAAACGGGAGGCGGAAGCATCTTTAGAATAGTTTGCTGTGACTCCCAGAGAAAGAGCAAAGTTATTCTCTAACAAGAGTTTTGGGAATCTTTTTAAAAACATGGCTGCACATTTTCCCTAAATGTTTCTCCAATGGTGTAAAAATATAGGAATTCCTAATGAGGACCTAGAGTGACACTGTCTTTCATTTCCTGTTCAATCATAAGACCAGAGAATTTTTTTCTGGATTCCACATGTGGAGGTTGGGATAAAATTCAGTTGTAACATCTGTGCCTTCAACGTCATGGAAATGCCTTTAAAATAAATGTGTTTATATGCTGAAAACTTAAAGGCCCTTTGGGAAAAACTCCAGGAAAAGAAACAGCCAGGGACACTTCCCCATTCCAGTTAATACCTAAGTACATGCCTTTGATGTCTCAGAGTAAGGAAGACAGTGTATGTCCGGGATTAATCTCTCTCCTAAAGATAACATATGCATTTATAAACTTCCCACCTGACATTTCTGCTGGAATGGCCCATCAAACCCTGTACTTAGAAAAAGTAAAGTCCCAAGACCAGGCACAGTGGCTCACACCTGTAATCCCAGCACTTCGGGAGGCCAAGGCAGGAGGATTACTTGAGCCCAGGAGTTCGAGACCAGCTTGGGCAGCATGACAAAACCCCGTCTACACACACACACACACACACACACACACACACACAAGCCTGGTGTGTTGTCTCACACCTGCAGTCCCAGGTATTCGGGAGGCTGAGGTGGGAAGATCTCCTGAACCCAGGAGATCGAGGCTGCAGTGAGCTGTGATTGTGCCACCACACTCCAGCCTGAATGAGAAAGTAAGACCCTGTCTCAAAAAAAAAGTAAAGTCCCAATTCCAAATTCCCATTCCTAAAAATCATTCACCTTTTCTGGCTTTCTTCCTTCTGTCAATGGTGCTCCTGAAGATATGGTCAAAGAGGGTATTTCCCAGGCCTGGGGAAGGCCCAGTGGGCAGGGGCTTACTTGGGGCAGAAGTTTCTGAGATGCAAGTAGAGACAGAGACACTAATGATACCAGAGAGTTAACTGATGGAATCAGGCCCATGATGAGGTAGACAGGGTAAAATTCAGAGTACAGGTGGCTCTAGTTTTAGATTAGCTTTAGGTAAGAGGATTAGCTTTAGATGAGAGGAAAGAGAAAAAGATATGGACAGATGAAGGTAATTTTGCATACTGGAGTTGAGGAACAGAGACTTAAGGTAATTACTCTTCAATACTTTCTATTTCCTTTGTAAGGTATTAAATGAGATCATCTTATAAGAGGAGGTAGAATGGGATACAGAGGAACTAGGGAGTTGAAAGAGAATGAAGGAGTTCATTGCTATGGGGGAATAGGAGAGAGAAATGACCAGGGATCTGCTTCATGGAAGGTCTAGCTGTTTTTCCAGTTGGGTTAGATGAAGGTTGAGGGGACAAAAAAATAGACAGTTTTGTCAACACAGTAATTGAGTTGAAGAGCCAAGAATTTAGGTTGGATAGGGGAGAGACACATAGGCTGGAAGAAAATGGAAAAATCAAAGGAAGGTCTTGTTAAGATCAAAGAGTAAGTCTAGAAGCAGAAATGAGTGAGAGAAATGGAAAGTTGAAGAGGATAGGATACTAGAATTTAAGTTTCTGGAGGTGGAGTAATTTGAGGCAATCAATGAGATCCAAGATTCATCCAAGAATGGGGGTGACTAAAGTTACATGGAGGTCATAGGGTTGACAAGGTCAAGGAGCTGTTGGATGGGTTATGTACATGGACACTGTGGTCACTCATGGTGATTGTGGGACCCGAGGTGGATCGGGGCCAGTACGATGGTAGTAGGTCAAGGAAGAGGGCTGTGGTTTAATGTGGCAGCCTGAAATTCAACAGAAGAAAAGTTTTTACTTGAGGGCATAGAAGCAAGGGTCTGTAGAAGGCATTGGGATGTAAGATGAATGCTCATCTTATTTCTGGTCCTGTGGTAGATGGAGTATGGAAAGGACTGTGGGGGAAATGTCTACAGGGGAGAACCTGCATCAATTATGTCAGGAAAAAGAGGCTGAAGATACAGAGGACTTCAGGTGTCACAGAATGAATGGTTCAAAAGTGGGAAGCTAGCCAGGTGTGGTGGGTCACACCTGTAATCCCAGCACTTTGGGAGGCTGAGGCTGGCAGATCACCTGAGGTCAGGAGTTCGAGACCTGCCTGGCCAATATGACAAAACCTCATCTCTACTAAAAATACAAAAATTAGCTGGGCATGGGGGTGTGTGCCTGTAATCCCAGCTACCCAGGAGGCTGAGGCAGGAGAATCGCTGGAACCCAGGAGGTGGAGGCTGCAGTGAGCCGAGGTCACGCCACTGAACTACAGCCTCGGCAACAGAGTGAGAGACTCACTCAAAAAAAAAAAAAAAAAAAAAATGGGACTCTGCTCTTAGAAGTGGACAGAGAATATGTGGACCACTTCCTCTAGGGAACTTTTCCCAACCAATCCCGTCTTTATCTATCGCTTATCCTCTACACTGGTAAAAATTAATGTCTTTAAATGCAGAAGCCAAAGGGCATCCCTCAGTATTCAGTTTGCCTGAGTCATTGTAGAATGCAGTCGTCCACGCATCCTAGATTCTGATGAGGTTATGAAACTCCCTGACTTCAGACCTTGTGAATACCCTAGATTTCCTCAGCTGGTCCAGCAAGTTGAAGCTAATCAGGAATGGGCAGTAATTGCATGCTCTGACTGCTAAGAAGGCTTTCTAGTCCTAACACAACCTGATTCTTGCTTTTTTTTTTTTTTTTTTTTGTTTTTTTGGCATGGCAGAGTAAAGCAAAGCCAGAGGAATCCTTATCAACAGGTTCTGTGCTGTACTCTTTCTGAGCATTCAGGCCTTTGGCAACCAGAAGCAAGTATACTCTTAGGATTTAGATATGAGGCCAAAGTTGGGGCAGCCCTTTGGCCTTTTCCTCCAAGAAATCCTCTCCATCAGGTACCCCAAGTCCTGGCAGAGCCAAGTTATCACGGATACAAGTTTCATATACTGCTCACAGCAGCAGACTGAGCTAAAGGCTGTGATGCAGAAGTTCCAGGGGATGGCTGGGTCATGATCATCAAGACAATGATGCAAAGATGGTCAGGAATTCCATCATTCCACCCATTCTGACCTTACTGTGCTCAGGTGGCCCACCTGGCAGGAAGAGAGACGTGGGCTCCCTTACATCATGAAGCAACAGAATAGGCCGGGCACAGTGGCTCACACCTGTAATCCTAGCATTTTGGGAGGCTGAGGCGGGAGGATCACATGAGCTCAGAGGTTCAAGACCAGCCTGGGCAACAGAGTAAGACTTTATCTCTATTAGTTTTAACACATTTTTAAAGAAAAATAAATAAATAGGACGGGTGTGGTGGCTCACAGCTGTAATCCCAGCACTTTGAGAGGTCAAGGCAGGGTGGATCACTTGAGATCAGGAGTTCGAGACCAGCCTGGTCAACATGGTGAAACACTGTCTCTACTAAAAACACCAAAAATTAGCTAGGCATGGTGGCACATGCCTGTAATCCCAGCTACTCAGGAGGCTGAGGCAGGAGAATCACTTGAACACGGGAGGTATAGGTTACAGTGAACTGAGACTGTGCCACGGCACTTCAGCCTGGGAGACAGAGTGAGTGAGACTCTACTTTGAAAATTAAAAAAAAAAAAAAGGAAAAAGAAAAATAGGCCGGGCACGGTGGCTCATGCCTATAATCCCAGCATTTTGGAAGGCTGAGGTTGGTGGATCACTTGAGTTCAGGAGTTCAAGACCATCCTGGCCAACATGGTGAAACCCTGTCTCTACTAAAAATACAGAAATTAGCCAGGAGTGGTGGCACATGCCTGTGGTCCCAGCTACTTGGGGAGGCTGAGGCATGAGAATCACTTAAACCAGAGAGGCGGAGGCTGCAGTGAGCTGAGATTGCGCCACTGCACTCCAGCCTGGGTGACAGAGCAAGACTCTGCCTCAAAAAATAAGAAACATAAATAAATAAATGAGATTAATAGGCAGAATGCCACCCTTCATATTGAATAGTCATATCTTTCATCTGCTTCCATCAAGGAGGCCACTGGGTCTCCTTCCAGTTACAATGATGTGACTCACAATAAGGTTTCCAGGACCAGTAGCTGGGTATATTTCTGAAATTGCTCATTCAAGTTCTAGGTACTGGCTCCTCTCTACCGACCCTATTCTATTGTAATTAACTGCACCATTCTTGGCTTTGTTCTAAGATATGAGTACTTATCATGTGGAGAAGAGATCATCAACATTATTAATAATTATTATTTATGAGAACTTATTACGTACCAGACACTTTATATATATTGAGTCTTTTAATCTTCACAACAGATTTATCAGGTTGACCTCATTTTTTTTAGATGAGGAAACTGGAGTTAACTAGTTTACTCAAGGTCACAAAGCTAGTAAACAGCTGAGCCACTCTAAATATGGACTTAACCAATATATATTATACCCACTCTCCTGTTTTATACAGATAGAGACAGTATATGGTTGTTGCAGCTTGTACATTTCACTAAAAGAGACAGATGGGACAGCATAGTTGGGCTTCAAATCACAAATGAATGGTGGGAGAAAAATCAATTTATCAGAGAGCCTCAGGTTGAAACTTCAGGGAACTTCTCAATGCCATTTGAGCAGACCCATTGGATGCTAAGCTCTTCCAAGCACACACATAGGACAATTATATATAATGTAACTGGAGGCACCCAGCACTTCAAAGGGAAAAACATATTTTTGTCATTCTAGTAAGACCTCCCTTCAAATGAAACTCACAATGAAAAAATGTCAGGGGTGAGATTTTTCAAGCCACAAACAGCCAAGTGCATATCTATTTCATGCCTGAGCTTGTGTCATTAGCCAGTCAATCCACTCCTCTAGGGTGCAAACTTATAATAGTTTCTACTGACATGGGTGGGTGTACACTGGATGAGGGAACAACAGAGGTGGGGAGTGGAGTGGGGGAAAGGAAGTTAACGTGGATCAGCCAGGTCCTGTTTGGTGTGGATTTTATATAGAATCTAATTTCCTCCTCACAGCAACTCCATGACATAAGCATTATTATCTCTACAGATTAGGAAACTGGGAATCAGTCACCTAACTAATAAAGGGTGGAACCGGGACTTCAAAACACCTCATGTTTTACCGTAGCATCCTGCATACCCACGTAAAGGTGGGAGGCATGGCAACTTCCACATGGGCTTAAGGAACAAAAGGAGAAGCTCCAGGTGAAGTAAGAACAGTCATATTTAGTATGCCAAGGCTAATTATATCCTCGATCCTCTTGGCATGAACTGCATAGGGAAAGAGGAACAGGGCTCTTGTGCCTTGGTAGCTCAGCCATGAGCTCTCCCAACCACACTTTCCTTCTTATCCTAGATGCAGGGTCCAGGGGGCTACAAGCAGGGCTTGCTGCCAACTTGATTTTGCGCTTCCAGCCTCTGGCAGCCAAAAGATATAACCATGACTTCCCAGAACAAGAAAGTCCCAATCCTCTTAGCTTACCGATCAAGACAGTGGAGCCCAGAGAGATCTACAGACTTATTCAAGAGCAGGTACAGAGTTAGGATCACAACCACAAGTGGGACCTGGCTCTTTTTTCCAGGCAGGTTTTTTAGGAGACAATGAGGCTGGTCTTGGGAAATCAGCATTTCTATGCCTCATCTCCTAAATTCCTAGAGTTGAAGTCTAGTTGGCTCTTTCCGGGGAATGCTCTAGAAGCTTCCCATATGAAAATGTTAGGATGAAGCACACACATTGACATTTAGGAGATATGTTTATTTGGGAAATAAAAATCAATACGACTGGCCTGGTGTGGTGGCTCATGCCTGTAATCCCAGCACTTTGGGAGGCTGAGGTGGGCGGATCACCTGAGGTCAGGAGTTTGAGACTAGCCTGACCAACATGGTGAAACTCTGTCTCTACTAAAAATACAAAAAATTAGCCAGCGTGTTGGCGCGTGCCTGTAATCCCAGCTACTTGGGAGGCTGAGGCAGGAGAATCGCTTGAACCCAGGAGGTGGAGGTTGCAGTGACCAAAGGTCGCACCACTGCACTCCAGCCTGGGCAACAAAAGTGAAACTCTGTCTCAAAAATAAAAAAAAAAATCAATAAGACTAATGTAAAGAGTGATTGGGTAGAAAACAGAAGAACCATCGTGAAGTCTGGATCACAAGTTAGAAATGTGTCAGGACTTTCAAATGCATATCCAGAAAAATCCTGGCCCCAGGGTGTTTCAAAGTAGGGAACCTGATGTGGATGGTGATGTCCACTCTGTACCTTGCCCTGTAAAACTTGGGTCTCTCTGCAGTGGGTTTCCACTCTGATTTGTAAACTTCCTGACCTTCCCATCAGAGAATTACAATCAGAGAACACAGGTCTGCTTCCTAGAACAAACAGTACCTCTGTGGAAATAAGAAAAAGGTGCCCTGTGCTCTGGGTCCTTAGCCTCATAGCTCAGCGAGCAGAGCAGGTGCTAGGTTTCTGCCCTGACTTACCTTCTCCAGGCATCTCTTTGCATGGCCGAACTTGCACAACCACACGAGGCATCAACCCTTTCTATTCCTCCTTCCAAGAACTCAGAGGAAGCAGTGGAATCTTTCCATCTGTCACACTTATGATTGCCCACAGAATCCCACCAACCAAATCAGGTATGGCTACAGGAGAGGGAGTTACTCAAGCAGATGCAACTCTTATGAGAATTGCTCAGTTTTTTGTTTTTTTTTTTGAAACAGAGTCGCACTCTGTCGCCCAGGCTAGAGTGCAGTGGTGCGATCTCGGTTTACTGCAACCTCCACCTCTTGTGTTCAAGAGATTCTCCTGCTTCAGCCTCCCAAGCAGCTGGGATTACAGGCATGTGCCACCATGCCCAGCTAATTTTTTGTATTTTTAGTAGAGGTGGAGTTTCACCATGTTGGCCAGGCTGGTCTTGAACTCCTGGCCTCAAGTGATCTGCCCACCTCGGCCTCCCAAAGTGCTGGGATTGCAGGCGTGAGCCATCGCGCTTAGCCGAATTGCTCAGTTTCAAATGGAGTTTGTTCCACTTGTTTCTAGGATAGAGTCTGAAAAAACCCCACCTCATCTCCTGATGTTAGCATCTTTCAGACTTTCCTAAATTTAAAGTTGGCATAGGATTCTTGACACCTTCTTATTGGAAGAGCGTCTGGCACACATAGCTCAAAGGATGTCTGGTGAGTGAAGGGAAGATAAGGAGAAGAAGGGAGGAAGACAGGGAGGGAGGGAAGGAGGGAGGGAGCAGCAGGGATGGTGAATCCTCTGTGACAAAGATCAAGTCTATGCGATGAGGTATATGGAACTTCAGCGTCTGCCTTGGGCCAGGCAGCATTCAGACAGCTGATGTGTGATTAATTGGGCTAAGTGGTATGTCTATGTAGCAATGATTTTCATATGTCTCTCCCCACAATCCCTGTCTGCAGGTCTGCAATTGTCAGACAATGCTTTAGTGGACGTGCTTGGCACCTGAGAGATACGAACACATCATTTAATAATATGCTTTCCGTGCATGATGCTTGACTAGTGAGCATTTATAATTCACTGAAAGGTAGGTTCTTCCCAAATACATGTGTTATTCTCAACCACAGCATCCGACAATGAGTGGAGAAAATTCCTAGAGTCAGGGTTACCAAATCCGGTGATGAAGGACAGAATGATCTGCTGAGAGAGTAGAGAGAAGAAACTCTCGAGAGCAAGTGGAGCCATGTCAAGAACAGGGCCAGCCTTCAGGGAAGTTGGCAGTGGCATTACCGACATGCCATTCTGGGGCAATCAGGGTGTTCACTCTTCACAAAGCTTCAGTGCTTTGGGTTGTGGGGTGATGCAATGGGTTGCTGTTTATCATTGGCACTCTCATAATTATTATCTGCAATAACACCGCCAACGTCATTAAAAATTTGTTGGGTTTCTTCCCTGTAAAATTGTCAACAGGATCTTTGGGCTTAGGCTCCAAAAGGCTGGCTCTTCTTAAAAATCCTTGCAGAGAGAGCCTTAAAAGCTTAATAACATATCAATTCAGCATTTAAAGATTAAAGTAGGTATGTTTTAATAGACCTTTTGAATAAAAAAAATAAAATTCATGCCTCAAATTTGAAAGGTACCAAAGTGTGTACTGAGATAAGTAAGTCCTCCTTTTACCCTGTCACCTAGACTTCCAACTTCCTTCCAAAAGGTATTCACTCCTTATGGAAAATTGTATCTGAAAGGAAGAGAAGGGTTCTAGCTGAATAATCAGAACCTCAGTCAAAATCTTTGCAAGGCTACCCATCCTTTTCTGGCCAGGCTTCTTTATATTCAGGAAGAAATACTAATAATTGTTGATTGCTGCCCCCAGCAGGAAAGCAGAAATTCAGATATGCCATTCAAGGCACGAAGGACTACAATACCAATGACCTCAGTGTTAGTGGATGTGAGAATTTATGGTTGTTAATCGACAATGGTAGAACCAAAATTCCGGTGTCAAAGCTAATGCCAAGAAAAGTCACAGAAACCCCACGGAGATACAGCTCCTCTCAAGACACACACACTCAGTGGCTCTGGTTTACATCCCCAGTAATTTGTTCAGGCTGCATGGTTTTTTTGTTTTTGTTTTTGATTTTTCTTTTTAAATAAATCTTTTGACACAGGATCTGGCTCTGTCACCTAGGCTGGAGTGCAGTGGTGAGATCTTGCTCACTGTAACCTCTGCCTCCCGGGCTCAAACCATCCTCTCACCTCAGACTTCCAAGTAGCTGGAGCTACAGGCATGCAACGCCATGCCCGGCTAATTTTTTGTATTTTTAGTAGAGCCAGGGTTTTGCCATTTTGCCCAGGCTGGTCTTGAACTCTTGAAGTCAAGCAATCCTCCTGCCTCGGCCTCCCAAAGTGTTGGGATTACAGGCATGAGCCACAGTGCTCGGGCTTAAACTTCCAATTTCTCATTCCATCAACTTTTGACGGGGCCTCTTGACTCCTACTCTATATAAGAATATTAACTCTTGTACACTATATTAATTCTTGTACTTTCTTCCTCCTTCCATGTGCCATTAATCTCTAATGTCCACATACTTTTATTTTTACTTTGTCAAGTTGATAACATATTCATTCTGCCTGCCAAGACATCCTTGGTTTTTCCCTGAGATGACTCTAAAAGTTGCAAACCAAACAACATTTCCATTAGTATGACCATGTAAATATTGTCCAATGCTGGGCCAGGTAGCATATTAGGACTACATTTTCTTCTTCAATGTCATTATGCCTAGACTATATAAAAGAAATTGTTCCTAACATCAAGGTCAGATGGCATCTATTTTCTTACACTATCAGCCAATTAAAATTATGCCACATTTTAGTTTGTTTGCCTTAAATAATATTTGTCTTATATTAATATTGCTACCCCAGCTTTTGCAGGGGTAACAGTTAAAGTACCTGTCTCTTTTCATCCTTTTATTTCTAACTTTTCTCGGTGTTTTTTGTTGTTTTTTTGAGACAGAGTTTTGCTCTGTCGCCCAGGCTACAGTGCAGTAGCACGATCTCGGCTCACTGCAACCTCTGCCTCCCGGGTTCAAGCAATTCTCCTGCCTCAGCCTCCCGAGTAGTTGGGATTACAGGCGCCTGCCACCATGCCCAGATAATTTTTGTATTTTTAGTAGAGACAGGGTTTCGCCATGTCGACCAGGCTGGTCTTGAACTCCTGACCTCAGGTGATCTGCCCACCGCGGCCTCCAAAAGTGCTGGGATTACAGGCATGAACCACCACACCTGGCCTGGGTAGTTTTGTTTTAGATGTGTATCCCAGACATACAGAGCTAGAATTTTTACAAACTCAATTTGGTAATTTTGTTTTTATATAGGGGAATTTAATTCGTTTATATATTTTGTGATTGATATATTTTAACCTAATTCTACCACCTAATTTGTGTTTTCTGTTTACTATAATTTTTCTTTTCTTCTTTTTTTCCTACTTGATAAAATTTCTGGTATTTCTCTTTTTTTCCCTTAATTAAGTAATTATTGTAGTTTTTTATTTTTTTTTTTCCGAGATGTTGTCTCCCTCTGTTGCCAGGCTGGAGTGCAGTGGCACCATCTCGGCTCACTGCAACCTCCGCCTCCTGGGTTCAAGTGATCTTCCTGCCTCAGCCTTCCAAGTAGCTGGGACTACAGGTGGGTGCCACTACGCACAGCTAATTTTTTTGTGTTTTTAGTAGAGATGGGGTTTTACCATGTTGGCCAGGATGGTCTCGATCTCTCGACCTTGTGATCTGCCTGCCTTGGCCTCCCAAAGTGCTGGGATTATAGGCGTGAGCCACTGTGCCTGGCTGATATTTCTATTTTTAAATTAAACTTGTATATACATCATGAGTTATACATATTTCTTATTAGTTTATAATAATTCAGTATTTGTATTATGCTCTTAACCGAAACACAGGTCTTAGGATGCTTAACAACCCATTAAATACTAGCTCTGTCTTCTTACTGTAATTTAGAGGTATAGCTTTAATTCTATTTTTTCTTTTCTTTCTTTTCTCCCCCTAAAATTACTGGGCTTCGATCTATGTGAAAAGACACAGAAATTAGTATTTTTAAAACAGGAAATAAACTTACTGACATTTTATTTATTGTTTCTTGTATTCCATGTCTTCTTTCTGTGTTCTTTTTTTTTTCTTGCTAAAGGACATCTTTAATGGATCTTCTTTTTATTTTTTTATTTTATTTTATTTTTTTTTTTTTTTTGAGACAGGGTATTGCTTTGTTACCCAGGTTAGAGTGCAGGAGCACAATCACTGCTCATTGCAACTTCTGCCTCCCAGGCACAAGCAATCATCAGCCTCTCAAATAGCTGGGACTACAGGCCTATGCCACCACACCCAGCTAATGTTCTAATTTTTTGTTGAGATGGGGTTTTACCATGTTGCCCAAGCTGGTCTTGAACTCCTGGACTCAAGCAGTCCTCCCACCTCAGCCTCCCAAAGTGCTGTGATTACAGGCATGAGCCACCATGCCTGGCCTCTTAATGAAGCTCTATGGATGGTGAGTTCTTTTGTTTTTTTGCATATCTGGACATATTTTCCCCCCACCCCCATTAATGAATCATAGTATGTCCGGGTAAAAAAAATTCTGTGCACGTGGTTATTTCTCATCACTATCATTACTGTTTTCTGACGTCCACTATTGCTGATATTCAATTTGCTGTTGATCTGTCATTACTCTGCAGATAATCATTCATTTGTCTCTGGGAGATTTTAAGATTATGTCTTAAATCTTTAAGATTTAATCTTTAAGACAGAATCTTAAAATCTCCTTAAAGCTTTGCAGTTTTATTATTATGTAGCTTGGTATTTTTATTTATCCTGCTTGGCACTGAAAATGCACATCTAATTTGTTCACTAAGTTCAGTTCCCAGTGCCTGGCACAAAACAGACACCTGATGAATATTTCATAAATAAATTAGTGTTTCTTCCGTTTTTTAGAAATCCTTAGCAATCTCCACTTCAAATGTTGCTTCTCTAAACAACTTCCATTCTCTTTCTCTGGAACTTTTATTAGATAATTGTTGGAGCCTCAAAATCTATTCTCTGTCTTTTAATGCTCTATCATGTTTAATCTCATGATCTCTCTGCATGGCATACTGAGAGTTCCCCAGTGTTGTCTTCAATTCCTAATTTTCAACTATGTCCAGTTTAGAGTGTATCCTTAACTATAACACTTTTTTATTCCAATGATAATATAATTTTTAATAACTTCATTGAAATGTAATTTATGTTTTGTTTTTTTTTTTTTTGAGACAGAGTTTCACTCTTGTTGCCCCAGCTGGAGGGCAATGGCGTGATCTCGGCTCACCACAATCTCTGCCTCCCGGGTTCAAGCGATTCTCCTGTTTCAGCCTCCCAAGTAGCTGGGATTACAGGCGTATGCGCCACCACGCCCAGCTAATTTTGTATTTTTAGTAGAGACGGGGTTTCTCCATGTTGGTCAGGCTGGTCTCGAACTCCCGATCTCAGGTGATCCACCCACCTCGGCCTCCCAAAGTGCTGGGATTACAGGCATGAGCCACCGTGCCCGGCCAAGATTTAATTTATATGCCATAAAATTCACCCATTTAAAGTGTTTAATTTGAATATTTTTAGTAAACTTATAGAGTTGTGGCTCCCTCAACACAATTCAGTTTTAGAACATTTCCATCACCCCAAAAAGATTATTATTTTTTCGAGATGGAGTCTCACTCTGTTGCCCAGGCTGGAGTGCAGTGGCACAATCTCGGCTCACTGCATCCTCCACCTCCCGGGTTCAAGTGATTCTCCTGCCTCATCCTCTCAAGTAGCTGGAACTAGAGGCGCCCACCACCATGCCCAGCTAATTTTTGTGTTTTTAGTAGAGATGGGGTTTCACCATGTTGACCAGGCTGGTCTCAAACTCCTGACCTCAGGTGATCTTCCCGCCTCCGCCTCCCGAAGTATTGAGATTACAGGTGTGAGCCCCTGCGCCCGGCCGGTCTTTTGCATCTAGTTACTTTCATTTAGTATAATGTTTTTGAGGTTCATCCATGTTGTATGTATGAGTGGTTCATTCCTTTTTCAAATGATTGTTATTTTTGATTTCCATATTTCGAATTGGTTCTTTTAGATACCCATCTAAAAGAGTTTCCTTTTTTTCCCCATTTTGTTTTAGGGAAGTTATATCTTAATTTATATATTTTTTTACATCCTCAGCATACTTATGTTTAAGGCTTTGTCATACCATTGTGTAAAGCATTCAGCTGGATTGGATTACTATTCCAATTGTTGATTTTATTGGCTATCTTTATTAGCAATATATTTGTTTTGGGATTTTGGTGTATGGGTTTTTTAGTGAAAATATATTGTTTTCTTTCTTTCCTTCCCTTCCTTCCTTCCCTCCCTCCTTTCTTCCTTCTTCTTTCTTTTTTTCTTTCTCTCTTTCTCTTTCTTTCTTCTTTCTCCTTCCTTCCTTGCTTCCTTCCTTCCTTTCCTCCCTCCCTCCCTACTTTCCCTTCCCTTCTCTTCCGTTTTCTTTCTTTCTTTCCTTCCTTCCTTCCCTCCCTCCCTCCCTCTCCTTCCTTCCTTCCTTCCTTCTTTCTTTCTTTCTTTCTTTCTTTCTTTCTTTCTTTTCTTTCTTTCTTTTTCTCTTTCTTTTCTTTCTTTCTCTTTCTTTCTTTCTTTCTTTCTCTCTCTCTCTCTTTCTTTCTTTCCTGACAGAATCTTACTCTGCCCAGCCTCTTTTTCTGTCTTTCTCAACCCCTCTCCTTACCTTCCCTTGCCCATCAGTTTTTTTATTGCTTCTATTCCACAGTCCGGGTCTCTAAATCAGAACACAGTCTACTAGCAGTGAATCAAAGAAGATATTAAGAGCAGGGCAGATCTAGTCATAAACATTGGGTGTTTGACTTATCTCTTGGTTGCAAGGCTATGGCCTTGTAAACCTTAGGCCTACAGCTCACTAGAACCTACGGTCCCAAGCAGCAGTTAGGAGCAGCTCATTTTCATTCTCTCTTCATAACATTGAGGGTGCCCCACCACTGTTCAGGTCTTTGAGCTTGTGCCTGGCTCCAGTCTCCCATCTCCTATGAAGCATTTTCAATCCCTTTTGCCCTACAAAAGCCAAACTACCAGCTACCCAGTTTCAGTCCTTTTCGCTGTTCACAGTTTCTATTGCTCTCTGGATTTTGGATATCTTTATCTGGTATTTGAGCCTGACTATATCTTTTAGTTTTCTTTTTCTTTTCCTTTTTTGTTATTATTATTATTATTTTTTGACAGAGTCTTATTCTGTCTCCCAGGCTGGAGTGTAGTGGCATAATCATAGCCCACTGCAGACTCAATCTCCTGGGCTCAAGTGATCCTTCCACCTCAGCCTCCCAAGTAGCTGAGACTACAGGCACATGCCACCATGCCCAGCTAATTGTTTAATTTTTTGTACAGATAGTGTCTTGCTATTTTGTCCAGGCTGGTCTTGAACTCCTGGACTCAAGCAATCCTGTCTCAGCCTCCCAAAATGCTAGGATTATGGGCATGAGCCACTGTGCCCAAGCCTTTGTTTTTGTTTTGTTTTGTTTTATTTTTTATTAATTTATTTTTTTGAGATGGAGTTTCACTCTTGTCACCCAGGCTGGAGTGCAATGCTGCGATCTCAGCTCACTGCAACCTCCACCTCCTGGGTTCAAGTAACTCTCCTGCCTCAGCATCTCAGGTACTTGGGATTACAGGCACTCACCGCCACACCTAGCTATTTTTTTTTTTTTTTTTGTATTTTTAGTAGAGACGGGGTTTTGCCATATTGGCCAGGCTGGCCTCGATTTCCTGACATCAGGTGATCTGCCCAACTCTGTGTCCCAAAGCGCTGGGATTATAGGCATGAGCCACTGTGCCTGGCTGTTTTTATTTTTACGATTGCTATGTGTGGGGAGAAAAGTGAGTTGTTAGTGTTATAAACACACTGTACCATCATCATCTGAAAGTTTGTTTGCTTCATATTTGGGTTGTGACTTTTGTTTTTTTTTGTTTGTTTTTTTTTGAGATGGAGTTTTGCTCTTGTTACCCATGCTGGAGTGCAGTGGTGCGATCTCAGCTTACCGCAACCTCCACCTCTCCAGTTCAAGCGATTCTCCTGCTCAGCCTCCTGAGTAGCTGGGATTACAGGCATGTGCCACCACGCCTGGCTAATCTTTGTATTTTTAGTAGAGGCAGGGTTTCTCCATGTTGGCCAGGCTGGCCTCGAACTCCTGACCTCAGGTGATCCGCCCGACTTGGCCTCCTAAAGTGCTGGGATTACAGGCGTGAGCTACCACACCCAGCCCCGTGACTTTCTTCTATATTTCTTGTTTTCCCAGAATTTCTAATGGCTTTTATTCCTTCTCGATTCATCTGCATTTAAATTTTCCTCCAATTTTCTAGACTTTATTTGGAGGCACACATTCTGGAAGATGTCCCAGGGGCATTCGGGATCAGAAATAGGTGAGCAGATCCTTAGGCTCAGCAGAACCTTTGTGGGTCTGTCTTTATATCTGGTTCAGGTGTCATTGGTATGTGTACAGTGGAAAGTGACATGTAAGGCTAGCAAATGTCTCTCTATGTGGAGTGGTCAGGGTTTTGGATAGCCTGAAGAGGTTAGCTAGGTTCATTTTAGGACAAAGATAAAGTGCCTGGATATGGGTTTCTCTGGCCTGGATCTAATTGGCTGCTCCTGGTTAGAACAGTTCCCCTCTGAATTCCACGTTCCCTTGGGCTGGCTGGGGGATGATTTGTTGGGGGACAGTCATAATGGAGCTCAGATGCAGAACATCTGCTGCATACCTCCTGTACCAGACAGTGCCAGTCCGCTCTAACTGGGGCTAGATAGCCAAAATATTTTAGGGCAGAGATAATGAGGAACAGAGAAATGTTCATACTTTTAGTTCCCTTGTTTGTGAAGTAAAATATCACCTACCTGTCTACCCAGTGCCTACAGGGTAGAGACAAAGAAGCTGGGTCTTCTTGTATCATATGAGGCAAGTTTCTAGGTCTGTCTCAGTTGCTTCAAGATCATCCCCTGAGATCTAACCTTCACCTTTCTTGGGCAGTCTTTCAAGTTTTTGTTTTGTTTTGTTTTGTTTTGTTTTGTTTTGTTGAGATGGAATCTTGCTCTGTCGCCAGGCTGGAGTGCAGTGGTGTGATCTCAGCTAACTGCAACCTCTGCCTTCCGGATTCAAGCAATTGTCCTTGCCTCAGCCTCCCGAGTAGCTGGGACTACAGATGCGCGCCACCATGCCCAGCTAATTTTTGTATTTTTAGTAGAGACAGGGTTTCACCATGTGGGCCAGGATGGTCTTGACCTCGTGATCTGCCCGCCTCAGCCTCCCAAAGTGCTGGGATTACAGGTGTGAGCCACCGTACCCGGCCATCTTTCAAGTTATTAACTCTCACTCCCACATGAGGCTATTGTGGAAGTCACTGTTGTCTGGCTCCTCTAGGAGTAAGATATTCCCTGATACCACAGGGATAGAAGTAAAGCTTCCAATGATATGGGGAAGTAGGGAAGGCTTGAGAGGCAAGCTATTTTTCATAGCTTGATGATGCAGCCTGGCAATGCTTAATATATTCTCCTTTATGAGGTGGTCTGGATAGAACTGAAGAGATGAATTATCCATAAGACTAGTACATCTCAAGATACACTGAATGCTTTCCACAATTTTAAGAAAGTCCTACTGGGTATCATGCAGAAGCCCTGCTGGTATATGTGGACCAGTAATGAATCTGTGAGTCCTCAAACACAGATCTAGAGGTTAAAACCAGTTCTTAGCAATACTGCATCCAGGAATATATATGTTGGTGATCTAGATTTTTAGAGTAGATCAGGAGGATGTCCCAGTAACAATACTCAAAGTAATGCCATCATTAGCACTTGAGCTGGGAAGTCAGGTTTCCAGGTTCCTTCTAGCTCTGCTACTTACCAGCAGTGTCATCTTGAGCAAGTTATTTGCCTTCACTAAACTTCAGTTTGCTTTTCTGCCAAATGCAATTAATAGTAATACTTACCTCAAAGATTTGTTGTGAGGACTAAATGAGATAATCATGTAAAGTACTCAACACAGTGTGAGCATTAAGTATATAATACATGTTTACAATTATTAATAGCTACTAGCTTAGGAGGCCCTTCTTGATCCTTATCATTAACCACTGGAAGATGCTGGTAGGAGGGTTATCCAAACAGTATAAAGATGTTCTCGGGACCAGGCGCGGGGGCTCACGCCTGTAATCCCAGCACTTTGGGAGGCTGAGGCAGCTGTATCACGAGGTCAGGAGCTTGGGACCATCCGGACTAACCCGGTGAACCCCCATCTCTACTAAAAATAGAAAAAATTAGCCGGGTGTGGTGGCGGGCGCCTGTAGTCCCAGCTACTCAGGAGGCTGAGGCAGGAGAATTGCCTGAACCTGGGAGGCAGAGCTTGCAGTGAGCCGAGATCGCGCCACTGAACTCCAGCCTGGGCGACACAGCGAGACTGTCTCAAAAAAAAAAAAAAAAAAAGAGAGATGTTCTCAAAGGCCTAGGTGCCACATGGGACCTGAAGAGCCATGTTTGTTCATTGTTTTAACTGTAGGTACCCCAAAGATCCAGCTTCATAAATACCCATGTTCTGGGGTTGGTCTAGAAGATGACCATCAATATGACTATGTGGTTGTATCAGATGGTGAGTGCAAAGAAGATGCAATAATCTTGAACCAAGAACTCCCTGTTCCACACCAAAGTGCCCCATTATTGCCACAGATTTGAGAAACACCTTAGTTTTAGGTTTAGAAAAGGTATATAACAACACAATGGAAATACATTTCTCAGTCACATTCATGTGTGCAAAATGTAAATGATTTCCTTATAACTCACTTTAGCTCATGGGTTATTTCACTGATAATGGAAAACCTAACTCTGTAATCCAAAGTAATCTCAGTTACTTGCAGTTTAAACTCAATCTTTTTTGGTTAAATAGTCAAATTAGGATTTTCTCCTTTTACTTCCTTCTCTCCCTTCTTGGGGTGTAACATCTAGGTTCTGAATGATCCAAGTCCTCCTGGGTGGTCTATCATCCTGACTTTGGGAAAGAGGAACATGGTTTATGGGCTTCAGCAAACCACCTAGTTGGCTTCTTCTAAGATGAATAATCTGTTTCTTTTGTATTGGTTGCCTATCCCCCCTATAACGGTGCTGAAATGTCTGTGCCCACTTGGCTCATCAGTCCCCAGGACCTCACAAGTCACTCTAAGTCTTCCTCATCCTGACCTCTCCAGGTCCACTGGCCTCACTTTCAGTCATTTTTGTCCTTCTTTAGTTTTTTTTAATTAGATTTTTTAAAACTATGGTAAAATATATATAAGAATTTTCATTTTAATCATTTAAAGTGTACATTTCAGTGGCATTCTTGCTCGTCTTTATATTGTTGAGCCACCATCATCACTATCCATCTCCGCAATACTTTCATCACCCCAAACTGAAGCTCAGTACCTATTAAAGAATAGCTCTGTATTCTCTCCTCCCTCTAGCCCCTGGTAACCACTTTTCTACTTTCTGTCTGTATGAATTTGACCGTTCTAAATATTTCACATAAGTGGAATCCTACAGGATTTGTCCTTTTGCATCTAGCTCATTTCACTTAGCACAATTTTTTTTTTTTTTTTTTTTTTTTGAGCCATAGTCTCACTCTGTCACCCAGGCTGGAGTGCAGTGGCGCGATCTTAGCTCACTGCAATCTCCACCACCTGGGTTCAAGCGATTCTCCTGAATCAGCCTCCAGAGTAGGTGGGACTACAGGCACGTGCCACCATGCCCGGCTAATTTTTTGTATTTTTAGTAGAGACGGGGTTTCACCGTGTTAGCCAGGATGGTCCTGATCTCCTGACCTCGTGATCCACCCGCCTTGGCCTCCAAAAGTGCTGGGATTACAGGTGTGAGCCACCATGCCCAGCTCATTTAGCGTAATGTTTTATAGGTTCATCCATGTTTAGCATGTTTCAGAATTTCACTCCTTTCAAAGGCTGAATACTATTCCATTGTATGGATACATCACATTTTATTTATCCATTTATCTGTTGATAGGCATTTGGATTGTTTCCAGCTGTTGGCTATTGTGAATAAAGCTGCCATGAACATGGATGTACAAATATCTGAGTCCCTGCTTTCAATTCTTTTGGGTAAATATCTAGAAGTGAAATTGCTGGATCATATGATAATTCTATTTTCATTTTATGAGGAGCCGCCATACTGGGAACTTTTGAAGGTTTTTCTGAAACCACCTTTGCAAAAAGTATAACTGAGAAAATTATTACAGTGAAAACGATCTGACCTAACCGACTCCGTCTTGCTTCTAACCTCCAAGGTGTCCTTGTTCATTCCAGGGTGGAGGCCAAACTAACTTTGAGAGGAATTTAGTTTATAGTTTAACTTTGAAACAAAGAAGATAACAGCTCTTTCCCAAAACAAACTCCCTTTCTGACTAGAGATTAGATTGGTTTTGTAGGACTAATAAATTAGCCACAAGATTAGAAATTATGGTTTAGGAGTCCTGTGGCTGGAGGCTGCAAGATTCTGAACCTCTCAAATTTCTCCTGAGAATAACAAGACTATTATAAAACCTAAGATCAGCATTTGAGATATTTTCCAGACCTTGCACTCAGTGGATCAGGTGGCACCAACTAGATCGATAAATTGGCTCATCTGGTCTTGTGGTCCCTACCCAGGAACCGGCTCAGTGCAAAGGAACAGCTTTGACTCCTTATGATTTCACCTCTGACTCGACCAATCAGCACTCTCCGCTTTCCAACCACCTACCCACCAAATTATCCTGAAAAACCCTGGTCTCTGGTTTTCAGGGAGACTGATTTGTTTGAGTAATAATAAAACTCTAGTCTCCCGTACAGTTGGCTCTGCATGAATTATACTTTTCCTCCATTGAAATTTCTTGATAAGTCGGCTCTGTCTAGGCAGCGGGCCTAGACAGTATTCCTGGATAAGTTGGCTCTGTCTAGGCAGTGGGCAAGGAGAACCCGTTGGGCAGTTATGTTCCCACGTTATTCAGAGGTGTGCAGGCCTCTTAGGAGCTGCCCTGAGGCCCGTCTACCTGGACAGCACATTTAGTCATTGCTCCTCCTCAGATCAGGTGCCCTGCTATAGACAGGCTTCACTGCCAAATGTGCCATCATACCAAGCAACACCTGGGGAGCTTGATGATGATTTTCCTGCTCTGAGAGGCCCCCTAATCCTCAGCAGAATAGCTGATGTGTTTCCCCGTCTCCTTCTTAGGACTCAGCTTGAAGTTCATAAAGGAGAGAAACTACATCCATGAGGCCAAGTTCCTTCATGTGCTCTCCAATTCTTTCTCCTGCCTAGTGGTAGAAATTTTACTTCCTTTTGGCTTAGGAAAACTGCTTGTGCCTCATCTTATATTCTTCCAGAGTCTGATAATTATGGTCTAAAGTTTATATTTGGACTTTGACTCTTGATTTTCAAAGCCAAGCTTCTGAACTTAAAAATACTTTCTCTTTCAAACAGCCCAACTCTCACAATTTAGAAATCTCTGCTTTCCAGTCTATTGTCTCTGCTATGAATTTCAAGAGTCTACTTTAGAACTCAAAGCCAAGAATTTGACTTTTGGAGGCCAGGCACAGTGGCTCAAGCCTGTAATGCCAGCACTTGTGGAGGCCGAGGCAGGCAGATCGCTTGAGGTCAGGAGTTCAAGACCAGCCTGGCCAACATGGTGAAACCCTGTCTCTACTAAAATACAAAAATTAGCTGGGCGTGGTAGCACATGCTTGTAATCCCAGCTACTCAGGAGACTGAGGCAGGAGAATCACTTGACCCCAGAAGGCAGAGGTTGCAGTGAGCCGAGATGGTGCCACTGCACTCCAACCTGGGCAACAGAGCTAGACTCCCTCTCAAAAAAAAAAAAAAAAAAGAATATGACTTTTTGTTCTTCGCTGCATAGAGAGTACCTTTAGAAACCATTGCTGCCACCCCACTGACCTGGAGGGGTTAGCTTGATCCAGAAAGCACAACAGGAAAAAAGCTCTCTATGTCTCAAAATGAAGCCACTCCCACAGGGTTGACAAGAATTGCATGCCAGGTTCAGGACAGAAATATAGTTATAATTAAGCATTAATCAGGCTGCACTTTGGTCCACTTCCTTGTTGGTAAAAGTCATGCAGCACTAGATGCTGACCATCTGTATCCCCATTGTTCCTATAGATAGGGTCTCTGACATTAGGGTCATAAGACTGTTCAAGACTCATTGGCATCTCCATTGTTCCTACAGATAGGATCTCCGACATTAGGATAATAAGGCTTTTGTTTAAGGATTACTTATGATCTTTCTCAGACCCCGAATTCTAGAAACCAGTTTGAAGAACCCCACAGAAGAACGGGATCAGCAAAAGAATACAGCTTCTTCATCTCCTTGTCCCATGACTTCACCCTGCACTCTTCAACCAATCAATCTCCACTCTTTGGCCCACTCCAAAAGCCTTAAAAAAAACTCTAGCCCCAAACTTCTCGGGGAGACATATTAGTTTACTTCCATCTCCTCGTTCAGTGGCGCTATGATTAAACCTCTTTCTCTGCAACACACAACCTATTGTCTCAGTGTATTGACTTGCTGTGTACATTGGCAATGAACCTATTATGGTTACAAAAGTATTATATAGCTGCTAGCTTGGGTGTAACCCAGATCATGAATACAAACTATGTTATTTATTATTAGTGGGAATATGAGACCAGTCAGCCAGAGAAGGGACTTAAGTAGTTTCTTATAATCATAGTATAGTCTGAGAGTATCAAAGAGCTCAAGGAACTGAGCTCAAATTACAGGATCTTTATGCAGGGGGGAAGGGGATCACAGGCAAATGTCAAGATCCTAGGCAAATACCAGCATTAAGAACTGGTACTTGTCCAGGGCGATGGCTCACTCCCACCTATAATCTCAACACTTTGGGAGGCCAAGGCGGGTGGATCACTTGAGGTTGGGAATTGACAAGACCAGCCTGGCCAACGTGGTGAAACCCGTCCTTACTAAAAATACAAAAATTAGCTGGGTGTGGTGGTGCATGCCTGTAATCCCAGCTACTTGGGAGGCTGAGGCACGAGAATTGCTTGAACCTGGGAGGCAGAGGTTGCAGTGAGCTGAGATTGCGCCACTGCACTCCCACCTGGGCAACAGAGCGAGACTTTGTCTAAAAAAAAAAATAGCTGGTACTAGTGGCTGGCTTTAACATGATTGGGCTGGCTGAATTGAAAGAGCCAGGAATAGCATCACAGAGCATGGAAGTAAACCACTTTACATTTACAGTGTTCTAGCACCCCTTCATACAGCGTCTAAGCCTGCAAGCCCTCCCCGCAACCCAGAGGCACTGATCCTTTGTACTTTGTACACTGATCCTAAAAGTAATTATTAGTAGGCCACTATTTAAGAAGTAATTTTCTCAATAGATTTTTACATGTGTGTGCATGTTTATGTATAAAAGTGTGTTTATTTTTAAATACAATTTGCTTTTGTTTATTTATTTTGCCAAGGAACAACAATAACAAAATCCAGTTTTGAATCCCACAAGTACAACCACAGGAAAGCACCTAAAATTGCTGAAGGTTGACAAAAGCTGATGAACAAGGCATTGTAATTTAGGATTCAGGATTCATCAATTCTAGTTTTTATCCTTGTCCTTTACTAGCTGTGGCTTTGGCTAGGTCCCATAGTCTTTTTCTGTGCTCATGTTCCTTCCTTCACTTACAAAATGAGGTTAATTACAAGGACCAGCCTCATTCCCAAAGCAGTTTTGTGGTTGTTGACTATTTAATTAGCAAGTCTTTTAGTACTAACAATTAGCAACATAAACTATCTACTCTCTTTATTCACAATGGGTGGAGCTGCAAATATTGTGTATCTGAAGTTTTTGACAAGAGGAAATTATGTAAGGGGTAGTTTATTTTTATTTATGCATTTATTTATTTATTTGGAGACAGTCTCTCTCTGTTGCCCAGGATGGAGTGCAGTGGCACCATCTTGACCCACTGTAATCTCCGCTCCTAGGTTCAAGTGATTCTCCTACCTCAGCCTTTCAAGTAGCTGGGATTACAGGCACGCCTGTCACACTCGGGAAATTTCTGAAGTTTTAGTATAGACGAAGTTTCGCCATGTGGGCCAGGCTGGTCTTGCACTCCTGGCCTCAAGTGATCCGCCCACCTCAGCCTCCCAAAGTGTTGGGATTACAGGCCTGAGACACCACACCTGGCTGGGGGCACTCTATTTTAATGAGCACCAGTTCACAAGAAATAAACATTTCTGGCTCGGTGTGGTGGCTCATGCCTGTAAATCCAGCACTTTGGGAGGCCAAGACAAGCAGACCACTTGAGGCCAGGAGTTCAAGACCAACCTGGCCCACATGGTGAAACTCCGTCTCTACTAAAACTACAAAAATTAGTCAGGCGTGATGGTGGGTGCCTGTAATCCTAGCTACTCTGGAGGCTGAGGCAGGAGAATCCCTTGAATGTGGGAGGTGGAGGTTGCAGTGAGCTGAGATGGCGCCACTGTACTCCAGCCTGGATGACAGAGTGAGACTCCGTCTCAAAAAAAGAGAAATAAACATTTCTGATGAGGTAGTGCAGACACGTAGTACCTTTCCATGAATACCCTTCTGGGGAAAAAATCTGAAATCTCGCACCCTGAAGGGAAATGCAAATTAATTCCATCACTTTCATGATACCGTCTTTGCCATTCTTGTTATATCTTCTTTGGTTTTGATGAATCCTATCGGGCTCTTTCCTCCCACACTTCTCAATGTTTGTAGAAAATAGGTCATAAAAATGAGCAGAAAGAGGCACACAATCTTCTCAAAGTTAATGGGCACTAATGTGAATGTTCCATACCATGTGATATTAGAATGGTTAACTACTCAATGACCTTCAGACAATGTTCCCCAAACACCCAAGTTTTATCATCTGAAGGCTTGCAATGTCCAACACAAGAGGAAACGGACCCTATTGGTGCTTGTGCATACCTGATCTAATCTGTTTCCACAACAACCCTAAGAGTATTTTATATTTGGAGAAACTTAATATTAAAGAAGTTTAAGAAACTCCTTCCTCATGACCACACAGCTAAAAAGTAACAGAACCAGGACTCAGACTTAGGCCTGCATGACTCTAAGCCCAGGTTTTCTTGAAATAATACAGAAAAAGTACTCAAGACAGTCCCTGATTCATAGTAAGTTCCAGGTAAGTATTGGCTATTCTTTATCATAACTTACTTATTTATAATTCTGTCATTATTATTACGTTGCAACGTCTGTCAAAAGGGTGGCTCCCTCTTTCTTCTGACGATGATTCTCATGTGCCTGAGACACATCTGGAGACACATTGAAGACAACTTCATTAACAGACCCTGTTCACATAGAAGCTTGAGAGCTGGTATTTGTCTAAGTTGTAAGTAAAGACATGCTTTTTCCCACTTTATTTAAAAGCCACTTTTCAAAAGTTTTTTGAAAGCACATCTTCTTCCCATCGTTGCTCTACCTCTGACTTTTCTGTTGCTGACATTTTCTTCAAAGGGTGACATCTTATTCAAAGAGTGAGTCTGCTGCATTTCCTTTGGGATTTCTTGAAGTCCCTAGGGGTCACTGGGCCAGCCATCATAGGTTTACCTCTTTCTCTAACTTTGTGAAGACATGATTGCCTTGTGACATGCATGGCATGTGCATCTCAGGCATTCAGCACAAATGCTGTGAATAAGGCAGATTGTTCTCCTTTTGCTTGGGGGAGATATGAGAATCCACGTGAGTGCCACATAGATAAGATAGAATCAGGTCAAGTTTGTTGATCGACAAGCTAGTCTGCATGAAACTTCATTCAACTTCTAATTAACCTTCTAATACTGTTGCTTTTTTACATGCCAGAAAGGGGGTATGAAATTTCTTCTCTAAAGAAAAATAGGATATACAGATGTATCTTTTACATTAATGCTGTACCATCTGCAGCCACACTGGTAGCCACTCTTGAGTTTCCTAAAAATTACACCTGTTTTGCTGCAAAGGATAGTCAGCCACTGAAGTTCAAGTATATGTGAAACTAGATGTTTTTTTTTTCTTTTCTTTTCTTTTCTTTTTTTTTTTTTTTGAGACAGAGTTTCGCTCTGTTCCCCAGGCTGGAGTGCAGTGACGTGATCTCGGCTCACTGCAACCTCCGCCTCCCAGATTCAGGCCTCAGCCTCCCGAGTAGCTGGGACTACAAGCACGGGCCACCATGCCTGGCTAATTTTTGTATTTTTAGTAGAGACAGGGTTTCGCCATGTTGGTCAGGCTGGTCTTGAATTCCTGACGTCAGGTGATCTGCCCCTCTCTACATCCCAAAGTGCTGGGATTACAGGCATGAGCCACAGTGCCTGGCTGTGAAACTAGTTTTGATGCTTCATTTTTATGTCAAATTCAGTTCACATTCTAGTGAATAAAGATGAGAAAAAGTAGCTGAGGATGTTGGAGGAGACATTAGGGAACTCTAGGGAAATGAGGAAGGGAAGTGAGAAAGCAGATGCAGGGAGAAAATTTCTCCAGCATCCCTTCTCCTACCACACGGGAAATTCTGAATACGTTCTCACAAAATGTGGCTGATAATTAGAGTGACTGAACTTCCTGACTTGACTGCAACAGCCTCAGTTTTTTCCCATTGCCCTGGCATGATTATTAATTTGCTTTTTTCATTCTCAAAAGTGTGAGATTTAAACAATAAGTTTAAAAAGCCACCTTATTCATAATCTAGTCCTCCAAAGTCTGGCTTCATGTTAATGTTTATGTAAAAAAAAACAATGAATTTTTTTAACCATCAAAGATTACATTTTAGCAAATCAAAATTCTGATTTCTGCCTAAACTTTCTCATATACAAGTGAGTATAGAAATGTTGTTGGCACCACTCTAAGAAGGTTCTGACAAGCATTCTCAAATTAGTTGAATTAGAGAAATTAGCTTCAGTAGGATTTTTGAAATCATATATCATTTTATCAGATAAAATGCTATTTTCTTAGTTGAAATCCAAAATCAGATTGTGTAGGGGTTATTTAAACTTTCTTCTTCTGCTTCTGTTTTTTTTCTTTTGGTCACGTGTTCTGCCTTCACAACTCATTGGTAGAGGTAGGATGGTCTGAGTTGAGAATAGTCCTATTATGTAAGACGGATACATCTGTTGGAATAGAGGAGGCACTGGATAGAAGCCCAACCAGACAGCTGAGCTCAGCAGCAAAAAAGTGGGTAGTAGTATAATCGCCCAGTGGGTTCACCTTGCCCACTGCCTAGACAGAGTCGATTTATCAAGGCAAGGGAATTGCAATAAAGAGTAATTCACACAGACTCAGCTGTGCTGGAGACCAGAGTTTTATTATTACTCAAATCAGTCTCTCTGAGCATGGAAGGGGGAGGTCAGAGTTTTTAAAGATAATTTGACAGGTAGTGGCTCAGGAAGTGGGGAGTGCTGATTGGTCAGGTTGGAGATGGAATCACAGGGGATCAAGTGAGGTTTTCTTGCTGTGCTCTGTTCCTGGATGGGATCACAGAACTGGTTGAGCCAGATTGCCAGTCTAGGTGGTATCAGCTGATCCATCAAGTGCAGGGTCTACAAAATATCTCAAGCACTAATTTCAGGTTTCGCAATAGTGATGTTATCCCTAGAAGCAATAGGGGAGGTTCCCACTCTTATAGCCAGAGGCTGCATGACCCCTAAACCATAATTTCTAATCTTGTAGCTAATTTGTTAGTCCTACAAAGGCAGACTGGTCCCCAGGCAAGAAGGAGGTCTTTTGGGGAAAGCGCTATTATCAATTTTGTTTCAGAGTCAAACCATGAACTGAATTCCTTCCCAAGGCTAGTTCAGCCTACAGCTAGGAATGAACAAAGATGGCTTAAAGGTTAGAAGCAGGATGGAGTGGATTAGGTCTGATCTCTTTCACTGCCATAATTTCCTCATTTATAATTTTTGCAAAGGAGGTTTCAGCAGTAAGCAGGCTGGTTCAACAATTCTTACAGGACAAGCCTACCCACATGGCATCAGCTTTAGGTAGTTCTCACAAGGCAGTTAGTTAAATCTTCCAGCATTCAGACTTGAACCATTTAGCAAATAGCCAGGTCAAATTACTTTCAGCTAAGAAGAACCTTGGCATGTATCAGAAAGCATGGGGTGATTATACTATTAATGCAGTGTCCCTTAAATTTCCTCAATTTTGGATTTAGTGGAAGTCTACAGAGTCATAGGAATTCAGCAGGCCATCTGAAGCCAGTGGAAGCAATATTTTCTGAGTTTTTCCTAAGCAGGGTTTTTGACTATTTACTTGGAAATTATTAAAAGGATGAGTCTGCTGCATATCCTTTGGGATATTTTGTATATATTTCCTTTGGGAAGAGCTATACGCTTCTCAACTTCCTCTCATCTCAGCCATCATGATATGTATTGGTAAATCAATGAATTTTTTTCATCACATTTTTCAATATATTCCCTAGACTTTCAGATGTCTCTGCCTTGTTACTGCAGATCATTTCCCTTTGTCCAAACTCTCACCTGCTACTCCAGTTAGAAGCAACCCATCATTTGTGTTAAATAAATACAGAAATATTTAATTTATTTAATATTAAATATTAATATTTAGCTGGGACTACAGGCATGTGCCACCACACTCAGCTAATTTTTGTATTTTTTGTAGAGATGGGATTTCACCATGTTGCCCAGGCTGGTCTCGAACTCCTGGACTCAAGTGATCCACCCACTTCGGCCTCCCAAAGTACTGGGATTATAGGCATAAATTAAATAAAAACAGTTTGGCATGAATATGAGGAGGAAGAGTCAAAGCAAGGAAGACCAGGAATAGAAGTAGAGAGAAAATTTTTTTACAGAAGATAGTAAGAGAAGAAAGCATGGGGGAAAAGATGCAAGAAGAGAAGGAGAATATGAAATAAGAGCCTCTCTTCAATAAGATTTGAGGGTTTTCTTCTCTCAGAGGACCTTAAGGATGCCTGAATTTAGCAGGAACAATTAGGGACAGTAAGCGCAGACTACTTAGCAACTTAGTGCCCACGCCCACCCACACCACCCCTATATCTATACCAGCACACTGTTGTATAGCAAATACAGTCATCCATAAGTCACAGGGTACTGACAAAGTTTTAGATTCAGTCTTTGTGACTGTGATGAGGATGTCTCAGGTGTAGTGCTTGGCTCTGTGTTACTTGCCAATTACACCTGGTTGGATGTAAGAGACCAACGTTTTGGGGTCCACATCTCTTCTGTGTGGTAGTTGCTTTCCTGTGTTCTTGTCTTGCAGTGAATTCATGAGGACTTTTACTCTAGATGAGTAGTGTGAACCTGAAAATTTGAGACAGGTCTCAGTTAATTTAGAAAGTTTATTTTGCCAAAGTTGAGGACGTGCACTTGTGACACAGCCTCAGTAGGTCCCGACAACATGTGTCCAGGATGGCCAGAGCACAGTTTGGTTTTATACATTCTAGGGAGACATGAGACATCAATCAACATATGCAAGATGAACACTGGTTTGGTCTGGAAAGGTGGGACAACTCAAAGCAAAGGCAGGAAGACTTGAAGCAGGGAGGCGGCTTCCAGGGCATAGGTAGATAGAAGACAAATGGTTGCATTCTTTTGGGTTTCTGGTTAGCCTCTCCAAAGGAGGTGATCAGACGTGGATTCATCTCAGTGAGCAGCAGGGTGAGTTTGAATAGAATGGCAGGCAGGTTGGCCCTAAGCAGTTCCCAGCTTGACTTTTCCCTTTAGCTTAGTGATTGGGGGTCCCAAGATTAATTTTCCTTTCACAGTAGTCATGTTCTTTAGGCCATTTAGCCTAGCCTCCTTCAATATGGAACAGGGGTTGGACTAGAAAATCCCTAAATGCCCTGTGGCTCCAGCATTCTAGAATTATGAAATAATTCAGCAACATAGGACGTACATCTCTTTGGAATATCAAAGTCTTCCTTAAGGAGCAAGAAGGATGTCATTTTCCTTGGGAAATTAGGACTTGAAGAAAGAAATACAGAAGTTTAAAGTAGATTATTGAGCATTATGTCACACTTAGAGAGATTCGTCTCAATAGTTCCTATCTGTCTAATTTCTGTTTCTGGGGTACTGAAGTCAATACTATCTAGATAGGCCTCACAATAATCTCTTATTTTATTCCATCCCTCTTCTATATGGGGGACTAAATCAGGAAGTTGCAGGCTTTTTTTTTATTCCTCCTCCTCCTCCTTCTTCTTCGACAGGGTCTTACTATGTTAGCCAGGGTCGTCTCAAACTCCTGGCCTCAAGTGGTCCTCCTGCCTAAAAGTGCTGGAAGTAGAGGGGTGAGCCACCACTCCCAGCCAAAACTTTTTCTGTAAAGGACAATATAGCAAATATTTTAGGTTTTGCAGGCCAAAGAGACAGATCAAGGATATTATGAAGGTACTTGTGTAACCATTTAAAATGTAACAATTTTAATTTAACTGAATTTTAAGTAAAAGTCCCCATAAAAACCCCATCTAAAGGTCAGCAGCCTCAAAGATTTAAGGTAGATAAACTCATAAGATGAGAAAGAATCAATGAAAAAACCGCCGGAGCCTCAAAAAGCCAGAGTGCCTCTTCTCCTCCAAATGATCATGACAATTTTAAAATGTAGGAATCATTCCTAACTAGTATGCTATACAAAGAGCAGCCAGCAGGCTGGATTTAGCCCACAGGCCATAGTTTGCCAACCTCTGGACCAGAATGATATGAAAGGGAAGGAACCAATCCAGAGACATTTGTGTTAGTCACTGAGGAACCTCCCTACAAGGAGCAAAATGACCAAACTGGAATAATCTGAAAATTGTTTTGCTCACGTCTGACACTTTGGCTGGAATGACTTGAAGATGAGGGCTAAGAACCAGAGCCCCATATAACTTGGCTTCTTACAGCTTGTTAGTTTCAGGCTAGTCAGGCTTCTTGTATGGCTCAAGGCTTTAAGAGTGAGTGAATGAATCAGAAACTGCATTGACCCAGCCTTGAATATCCACAGCCTCATTTCCCACCATACTCTGTTGGTTGATGCATTACTAAGCCTACCTAGATGCAAGAGGAAGGGACAGATCTACCCCTAAATCAGAGGAATGTCAAAGAATTTGAGGGTATAATTTTATTTTATTTTTGAGACAGGATCTTGCTCTGTTACCTAGGCTGGAGTGCAGTGGTACGACATTGACTCATTGCAATCTCTGCCTCCTGTGCTCAGGCGATCCTCCCATCTCAGCCTCCTGAGTAGCTGGGACTACAGGCATGCGCCACCATGCCCAGCTAATTTTTGTATTTTTTGTAGAGACAGGATTCCACCATGTTGCCCAGGCTGGTCTCGAACTCCTGGACTCAAGTGATCCACCCACTTCGGCCTCCCAAAGTGCTGGGATTATAGGCATAAGCCACTGCACCTGGCAAGGGCATAGTTTTAAGTAATCACACTTTGGTGATCACTAGGTCTGCATATCCAGTGTTTGGAAATCTATTTCTAGCCTGCCTTTTGGATTTGATGACATTTTAAACCCCTCAAACTTATCCACATTGGCTCTTCACTCTACCGTTGGCTTTTTATGCTTCCTTGATATCCACATTATTGTAAGTCTTTGGTAAGAGGTTCTTCCCATTGGCATGGACCTACAGAATGCTCAGCCCTCTCCAAGGACAAGGATTTTATACAATACAACTAGGACTAGAGATTATTAGAGGCCCTCTGCTCATCATAGAGTTGTCTGTATAGCTGAAGATTCTATTAGCAGAGACAGGGAGGCAGCTGTACACTTGCAAAGTGATTGAGTTGCTGGCAACTCACACCACTGCTGGAAAAGTTTCTAAATATGGCCCTAAAGGCAGAAACTATAAGAAAGAGAATGATAATTTGGCTACGTAAAAATGAAAAAAGATGAAAAAATTATTTCCTCAAGTTTCTTACTAGCTACTGATTTTAAATGAAATATAAGAGCTTGTTTGTTAAAGGTGTGTAAACACTGGTGTTCTTACGTGGAGAATACAGACCTCAACATAATGTTGCCTAAGATATTTTATCAGAATGGGAGGGTTGTTTTCCTTCTGTGTAAGTGAATAATAAATACTACGTGTGAGAATGAGTCATATCCTCAAATACTTTTCTTTTTGGTGACCAATAAATCTCTCATGATTCTCATGAAAGAATCTTAACAGACATTTACTCATACATTTACCACGGTATCGAGATAGGATATACATGGGGAAACAAAACTCTGATGCCATAGGTAAGGTAGTAGAAATAACTTTCAACTGGAGACAGAACTTTCCAGTTGGAGCTTGTGTCATCCTGGAACATTTATGCCCTTGGGCAGGTCACTTAACATCTCTGAGCTTTAGTTTCCTTACTATTAGTAAAGCATAATAATACCTTGGAGAGTTGCTATGAAGATTAGAACCAAATAAACATTTACTGAGCTCCGACTCTTTGCCACGTTCTTAACACACGTGAAAGAGTGTTTGTAAAATGCTACACAAAAATGTTACATCACATAACAAATTCCCTGCTCTAAAGGAGGCCTGAGTAGAAGAAGGACAAAAGAGCATACATACAATTAATGATAACAAAATTTGAAAGTGAGAAAAGCTCTACCAGTAAAAACAAAAGAACCGATCAGAGAAGATCAGGGAATTTAGCTGGGAAGCTTGAATTGGGCTTTGAAAGATGGGTAAGTGCTTGGACCTATGGGGATGTGTGAGAAAGATAATGTAGATAGAGGGTATATGCTATGGTTTGAATATTTGTTCATTCCAAAACTGATGTTGAAATTTAATCCCCAGTGTGGCAGTATTGAGAGAAGGGGCCTGTAGGAGGTGATTGGATCATGCGGGCTCTGCCTTCATGAATGGATTAACCCATTCATGAATTAATAGGTTATCATGGGAGTGGGATTGGTAGCTTCTTAAGAAGAAGAGAGACCTGATCTACCATGCTAATCCCCCTGGCCATGTGATAACCTGTACCACCTGGGGACTTTGCAGAGTTCCCACCAGCAAGAAGACTCTCACCAAATGCGACCCCTTGATTTGGACTGCTCAACCTCCATAACTAAAAAATAAGTTCCTTTTCTTATAAATAACTCATTTTCAGGTATTTGGTTATAAGCAATAGAAAATGGACTAAGACAATACAATATGAGAAGGGGCAAACAGGAGAAATGAAAGCAAAGATAGTATAGGGAAAACAACAGTAATTTAACAATAGTGTGGGGTGGACGAAGGTCAGCAGTAGCCAGAAAAAGCTTGGAACCAAATCACAAAGAGTCCTGAAGACCACGCTAAGGAGTTTAGAATTCATTCCTTAGGAAATAGAGTTGTATGAAATGTGCAAACTTTGGCATTAGACTTGGGTTGGCCCCTCACTTCCTAGCTATGCAGTTTTGAGCAAGCCACTTGACCTCTTTAAACCTCAGTTTCCTCTTTCATATAATAGAGAGACTAATACTAACCTAAGTACCAAGCTTAGTACCTTGAAAATAGGAGATGCTTGACATATCAAAGTTATTATTGGTTAACTACTGAAGGACTTTAATTAGAGTAGTGAATATAATTTTATTCTACAGCACTATGTACACTAGATTAGAGGCTGGGAGAACAGCTAGGAGAAAATTACAGTAGTCTAGGAAAGAGGTAGTGGAGTCATAGGGAATACAGAAAAATTTAAAAGTAGAAGGTTCAAAATAAGAGTGTTAGAAAATATTTTAGGATAGAATATAATGAACCACGTTTTAGACACAGAAAATCCATTATAGGAGAGGAAATGAAGATGTACATGACAGGAAAACACCTACGAACTAAATTCTGGAGGAGGTGAGTGGGGATGAGATATTGCATCTAAGGGAAATAGTACTCTGCCTTTTTATCTGTTTGTATTCTGTGATACAGAATGCATTTTTGTCAGTATAAATAATTTGGGGAATAAGATAAGTCACAGAGATTGAAAGAGAATATCTTAGAACGAAAACAGAAAGAAGAGAGTAAGAAAATGCCAAATGAGGCTAAATAGACATTATGAGATAAAAAGAGACAACCTCCCACTCAAGCAGAATGTGAGGTCACCTGCAGGAAATGAGGTAGGTTTCATATATACGACTAGAAGAGTGTGAAGAGTATGGGACTAGATTAGTCTAGATCAAGATTTCTTAAATTTCCTTTAATCAGTAGTAAATACTATTCTTATTTTGGAACACATCATTCTCCGGGAGCATGGAGTCTGTTCTGTTCATTGCAGGGCATTTAGTAACATTCTTGGCCTCTACCTATTTAGATATCAGGACCCTTTCCCCCAGTTTTTTTTTTTTTTTTTTTTTTGAGACGGAGTCCCGCTTTGTCCCCCAGGCTGGAGGGCAATGGCACCATCTCAGCTCACTGCAACTTCCGCCTCCCGGGTTCAAACGATTCCCCTGCCTCAGCCTCCTGAGTAGCTGAGATTACAGGAGTGTGCCACCATGCCTGGCTAATTTTTTGTATCTTTAAGTAGAGACGGGGTTTCACCATGTTGGCCAGGCTGGTCTTGAACTCCTGACCTCGTGATCCGCCCACCTCGGCCTCCCAAAGTGCTGGGATTACAGGCGTGAACCACCACACCTGGCCCTTTTTTTTTTTTTAAATCATTTTATTACTCTTTGTTAACAAACATCCCCAGAGACAGGGGACCAGGGGAACGGGGAGGAGGGGAAGTGGGTCTCCAGCCCTACAACCCCTCCCAACCCACCCCTTTCCCCCTTACATATTTATAATCTATATACAAGCTCTGGGGATGAGGGCAACCCAGATTCCTTGTCCCCTCGGGACCCAAGCTCCTCTGCCCGGCGGGAAGGCTCTTCTCAAGGAGGCCCTGTTGCTCCCAAGGCTTAGGCATCCAGCGGAGGACATCTGGTGGGGAGGCCTGCTGGTGAAGGTCGATGCGCTGGGTGCGGAAGACTCCACCACCGTGATAGAGCCTGAAGACCCTTACTCAGGGGAGGACCACCGTAGGTTGAAGGCGGGGCCTTGAGACGGGAATTGATGCCAGAGAAGGACCTTCCATTTGGGGGAGTATGTGATGACCCAGGACCCCCAAGGTTGCTACTCAGTTTTCAATAATCCTGGAACGGCTTTATTTCCACTGGATGCAACTCTGCTTGCCCCAAGCTAGCGGGGAAGGGCCTGGCAGGTGAAGGCCGCACCCGAGTAGCAGGAACAGGTGGGGGCCGCATAGCCAGGCTGGCTTTCCCCGAGTTTTGACAAGAAAAACATCTTCAGACATGCCCAAATGTCCGCTTGAGGGACAAACTCACCTCCAATTGAGAACCACTGGTCTAGATGTTGTTAGAATATGATAAGGGGCTGTTTAGAAATAGAGATAGGGCCGGGCGCAGTGGCTCATGCCTGTAATTCCAGCACTTTGGGAAGCTGAGGCTGGCGGATCACTTGAGATCAGGAGTTCGAGACCAGCCTGGCCAACATGGTGAAACCCCGACTCTACTAAAAATACAAAATTAGCCAGGCTACTCGGGAGGCTGAGGCAGGAGAATCGCTTGAACCCGGGAGGCGGAGGTTGCAGTGAGCTGAGCTCGCACCACTGCAATCCAGCCTGGGTGACAGAGCAAGATTCTGTCTCTAAATAAATAAATACATAGATAATGTCTTGTTTGAGACTCTATTTCTCACACCTAGAATATTGCTGGCATATACCAACACACTCTCTCTATAACAAATGAAGGGAAATAATGATTGACAACTGGCATTGAAGGTCTAGCTACAAATATATGCTGTGCTAAATATATGCACAGCATATATTTGTAGTGTAACTAACGAGCCTGATTTCCTGGTTTTGCTATTTTCTTCCAAGATGATAAAGAGCCCAGGCACAGAACAGGTGAAATAATCCAGGAAGCCAGAAAACAAAGAAGAAGGTTAAAGAAGGTGGTCAATAGTATATTAAATGATCAATAGATGGTCAGTTGGTGGTCAATAACATTACTGTTTCTAGCTATTCTTCTTTCCTGTAAGAGACAACACAAGTTGTCTTTCTCCTGAAGTTGTACATACTGAGCACATAGTAGGTATTCAAAAATCATGTTAGTTTACATTCTGAGATACAAGATTAAGTCTAAATTAAAAATATAAAATTATGAGAATTGTTTTACAAAATCATTTTATTTATGGGAAAGGTCTACCTTCAGCTTTTCGTAAAATGACTTTTCTTGCATATGAAATTATTATTTTTACTTTTTGAGACAGAGTCTCGCACTGTCGCCCAAGCTGGAACACAGTGGCACAATCTCCGCTCACTGCAACCTCTGCCTTCCGGGTTCAAGCCATTCTCCTGCTTCAACCTCCTGAGTAGCTGGGATTACAGGCGCCCACCGCCACGCCCAGCTAATTTTTTGTATTTTTAGTAGAGACTGGATTTCACTATGTTGGCCAGGCTGGTCTTGAACTGCTGACCTTGTGATCGGCCTGCCTCAGCCTCCCAAAGTGCTGGAATTACAGGCATGAGCCACTGTGCCCGGCCATGAAATTATTATTAATGTAACATCCTTCTTCCCAAGTTTAGTCCAATGCCCATCTCCTTCATTTTTAAATACAAGGCATAAAAGCAATCAAGGATACCTTAAACAACATTAAGCCTTATTTTGGTGAGAGAAAGAAATAATAGTTTTTCCACATTTTATAAGGATAATGTTTTGTTACCCTGGATATTTGAGACATTTATTATAACTTATTCTAGTTTGAATTTGCAGTTTAGACCTTTGGATGTTATTTGTTTTGCAAGTTGGTTCACCTTCCATTAAGTACATAGTGGTGCTATGTTGTGGCTTTTGTGGTCCAAACAGCTAGACTTCCCATTGGTGTGGTTAATCTGGTGAAATAATAAATGAGTTATCTGATCAAATTTTTGCTTCTCTGTAACTTATTTGTGGAAATAATAAAGTACTTTTTAAAATTTCCATACTCTTATAACATTAATTTTCTTAGGGAATAATATTTATATAAATGGTTTATTTTCCCTATCACATTGAAAGAGTAGAGTCAATTTGCTCTCCCCAACTAGCATATTTCCTTGCACATAATATATGCTTAAAAATAATTGATGGATAAATCAATAAGTAAACAACTACAACTCACAGGATAGAAGTCAGAAGAGCTGAGTTCTCGATCTGCCTATGTATTTCTGGGCAAATTGCTTAACTTCACTGAACCATATAATGTGCAGGGTTTTAGGGTAAATATTACCCAGGGAGAGGTGAAAGTATGGCGTTAGTACTTCTACTTTTCCCATGGAAATGGTGACCCAATTACCACTCTTTCTTCTGGGTTACAAAGTGAAGTCTACACATGGGTAAAGTTTACAGCAAGAATCTTAGCTTACCTGAATTTTTCAATGTGTGTAAAAGATCCAATAAGCATACGATATGTGAAATGGTTCATAACCAGAAAAATGTTGAAGGGTTGAACATACGGGACAGAGAAAAGTAATAGTATTTACGGAGATGAATACTGCCAAAACGGGCTAGAATAACATTTGTCTTCTTGTATTTGAAAAGAGGTAATCTACATGAATATGAAATGTTAGGTTTCCCTTCTATACTTGCAAAAATTTATTTACATGCTGTTGCTACCATAGCTCTTCTCCAGCAGTAATTATCCAGCTTAATTAGACTGAATATGTTGTATTAAAATGTTTGCTCTCAGTCTATTGGTGCAAAACAGTCCCTTAATGGCGATCAAAAGATAGTATGTGAGGTTACACCTATAAATTAGCAGCCAGAAGACAATAAATTACTTATGCAACACATTTGTGCAATACTTTTCATTCCATATATCCAGATTTTCTGCATGATCTGGTTTGAGCTAATTTGCAATTCTATCTTGAGCTGATTATCTGCTATATTCATACCATGTTCATTTTGCATAGGCATGTATATGTGTGTGTGTAATATTTCACACACAATTGCTCCTGCAAAAACACTGAAAGCCTACATTTAACAGGAAGTGTAAAAAAATTGATAGTCATTATTTCAAAATGACCTAGTGCCAGATGTTAAGAAGTGAATTAAATTAAATATTCATCACAGTGCTTACTCTGGATAAGGCATTGTGCTACTTACATAAACATAATTAAGACATGGTCCATGGCCCACAATCTCAAGAAGATTGAAGGCTGGTGGGGAAGGCAGACATGAACAAAAAAATTATAATGCAAAACATGAAAAGTGCCCAAAGTGGGATATTAACAAAAATTGTAGGAATGACAAAAGGTAACCACTGATTCTCACTAACAGTGTCAGTGGGAAGAGGAAATATTTAAACTAAAATGTATAGAATAAGTAGGATTTCAACATGTGATCAGAGTACAAAATAAATTAGCAGGAACAAAGACTTAGGAGTGGGAGAATCTCTTTCAGAGAATGGCCAATGGTTCAGGATTCCACAATAAATGGGGTTGAGTGAGTATTGTTCCATGCTAAGGATTTCAGATGTTATGCTGTGGTGACAGCTGAAACAATTTGAGCAGGGAAGTGAATACCACTCAAAAACAGTTAGCTGTTTTAGAAATATCATCCTGGCAGCAGTGTTTAGAATCACCTAAAGAGAAGAAAAATAAGAGCAACTCAGACAAGGATTTGTGAGCTTCTTGGAGGCAAAGATTTGTTTTCCCTATTTTTTGCATCATCAGTGCCTAGTATTGTGTCTGGCACAAAGTATGTTCTCAATAAACATTAAATGTTATTACTATAGCCTTAACAGCACAGCGTGTGAGTACAATAATGAAGTTTGATATTATTACAAGAGATTTCCGTAAATGTGTCGAATTGGTCTGGACAGTAGAGGAATTTTTCTCCTCCTTCCCATCCTCATCTTAGTTTATATTGAAGGGTGTTTTATTTCAACTTGTTTTATTTCCATTTAGGTTCAAAATAACAATGGTGCAAATAATGGTGAATTAAAACTTATAGGGAAAAGCAGTTGTTCTAAGATTCTCATCATATGCACAATTTTAGAAATAATGATGCAGAAACATTATCTACTAAGAAAAAAACATGATTTGGATATGATAAAATTATCTGTAAATATAGAAAGAAAACTATCTTTAGAAATTCACCAAAATAAACACAAAACATTTACAAAACATGGATGACTCAAGAGCAAATATTCCTTTTAGAGAGTGTATGATCTCATTCAGAGTTTGGGCTCTGAAGTCATGCTACTTGGATTTGCAACTCTGTCTCATACTTTCAAGCTCATCTTGGATAAGAGACTTAAGTGGTCAATGCCCCAGGTTTCTCTTATGTAAACTGGAGTTTGTAATATTTGTAAATTTATCTAGCTTATGAGTTGTTGCAAAGTGTTTAGAATAGTGCTTGGCACATAATGAGTGCTAAAAAAAATTTAGCTTTTTTTCTTTTCTTTTTTTTCTTTTTTTTTTTTTGAGACAGAGTCTCACTCTGTCACCCAGGCTGGAGTGCAGTGGCATGATCTCGCTCACTGTAACCTCTGCCCCCCAGAGTTCAAGTGATTCTCTTGCCTCAGCCTCCCAAGTAGCTAGGATTACAGGTGCGTGCCACCACACTTGGTTAATTTTTTTTTTTTTTTTTTTTTGAGATGGAGTCTCACTCTGTTGCCCAGGCTGGAGTGCAATGGTACAATCTCGGCTCACTGTAACTTCTGCCCCCGGGTTCAAGCGATTCTCCCCGCCTCAGCCTCCTGAGTAGCTGGGATTATAGGCACCTGCCACCACATCTGGCTAATTTTTGTATTTTTAGTAGAGACAGGGTTTCATCACGTTGGCCAGGTTGTCCTTGAACTTCTGACCTCAGGTGATCCTCCTGCCTCAGCCTCCCAAATTGTTGGGATTACACACGTGAGCCACGGTGCCCAGCCTGGCAGCTATTTTTAAGTTAGTATTCTGAATGTGGCAGAGATTGCTGTGTATTTCCCAATATATGTTTTTTTCTTATATTAATAATAGAATTTCCAAATAGTAACTATGCACATAACTGTTCAGAATGAACACTGCATCTTCCAGCCTTTGCTGCAACTAGACATCTACTAGATCTCAACATTTTCAAGTATGAAATTGCTAAGAGTTGGTGAGGATATAGAGCAGTACAGACTGTTAAACATTACTGATGGGTGAATCGGTATAATCACTTAGGAAAACAGTTTGGTGTTAGTCAATAAATGTGAAGATATGTATGCTCAATAATCCAAAACATTTTCCTAAATCTATATTCCAGAGAAACATGTATGTGTACTAGGATACATGTACAAGGATATTGTAGCAGCATTCTTTGTAATATACAAGAATTAGAATAATCCAAAGGTCCATCAACAGTTGAATGGATAAATTGAAGTATGTTTATACAACAGGATACTATTGTATCCTATTTAATAATCATCATATATAACTGAAATCATCATATATAATACATCGAATGAAATTGATGAAATTGAATCATCATATACAATAAACATCCACTGAATAGAAGAAGCAAGAACCAAAGTAACACAAACACCAAGATTCAAAAATAGGCAAACTATGTCATTTAGAAATGCATACTTGGGTGAAACACTTTAAAGAAAAGCAAGGCAATGATTACCATAAAGTCAGAATTATAGTAATCTCTAGGTCTAGAGGGAGACTTCCTCTAGGGAGAGTTGTGATTAGAAAGGAAAAGCGGGCTTCTGAAATTCCAATGCTCTGTTTCTTCACTTGAGGGGAGGCTCCATGGACATTTCCTTAAAATAATTTTTATAACTATACATTGTGGTACAGTTTCTGTGTAAACATTATATTTCTATGTGAACATTATATTTTACAATTTAAGTTACATATATATAAAGAGACATTGTGCCTTTGGCCTTTGTTCCTTTACAGTCCTTCCTCCATCCTGCTTCCTGAAACAGAAGCTGCCACCTGAGACCATGAAAACAAGGACCACTACACAGAAATAGCAGAAAAATGAGCTGGTAGGAAGTTAAGACCCAGAGGACTTAGTGGGGCAGAGCTGCCATATCAGTCCTTAACCTTTGTACCTCTGGACTTCATTTACATGAAAGAGAAATATATTTAATATTATTTTGGAATTTTCTGTTATTTATACAGCTAGGCCTGATTTTAACTAATGCACCTTTACACTAGATTTTCAAAAAGACAACCTACCCAATAGGAAAATCACTTGATCTCATACACACACAAACATACAGATGCATACACATATACACACATACACAGCCACATGCATAATTAGACAATTCATGGAAGAAGAAATCCAAAGGATTCATAAACATCTAAAACATGTTTAATCTCAGCAGTAGTCAGAGAAATGCAAACTAAAACAAGATAGAATTTTTCATGCATCAGCCTGGCAAAAATTTCTAAAGAGCAATATATTCAGTACTGTTGGGTATTCAGGAGAATGATGACCCCTTTCTGGTATTGTTAATGTAAACTGCTATACATTTTTGGAAGGAAAAATTGGCAATATTTATTAAATTTGAAATGCTCTTACAATTTCAGCCAGCAAGCCAAAACAAATCTATGCCACAGAAAGTATTCAAGAGCATATGTCCAAGAATTCTTACTGCAGCATTATTTGTCATTGTTTCCAAAAAATTGGAAACAATCTGTTAATCCATCAGTAGTGGAATGTTTAGATAAATCATGGCACGTAGTTACTATAAAATATTATGCAGCTATTTTTAAAAGTAATAATTTTTAAATATAATTAGCCAATCAACGTTGTACATGCATATCTGAATAAATTTGTATGAACATACAACAAAGTGTGAAAAGAATCAACCCAGATTGTTAATATTGGTTACCTGGGAGTTGGGGTGGGAATGGCGATTACTTTCTCTGTATACATCTTTGGATGGTTTTCCTGTTTATAGTAAGGATAAGCATGTGTTATTTTTGTTTTTTGGTTTTTTTTGTTGTTGGTTTTTCTGTTTGTTTGTTTCTGATACGGAATCTTGCTCTGTCCCCCAGGCTGGAATGCAGTGGCATGATCTCGGCTCACTACAACCTCCGCCTCCGGGTTCAAGCGATTCTCCTGCCTCAGCCTCCCAAGTAGCTGGGATTACAGGGGCATGCCACCACACCCGGCTGATTTTTTTTTTTTTTTTTTTTTTTGTATTTTTAGTAGAGATGAGGTTTCACCATGTTGACCAGGCTGGTCTCGAACTCCTGACCTCAGGTGATCCACCCACCTCAGCCTCCCAAAATGCTGGGATTACAGCGTGAGCCACCAGGCCCGGCCAATTTTTGTAACTTTTACAAAGATATTTAATTTAAAATTGATTTTAATAAAAGGTAGACATCCAAGAACACAGGATGATTAATGCACTTCAATGTTAGGTGAATATCTTTAAAACTGATTATTGTCAAACATTAAATCCATATAACCGAAGCAAACTGCACACACCTGTACAAAATAAAGGAAGTAACTTAAGAAAATAAAGTGACTTATCCACTGACATTTCACAATTAGTATTTGAACAATCAACTCAAAAGACACCCATGTGTTAGTAAAGTAAATAAATGCATGTTACTTCTTGCAATCTTCTGGGAAGGAGTTTAATGCCAAGCCGTTTCATGGAAAAGACAGGAGTTAAGAAATATGGAGGAAAGAATAATTATTCCTCATCAGGCGAGTCTGGCGATACCTAAATGTGTGTATGTAAGGGAGTGGCTTTAATTAAGGTATAGAATCCACATGTGCCAATTGAAAAGCAGTATCTTCCTGCCCCTCCTCAAAAGTTCTTCTGCTACCAAGCCATGACCCACACCTAGCCAGACCCCTGAGGCACGTTTGCCTCCTCTCTCTTGCCTTCCTCTTTCCCTGAATCTGTCTGATTGCTAAATCCTCCCACCCTTACCTCTGAAAGGCTTCTGCCCTCGCCCTCCGGCTAACCCTGCCGCGTTTTGCCCGGCCTCGCTAACAACATGGGAGCCGCCACTCCCAAAGAAGTCCGGACTGCTTTGCCGGGTCTTCCCAACCCTTCACAACCAGCTCTTTCTAGCCTCACGCCGACTTCTCCACCGTCACACTCCGCCCAGTGTTATGAGGGTTCTGCTCACTCCCGAGGACCTCGGCGCTGCCCAGGCTGCAGCCTCGAATCCCCACAATCCTTACCTCCCTAGGCTGTGCCCACTCGCGGACGGAAGTGCCCGGAGCCCAAGGGGCGGGGCCTGGTCTGGCCAATGGAAGCACAGAGTGCAGGCTCAGTGGTCACGTGTCCAGCGGGCGGGAATTTTACCCCAGGAAGAGATGCAGGAGGCGATTTTTACCTCAGGTAAGAGCCCTGAGAGGCTGGAGGCAGGAGAGAGGGTGATTTTGAGGGCTGAGGGGAGGAAAAGGTCGTATGGGACCAAAGAAGTATGGCAGCTCAGGAATCTCTGGAAAACGCATCTGTGAGGCCCGGCCGATGTGGCTCTGTAGAGACAAAACCCCAGACCCACTGTCCACTTAACCTGAGAATAGAAGGTGTGAAGGTCTCAGAGATGCTGGTGGGATTTCAGCCCATCAACTAGAAGTTGTATGGGCTAAACAATAAGGGAAAATAGGTGCACCTCGCCTTCTCTGCCATGTTACGTTTTTTTGTCTGTTTTAAGACAGGGTCTCGCTCTGTTGCCCAGGCTGGCGTGCAGTGGCACGATCTCGGTTCACTGCAACCTCTGCCTCCCGAGTTCAAGAGATTCTCCTGCCTCAGCCTCCAGAGTAGTTGGGACTACAGGCGTCCTCCACCACGTCTGGCTAATTTTTATATTTTTAATAGAGACGGGGTTTTGCCATGTTGACCCGGCTGGTCTCGAACTCCTGACCTCAAGTGATCCACCCGCCTCGGCCTCCCGAAGTGCTGGGATTACAGGTGTGAGCCACCACTTCCGGCGGATCTTATTATTTTTTTTTTTTTAAGTGGGTTTTTATGCGAGGGAGTGAAGAAGGCAGAAAGCTCCTGATGCCTTAGGCTGGTGGGGAGAGGTGGGAAGCCAGCCCGAAGATTCACACTCACCTGTGAGTGCTTTTAAATAATCTTGGGGCCTGGCATATGGTGGCTCAGGCCTGTAATCCCAGCACTTCGGGAGGCTGAGGCGAGAGGATTGCCTGAGCTCAGGAGTTCGAAATCAGCCTGGCCAACATGGCGAAACCCCGTCTCTATTAAAAATACAAAAATTAGCCGGGCATGGTGGCACCCGCCTGTAATCCCAGCTACTCGGGAGGCTGAGGCAGGAGAATCGCTTGAACCCGGGAGCTGGAGGTTGCAGTGAGCCAAGATCGCACCATTGCACTCCAGCCTGGGGACAGAGGGAGACTCTGTCTCAAAAAATTATTTGATTAATTAATTAAATCATCATCATCATCATCATCATCTTGGGAAAGCTTACTTCCTGGCCTTGTGCCTGACCTCATTATCGTGTGCATTTCCATTTTGGTCCAGTAGTCCAGTAGATGTTTGTTAGGAAGTAGCACAAAAGAAATAAAATCTTTAGAAAAAGGTAAAAAAAAAAAAAATTCGAGAATTGCTGCAATTCAAAACTTGATAATTTTAAATTACCCTCTCTCTAACCATGATTTTGTTCATTTCCTCATATCTTTGGTTTTAGAAATAAGAGCAATGTATCGTTTTTGCTTCCACCCACCACTATTAGATGGATTCGATATCTGTATTACAATGAAATAAACTTGATAAACGGGATTCTAAGCATGTATATAACATATGGCATCTTATTAAGTAGTACATATTTAGCATGAATTTCAGTGGTTGACTTCAATACAAAAGTAATTATTTCTTAAGGTAATTGGTGAGAGTGATAGAAATACTAGGCTTCACAAGAAAAGAAAAGTTAATATAAATGCTGACAATAAGCTGAATGGGTAAAGTCAGTAAAGTTGAGTTTGTTGTTAACTTTTTGCAATGGCTTTTAGAATGAGACAATCAGTTTTTTCTGAAAGTGCAACACCAAGAAATGGAAGTTCTAGAATCAATATTTGCTTGAAAGATCAGTGACAGGCCGGGCGCGGTGGCTCACGCCTGTAATCCCAGCACTCTGGGAGACCGAGACGGGCGGATCACAAGGTCAGGAGATCGAGACCATCCAGTCTAACACGGTGAAACCCTGTCTCTACTAAATATACAAAAAATTAGCCGGGCGTGTTGGCGGGCGCCTATAGTCCCAACTACTCAGGAGGCTGAGGCAGGAGAATGGCGTGAACCTGGGAGGCGGAACTTGCAGTGAGCTGAGATCCGGCCACTGCACTCCAGCCTGGGGGACAGAGCGAGACTCCGTCTCAAAAAAAAAAAAAGATCAGTGATACACTGGGTGGAAAAGACATAGAGGTGCAATGATTGGAAATATTCTCAGAAAAGTAACCACCAGTAAAATAATGCCCACGTTGGTCCTGTTTAAGAGTGAAAGAGGGTGGCCACACTATATATTCTCCACACCACAGAATCTAACAATATTAAAGACAATTCAGATAACATATTTGTCTCATTTTAATTGGAAAACATATTGTAATATCCAAAAATCCTTCTGAGTCATTAAACAAATAAAATAATTGTGCTCTGGGTTGTTTTTGTTTTTGGTTTGAGATAGAGTCTGGCTCTGTTGCCCAGTTTGGAGTGCAGTGGTGTGATCTTGGGTCACTGCAACCTCCACCTCCCAGGCTCAAGCAATTCTCGTGCCTCAGCCTCTCGGGTACCTGGGACTACAGGTGCACACCACCACGCCCAGCTAATTTTTGTATTTTTAGTAGAGATACAAAAATTTTGTATTTTTGTATTTTACATCATGTTGACCAAGCTGGTCTCAAACTCTTGGCCTCAAGTGATCCACCACCTCAGCCTCTCAAAGTGCTGGGATTACAGGTGTGAGCCAACATGCCTGGCCTGGATTGTTTTAAAAGTTTGTTTTTAGTTTTTTACTAAAAGTTTTACACAGAAGTTACTCTGTCCTAGAGTAACTTCAAAACTGTAATTCCTTGAGTTCTCAAGTAAATGAGAACCATCCCGGACTAGTTAAGCATTCTAGATTTTACTTATTGCTTCATTAGATGGATTTGCTGATTTACCAATATGCCATAGTTGCTTTATTCCAAATGAGCTAGCTACTAGAAAATTCTAACTTTAGGCTTCTTATTTTCTAAGTAAGAGAATGGAAACAGTTTCACAAATTGTTTCCCAATTTTCCAAATCCTCCACTGTTTCAGCACAGAGTTCTGCCCTTGGTTACCCAATTTCAAGACCACTTGAGAAATATGGTTATTCTCAAGACCACTTGAGAAATATGGTTATTCTCAAGACCACTTGAGAAATATGGTTATTCTCAAGACCACTTGAGAAATATGGTTATTCTCAAGACCACTTGAGAAATATGGTTATTCTCAAGACCACTTGAGAAATATGGTTATTCTCAAGACCACTTGAGAAATATGGTTACACCACTCCGGCAATCTTGTAAATTTCAACCTCTTTTGCAACAAAATGATCACATTAAATATATTTCCACCAACCAACTAACAGCTATATGATTTAAACAATAAGAAATTATTCAATTTTCTATCAATATACATTATTTTCATATTAGATTTAAAATTATAGTAATGTATATTATTTTTACCAATGATTATCATTCAGAGCCTTTTTAAAAATGAGTAAACCAAAGTTTTGTGATTGAGATTTTCTGCACTTGACTTGCTATTTTACCAGTGTTTAATTTTAATTTTTGTATTTCCAGATGTTGAAATTTACACTGCTTTGAAAGAAAGAAGATATGTTTTCAGCATTGAAATATCATGCAATAGACTATTTATATGAGGTAGAGTGTTAGTGGCTTACTGTCTATTTACTGAGAATTATGATGTAAGAAGTGTTAACTACATTCAATATAGGTTGAGTATCCCTTATCTGAAATGCTTAGGATCAAAAGTATTTCAGATTTCTGATTTTTTTTCAGATTTTGGAATATTTTTATATATATAAAATGAGATATCTTGGGGATAAGACCCAAGTCTAAACACAAAATTTATTTATATTTTATATACACCTTATCCACATAGATTGAAGGTAATTTTATACAATATTTTAAATAACTCTGTGCATGAAACAAAGTTTGTGTACACTGAACTAACCATCAAAAAGCAAAAGTGCCAGTATCTTCACCACCCATTGGCATCATATTGGCACTCAAAAAGTTTTGGATTTTGGATTTCAAATTTTTGGATTAAGGATGCTCAACTTGTATATGATAATTTTGCAGTAATCCTTAGATTGTTTATTAGTCTAATTACTTTTAGATTTATTGAAAATTATTTTCCACATTTAATGTCTTTAAAATGCCACTTTTGGCTGGGCACGGTGGCTCACGCCTGTAATCCCAGCACTTTGGGAGGCCGAGGCGGGTGGATCATGAGGTCAAGAGTTCGAGACCAGCCTGGCCAACATGGTGAAACCCTGTCTCTACTAAAAATACAAAAAAATTAGCCGGGCATGGTGGTGGGCGCCTGTAATCCCAGCTACTTGGGAGGCTGAGGCAGGAGAATCACTTGAAATCTGGGAAGTGGAGGTTGCAGTGAGCCGAGACTGCGCCACTGCCCTCCAGTCTGGGCAACAGAGTGAGACTCCGTCTCAAAAAAAAAGCCACTTTTGGAAGGAAATTATTAAATTAAAATAATCAAACAATTAAAATGAATCCAAAGCTGTCAGGAGAAAAAAATGGAAACTCTTGACAAGTGTGGGGTGATTTTGCTAACAATCTGGAATGATCTTTCTTGAAATGAGTGGAGAAAAAAGAATCCCAGTTATCTCTATAAAATCATACTAATAGCATGCATTGACCACTTTCTGTGGGACAGATACTTTGCCCTTCTGATGGATTATATTAGGGTGGTGCAAAAGTAATTGCCGTTAATTTGCCATTAGTTAATTAAAAGTAATGGCAAAAGCCACAATTACTTTTGCACCATCCTACTATGATTTTATCATCATAAGTACTTCATGAGGCAGATACTATTATTTTACAGGTTTTACAATTTTATAGGTTAGAAAACTAGTTTCCAGATAAGTTAAATAGCTTTTATAATTGTCAGAGCTAAATTTCAAGCCCAGACACGTTGTTAGGAAACTAACTAGAACAATTGTCATGCAACAGTCTGTTGTTCTTATGATCTTAGTTGACAAGTTAAATTTTTTTCTTTGTAACACTGACCCCATCTACCAAGGAAAAAAATTACTCCAGTATAATAAAACTGTGCTACATTTTACAGGAAATAAGAAAGACATGCAGGCATCTTCTGGTTTTATTATTCCCTCATAACTGAGAGAAGCAAATGTGTAGTTAAAAGATATCCATGGTAGGAATCAAAAGTCATCATAACAAAATATGTGTATTGGCCACTTGCAAAATTAGTCTGTATTCAAACATCCTGAAACTTTTTTTTGCCCACGATATTTTGGTTTCTGCTGGTATCCAACAGTCCGTGATATAATACAAACGCTATACTAATCAATGGCAAATCTTGCAAAAGATGCAGGACTTGGTCAAGTTCATGAAAATGGTGTTGAGGAACCGCTCAAATAACAAGTAAAGATATTATGAAGTTCATGCAAAATTAGATCAGTTGACAGACAAGAGGAAGAGAATGGTTTGAATATCAAAGGAGTCAGAGATGCCTTGAAATTTTAAAATCTTAAAAAAAACTTAAAAAAACTTAAAATCTTCAAACATTTTCTAAAAATATCTTTTTCATGATCAAAGGTGAAGCAATGAGTAGTATCATGCATATCATTATATAATACAGTTTGTGGGAAAATTATAACAAAAAGTAATATTTATAACTATAAATGAAATTTTGTTATAAAACTTTTTATAACTTTCATTTTTTAGATTAAATACTAATCAACTTTTTTTTCCTATTTACTGTGAATCTTTGGTCCTTATTTGATATAAATTACCTTAAGTAATCTTTTTCTCTTTACCACTTATCCTTGGATAATAAGGACTTCTTATTTAATATGTTATAACACCTTCAGCAAACATTAAAGTCTTGAGAATAATGCAAGAAATTATCATTTGTCCAAATACATAGAATAATGAATTATGTGAGAAATTAGAATCACTGGGGAAGGGCTTCATAGAAGAGATATTGTTTAAGATGGGCCTTGAAAGATGAGTTGGATCTTGATAGAGAAGAATAACAGGGCGTTTTCAGAGGTACAGTGTAGACCATGGTGTTAACCAGCGAGTGACCACTGAACGTTAAGGGAGGTAGTGAAGAGACTAGTCTATTTAGAGAGACTAGAGTAATGGAAGATAAAGTTGGAAAGTAAAGGCAGAGCCAAATTAAAGAGAACACTGACTCATTTACAAACTTATTAACTGATTTAACATTCCTTTAAAGAAACAGTTCCCTTTATTAGATATATTTTTAAAAATTAGAAATGAATTTGCTGGTTGTAACAAAGGAAATAATGCAAAGATAAATGAAAGTTAAGCATCCACATTATACTGTTTAGTGAAAAAAAGCACATTGCTAAGTGATATGTAAATGATGTCATCCCGTTTTTTGTCAAGTACTTACACATATATTTTAGCTTAACCTAGAAAAAATATCTGTAGGAAAATACATCAAACTACTACTGATATTACAAGGGGCCTTGACTTTCTCAGTTATGTGGTTCTGTGTTATCTGATACAGGCATACCTCAGCAACAGCAAATATCACAATAAAGTCAGTCATGAGAATTTTTTGGTTTCCCAGTGCATATAAAATTTATGTTTATAATTGGGGGGCTGAGGCGGGCAGATCACCTGAGATCAGGAGTTTGAGACCAGCCTGGCCAACATGGCAAAACCCTGTCTCTACCAAAAGTACAAAAATCAGCCGGGCATGGTGGTGGGCGCTTGTAATCCCAGCTACTCAGGAGGCTGAGGCAGGAGAATAGCTTTTTTTTTTTTATTCTCATTTTTTTGTTTTTGTGTTTTTGAGATGGAGTCTCGCTGTGTCATCCAGGCTGGAGTGCAGCTTGAACGCGGGAGGCTGAGGTTGCAGTGAGCCGAGACCACGCCACTGCACTCCAGCCTGGGCGACAAGAGCGAGACTCTGTCTCAAAAAAAAAAAAAAAAAAAGTTATGTTTATGCTATACTATAGTCCATTAAGTGCAGTAGCACTATGTCTTAAAAAACCATGGGCATAACTTAATTGAAAAATACTTTATTGCTAAAAAATGATAATAAATAATTACCCGAGTCTTTAGTGAGTCATAATCTTTTTGCTGGTGGAGCATCTTGCCTTGAAGTTGACGGCTGCTGACTGATCAGAGTGGTGGCTGTGGCAATTTCTTAAGGCAACAATGAAGTTTGCTACATTGATTCTTTCAGTCACCAAAGATTTCTCTGTAGCATGCAGTGCTGTTTGATAGCATTTTACTCACAGAACTTCTTTGAAAATTAGACTCAATCCTCTCAAACTCTGCTGCTGCTTTATCAACTAAGTTTATGGAATAATCTGAATCCTTTGTTGTCATTTAAACAATGTTTACAGTGTCTTCACCAGGAGCAGATTCCATCTCAAGAAACCCCTTCCTTTGCTCATCCATAAGAAGCAGCTCCTCATCTGTTCAAGTTTTATCATGAGATTGCAGTAATTCAACCACAACTTCAGGCTCCATTTTTAATTCAAATTCTCTTGCTATTTCTATCACCTCTATAGTTATGTACTTCCTCCACTTAAGTCTTGAATCCCTGAAAGTCATCCATGCAGGTTGGAATCAACTTCTTTCAAACTTCTGTTCATGTTGATATTTTGACCTCCTCTGATGATCACGAATGTTCTTAATGGCATCCAGAATGGTTCTCCCTTCTCAAAGGTTTTCAATTGACTTTGCCTAGATCTATCAGAGGAATCACCATCTATGGCAGCTATATCCTTACAAAATGTATTTATTTCTATAAGACCTTAAAGTTGAAATGACTCCTTGATCCATAGGCTGCAGAATACATATTTGAAAACATTAATCTCCTTGTACATCTCCATCAGAGCTCTTGGGTGGCCAGGTGCATTATCAACAAGCGGTAATATTTTTAAAGTAATCTTTTTTTTCCCCCAAAAGTAGGTCTCAACAATAGGCTTAAAATATTCGGTAAACCATGTTGTAAATACATGTGCCATCATCCAGGCTTTGTTATTCCATTTATAGAGCATAGACAGGGTAGATTTAGTATAATTCTTAAGGGCCCTGGGATTTTCAGAATGGTAAATGAGCATTAGCTTCAACTTAAAATCACCAACTGCATTAGCTTCTAGCAAGAGAGTCAGCTTGTCCTTTGAAGTTTGAACACAGACATTGACTTCTTTCTAGCTATGAAAGTCCTCGTTGGCATCTTCTTCTAACAGAAGGCTGTTTTGTCAGAATACACACAACATTTATCAATTAATTTGCTGTCTTATATGGTGCAGTTCATGCCACCCCCAAACAATTACAATGGTAACTAACATCAAAGACCACTGATCACAGATTATCATAACATATAGAATAATAACGGAAAAGTTTCAAATGTTGGGACAGTTACCAAAATGTGACACAGGAAGTGAGCACATGCTTTTGGAAAAATGGCAGAGACAGATTTGCTCATCATGGGGTTGCCACAAAGCTTCAATTTGTAAAAAAAAAAAAAAAAAAAAAAAAATCTGCAGAGCACAATAGAATAAAGCACAATAAAGTGAGGGATGCCTGTTTTTTTTGTTGTTGTTTTTTTGACACGGAGTCTCACTTTGTCGCCCAGGCTGGAGTGCAGTGGCGCGATCTCGGCTCACTGCAAACTCCACCTCCCGGGTTCACACCATTCTCCTGCCTCAGCCTCCTGAGGAGCTGGGACCACAGGCGCCCACAACCACGCCCGGATAATTTTTTTGTATTTTTAGTAGAGATGGGGTTTCACCGTGTTAGCCAGATGGTCTCAATCTCCTGACCTTGTGATCTGCCCGCCTGGGCCTCCCAAAGTGCTGGGATTAGGTATGCCTGTTTTTTATAAGGAGCATGTATTACTTTTAAAGAAAAATCATATAAGTTTCAAAGTATAGAGAATTTTAATATATTCTGAATATTGATAAATAGTACATGTTAAAAGATTTTCTAATCTTTCTTTCTTCCACAGAATGTGGTTAGAAAGAAGTTTTACAGAGATGCTTTATTGCTTCGAATCCCTTCATGTTTATATCAAGATGAAAGTTACCATGTAGCAGTTACTGATAATAAATTTAGGAGGCCATGGACGAGAGGTATGTTTGTTTTCATTTCTTAAAAATGTGTTTTAAAAGCCATTTCAGAGTTTAGCACAGCAAATTATTAAGAATATGCAATGTTTTACTAATTAAAAACTCATTGCATCTACTCATGTCAGAATTCCAAGAAGTTAACAACTTAGTATTTTATTATAGAATTTAGGTAACTAAATAAGGAATTGGAAAGCTTATATTTGATATGAATAAACCAAATAAAAGATATGTAGATGATGAAGACTTAAAATAGTCTAACATTGTAAACATTTGTTTTATTATAATAGAATTTTTCTTGACTATCTGAGGCCTACTTCAAGTTGTAATGGCACACCGAATATAAAATTATTTTTAAGCATATATGTATAAAATAGTTTTTTGTTTGTATCAAGTCATGGACTAGTAAAGAAGTAGCATCCTTGGAGGAGTCAAGTCGGTTAACAGCATTTACTTGGTATATATTATGTACCAAGCACTGTTATAAGTACTAAGGACACAGTACTTAAAAGACATAGAAGTAGTCTCTGCTCTCAGTGGGTTTTAGACTGGTAAGGAGGATACAGCAACAAAACCATTAAATATATAAACTAGTATCTGATATTGATAAATGTATAGAGAAGAGACAGTAATGCTAAGTGATATGAAATTGCGGGAGTAGGGAGTGCTATTTCCTAAGATAGTTAGGGAAATGTCTCTCTCAGGAGGAGGACATTTGAGTTGAGACCTGAATCATGGGAAAGCAACAACCATGAAAAATATGGGGGAAAAGCCCTTCAAGCAAATGCAAAGTTCCTGACTCAAGAACGAACTTGATGTGTGTAAGGACCAGAAAATTAAGCTATTGTGACTGGGTAATGAAAAAGGGACTGAGAAGTAGGCAATTTCCGAATAAGGCTTTGTAGGCCATAACAGTGAGTTTGTTTGTTTGTTTATTTTGATTACAGCTGCAATAGACTGAATGTTTGTGTCCCCCCAAATTTATATTTGAAGGTGGGGCCTTTGGGAGGTGACTAGAACATGAGGATGGAGTCCTCATGAAAGGGATTAGTACCCTTATAAAAGAGACCCCAAAGAGCTCCCTTGACCTTTCTGCCATGTGAGGCCAGCAAGAAGACAGCCACCCATGAACCAGGAAGTGGGCCCTCACTAGACACTGAATCTTCTGGTGCCTTAATCTTGGACCTCCCAGCCTCCAAAGCTATGAGAAATGAATGTTTGTTGTTTGAGCCACCGAGTCTATGATATTTTTGTTATAGCTATATAGACTGACTAAGACAATTGTGGATATGGGAAGTCACTGGACAATTTTAAGAAAGGGAATGATATAACCTGATTTATGCTGTAGAAAGATAGTTATGATTGTCTGGAGAATAGAAAGGGTGGGGATTTAAAAGTCAAGAGGAGAGACAGAGAAATCTATCAGGGAGCTATTGTAGTAGCCCAGAATCTAAACTCTGGATAAAATATTACAGTGTCTTGGACAAGGCTTATAGTAACGGAGATGTGAGATGTACTTAAAATCTAGCTTATTTTACAAATTGTCAACAGTGAGGGGGTCACAAAATAGAAGAATAAAGATTTTCTTCTAGGTTTTTGACCTGAGAAACCAGGTAGATGACAGTGCCATTTCCTAAAATAGGGAAAGGCTTATAGAGAAGCCAATTTGTGGTCAGAGTCAACAGCTGTGCTTCGGCCAGATTATTAGGCATCTAAATGGATCATTAAGAAGGCAATTGGTTACATTAATCTTGAGCACAGCTGCTCAGGACAGTTTTCTGGGTGGCCTTGGCCTCCTTTCCTCACTTGAAGTTCTTAAGAATAACTATAAAATGTGCTGGGAATGCAACATTCTGAGATAAAGGAGGAGCTGGCCAGAACAGCCTACTCTCTGTGCCAGTCTTCCCCCACCCACAAAACAGGATGTCCTTCAGTGCTTTAGCCTAGCACGTCCTTTGATCTCAGAACATCAAACCCAGGTGGACTGCTTTCTGGGGTTCTTCAGCTGCTGTGCAAGTGTGGCATATGAAGACTTCATTTGCCCTGGGCAGCTTTCCTGAGCCTTACGGGACCAGTTCACAATGAATCCTAGGCTTCTGTTGTCCCTTGTTACCTATCTGTAAGTAATAAATCTACTTCATGTAACTTCCTGTGTATGGGTATTCTGTCTCACCATACTCAAACAAGTTGGTAATCGGTATACAGTGAACCTGCTTCTCAAGCTAGAGCTTCAAATTGGAGTTTTCAATATGTAAATTACACATAAACCTGTGAAACTAGATGAAGTCACTGAGAGCATGAGTATAAATAGATTAGAAGACCTAGGACAGAGCCCTGGAACACTCTAACAGTTAAAAGTCTGATGTAAAAGGAGTTACCTAAGAAGCGAGATAGGAAAATCAAATGATTCTGGCATAGAATTCTAAAGAAGAAAGTGCTTCAAGAAGGAAGTAGTAGTCCAATGTGTTGGGCTCCTGTTAAAAGCTCAAGTTATGTGAGGATAGTGAGTTGACCATTAGCTTGACTAAATGTAGGTCATTGATGACTTTGATAAGAGTGGTTTGCCTGGAATATTGGTTATTAATATGATTGGAATATAATTGGAGTGTGATAGGAATATATTGGAATATGATTGGAGTATGTTGAGAAGATAATGGGAAGTGGGAAAGTGAGAGAGTGAATTTGAATATTTTGGGGAATTTTGCTATGAAGAAAAATTTTTAAATGATGGACTAACTTATGGGAGAAGTGGAGTAAAGAGTTATTCTTTTTTGTTTTTTATGTGTGATTTTTAAAAAATACATGATGAGAGAGACTGTAAAATGTTTGCCAATGGAAACAATTTTGGTAAAAAGAGAATAAGATGATGCAGGAAAGAAAAAGGATAACAGGAGTAAAAGGGGATAGGATCAAGAGCACAGTTAGAGAAGTTAGTATTCAGTAGGAACTAAAATAATTCTTCCCCTGTGTAGATAGGAAGATAGAGTTTGCAGGTACTTATGCCAGTAAGTTGGTAGAATTGGTGGTGGAAAATGAGGTAGTTCTCTGTATCAGTTTTCTATGTGAAGGTAAGATCATACACTGAAAGTGGATAATGGAATGGACACTAAAGATTTGAAGGGGTAATATGTGAATTAGCTGTCTTAAAGAGCAAGAAAGCCAGTTTTGTTTTTGTTTCTTGTTTTTGTTTTTGTTTTTTTTTTAGACCTCATCTGTGGTCAAGAAAGCCAGTTTTATTAAGGGGTATACTATTATCATCTGTCAATGTTGGGTGGCCATTTGAAATTTGTAGTCATAATTTGGAATGAGTTCCTTTAGCACGGCTGGGTGATTTTTTTTCCAGTAATTTTCAACTGTTTTAGTGTACATACACAGAAAGTGTAGAGTAGGGGTTGTTCTAAGTTAGTACAAGAGAAAGAGAGGCAAGAGAATCAAGACTCTTTGAAAGCAATGGTTATGGGACTGGCTATGGAACCTAAAGTGTTCTAAGCAGTTTGCATGCCACATTACATTTAATCTTTACAACGACACTCTGAAAAGGCTATTCTTCCTAGTTTGTACATAAAAAAAACAGAGGTGCAAAAAGGTTGAGATGTTTACCCAAGATCATATAGATAATAAGTAGCAGTCCAAGGATTAAAATCTAGGCAGAGTGTTTCCAGAACCTGTACTCTTAACCACTAAACTTTTTTTCTTTTTTTATTTTGATATGAAGTCTTACTCTGTCTCCCAGGCTGGAGTGTAGTGGTGCTATCTTGGCTCACTGCAAGCTCCGCCTCCCGGGTTCATGCCATTCTCCTGCCTCAGCATCCCCAGGAGCTGGGACTACAGGCACCCACCACCACGCCTGGATAATTTTTTTCTATCTTTAGTACAGACAGGGTTTCACTGTGTTAGCCAGGATGGTCTGGATCTCCTGACCTCATGATCCACCTGCCTCAGCCTCCCAAAGTACCACTAAACTCTTGTATTTTTTTTCATGTTTTTCAATGAGGCACAGGCTTAGATGTTAAATGATTTGTTCAAGGTAACAAAACTAGTAAGAAGTAACACTGGTGGTAGGTGGAATACTCAGTTGTATATTCTGACAGTAGTATATGACATGGTCTTTCTCCTTAAGGAACCAAAGGTCTAATTTGGGAGATAAGCTATGTACACATACAAATTTATTTATTTATTTATTTATTTATTTACAGAGTCTCACTCTCACCCAGGTGCCCAGGCTGGAGTGCCATGGCACAATCTCTGCTCACTGCAGCCTCTGTTTCCCAGGTTCGAGGTATTCTCCTGCCTCAGCCTTCCAAGTAGTTGGGACTAGAGGCATGCACTACCATGCCCGGCTAATTTTTGTATTTTTAGTAGAGATGGGGTTTTGCCATGTTGGCCAGGCTGGTCTCGAACTCCTGGCCTCAAGTGATCTGCCTACCTCAGCCTTTCAAAGAGCTGGGATTACAGGCATGAGCCACTACGTGCCGCCTACAATTTTAAATATAGGACTGTATATGGTTGAGTACCCAAGTGCTACTGACAATATTATGGCCCTTCAAGGAGAATGTATCAGCTTGAGCTGGAATGGTTAATAGAAGCTTCATGAGGTATAGCATGAGCAGTTGAAAGGGACTATTTGGGATGGTAGTGCTGTATAAGCAAAAGAGAGGCTATAAAATGAGGGTGATATGTTCAGGTGATATTGTTCTAACTGTAGTTGATTGAGGGGCGGGGGTAGGTTGATGATAATGAGGATGACTATTCAAATATTTGGAATCAGGTATCACTTTGAAAAAATACATTTGTGAATAAATAAAGATAAAATCATAATGTAAAAGGTGAATGTTTGGCTTCCTTGAATTAAGTGTAAAAGAAAATTCTAGACATTAATGTTAACTATTATCCTTTCTAGTCTCAGCTGTTTCAGTTCCGGGAATGACAGATACCTCAGTCTTGGACCAATGGAAAGCAAGTTTCTTTGTGGAGGATTTCCTTGAGAAGTATGTATCCTTAATCTCAAATTTCTCTTTTACATCTAGTAGAAGATAAACAGTAAGTTCTCCAGATACCTAAAGAGGGAAAATCTCTTCCTTTATCTCTTCATGGATTTTCTTCTTTTATCTGAAGAAAAGGTCCTAATTTGAACCACAAAGGAGTGGTTAATAAGAGTGACTTATATCTTCTTTTTTAATTAGTAAACTTTCAATTAGTTTATCAATTAGTAAACTTTCTGTAGAAAGTAGCTATAAAAAGTCCTTTATATTAAAATTAGTCTTTTTTCCACCTATGTTATAAATACAGATTTAAGGCTATTTTGTAATATATTTGGTCAAAACATTATTTATTATTTAAGCATTCATCAAATATTCATTATCATCCTATATATTAGATACAGATATAAAAATGAATAAGACATTGTCTTAACCTTCAAAGAACACAAGAAAACAAAGAATAGAGTTTTATAAAGAAATAATTACAATACAATGTGCAAAGTACAATGACAGAGATAGGCACCCAGAGCATAATATGAGGAGGAACATCTAACCTGTTCTACATTGTAAACGTAGGCATAAAGTAGAGATTTTGGTGCAATTTAATAATTTACTCTGTTGCTTCACTTCATGCACAGAACGCTGATCCAGCCTAGGAGAGATTTTGTTATTATTCACATTTTCAAGTTTCTGTAATTTAAATTTTCCTTAGTTGTGCTTAAAAGAAACAAAAAAACATTGAAAGGTGTCTAGACTCTGGATACAGTGAAGCCCAATATACCATCTCTGTCACCTAGGAATTTAAAGTCAGGTTAGGAAAATAATAGATAAACATAGAAAAAATTAACAATGCAAGAATTAAATGGTAATATAGGATGACCAACATAAAGTCTATTACAAGGCATATAGCCAATTAGAAGTATGTATCATATGAGTAAACTCCTAGCAGCGAGGAAGCAGAAAGGCATAGTGAAAAAAGCTCTGCACTATGAATTAAAATATGTAGCTTTTAAGCCTTGACTGGAAAAGTCAAGTGCTAACTACTTTGCTGGTCATTTTACCTGTGACCCTCATTTTATCAGTATGATGATGATGGATCAGTGCTTCTCAAACTTTACTGTACATATGAATCCCCTGAGGATCTTATTAAAATGCAGATTCTGGTTCAATTAGTCTGTTTTGGAGCCTGAGATTCTGCAATTCTAATCTATTTCTAGGTGGTAATGATGCTGCCAGTCCAAAGACCTACCTTGAGTAACAAGATGCGAGACGATCTCTAAGATGTCTTTTCACCTTATGAGTTAGATTGGTAGAGCTGTGCATTTATAACTAGGAGAGGTCAGCTTCACAGAAGTAGGAATTGAGCTTGGGCTGGGCAATCAAAGAGAAATTAACTTGAGAGAAAGCATTTTGGGCAGAGGAAACAGCATGTCTCCAGGCATAGACACAGGAATATGCAATAAGTGTTTAGCAAAGGCAATAATTAGGCTAGTTTGGTGAAAACTAAATTATTGTTTCATAAGGTGAAAAAAGATCTTAGAGATCATCTCGCATCTTGTTACTCAAAGTAGGCCTTTGGACTGGCAGCATTAACACTACCTAGAAATAGATTGGAAATGCAGAATCTCAGGCTCCAAAACGGACTAACTGAATCAGAATCTACTTTCTGTCTGTTGATTTGCCTATTCTGGATATTTCACATAAGTGGAATCATACAATATGTGCTTTTATTGTGATTGGTTTCTTTTACTTAATATAATGTTTTCAGGGTTTATCCGTGTTGTCACATGTATCTGTGCTTCATCTCTCTCTCTCTCTCTCTCTTTTTTTTTTTTTTTTTGACACAGAGTCTCGCTCTGTCGCCTAGGCTGGAGTGCAGTGGTGCAATCTCAACTCACTGCAACCTCCGCCTCCTGGGTTCAAGTGATTCTTGTACATCAGCCTCCTGAGTAGCCGGAATTACAGGCATGCACTACCACATCTAGATAATTTTTGTATTTTTAGTAGAGATGGAGTTTCACCATGTTGGCCAGGCTGGTCTCAAACTCCTGGCCTCAAGTGATCCACCCGCCTTGGCCTCCCAAAGTGCTGGAATTACAGGTGTGAGCCACCATTCCCCACCAGTACTTTCTCTCTCTCTCTGTCTCTTTTTTTTTTTTTTTTTTTTTGAGACAGAGTCTCTCTCTGTCACCTAGGCTAGAGTGCAGTGGTGTGACCTTGGTTCACTGCAACCTCTACCTCCCAGGTTTGAGTGATTCTCCTGCCTCAGCCTCCCGAGTAGCTGATATTACAGGCATCCACTAACACCCCCAGCTAAATTTTTTGTATTTTTAGTAGAGATGGAGTTTCACCATGTTGGTCAGGATGGTCTCAAACTCCTGATCTCAGGTGATGCACCCACCACAGCCTCTCAAAACTGCTGGGATTACAGGCGTGAGCCACTGTGCCCAGCCCATTCATAACATTTTTTTACCACCTGAAATTATATTATATACTTATTTGTCTATCTTCCTTTTAGCAGATAAGCTCCATGAAGGAAAGAACTTTGTTTTGTTTACCACCCCATTCCCAGCATCTAGAATGGTGTTAGCACATTGTAGACACTCAATAAATAGTTTTGTTAAGTTTGCAAATGAATGAATAGGAGTAGATGAACTTACTCAAAAAGAATGATATAGAAGAAAAGCAAAGATAATTTAGAGTAGAAACCTGGAAAAGACCAGTGTCCACAGGTTATGCAAAGGAGGAGGCACCAGTGAAAACAGAATAAATATATTGGACAGGGAGGTGGATGAGGAGAGCCAGGAAACACTGATCTTCATAGATCTTGTATATCTACAGAAAGAAAATTGACTAGGTAGTCTCAAAACTGTAGTACCAATTATTGCTATAGAGTGCTGACCCTGTCAGCAACATTTATTTTAAAAAGACAGCACCTATGTAAGCACTAAGTTCAGTATATAACGATCCACATAGGAATCAATGATCTTAATGAATAATATGGACATGGAAGAGTTAAAATATTTTTTCTTCTACTTTGTATTTTCTTAGAGTAAAGGATAAATTCTAAAGCTTTCTCCACCTATGATTTTAAGATATGACACAATTGGTCTTTTCTCCAATTATATTGGAGAGTTATATTGATTTTGTTTCTTTCAGTCTGTACAAGGGTATTATTAGGGCTGAAATATTCCAGGATATTAGGAAAAACATATATTAGGATGTATAACTAAGTTGCCAATAATATATTTATCTATTGGAAGATCTCTTGTAATGCCAGCCATTCTAATGGTATGATACAGATATACCTGTTATCAATCAGGAAACAGGTAAGGGCAAGGTTAAAAGAGCCAAAAAGATGTCCTCAGGACTAGCAACAGTAGGAAGTTGAAACCGCCTTCGCAAAAATTGTAACTGAGGAAATTATGACAGTGAAAGAGATCAAACCTAACTGATTCCATCCTGCCTCGAACCTTTAAGCTGTCCTTGTTCATTCCTGGGTGTAGGCTGAACTAACCTTGGGAAGGAATTTAGTGTATGATTTGACTCTGAAACAAAATTGATAATAGCCTTTTCCTGAAAAGACCCACTTTTTGCCTGGGGACCAGACTGCGTTTGTAGGACTAACAAATTAGCTACAAGATTAGAAATTTTGGTTTAGGAGTCATGCGGCCTCTGGCTGCAAGAGTCTGAACCTCTCCAAATTGTTCCTCGGGATAACATCACTATTGTAAAACCAAAGATCAGGGCTTGAGATATTTTGCAGACCCTGCACTCTATGGATCAGCTGATACCACCTAGCTGGTAATCTGGCTCAACCAGTTCTGCGATCCCACCCAGGAGCAGAAGACCCCAAGAAAACCTCACTTCCACCCCCTATATTTCCATCTCCAACCTGAACAGTCAGCACTCCCCACTTCCCAAGCCCTTACCTGCCAAATTGTCTTTAAAAACTCTGATCCACAAATGCTCAGGGAGACTGATTTGAGTAATAATAAAAGACCGGTGTCCCGCACAGCTGGCTCTGCGTCTCTATCCATTGCAATTCCCGTCTTGATAAATCAGCTTTGTCTAGGCAGCGGGCAAGGTGAACCCGTTGGGCGGTTACAAAGTTGTTACCACCCTAAGGTTGAAGGAACAAGGTGCCTGGGCAGTTACCAACCTAGTAAGAACTACAGGAGTAGGGCTGTCTGACAAAAGATGTAACTTTTGGTGGAAGAGTGCAGCCAATTCCAAGCTGTGGCCTAACAGAGAAGTATTTGGGAGGAATAATATTCCAACCTGTCTCCCTCACCTTTGATCTTCTGCCAGTGCTTTCCATGGCTGAACCCATCTAGAAGCCAGAGAACAAGGAATCTTGGTTAGTTCATAGAGGTTAGCTTCCCAGGTTACGGAACAGAACATAAAAGGCTGGGTAATTTTATTGAGGAACGACATTGAATATCTAGCACAAGGGCAGTTTGGCAATGTGTGGCAAAACCTAAAAATCTGTATACTTTTAACTTTATCATTTCTGTTTTGAAGAAATATATTTCAGATTATTAGTGCATATAGATGTTCTTTGCATTGTTGCTTATAATAGCAAGCAATTATAACAAACTTAAATTTCCAACAATAGAGAATTGGTTGAATAAATTATGATTTACTGATACCCTGTTTATCCATTCAAATATTAGGTGAATGTACATTGATTGACATGTAAATGTGTTCATTCTTCATTTTTTTTACAGAAAAGAACAGGTTATAGAATACTGTTGTCATTAGTCCACTATTGTTTAAAGATTTTTTTAATTGAGAAATTTACATACTTTTTATATTTATCTTGAATGATGGGAATATAGATGTTTCTTCTCTGTGTCTGTTGGAATTTGATAATTTTTTCCACAGTGGACATATATTATCTACTAATAAAAGTGTTTTAAAATAGGACATACATAACATTAGTAATTTTATATTGTCACAGAAAAACAATTACAAGAATGGTGACCCAGATTAATTGTGAATTTGAGGAAGTTGTTCCAAGTTCAAATCCAGACTCCCAAATTGAAGTAGAGGAGGTCAGTTTATACACCCACATGGACTACAATGAAGTCTTTACCCCTGTCAGTTGTTTAGAAAAATGTTCAGCACTTCAAAACCAGAACCAAGGTAAAACGTTTATTTTATATTGTTGTAAAACATTTCTTACTGATATACACATATTCTTTTCAGTGAGTTTTTTGTTTGAGTTGAATAAAAAATTTTTTATTAAAGATCCACCTGCATAACTCTAAGCTTTGCCACATTAGGGCAGTATTTCCTCATTCATATTAATCCTCTTTGTAAGTTGGGTTATTTTTGGAGTTTAATTTGCTGGGCCTCAAAACAACCTGCAGAGATTTGATCATAGTATGCCTTCAACATACTGCTATAATGACATTGGCATCTTTTTAAGATCCCATGATATAGCAATCCAGTGTAATATTAAATTACTATATTATGAAGTGATGATTATATTTTAGTTTTTAAAACATAATAAATGTTTTCAGTCTCATCTAATTTATGTGAAACCAAGGTTCAAAGTGGAGATGGAATAGTTCCAGTATTAAGTTAGGAAATATACTCAGTTTTACAAACATACTCTCAAAAATAATTAAAAGTAGGCCGGGCACGGTGGCTTACTATGCCTGTAATCCCAGCACTTCGGGAGGCCAAGGTGGGTAGATCACCTGAGGTCAAGAGTTTGAGACCAGCTTGGCCAACATGGTGAAACCCCATCTCTACTCAAAATACAAAAATTAGCCAGGCATGGTGGCAGGCACCTGTAATCCCTCTACTTGGGAGGCTGAGGCAGGAGAATCACTTGAACCCAGGGGACGGAGGTTACAGTGAACCGAGATCGCGCCACTGCACTCTGGCCTGGGCAAAAGAGCAAGACTGAATCTCAAAAAAAAAATTTTTTTTTAAGTATATTTTATTCAAACTGGATTCCAAATGTCTCATCTTACTAGAGGATGTTGAATTCTTTCAACCATGTAAAAACTTGCTGAAAATTGCCTTTCTTGTATGTATAACAGCCTATTCTTTTTTTAAATTATAGAACTTAAGGTTCTATTATGTGATTATTACTATCATTTAAGAAATGCTACAGCTTCAACATGAAAAATAATTTGATTCTTTTACTGTTATTTTTATGTAGATATATAAATTATGTATAAAATTTTTAGCATTGGCAAATAGCTGTGTGATGATATATATATAGAGAGAGAGAGAGAGAAATTCCTCTTATAGTTGGAAGAGATAGAGAGATTAGTTGCATTAAGAACTAAAACTTGAGAGCATGATATAGTAGAAAGAGCCTGAATTTGGAGTCAGAAGACTTGAATTTTCAGTCCAAGTCTACTCGTAAAAAGTGGAACATCACTTGAGGCCAGGAGTTTGAGACCAGCCTGGGCAACATGGCAAGACCCTGTCTCCACAAAAAGATTGTTAAAAATTAGCCAGGTGTGGTGGCAGTTCTGTAGTCCTAGCTATTTGTAAGGCTGAAGTGGGAAGATTGCTTGAACCCAGGTGTTCAAGGCTGTAGTAAGCCATGATCGTGCCACTGCACTCCAGCTTGGGTGACAGAGTGAGACCCTGTCTGGAGAAAAAGTGGTTTTGAGATTTGGGAGAAAATTTTTAAGATTTTTAAATTTTGTTCTATAATTTATTTCTATTATATATTCTTCTATTTTTTAATAATTTTTTGTGGGGATAAACTAATATATGTAAGTTTATATAAGTATATTTAAAGAGATGGCTTATAAAAACTAATGGGTTACACAAACATAGTAGTATAAATGTGGCAAACTAGAAGCTACTGTCGGCTAGAATCAACTATTGACTGAGAGAAAATATGCTTGAATTTCCCAAATGCATACACATTGTCCATATCCTATATTTCCTCAGGTGTCCTGTGTCACCGGACATCACTTTATAAATTTAGATTTTTAATTTTATTTATTTTCTTTGCAATTATATTGATTGCTGCCAGATTTGTAGATAATTTGGTCTTATTGTCTAAATCAAAAGGAACATAGTATATTTGGGGATTTGTAAATATGCTATGTCTTATAAGAATTATAAATAATTACTAAATTATAATTTCAAAACACATATATCTTTAAAACATAAAACAGTGGCTGGTTTTCTTTTATGGTTGTTGGTTTATTGATATTTGCTAATTTTTCTACAATGTTCACATATTATTTGTTAATACATGAAACTCTTAAGCATCTCTCTAGGTATCCTGGGAACATATAAACAAATATAAATGTAGCTTTTATTTTTATTTTAAAAAATAAAGTTAGGCCAGCCACAGTAGCTCATGCCTGTAATTCCATCACTTTGGGAGACTGAGGCGGGTGGATCACCTGGGGTCAGGCGTTCGAAACCAGCCTGGCCAACGTGGTGAAACCCTGTCTCTACCAAAAATACAAAATTAGCTGGGCGTAGTGGCAGGCACCTGTAATCTCAGCTATTTGGGAGGCTGAGGCAGGAGAATCACTTGAACCTGGGAGGCAGAGGTTGCCATGAGCCGAGATCACACCATTGCCCTCCAGCCTAGGCAACAAGAGTGAAACTCCATCTCAAAAAATAATAAATAAAAATAAAATAAAATAAATAAAGTTGCATATGCATATAGTTTAGAGAGTCAAATAGTTTGTTAAAGTTTACAATAAAAAGCAGTAATCTGACTTATCGTTTTAAAATGGTGGCACAGAAGCAAGCTGGCTTCACTGCTCATATGGGAAACCAAAAACAAATATACAATGCCAAAATTTTCACTAGCAACAACTCACATCTCAAATATGAGGATGAGACAGATCCTAGGGACACAGAGAAGTGAAAAAACTTCAAGCAGACGGTAGGAGAATCCAACTTCCATATCCATGATGCCCCACCCTGCCCATTCTGCCTGACAACAACCACATGGAAAATCTTCCCCAAACTCATGGTTTCTATGCTGGAAAAAGTGAGAGTGGCATAGTCAACTAGCTTTCCCTCCATCTTGGATTCCCTGGCAGGAGACTTCTTTATTTAACCTGTGGAAAGCATCATGACTGCCTGAAAGGAGAGACAAAGAGGGGAGAAGGGACTACCTTCCCCAGCCCTGGAAACTCTGCTCGGTAACTCAGGCAAAGGAGCCAAATCACAATAGCTAATTTGTGCCACAGGTCCCTTGGGCACGAACCTCTAGCCAGACTTCTGTCACTGTTGGGATAATCATTTTCAGACTCTCCCATTTGGGGCAGACAGTGCCCTGACCATTTGCTAGAGGCAAGGCAAACCTGGGCTTAAGATATCACCTATAGCCAAGAAAAAGGCAATAGTAGTGAAGATTTGCTAAGAAAATATATCCAATAAAAACCAAGACAAGTTGAATAGAGGAAGCTGGAATAAATAACCAATCCTTCAATGCAAAGACATAGACATATACCCACAAGAAACAACACTGAATAGGGAAATGTGACCTCTGCAAAAGGACAAAGGAAAAATCCAGTGACCGACCCTAACAAGACAGTCATTTGTGAGCTCTCTGACCAAAAATTCAAAAGAGCAGTTTCAAGGAAATTCAGTGATCTCTAAAATAATACAGAAAAGCAATTCAGAAAATTGCTGGAGAAATTTAACAAAGAGAATTTGTTAAATTTTTAAAGTTAACTTTAAAAACTCAAACAAATTTTGGAACTGAGAAATACGTTTGCTGAGCTGAACAACTAATTAGAGGCTCTCAACATCCAAATGGAACAACCAGAGGGAAGAATCAGTGAGCTCAAAGACCAGCTATTTGAAAATACAGTCAGAGGAGAAAAAAGAAAAAAGAAAGAAAAAGAACAAAAACTGCCTACAAGATATAGAAAATTACCTCAAAAACCAAATCTAAGAATTCTTGATGTTCAAAAGGGAGCTGAGCAAAGGCAGAGGGCAGAAAGAAAAAATACAAAATTTTCCAGAGCTTGAGAAAGATATAAATCTCCAGTACGGGAAGGTCTGATAATACCCAAGAGATTCAACCCAAATAAGACTACCCCAAGGTATGTAATAACCAAACTCTCAAAGGTCAAGGACAAAGAGAGGATCTCAAAAGCAGCAAGAGAAAAGAAGCAAATAACATATAAAGGACCTCCAATTCTTCTGGTAACAGACTTTTCAATGAAAAACCATACAGACAGGAGGGAGTGGAACAACATATTCAAAGTGCTCAAAGAAAAAAAAAGCCATCTAAGAACACTGTATCCAGCAAAATTACCCTTTGAATATGAAGGAGAAATAGTCTTTCCCAAACAACTAAAGTTCAGAGAATCCACCCCCATCAGACCCATCATCTTACAGTAAATGGTAAAGGGGGTTCTTCAATCTGAAAGGAAAAAAAACAACATTAACATACAAAAAGAAAACTTTCCTTTATTTACCCACTGGTAAAATTAAGTACATGAATACTTAATTTTAAGAATTCTCTAGAATACTGAGAATACTCTGTTACAATAATTGTGGTGTGTAAGCACTCATAACTCTAGTATGAAGCCCAATCAAAAACAATAGCTATAGCAACCTGTTAAGAGATGTAATATAAAAATATGTAAATTGAGACAACTAAGTCAAAATGTGGCATTTTGTGTGTATGTGTGTTTGTCTTTGTTTCTATTCCTTTCTTTGTAATCCAAAATATTATCTCTTTAAAATAACTTTTTATATCTATACAATGTTTTTTGTAACCCTCCTGGTAACCACAGCCCAAAAACCTACAATATATTCACTAAAAATAAAAAACAACAAATTAAAACGTACTATCAGAGAAAGTAACCACCAAAGAAGACAGTAGGAAAGAAAAGAAAGGAGTCTTAAAACTATCAGAAAATAGGCAACAAAATGGCAGTAGTAAGTCTTTACTTAATAGTAACACTGAATGTAAATGGTCTCAATTTTCAAATAAAAAGCTTAGAATGGCTGAAGGAATTAAAAAAGCAAGACCAAACTATATGCTGCCTTCAAGAAACTCTCTTCACTTATAAAGACACACAGACTGAAAGAGAAGCAGTGAAAAATGATATTCCATGCAACTGGAAACCAAAAATAGCAGGAGTAGCTATACTTATATAAAATAGACTACAAATCTAAGATTGTAAAAAGAGACAAAGATGATCATGAAAGGGGTCAATTAAGCAAGAGGGTATAACAATTATAAATATCTATGCACACAACACCAGAACTCCTAGGTATATAAAGCAAACATTAATATCTAAAAGGGTAGACTGCAATATAATAATAGTAGCGGACTTTAACACCCCACTCTCAGTAATGGACAGATCATCCAGACAGAAAATCAACAAAGAGCATAAACTACACACTAGAATAGGCCTAACTAACATTTACAGAACATTTCACCCATATGATAGCTAACTTCATACTGTGTATTTTGTGCTGCAGAATACATATTCTTTTCATCAGCACATGGAATATTCTTCAGAATAGACCATATCTTAGGCCACAAAATATATCTGAAAAAATTTTCAAAATAGAAATCATATCAAGTAGCTTTTCTGACCACAATGAAATAAAACTAGAAATCAGTAACAAGAGGAACTTTGGAAAATGCACAAACACATGGAAATTATACAACATGGTCTTAAATGGCCAATGAAAAAGTTAAGAAGGAACTTTTAAAATTTCTTCAAACAAATAAATGAAAATGGAAATAAAACATACCAAAATCTATGGGGTATGGCAAGAGCCCAGTACCAAGAGGGAAGTTTATAGCAATAAATGCCTGTATCAAAAAAGTAGAAAGACTTCAAATAAAATAACTTAATGTTGCACCTCAAGGCACTAGAAAAGAAAGAACAAACCCCAAACTGGTAGAAGGAAAGAAACAATAAAGATCAGAGCAGAAATACATGAAACTAAGACTAAAAAAAAAAAAAAAAAAAAAACAAAAAAAAAACAGAAGATAAAACCTTTCGCTAGATTAAGTAGGAAGAGCACAAACCTGAATAAATAAAATCAGAAATGAAAAAGGAGACATAATAACTGAGACCTCAGAAATACAAAGAATCATTAGCAAGTATTATGAACAAATATATGCCAACAAATTGGAAAACTTAGAAGAAATGGATACATTCCTGGACACATACAACCTATCAAGATTGAATCACAGGCATGGTGGCTTATGCCTGTGCCCTAGCACTCTGAGAGGCTGAGGTGGGTGGATCACTTGAGGTCAGGAGTTCAAAACCAGCCTGGGCAACATGGTGAAACCTCACCTCTACAAAAAATATTAGCCAATTGTGGTGGCATGTGCTTGTAGTCCCAGCTACCTGAGAGACTGAGGTGGGAGGATTGATTGAGCCTGGGAGGTTAATGCTGCAGTGAGCTGTGATCATGCCACTGCACTCCAGCCTGGGTGACAGAGTGAGACCCTATGTCAAAAAAAGGAAAAAAAGTTTGAACTATGAAGAAATAGAAAACCGCAACAAACCAATGATGAGTAATAAGATTGAAGCCATAGTAAAAAGCCTCTCATCAAAGAAAAGCCCAGAACTTGATGACTTCACTGCTGAATTCTACCAAACATTTAAAGAACTAATAGCAATCCTACTTAAATGCTTCTAAACAATTGAAGAGGAGGGAGTATTTCCAAACACATTCTACAAGGCCAGCATTACCCTGATACCAAAACCAGACAAGGACACAACAAGAAAAAAGAAAACTACAGACCAATATCAACAATGAACATAGATACAAAAATCGTCAACAAAATACTAGTAAACTGAATTCAACAACACATAAAAAAGATCATTCACCATGATAAAGTGGGATTCATCCTAGGGATGCAAGGATGGTTCAACATATACAAATCATTAAATGTGACACATCACATTCAAAGAATCAAGAATAAAAACCGTATGATTATTTCAATAGGTGCTGAAAAAAGCATTTGATAAAATTCAACATCTGTTTATGATAAAAACCATCATCAAAATAGGTATAGAAGGAACATACCTCAAAACAATAAAGGCCATATATGATAGTTAACTTCATACTGAATGGGAAAAAATTGAAGGTCTTTCTTCTAAGGACTGAAATAAGACAACGATGTCCATTTTCAGCACTTTTATTCAACATAAAACGTGAAGTCCTGGCCAGAGCAATTGAGCAAGAGAAAGAAATAAAGGGCATTCAAATTGGAAAGGAAGAAATCAAATTAGCCTTGTTTGTAGATAACATGATGTTATAGCTAGAAAAAACAAAGATTTATGCAATTTACCCATGTAACACATGTTACCCCTTGAACCTAAAATAATAGTTGGAAACAAAAATTTAAAAAACCCAAAGACTCCACCAAAAAACTGAGTTGATAAGTGAATTCAGTAAAGTTGCAGAACACAAAATCAACATAATGGCTGGGCGCGGTGGCTCACGCCTGTAATCCCAGCACTATGGGAGGCCAAGGTGGGTGGATCACCTGAGGTCAGGGGTTTGAGACCAGCCTGACATGGTGAAACCCTGTCTCTACTAAAAATACAAAAATTAGCTGGGTGTGGCTGTGTGCACCTGTAATCCCAGCTACTCAGGAGGCTAGAGGAGAATCACTTGAACCCTGGAGGCGGAGGTTGTAGTGAGTTGAGATTTCACCACTGCACTCCAGCCTGGGTGACAGAGTAAGACTCCATCTCAAAAAAAAAAAAAAATTTAACATACAAAAATCAGTAGCATTTATATACACCAACAGTGAACAATCTGAAAAAGAAATCAGGAAATCAATGCCATTTACAATAGCTACAAAAAATATAAAATACCTAGAAATCATTCTAACCAAAGAAGTGAAAGATCTATATAAGAAAAACTATAAAACTCTGATGAAAGAAATTGAGGAGGACACACAAAAAAGGAAAGATATAATATTTCATACTCATGAATTGAAAGAATATTACTAAATTAATATTGCCAAAATAACAATACTATCCAAAGCAATTTACAGATTCAGTGCAATCCCTATCAAAATACCAAAGAAGTGAAAGACCTGTAGAAGAAAAACTATAAAACTCTGATGAAAGAAATTGAGGAGGACATACAAAAAGGAAAGATACATATTTCATACTCATGGATTGAAAGAATTAATATTGCTAAAATAACAACAATATCCAAAGCAATTTACAGATTCAATGCAATCCCTATCAAAATACCAATGATATTCTCCACAGAAATAGAAAAATAAAACCCTAAAATTTAAATGGAATCACAAAAGACCCCAAATAGCCAAAGCAATCCTGAGCAAAAAGAAGAAAGCTGGAAGCATCACAATGCCTGATTTCAAAATATACTCCAAAGCCATATTAACCAAAATAGCATGGTACTGGCATAAAAACAGACATATAAACCAATGGAACAGAATAGAGAACCCCACTATAAATCCAGTCATTTACAGCTAACTCATCTTTGACAAAGGCACCAAGAACATACAATGAGAAGATAGTCTTCAATAAATGGTGCTGGGAAAACTAGAAGACTATATGCAGAAGAATGAAACTAGATCCCTATCTCTCACCATGCACAAAAATCAAATAAAAATGGATCAAAGACTTAAATCTAAAACCTGAAACTGTGAAACTACTAGAAGAAAACATTGGGGATATGCTCCAGGACATTGGTCTGAGCTAAGATTTTTTGTATAGGATCTCAAAAGCAGAGGCCACCAAAGCAAAAATAGACAAACAGGTTTACATCAAGCTAAAAAGCTTCTGCACAACAAAAGAAACAATCATAAAGTGAAGAGACAACCCACAGAATGGGAGAAAATATTTGCAAACTATCCATCTGACAACAGATTAATAACCATAATATACAAGGAGCTCACACAACTGAATAGCAAAAAAAAAAATCCAATTAAAAATGGGCAAAAGATATGAACAGACACTTCTCAAAAGAAGAAATGGCCAACAGATTTATGAAAAAATGCTCAACATCACTAATCATCAGAGAAATGCAAATCAAAACCACAATGAGCTGGCCAGGCGTGGTGGCTCATGTCTGTAATCCCAGCACTTTGGGAGGCTAAGCTGGACGGATCACCTGAAGTCAGGCATTTGAGACCAACCTGGCCAACATGGCAAAACCTTGTCTCTACTAAAAATACAAAAATTAGCCAGGCGTGGTGGCAGCCATCTATAATCCCAGCTACTCTGGAGGCTGAGGCAGGAGAATTGCTTGAACCCAGGAGGCAGAAGTTGCAGTGAGCCAAGATTGCGCCACTGCACTCCAGCCTGGGCAACAGGAGCGAAACTCCATTTCAAAAACAAAAAAACCAAAAACAAAAAAAAACACAATGAAATTTCACCCAAGTTAAAATGGCTTGTATCAAAAAGGTAATAACAGATGCCAGCAAGGATGTGGAGAAATGGGAACTCTTGTACACCATTTGTGGAAGTGTAAATTAGAACAGCCACTATGGAGAGCAGTATGGAGACTTCTCAGCAAAACTAAAAATAGAACTACCATATGATCCAGCAGTTCCACTTCTGGAAAAGAAAGGAAATTATATCAAAAAGACATCTGCACTCCCATGTTTATTGCAGCTCTATTCACAATAGCCAGATATGTAATCAACCTAAGTGCCCAGTAGTGGATGAATAAACAAAATGTGGTATATCTACACAATGGAATATTATTCAGCCACAAAAAAGAATGAAATTCTGTCATTTGCAGCAACATGGATGGAACTGGAGGCCTTTATGTTAAGTGAAATAAGCCAAGCACAGAAAGACAAATAGTGTATGTTCTCACTCATGTGGGAGCTAAAAAAGTGGATCTCATGAAGTTAGAGAGTAGAATGGTGATTACCAGAGGCAGGGAAGGGTAGTAGGGAAGGGGGATGAGGGGGAAAAAAGAACATAATGTATTTATTACCACTGAACTGTACACTTAAAAATAGTAAAGATGGACTAGGCACGGTGGCTCATGCCTGTAATGCCAGCACTTTGGGAGGCCAAGACAGGCAGATCATGAGACCAGCCTGGCCAACATGGTGAAACCCTGCCTCTAAGCTGGGTGTGGTGGTGTGCACCTGTAATCCCAGCTACTTGGGAGGCTGAGGCAGGAGAATTGTTTGAACCTGGGAGGCAGAGGTTGCAGTGAGCCGAGATCGTGCCACTGCACTCTAGCCTGGGTGACAGAGTGAGACTCTGTCTCAAAAAAAAAGTAAAGATGGTAAATTTTAATAGGCATATTTTACCTCAAAATATAAAAATACAAAAAGAAAGATGGAAAGAACTTGGGTCCCTGAAAATATTGTCAAGCTTGTTTTGTTTTTGTTTTGTTTTGTTTTGTTTTTGAGTCAGAGTCTTGCCCTGTCGCCCAGGCTGGAGTGCAATGGTGCAATCTCTGCTCACTGCAACCTCTGCCTCCTGGGTTCAAGTGATTCTTGTGCCTCAGCCTCCCGAGTAGCTGGAATTACAGGCACATGCCACCACACCCATTGTATTTTTAGTAGAGACAGGGTTTCCCCATGTTGGCCAGGCTGGTCACGAGCTCCTGGGCTCAAGTGATCCTTTCACCTTGGCCTCGCAAAGCACTGGGATTACAGGCGTCAGCCACTGTGCCCAGCCAAAACCCAGAGTTTTGAGTTAATCTTTGGTATAATTCTTTGTTATCTTCAGCCAAAGGTAATATTTGTATGCTTTTTAGTGTTTTTTACTTAGATTTTATAAACACTTTTCTGTGTCATTTTATATTTTCCACACCATCAATTAAAATGGTTGTATAACACTTTTTTTTTTTTTTGAGACGGAGTCTTGCTCTGTTGCCCAGGCTGGAGTGCAGTGGCGTGATCTCGGCTCACAGCAACCTCTGCCTCCCGGGTTCAAGTGATTCTCCCGCCTCAGCCTCCCAGGTAGCTAGGATTATAGGCATGCGCCACCATGTCCAGCTAATTTTTATATTTTTAGTAGAGATAGAGTTTCGCCATTTTGGCCTGGCTGGTCTCGAACTCCTGACCTTAGGTGATCTGCCCATCTTGGCCTCCCAAAGTGCTGGGATTACAGGCGTGAGCCACCGTGCATGGCCAACACTTTTCTTAAAAGCAGTAATTTCCTGACTTCATCAACCACCCCTTATTTTTTCACTCTCTAGAGGCAACCACTTTTAACTCTTTGAAACAGTTTTAAAAGAAACTATATTCCTTTTGTCATTTGTTTATCTGCATGACATGCTTATACTGCTATTTCCTGATGTTTTTAGTTTTAGACCTTATATATTGACCTCTCACCATGAAAATAAAGATGTTGCTGTCCTCAATCTTTTATACCCTCACTACCACGTTCCCCCCATACTTCCTATGGTCTACTCTCCCAATGTAGTTATAACTTTGGTTAGATCAGTATTCTGTATTTACAGAATTATGAATGCATAAATACTATTTGTAGCTGAAAATAGTATTGTGTTATTCAATAATTTCTTTATTGTACAATAGTCCCCCCTTATCCACAGTGGATACATTGCAAAATACCAGTGGATGCATGAAATCACTGATAGTACCAAACCCTATACAGTATATACAATGTTTTGTCTTATACATACATACCAATGATAAATTTTAATTTGTAAATTAAGCACAGTAAGAGATTAACAGCAATAAATAGCTAACAATAAAATTGGAGAATTAAGTAAAACAAAGGTTATTTGAACACAAGAACTGCAATACAGGGACAATCGTTCTGATAACTGAGACAGCTACTAAGTGACAAATGAATAGGTGGCATATCAGTGTGGAAACAGTGGACAAAAGGATCATTCACATTTTGGTGGGACTGAACAGGATGGCACTAGGTTTCATCATGCCACTCACAACACCGTGCAATTTAAGGCATAAATTGTCTATTTCTGGAATTTTCCATTCAATATAGTATTTTTGGACTGCAGTTGACTGTGGGTAACTGAAACCTCAGATAAGAGGAGATTACTGTACTCCGTGTTAATGCTTGTTTTCTGTTTTTTTGTTTTGTTTTGTTTTCTATGTATTTAGTACATAGAACTTGATCCTGAAACTCTCCCCTGTTTGTCTAAATCTCCTCTTAATACACTGAAGCATCAAGTGTACCAATAGTTTTATCTTTGGGGATTTTAGTTCTAGAACAAGTCGTTATCACCATCATCCCTGAGGATTCTGTTCACTTCTTTCTTGTATTGGGCCTCCTGTTTCTTCAACCTTGTAGCTGCCAGTTTAGTCAGTTTTTTCGTTCCTTTTAGTACAGTACTTCCACTCACAGCCTCCTGAGAATAGGAATGTAGGTAGTAAATTTTTTTTAATCTTCCATATCCAAAAAGTCTTAATTCTATCCTCACATTTAATTGATAGTTTGACTAGTTATAGATTCCAGATTATATTTTTTTCTCAGAATTTCAAAGGCATTGTTCCATTCGATTCTAGCTTCCAATATTGCTGTTGAGAAGTCCAATGCCATTCTGATTCCTAAATATTTTTTATAAGATCTTTTCATCCTGAAAATTTTAATGATATTTTTCTTCCAGTGTTATGAAATTTCACAATGGCGTGTGCTTTGTGGGTCTATTGTTATATATTAGGCTGGATACATGGTGTATCCTTCCATGTAGATACTTTTATGCACTTCAATTTTAAGATATTTTCTAGAATTATTTCTTTGATGATAATTTTCTCTTGTTCTCTCTCCTGAATCTCCTATTGTTCATTTATTGAGGTCTTTAATGTATTTCAAAAAAGTTTAAAATTTTTCTTCATAAAGATTTTATATATCATTTATTTTTTATATATTTTTTATTTTCTTCAGAAATAGGTTATGTATCCAAGATTTATCCATAAGTACTCTATTTTAGCTGCCATTACTATTTATATTTCTAATATAAGTTTGTTTATTGCTTGTATATAACAAAAGGCAGTTGATTTTTATAGTGTTATCATATTTATCTACCTCTTAAACTGTCATAGTAATTCCAATAACTAATTCTAGTATATATAATCATATTGTCTGTGAATGATGGCTGTTTCTTCCTTTGCAATATTTAATCTTTTTTTTTTGTCTGACTATACTGACTAAAACCGCTAGAACTTTGTTCGGTAGAAGCATGATGGTTGCTATCTTATTTCTGATGGTAAAGAAAATGCTTCTAACATTTCATGTGTATGTCATTTTCAATGGTGAAATATTAGAAGCATTTCCTTTAGTGGGTTGAGGAAGATTCCTTCTGTTCCTAGTTTGATAACAGCTTTTAATCATGAATGAGGATTGAATTTTATGTTTTTCTACATAGGTTAAGATATCTACATCTTAAATATATAGAATGTCCCTTTACTAAAAACTCATAATTCTATAATTCAAAGATAAATTGTTTTACTATTGTGATCATACTATATATACATGATATTATTTTTAAATATTAACATGATCTTGGGAATATTTTATTTTATGCTTGATTTTTCCACAAAAGCGTGTCTTTTTCTTTTTCTTTCTTTCTTTTTTTTTAAATTGAGACTCTGTTTCTCAGGCTGGAGTATAGTGGTGCAATCACAGCTCACTGCAGCCTTGAAACCCCCGGGCTCAAGTGATCCTCCTGTCTTAGCCTCCTAAGTAGCTGAGACCATAGCTGTGCCACCATGCCTGACTAATTTTTAATTTTTTTGTAGAGACAAGATGTCCCTATGTTGTCCAGGCTGGTCTCAAACTTCTAGGCTCAAGCAATCCTCCCACCTCAGCCTTCCAAAGTGCTGGGATTACAGGTGTGAGCCACCGTGCTAGACAAAAGCATGGCTTTTAATGACTGCAGTTTTTAATCTTATGTACATATCACACATTTCCAAATTTGAGACCACTAATGTTTTTAATTTCAAATATGTATATAAATATGTATTCTTATTTCCAATTATTTCCTTGGCATGAATTCCTAGAAATTGATCTATTTAGTATAAGTGCTTTTTTAGCTATATGTCCACTAGTATGGTATGAGAATGCCCTGTTTATGCCAGTATTATCATCATTGAATATATTACTGCTGATGTTGTGGTAATACATTTAAACCAATGTGATGGGCAAAAAAATTATATTTTTACTTACATCTTTAAAATTACTGGTGATCTCTGTTATTGACAAGCTGGGCATAAAAAAGTAAATTAATAGAATTACTGGTCTTTATTGGCCATCTGCATCTTTTTGTTTTGTGAAATGATTTTCTCTTTTGTTTATATTTTGACATATATTTTATCTTTATATGTAAAGGTATTAACTCCAAATATATTTAACTTGAACCTAACCAATTCTGCCAATTGTTTTCTTTTATGGTTTCTTTCATTCCTTTTATACTTAGAAAATTCTTTCTTAATTAGATAAATACTTGTTTGTATTTTCTTGAAGGTGCATGAGGTTTGTTTGTTTGTTTGTTTTTTGTTCTAAGATGGAGTCTTGCTCTGTGGCCCAGGCTGGAGTGCAGTGGTGTGATCTCAGCTAACTGCAACCTCCACCTCCCAGGTTCAAGTGATTCTCCTGCCTCAGCCTCCCGAGTAGCTGGGATTACAGGTCCCCACCACCAAGCCCGGCTAATTTTTGTATTTTTAGTAGAGAGGGGGTTTCGCCATGTAGGCCAGGCTGGTCTCGAACTTCTGACATCCAGTGATCTGCCCACTTCAGCCTCCCAAAGTGCTGGGATTACAGGCATGAGCCACCAGGCCCAGCTGAAGGTGCCTAGTTTTATTTTAGATTTTGATGTATGTTTAAAAGTAGGAATAAAAATCTTTTTCCAAGTGTTTTTGATAATTGCCCCAATATCATTTATGAAATAGTCCTTTCTTTCCCACTGATTAGAAATGCCACTCACATTATATATTAAATCCTTAACCACATTAGAATTCATTTCTGGATTTTCTATTATGATCTATTTTGCCTATTATTGTGTCAGTATCATATAATTTTAACTATTAAATGTATAATTATAATATATAAATAATCTCCTATTTTATTACTTTTTTCTACTCTCATAACTATATTCTTCCAGATTTACTTTGTAATCACTTTTCCAAGTTCTAAAACAGACCTCTTGAAATGGTAATGGGATCCTTTAAAATTTTACCATAGTTAGTCTTTCTAGCTAGGAAAGTGTTTTTTATCTTGCCTTTTTTTCAAATTTTTAAAAAAATGATCTTCAATAAAGTTCTATCATTTCCTGCATATACTTTCTGAATATTTTTATGTTTAGTCCTTGATAGTTCACAAATTGGTATTTTTATGTTTTTTCCATTAATTTTTATGACCAAGTTTTTATATATTAAAAAAAAACATTAATTGTATAATTTTTATCAGATAACTTAGTGAACTCTTTTGTTTTCATTTCATTATCTTGAATTTTCTAGGGAGACAAAAGTGTCCTTTGTAAAGAATAAACCTCTCTTCTTTCATATTAGTAGACCTTTTTCTGCTTCTTTTCATAGTTAACTAGCCAAAATTTTGTTTCCTGGTGACAATTTAATATTCCTCTACAATAGAAGAAAACAGTCTCCTTATATCTGTATAGTACATGTATTAGCTGTAGTAAAATAAGAACTCCAGGGCATGCTGTATAACTCAAAGAAAGTAAGGAAGTGGCACTCTTGCTATAAACAACCTTGGTAGAATTACAAAGAATATTAGTTGTGGTGTGATGCTGCCCTCAAGTGGTTTCATCAAAAAAGGGTGGATGGAAAACAAGACCATATAACTGACTTCAGATGTCAGCCATTTAGTTCCAGAAATATCCAGAATGAGGCTGTAGATAGGGAAGATGGCTGGAGGATCTGTTTAGAAGCAGAAGGTGGATATAGGATATAAATTAATGCTGTTTGGGTTTTTACTATTAATGTGATTTCATTAATACTTACAGAATGGATTATACCAGTAAACCATATTTAACTGTCTCAGATAAGCCCTCCTTAGACATGGAATTGATTGACTAACTTCCTTTGGTGTGTCATGGGAAGCTTTTGGCCATGAGATTGTCAGGAACTTAAGTTCAGATAAATCTCTTTTAGGAAGCTAGTTCATACCACAAGTTCTCTTAAGGCATATCAAGTTAGCACCAAGCAAAGGGATGTTCCCTTGCTGCCTGCATACCAATTATGTAGTTAACCGTGGGAGACATTACTACCTGAAAACTCCGTACTATTCTTTTCTTATGCCATTCAGCGTCACTTAACCGAAAAGTCAATACCCAGGATGAGAAACCATTGCTCTCCCTTCAGGATGGCTTTCTTTTTTGGGAACTTGGCTTTTTGAGTAGTTCTTCATCTGAGCTTATATTTTTCTTTTTCTCTTTCTACTCAAAAACTTATTGAAGAATTGGGGGCAAGTTTATGTTCCTTCCTGTGACTTAGAAACTGTTAAAGCTGTTAGACAGCTAGCCAAGATTCTAAAGAAACCCAGACAAGGCAGGGTGGAGACCGAGAGGAGAAATTTATTCCAGAAATTAACTGTTAGCAGTAGTGTTTCTTAATACATAAGCTATATCATACTCCTCAAGTAGATTCTTTGCTTAAAACTTTCACTGTAAATAATTTTATAGCAACCATGTGAATAACTTAAGAATAATAGAATCAGTCTCATTTGTAGGCACTGTAGACCATCTCCATTCCCTACATGTCAGAGACTCTGGGGGATGAATTGGAGATATTAAGAGGTAAAATGATGCAGAGAAGACCAAGGTCAGCAGAAGTCAAATACTTCTATTTCTTTAAAATTTTGCTTAGGCTACGCCTGGCTATTTTGAAGTGTAAGTCCATAAGATATTTTCCTCCATTGATTAATCTTTATTGATAAAGTATTAGCCGTTACAGCTCTTTTGGGATATTTGGCTATTCCTCGGTGTCCTAGATAATACTAAAATTTATTGTACTTTTGCCTTTGTTCCAGAACTATGCTACATGCTCTATATGCACAGTACAATGAAGAGCTACAGAGTTTAAAATGTGATTGAAAAACCCAGCTGTATCTAATGACTGATTACATTAACTATCTAGATCTCTTTGGATAACTTTTTGTTTTTTTCTTATTCCTTTATATTTCTTATTTCTTTTCAGATTTATTTATTGATGATAAAGGAATACTTTTTGTAAGTAGTAGAAAACACCTACCAACTTTGCCTACTCTCTTGAGTAGACTAAAACTGTTTTTGGTAAAGGATCCTCTTTTAGATTTCAAAGGACAGATCTTCACAGAAGCTAATTTTTCCAGGTACTTACTTAATTGACCAATGCTGTAAATATTTTTAAGAGGTGAAAATGTTTTAGTATGATCACAAGCTTAGATGTTATCAACAATGTTTTTTTTTGTTTTGTTTTGAGATGAGTCTTGCTCTGTCGCCCAGGCTGGAGTACAATGGCGCAATCTCGGCTCACTGCAACCTCCGCCTCCTGGGCACATGCGATTCTCCTGCCTCAGCCTTGCTGAGACTACAGGCGTGCGCCACTGTGCCCAGCTAATTTTTGTATTTTTAGTAGAGACATGGTTTCACCATGTTGGCCAGGCTGGTCTTGAACTCCTGACCTCAGGTGATCCACCCGCCTCGGCCTCCCAAAGTGCTGGGATTACAGGCGTGAGCCACTGCACCCGGCCAATAACTTTTATCATCGTTTTACCTCAACTTTAATTTTAATGATTATGTGTTTTGGTTGGCTACATTTAGTATGTAACTTGCTTTTAGTAAACACTAATTAATGTATTTTTTTTTAAGGGAATGTTTCTCTCTTCAAGAAACTTTGGAAGCTTTTGTGAAAGAAGATTTTTGTATGGATAAAGTGAACTTTTGTCAAGAGAAACTAGAAGATACAATATGTTTAAATGAGGTTGTAATACTGGCTTTCAATAATATTTTAGTAAAAGTAGTGAGGCACATTTTTGTAAAATTTGTGTAATATACATTGTCTACAATTGTCAAATTAAAAAGATTTTATAATGGAATGAACATGTATCAATTAAGAAGTCAAATTTACTTCTAAATAGTGGTTCTCAGCCTTGGCTGTATGTTGGAATTACCTGAATAGTTAAAAAAAAATGTTGAAGCCTGAGATATATTCTGATAAATTGGTCTGGTGTGCAGGCCAGTCATAGGGAACTTTAAAATCTCTTCCAATAATTGTAATCAATATACCTGGTATAGGAAATTAAGTAGTCATGTCTAGTTTAAAAATTGACACCTGAACTAGAAATATTGATTTGTGAGTTATACACAAAAAATAGTACTTGAGCTAATGAGAATATTGCAAGAGTAAGAATATAGAGGGTCCAAGACTGAATTTTAGTTTTCTGCCAGTGTTTAACAAGGATGATAGCATCTTTTGCATATTAAAGGCCAAACTTCTCAAAGATGCATTTAGTTTCAATAGCACACAAAATGGTCATAATATCAGTATGTAAAGAATTCTAGCTATTGCGATTGCAATAACTTTTTGCAGCTGGACAAGCTCAGAAATCTAGGCCCATATTGATTAGATGCGTTCACAAAGCTACTTTAAAAAAACATTTTTTGGCCGGGCGCGGTGGCTCACGCCTGTGATCCCAGCACTTTGGGAGGCCGAGGTGGGCAGATCACGAGGTCAGGAGATCGAGACCATCCTGGCTAACATGGTGAAACTCTGTCTCTACTAAAAATACAAAAAATTAGCCAGGCATAGTGGTGGGCGCCTGTAGTCCCAGCTACTCGGGAGGCTGAGGCAGGAGAATGGCGTGAACCCAGGAGGCGGAGCTTGCAGTGAGATCGCACCACTGCACTCCAGCCTGGGTGACAGAGCGAGACTCCATCTCAAAAACAAAACACAAAAAACATTTTTTTAGGACAACTTAAAATGTTTTATATTTGGAGATTTTAATGGACTTAAAGCACTTAAGGGGTTTCCTTACAATAAAAATTTTAACATGATGGTAAAAAGGTTAATTCACCAATAGGCCCCATTCCTCCAGTACCTCTTGCTTCCCAGGTTAACCCTGAGAGTTGTGGACTTAGTCTCTCTTGTTGAGGAGTCAAGTTCTGTTGGAATGAAAGAGAAACATACTCCATGGATCACAGTAAAGATCTATTCCATTCCATGATCTCATTTCACTTCTCACCATTTATTATCTCTCATCTACTGCAGTGACTGTTTTTAATTTAAAATGTTTACAATTTGCTATTAGCCAAAAAGAAGCTATTTCTGCATCTAGGGATATTGTACACCACTAATGTAATGAGTGACCATAAAATACAATACTCAGAGAGAACATTGCTTATAATAGAACGTATTTTTAGCTGCTACATTTCTGTTTTTTTAAAGTATATATAGCTTTAACAATTTTGAATGTGGATTTAGTTTAAAATTTGGCACATCATTTAAGCAAATTTTGTCCACTTATGATTTCGAAAATATTTATTTGGAAAGCCTCTCTAAAAACTTTTTTAAACTATGTTTTTTCAGCCGTCAAGTTTTCTTATTGAGTATGAATTCTTAATACCTCCAAGCCTCAAACCAGAAATTGATATTCCATCACTCTCAGAACTGAAGGAGTTATTAAACCCAGTGCCAGAAATAATAAACTATGTAGATGAAAAGGAAAAGCTTTTTGAAAGAGGTGAGAATTAATTGTAAAATGTATTACTTGTAAAAACCACTTAAGAATGTTTGTTACATAGGTTCTTGTTTATTAAAATTTTTCTGAACCTCCAGATTTTGCAAAAATGTTCTGCAAGTTACATGTTGAAATCTCAGGATTATTTTTGATGAGATTATTTTCTCATTGTCATTTTCTTGTTGTTGTTGTTGTTGTTGTTGTCGAGACAAAATTTCGCTCTTGTTGCCCAGGCTGGAGTGCAATGGCAAGATCTCAGCTCACCACAACCTCCGCCTCCCAGGTTCAAGCGATTCTCCCACCTCAGCCTCCCGAGTAGCTGGGATTACAGGCATGCACCACCACACCTGGCTAATTTTGTATTTTTAGTAGAGATGGGGTTTCTCCATGTTGATCAGGCTGGTCTTGAACTCCTGACCTCAGGTGATCTGCCCGCCTCGGCCTCCCAAAGTGCTAAGATTGTAGGCATGAGCCACTGCACCCAGCCGTCATTCTCTTTGTATGACTTTCAGGTTTAAAACGTCTCTGAAATTTAACCATTTCAAGATAATTATACAAATAAAACTAAAACACCTATGACTATACAAATTTTTGAAGAGTTGTTTTCTTATAAACAATAAAAACATTATCAACTTCTATACTGACATTAGTTAACTATGGAGAGGCTCACCATAAAGAGCTCAGAGTATGGATTCGTGGAGTCAATGACTAGGAGAGTCATAACTTAGAACTTAGATGGTTTCATCCCATTTAGTCTTAGTAAATTTAGTAAATATTATTGAGTTATTTTTAATGACAGTATAAGCCCAAATATTTAACTGCCCTCTCATAAATTTCATTTAAAATGATCAAAGATATATAATATCATGGAGGAAAGGAAGGGGGATCTGCGATATCCATTGAGAACAGGGATGCTTGCCATGAACAGACCACAGACTTGAAGGAATTCTTACGATTAAAACTAAATCAGGGAATTACTGTTCTGCCTGCAAATCAAAGCAAGGGAATGAAAAGCCAACCTGGGAAAGTAGATCAAATCCATACCAGAACTTGCAAATATAGTAGATCTCAAAATGCAGGGTGGGCCATAGGCTTATTGGCAGGACACAAATCTCAGCTCCGTAAATCAAATGTAAAGGACAACAAATGACTTTACTGAGTGATTATACTGTTAAACTCCCAGCCTTCACTTGACTCGGCTGCTGTACTAAGTAAAACAGAGTCACTGCCACAGAGGACTTCTAACAAGGAAACTTATACACATTATTGAAAGGTCAGGGGGTAGGCAGTGTCCCAGGTACCTTTGGGTTGTCACAACAATAATAATAAAAGTGCTTAGTACAGCAATAAAGTTGCCTGCTACAGGGATATCTCAAGCCATAACATCCTTCCTATTTCCCATGCTCAAAGTGTAAGTAAAACTATATAGATTTGCCTACTCTGAACATTCAATAAAAAAGGAATCATATAATATGTCATCTGTGACTTATTTCACTTAGCATAATATTTTCAAGTTTATTGGCATTATCCAACGTATCAGTACTTCATTCATTTTTATGGCTAAACAATATTCCATTGTATGGCTATAGCACATTTTGTCTATCTGTACATCTGTTGATAGATATTTGGGCTGTCCTTTTAACTTAAAAGTAATCCTGCTATGAACATTCATGTACAAGTTTTTGTCCACACATATGTTTTCATTTCTCTTGGATATATACCTAGGAGTGGAATTGCTAGATCAAATGGTAACTCTATGTTTAACTTTTTGAGGAATTGCCAGACTGTTTTCCAAAGTAACTACACTATTTCATTCCCACCAACAATGTGTGAGGGTTCCAAATTACCTACATCCTCTCCAAAACTTGTTATTATATAACTTTTTTATCGCCATCCTACTAGGTGTGAAGTGATATCTCATTGTGGTTTTGATTTGCATTTTCCAGATGGATAAGGATGTCAAACACCTTTTCACATACTGTTGGCTATTTGTATATCTTCTTTGGAGAAATGTCTACTCAGATCCTTTGCCCATTTTAGTTGGGTTATTTTTCTTTTTATTATTGAGTTGTAAGCTTGTGTCATTTGTTTTTGTTTCTCAATTCCTCCTTTTCTGCCTTCTTTGGGATTACTTGAATTTTTTAAGGAAGTGTTTTTGTGACAAAATTGTACATACTTCAGGTGTATAACATATTTTGATATACATATACATTGTGAAATATTTACCATAAAAAAGCTAATTAACTTATCATCATCTCATAGTTACTTTTTTGTATGTGATGAGAATATTTAAGATCTACTTTCTTAGTAAATTTAAAGTGTACAATGCATTATTATTAACTATAGTCACCATACTGTATGTTAGGTCTCTAGAACCTGTTCATCTTATAATAGAAAGTGTATACCCTTTAACCAACTTCTCCTCATTTCCCCTACACCCTAGCCCCTGGTAACCACTCTTCTATTCTCTGTTTCTATAAGTTCGGCTTTTTAGATTCCACATAGAAGTGGTAATATTAGGCAGATTTGTCAATACCTAATTTTTTGAGAGTTTTTATCATGAAAGGGTTTTGAATCTTGTCAGATGCCTTTCTTGCATCTATTGAGATGATCATATGGTTCTTGTCCCTCGTTCTATTAATGTAGTGTATCACATTTATTGATTTGCATATGTTGAACTATCCTTGCATCTCAGGGGAAAAAAATCTCACTTGATCATGGTATATAATCCTTGTAATATGCCGTCAGATACAATTTACTAGTATTTTGTTGAAGATTTTTAATTTTTTTAGAATTCTTATTTTTTATTGAATAATCATGGTTTTAAAATTTTTTATCCTTTTGATATGGTATATTACATTGAGTTTGGGATTTTCAATCAACCTTGCATTACTGCAATAAATCCCACTTTTTTACTAGATTATTAATTTTGTGTCAATATTCATAAGAAATATTGGTCTGTAGTTTTATTTTCTTGTGATGTCTTTGGTTTCAGTATCAGAATAATATGGGCCTCATAGAATGACTTAAGCATCATTAACTTTACTTCTATTTTTAGGAGGAGCTAAGTAATTGATGTTGATTTTTTTAAAATGTTTAGTGGAATTCATCATTGAAGGCAACTGAGCAAGCGTATTGCTTTGTGAGTAGTTCTTGATTACCACAGAGTTATATTTTATGACAAAAATACAAAGATATATAGTTTAAAAAACTAGGTAGATAAATTGTTCCACAGTCACTGAAGCTCTGTTCATGTTTTCTTTCTTTCTTTTTTTATTGTTGAGACAGGGTCTCACTATGTTGCTCAGGCTGGTCTTGAACTCCTGGGCTCAAGTGATCCTCCCACCTTGGCCTCCCAAAGTGCTAGGATTACAGGCATGAGCCACTACACCTGGCCTCTGTTCATTTTTATTCAATTTTTTTCTTATTGTTTTTCAGATTGTGTAATTTCTGTTGCTCTGTCTTCAATTTCACTGACTCTTATGTCACCTCTAATTTTCTGTTAAGCTCATTCAGTGAATTTTTTACTTCAGATATTGTTTTAAAATTTCCATTTGTTCTTTTTTATAGTTTCTCTTTCACTGCTGAGAATTTCTATTTGCTCATTCATTACAACCATATTTTTCTTTACATCTTTTAGCATAGTGATTACTATGTTATGTTATTACTGCTTTGAAATCTTTGGATACTAATTTCAAAATCTGAGTCATCTCATGGTTAGTGTCCAGTAACATATTTTTTTGTAGAGAATGAGTCACATGTTCCTGTTTTTTCATTCTACTAACTGTATTTGGATTGTATCCTGACATTGCACCTGATACATTACAGAAACTGTAGTTTGCTATCTTCCTTTGAAGAGAGTCGACTTTCTCTGTTTGTTTTAATAGGCTGTTAACTTGGCTGAACTCAAACTATAAACTTTGTCTCTACTATGGTGGGAAAGAGCTGAAATCTTTATATAGCCTTAGCTGATATGCTTTCAATCTGCCCCATACATGTGTAGTTCAGGGATCATCCAGAGATTTTTTAAGCAGAGTTTATACATAGAGTTTGGGGCTCCTCCTCTGTTGCTCTCTCTTTTCCTGGATTTCTTCCTTTATCTTCCAGCTGCTGTGGTAACCCTGAACTCTAATTCATGTAGAACTGTCCTCTCATTCTTCAAGATAATAAGACCACAGATTTTTATCCAAGTTCTAGTTGACCCAGCTAGTACGAAATATGTCATCCCTTCAAGTGAAAAGCTGTAAAAATGGGAAATTCACTCAGTATCAATTCCCTTCCCATTTCTGCATGCTTTAGACTGTAGTACCTTCAGATAGTCATTTTACATAGTTTGTTGAGAGTTATAAATGCTATCTACAGGAAGATTGGTCCAATAGGAGCTATTGCTAGAAGTAAAACTCCATTCTGTTTTATATACTAGTTTTTAAATTTTCTTTTTATCTCCTAGGATTCTATTAATATCTCTGAAATGTAGATGAATATTCCTTCCCCTTCTCCTCACTTTATGTATTTTATAGATGGCTACTGTCATTCTATAGGATTTAGAGGGGAGAACTAATATATGTGTTTCCTGCTTTCTTAAAACAAAAGCCAGATAATTTTGAAAGAAATCAATTATAACCTCATTTGAAACATAGGCTAATCTAATTAAAGCTAAGATCTTAGCGATCTCTAAGATCCTCAAGATCTCAGCTTTAATTAGATTAATCTGTTTGAAAGGGAGAAAGTTTTGGTGAAAAAATATGCTAAATTCCTTATTTTATAAATAGGAGAACTGAGACGTAGCCTTTTTTAATTGATAGAAAAAATATTGAAATACATGTATTATAAAATTAATGATAATGCATTGATTTACAATAAGATGTTCTCAGCCCAAAAGCTTCTTAAGCTGATAAGCAACTTCAGCAAAGTCTCAGGATACAAAATCAATGTGCAAAAATTGCTAGCATTCCTATACACCAACAACAGGCAAGCAGTTTGTATGGAACCAAAAAACAGCCCAAATAGCCAAGATAATCCTAAGCAAAAAGAACAAAGCTGGAGGCATCATGCTACCCAACTTCAAACTATGCTACAAGGCTCCAGTAACCAAAACAGCATGTTACTGGTACAAGAACAGACACATAGACCAATGGAACAGAATAGAGAACTCAAATAAGACCACACACCTACAACCATCTGATCTTCAACAAAACTGACAAAAACAAGCAATGGGGTAAGGACTCCTTATTTAATAAATGGTGCTGGGGGAGCTGGCGGAGCTATATGCAGAAAACTGAAACTGGACCCCTTTCTTACACCATATACAAGAATTAACTCAAGATGGATTAAAGACTTAAATGTAAAACCCAAAACTATAAAAATCCTAGAAAAAAATCTAGGCAATACCATTCAGGACATAGGCATGGGAAAAGATTGCATGACGAAAACGCCAAAAGCAATTGCAATAAAAGCAAAAATTGACAAATGGGATCTAATTAAACTAAAGAGCTTCTGCACAGCAAAAGAAACTATCATCAGAGTGAAGAGACAGCCTACAAAATGGGAGAAAATTTTTGCAATCTCTCCATTTGACAAAGGTCTAATATCCCGAGTCTACAAAGAACTTAAACAAATGTACAAGAAAAAAGCAAACAACCCCCAAAAGTGGGCAAAGGACGTGAACAGACACTTCTCAAAAGAAGACATATGGCCAGGTGCAGAGCCTCACACCTGTAATCCCAGCACTTTGGGAGGCCAAGGTGGGCAGATCACTTGAGGTCAGGAGTTTGAGACCAGCCTGGCCAACATGGTGAAACCCCGTCTCTACTAAAAATACAAAAATTAGCCAGGCATGGTTGTAAGTGCCTGTAGTCCCAGTTACTGGGGAGGCTGAGGCAGGAGAATCACTTGAACTTGGGAGGTAGAGGTTGCAGTGAGCTAAGACCACGCCATTGCACTCCATCCAGCCTGGGTGACAGAGCAAGACTCTGTCTCAAAAAGAAGAAAAAGAAGAAGACGTACATGCAGCCAACAAACATGAAAAAAAAACCTTAACATCCCTGATCATTAGAGAAATGCAAATCAAAGCCACAATGAAATAACATCTCATGCCAGTCAGAATGGCTATTATTAAAAAGTAAAAAAACAATAGATGTTGGTAAGGTTGTGGAGAAAAAGGAATGAATGCTTTTACACTGTTGTTGGGAGTGAAAATTAGTTCAACCATTGTGGAAGACAGTGTGGCGATTCCTCAAAGACCTAGAAGCAGAAATACCATTTGACCCAGCAATCCCATTACTGGGTATATATATACCCAAAGGAATATAAATTATCCTATTATAAAGATAGATGCATGTGTATGTTCATTGCAGCACTATTCACAATAGCAAAGACATGGAACCAACCTAAATGCCCATCAATGATAGACTGGAAAAAGAAAATGTGGTACATATACACCATGGAATACTATACAGCCATAAAAAGGAATGAGATTATGTCCTTTGCAGGTACATGGATGGGGTTGGAAGTCCTTGTCCTCAGCAAACTAATGCAGGAACAGAAAGCCAAACACCACATGTTCTCACTTATAAGTGGGAGCTGAACGATGAGAACACATGGACACATGGTGGACGGAACAACACACACTAGGGCTTATCGGGGGTGATGTAGGGGGAGGAAGAGCATCAGGAAGAATAGCTAATGGATGCTGGGCTTAATACCTCGGTGATGAGATGATCTGTGCAGCAAACCACCATGGCACATGCTTACCTATGTAACAAACGTGCACATCCTGTACATGTACCCCTGAACTTAAAAGTTGATAACATGTATAACTTCTGAACTAACAGAGAAAAAAAAAATAAAAAAAACTTTGAGCAATAGAATTAATTCTGTGGAAATAAAGAAGAGCAAAGCAAGGAAAAGGCATTGGAAGCATAAAATAAGATTATAAAAGTATCACCTTTGTTTGAGTAAATATAAATTGGTTAAGCTTCTCTATTAAAAGAGAGATCAATTCTTAGATTAAATTTAAAAAGCAAATATAATGACCATATGTCTGATTCAAAGATCCTACCAACTGCAAGATGTATTATCAACTTAAGAATTTTTAGGGAAGAAAGAAACATTCTAAATGCACATACAGATTATAAGATGCATCATAATTTCAAAAAACAAAATACAAAGTCTATGTCTTTCAATAAAGAACCACTGAGTATGTTGTTTTCAAGAGTTGAGCCTTAAGAAAAGAAGGAAAAAAAGCCAAAAGGTAAAAAATAAAGGGATAGGCAAAATGTGTCAGACAGCTGGGGAAGGAAGGCAGGAAGGCAGGAAGGAAGGCAGGAAAGGAGGGAGGGAGGGAGGGAGGGAGGGGAAAATAAAAGGATAGGCAAAATGTGTCAGACATCTAGGGTGGAGAAGGAAGGAGGGAAGGGAGGGAAGAAAGAAAGCCAAAAGATAAAAAAGGGATAGGCAAAATGTGTCAGACAGCTGGAAACAAAGGAGGGAGGGAGAGAGGAAGGGAGGGAGGAAGGAAGGAAGGAAGGAAGGGGGGGAGGGGAGGGAGGGAAGGAAGGAAGGAAAGGAAGGAAGGAAAAAAGGAAGGCAGGCAAAAGATAAAAAAGGGATAGGTAAAATGTGTCAGGCAGCTGGAAAGGAAGGAGGAAGTGAGGAAAAAAGGAAGAGAGGGAGGGAGGGAAGAAGGGAGATAAAAGAAAGAAAAAAGAAAGCCAAAGTGGCAGTATTCATATAGACAAGTAGAGTTCCAGCTAAGCAAGGCATAGAAAGTCATCATATATTGATAGAGATGAAACCCTTCAAAGCGACCTCATTCTTTGAAGTTTGTGGCTTATGGATTGCCCACCCTATCTTACCTTCCAGTGATTATGTAGATTTTGCCATTTTTATTTTCCTTGGGTAATTCTGATTGACAGTTGAAGGGCAACAAGGAGTGTGCATGGGGGAATAGTTATTTACCTAAGTTAGCATTTTCTTCAGAAGTATAAATCTCTACTTCTCTCTAAAAGGAAAAATTGACATGCAATAAAACAATAAAGATACTTTAAAAGGAAAATGCCACTGAACAAGGTTACAGAAAATTAATTTAATGGTACATTTGCTAATAACAGAGTTTCTTCCTTTTCAGATCTTACTAACAAGCATGGAATTGAGGATATCGGGGATATAAAATTCAGCTCCACAGAGATTTTGACCATTCAAAGCCAGAGTGAACCAGAAGAGTGCAGTAAACCAGGTAGAAATTTTGATAAATCATTGAGCTTATTGGGGATTACCTATTTATGATGTAAAAGTACAGTACATTCACATATACAGTGTACTGTGAGTCAGTTTCCATGTTTAAAATTGGATTGTTATAATCCTGTCATTTTTTCTTATTTGCTCCTTTATATTTATTACTATTATTAACTTAGAATTCTACTGGCATCAAAACTGAATAATAGGCCTAGTGCGGTGGTTCACGCCTGTAATCCCAGCACTTTGGGAGGCTGAGGTGGGCGGATCACTTAAGATCAAGAGTTCAAGACCAGCCTGGTCAATATGACGAAACACCATCTCTACTAAAATTACAAAAATTAGCCAGGCAGGCATGGTGACACATGGCTGTAATCCCAGACACTCAGGAGGCTGAGGCACGAGAATGGCTTGAACTGGCGAGGTGGAGGTTGTAGTGAGCCGAGATTACACCACTGCACTCCAGCCTGGGCAACAGCTAGACTCTGTCTCAAAACAAACAAAAAAACCCCTGAATAACAAAAAGATGGCAGTTACAAAGAGTGTAGAAGAGGAATGGAGGAAATAGCATTAATATTAAAAGTAGAAACCTTAAAATATTATAGCTCAGTAAATAAAATTTCATATTTCATCTCAATATTAGCAATCTTGCTGACCACTGTCACATTTTTTTTAAATTTGAATTTTTAATCTCCCAAAGCAATGTTATCGTTCTCTATGTCATCATTATTGTTAATATTATTCTACCAAATTTTGAATCTTAGAATCATCTTTTGTTCCAGTACAATGCCAAAGTATGTTGCTTAACTATATTGATAGCCCTGATACTTAATTACATTTATAATTGGATCTTCTGAATTATCTATTTGAAAGTTTACTGCTTTATTTATGAAAGTAATAAAACCACACTTACTAGTTAGCAATACATGAGAATCACTTTTTCAAGCCCGCCCTATAGATATATAATTTTGTGCTAGGCCATCTAGAGTCCAGAGTCATTAAGGTGAATAATTACTCTTTATAATACAGTTTGTTTAACATCACTAATAATTAGTATGGAAATAAAAATAATAATTTTTTTCTTTCTTTGGAAATAAAAATAATTCTATTGCCTAAGTACTGACAACACAAGCTGTCAGAATCAAAAGCCTTAATACATATAAAGCTCTTGGAATTTATGTTAAACACAGTAAACTCAATAAAGTTTAGCTATTAATGTATGTTTTAAAAATCACCACGGTTGTAATTGAGACACAATGTTATATATATGTAATTCCTTATATAGATAGACATTTAAGACATTTTATATCTCAACTCAAATTTCTTTTTATTGAAATATTTTTGTTTTAACAGATGACCAAACATAATAGTTGCTTACAAAATGTTCTAAATTATACTTAATTTTTATTTATTTATTTTTTTTAGAGACAAAGGCTTGCTCTGTTGCCCAGGTTGGAGTACAGTGACACAATCACAGCTCATTGCAATCTCAAATTCCTGGGCTCAAGCAATCATTCCAGCTCAGCTTCCCAGGTAGCTAGGACTACAAGCATGTGCCACCACTGCTGGCTAATTTTGTACTTTTTGTAGAGACTGATCTTGCCATGTTGCCCAGGTCTTAAACTCCTGGACTCAAGTGATCCTCCTACCTCAGCCTCCCAAAGTGTTAGAATTACAGGTGTGAGCCACCACGCCTAGCCTACTTAATATTATTCAATGTTTACATAACTTTAATTTTCATATATTCCAGGAGAGTTAGAAATGCCACTAACTCCTCTATTCCTAACATGCCAACATTCTTCAGTGAATTCATTACGTACAGAACTTCAGACATTTCCATTATCTCCGGTTTGTAAAATGTAAGTAAAGATTATATCTAGAACCCATGTTGCAATTCAGAACAAGCAGTCTTTATTTAAATCTCTCCATATAAAAGCAATTTCCAAGATACCTCTATGAAAAAATTTAAGAGCTAGTACAGTGTCTGTAATAAGTAACTAAAAGGAATATATAAATTTATGTATATATTTGGTTTTATATGCAAAGAGTATCTTTAGAAGGGCACCCAAGAAACAAGTAATATTGCTTGTATCCAGAAAAGAACTAGGTAACCTAGCAATGTGTGTAGGAGATTTTTCACAGTATGGCTTTTATACATTTCAGTATTTTTAATGTGAATATATTATCATTAAAAATAAATAACTTAAAAAATTTTGAAGATCCTGGCATTGGAATAGTATGCTTAGGACATTGCCACTGGACACTTGCTAATGGCACTGTCTCTACTGGCAGTCACTGCCATGAAAGGCAATGTAGTGGTGTATTAGTTTGCTAGGGCTGCCCTAACAAATACCACAGATTAGATGACTTAAACAATAGAAATTTATTCCTTCACAGTTCTGGAGGTGAGAAGTGAAAGAACCAAGTGTCAGCCGGGTTGGTTTCATTCTAAGACCTCCCTCCTTGGCTTATAGATGTCCCTTTGCCTTCATATATTCTTTCCTCTATCATTGTCTATACCCCAATCTCCTGTTCTTATAAGGATACCAGTCACATTGTATTAATGGCCCTGTTTAACTTAATTACCTCTTTAAAGACCTTGTCTCCAAATACAGTCACATTCTGAGGTACTGAGGATTAGGTCTTCAACATAAGAATTTTGTGGGGACACAATTCAGCCCATAATAAGTGGTTAGAAGCTCTGAACTAGAGCCAGATTGCCTAGCTCTATCACTTTCTAACTGCAACCTTAATTGTTCTGTGCCTCAGGTTTTTTAAATCTACAATACTGGGATAATAATAGTATCTATAAGGTTGTTAAGAGGTCTACTAAAAGATTTGTCATAGGTCTGTGGCCAGAAGTAGCCAAAGATCACAGAGCAGTGTGGACAATCGTTGATCAATAGATTTGGCTATCAGTTTATTCCCATTAAGAGTGCAAGAGTCCTTGCTCTCTTATGGATGTCCTATCTCTAACAGAGGACAGCCACTGACCTTGTTCACCTCTTGTCAATGTGGTCTCAGTAATGGGTGGACCAGACATACAGAACCAAGGCTTGATTCGTAAACTTGTTCAATACCCCATCATTATTGCACAGAATAGTCTGAAATTGTAGAATTGATACTGCAGGGCTAGGTCATTATATTCTAGTTTGAGCCAAAACTGCATAGCTTAATAGCCCAGCATCCTTGCCCTTTGATAGAGTCTGAGATAGCTTTCATTGCTGTCTTAAACCATGCAGCACACATGTAGCTTAATGTTTTCTAAGATTGATTAGTCTGCTATCCTGGAATAAAGCCATTCCATTCCTCTGCTTCTTACGCCAGTTAAAAAATTGGGAACATAACCAGTACAATTAGTCTACTGTAAACCTAGAACTTAATGTGTCCTAAAATAACATATTTTCAGGAAGATGACAGTAAAGTCTACAAGTCTCTAATGAATTATTCCAGGACTGGAAACTGTGGGAACTGTGTGTGTTAGGTTTGAATTCTTGTTATAATTAGCTGATCTGCCAGAGGAGAGTGCTATTTGGATTACTGGGACCAGCTGGAGTCAAGGCTGTATAATTCATCACTGGCTGCTTAGGCTTCTATTAATGGTCTCAGGAAAGTGTCAAAGCATAAGACTGAGGGCCCTAAATATATCTTTATCTTCTGGCTAAGAATTATTTACATTTCTAGAGTAAATTTGTGCTATACAGAGTTCTATCATGAACTAAGAATTGTCCATATCAGATATGAGCCCTAAAAAGAGCATAGGACAAGTATGGAAACTACATACACTTTGTTTAAATACTTTTAGTTCTCTTGATAAGGTACAAGATATTTATTTGCAGGACATATACTGTTTTTGTTAGTGCCCTTTTACTCTTTTATTTAGTCCATACACCCTAATCCATCTGTTATGACAGACTGGCATTTTTAGAAACAGAAACTAGCAGAAATTAGTATGATCTTTAATTTCAGTTTGATTTTAGAAGTATTTAAACCATAATAAGCTCTTTTTAATCACAAGTTATATGTCTATTGTTATAACTCAAATATCTAATAAGAATTTATGAAACAAATCTTAACTAATGACTTACGATTTGGCAAAGTTAGAAAAAAAAGGCTTTCAAATTAGCTAATGGTTTTAGAGCCATTTGAAACAACTGAAAGAAGTTTTCCCCTCACTACTACATTTACCAGCAAGAGATAAATCACTTCCATTTGTTTGGCAACTGTAAAAGCTTAAAAATCCATATTTTAAAAATGAGTTTACAGTAGTCCCCCTTTATGCCGGGAGAATAAATTCCAAGACCTTAAATGGATGCCTGAAACTGCGAATGTTATTGAACCCTATATATACTGTTTTTTCTCATATATTCATACCTATGATAAAGTTTAATTTATAAATTAGCCATAGTAAGACATTAACAGCAATAACTATAGTAAAATAGTAAAATAGAACGACCATAACAAATACCATCCTCATTACTCTTGTGCTTTGGAGTCATTATTAAATACAGAAGGGGTTACTTGAACACAAGCACTGTGATTCTGCAACAGCTGATCTGATAACTGAGAATGCTACTAAGTGACTAATGGGCAGGTAGTGAGTACATATAGTGTGGATATGCTGGGCAAAGGGATGATTCACATCCTGGGCGAGATGGTGTAGGATGGCATGAAATTTCATCACACTGCTCGCAACAGTGCAATTTAAAACTTATGAATTGTTTATGGAATATTCTGTTTAATAGTTTGGACTGCAGTTGAACACAGATAAATGAAACCGAGTATAGTGAACTCATGGATAAGGGGGAACTACTGTATATCTCAACTGTAAAACTAAAAACAAGGAGAAAAGGTGTTAAAATTTTTTTGAAAAAAAGAAGGAAAAATAACAAAGAATGTTATTGTAGCTTTAACTTATTTTTATGGTCCCAATTATTTTTATTTCAGAGCACAACATTTTGGCTGAAAATAATACCCAGTTAACAATATTTTTAGTGCCTACCACATATAAGATTCTATGCTAGATTTTATGGGCTAAAAAAGAAAAGTCTGTATGGCATAAGATTTTATTAAGCTACTAACTGACTGCTGACTTGTGAATATATTTTTATGAACAATGTATCAGATTCAGACATGCCTTCAGAAAGCTCCGTTAAGAGTGAAAATGTGTGTCTATATTGGACATGGCCTGCTAAATATAACACGTTCCTTTCACTTTAAAATAGTTGCTTACAATCTGAGGTGTTGTCAAAGAAACCTTGGTAAGATTCAGGAATTGTCTAGATTCTCAAATTTTCTATCACATGACCAGATTTTTGGATTATGTGGGTAAACTGGATGCCTTAGACATAAAACCTAGCTTTCCACTGCCCTAGACTGTCAATTTAACTGGCAATACTTATAATTAGCATGCTCATATATGTTCCATATGAACAGAGAAACAGAATACAATCAGTTCTCACTCAGGGTAGCAGGGAGCTTGGGACACAGATTAAGGGGTTTATGAATTAATAGTCTTTCCCCTACGAAGGCTAGTAGCATCATAGCTACAGATGAGCTGTAATTTACACTGATTGACATGCTTATTTTCTCCCTTCTCCCCCCGAGTACCCCTAAACACACATACACAGACACACATCACTCACTCACAAACCCACCAAGATTGAAGGTCTTGAACTAAACTTTAGGACTCTGCCATCTCCAGAGAAGGACTTTTTCACAGTTCTGATCCTCAGCCAGTAGAGGATCCAGAATTTCTATATGGAATGGACTTGGGGACAGCAATTTTATAAAAATTTTTGTTGAGGTTGCTATGTGCATGGTAAGCATGGTAATTTTACTTAGATTGTATTTTTATTTTTGGTGGCGTATAAGGTTGACGCTAGCATAGTTTATGGAGGGAAGTGCTAAAACTCTCCCAAGTCAGCCCTCTCTGGCTCCAGGTTCCATTGAGGGAGGTAGAGGTGGGAGTAATTTACAGTCAAGTAGGAACAATTGAGTTTACAAATTACCAAACTTTCCCAAGGATGGAGGAAGTGAGTACTGTGTTTGATATTTGGTCTGTAGAACTCGACTGCAGTTTACACATTTATAAAGTCAATTTTTCACTTGATTTTGAGTGTAAAAGTACTTTAAAAATACTTTTTAAAAATAAAATTTTGGGCCAGGCGCGGTGGCTCACACCTGTAATCCCAGCACTTTGGGAGGCCAAGGTGGGCGGATTACTTGAGGTCAGGAGCTGGAGACCAGCCTGGCCCACATGGTGAAACCCCGCCTCTACTAAAAATACAAAAATTAGTCAGGCATGGTGGCAGACGCCTGTAATCCCAGCTGCTCGGGAGCCTGAGACAGGAAAATCGCTTGAATCTGGGGCGGAGGTTGCAGTGAGCCAAGATAGTGCCACTGTACCCCAGCCTGGGCGACAGAGCGAGACTCTGCCTCAAAAAAATAAAATAAAATAAAATTTTATTATACAAAAGACTCAATATTATTAATGTATTAAACTTTAACTCTTTTTTTCAGTAATTTGCTTACTGCTGAAGAATCAGCTAATGAATACTACATGATGTGGCAATTAGAAAGATGTAGAAGCCCTTTGAACCCATTTTTGCTTACAGGTAAAGATTAATTGCCTTTAAGTGATAAATAGAAAGTATAGGTAAAAAGGTACAACGAGTAGAAATGTGGGATATCCTTTTTCTTTGACCATTTCTTAACAGAATATATAACTTCGCCTAAAGCTAAAATACCAAGATATCTTCCATAAGGTTCATTATGCTAGGTGCAGAAGTATATGACAAGATCCGGATCTTGCTGATTTTCTGGGTAATTCCTATACATGGGAGAAGGAAAAGAAAAGAAATGAAATACAAGTAGTACATAAAACTGTCCCATACAAGTAATTTGTATTTCCAAAGTTGTGAGTTGTTTGTAAAAAAAAATAAAAATAAAAAAAAATCTCATCTAATGTTAAAAGTTTTAGTTGCCCAAGCTTTCCAAAAAAGACGTTTAAAAACATTTTAACAACGGCCGGAAATTAGCCGGGAGTGTCGGAGCGCACCTTTAGTCCCAGCTAGTCGGTAGGCTGAGGCCCAAGAATCACTTGAAAACCTGGGAGGCGGAGGTTGCAGTGAGCCGAGATGGCGCCATTGCGCTCCAGCCTACGTGAAGGAGCAAGTCTCTGTCTCAAACAAACGAACAAACAAACAAAACAAAAAAAATGGCCGGGCACCGTGGCTCACACTTGTAATCCCAGCACTTTGGGAGGCCGACCCGGGCGGATCATTTGAGGCCAGGAGTTCGAGACCAGTCTGGCCAACATGTTGAAACCCCCTCTCTACTAAAAATACAAAAATTAGCTGAGCATGGTGGTGCACGCCTGTAGTCCCAGCTACTCTGGAGGCTGAGGCAGGAGAATCGCTCGAACCAGGGAGGTGGAAGTTGCAAGAGCTGAGATCACCACTGCACTCCAGCCTGAGCAACATGGTGAGACTCCATCTCAAAAATAAATAAATAACATTTTAGCAAAACTTGTTTATAGTTTAACAAAATAATTTTGAGGTTATACATTTCACATGTATATTCAAAATTTATCTGAGTAAGTTAAACTCTTGTCTGTGTCTGAACTATTCCATCACGGAAATGGAACTTTGGATAAGGTATTGTTTTAAAAAATTTTTAAATGAATCACTGAGTTGCATTTGGAGGCCAAAAACAAAGTGAAAACAGGAATCCTGGGAAGCAAGTAAGCACCAAAGCTGGCTTTCACTCCAAGCTTTCTATTAAACCTTGGAGACTTTGAACTTCTGTTTTGAGGTCGACATGTAGTGTAGAGTCAAGAAATATCCTACGTGGAGGGTCTGATAGGGGACCCCTACATAAAACTGGGAATTCAACAAACTACCATCAAAATAAGAGCATACAAAAGTAAACCACCATATATAGAAGGGAACTCCGAATAAATTTGCATATTTCTACCTTGGAGCTGGAAGAGAGGAAAAGAAAAAAAATTTCTCTTAAGTACTGCTAACCAGAAGGCAGCCATCATGCCTGGTTGCAGTCTGAATTCAAACCACCTATATACTTTTAAAAATAGTGGTGATTTAATTTAAAGTGGTCCCAGGTTGACAGTGCCTCCCAAACACATAGAGACAAAAGTAAATCCTTTCTAGAGGAAAATAAATTTTTTTTCTGGAAGAATGTACTTCAACTCGTGCTTCAAAGACCTTCCACAAAGTTGAAAGAAACACATGCTAATAGACAACAATCACAAAATATATTGGCATGATCAGTGAGATACAGCAGAAACATTAGACATCAAAATCAGATCATATATTGAAATTATCAGTTACATAGTATAATATACTTTTAAAGCAAAAAAAGGGGGGAACAAGACGTCTTGTATTATTTCTTGCAACTGCATGTGAATCTACAATTATTTCTACCTGAAAAAAAGGAATGGACTGTTGATATACACAACACAGATGATCTCAAAATAATTATGCAGAATGACAGAAACCACAAAAAATTCATATGGTATAATTCCATTTATATAAAATTCTAGAAAATGTAGTTTATAGTGTCAGGAAGCAGAACAGTGGGACAGGGGTTGGGGGATGAGGAAGATTAGAAGGGAGGTATAAAGAGGCAGGAGGGATACAAAACTTCGGAGGGAATGGATATGTTCATTACCTTGATTGTGGTAATGGATTCATGAATGTATAAATATGTCAAAACTTATGAGACTTTTCACTCTAAATATGTGTAGTTTATTGCATGTCAGTTATACTTTAATAAAACTATTAAAAATTATACCTATTTTATAGAATTATTTAGGGATTAATTAAGAATAATGCATGTAAAGAAAGCACTTAGCATAGTGCCAGATGTTTTTTAGTAACTTGTAATTACTATTATTAATATTAGTATTTTTAAGTTTTAATTTCTTCTTAATATTACTGTCATTATAAAAGCACCATTCCAAAATTAGAGTTTCAAAATTTATAATCCTAATTTCAGGTTGATGTTTATAATGCAGATAATAATATTAGGTAGTTGTGCTACTTCAGTTCCTCCATATGTTATGATTTCTCCCGTTTAGGCTAGAAAGTAATGAGGCAGTAAGCGCTGTACCACAATATCTAAGATGATATAGTCATCATAAAATCTGAACAAATATTTCTTCTTGTTTAGGCTTATTATAATGAGTTAGAATTTCTAATTTAATAAAGCTTGTATTACTTCAAAATGTTAAACATTAATTTAATAATTGAAAATGGTCAAACAAAATAAGATTTCCTTCTACTAAATATCAGAATAATTTTAACTTTTTGATATTTTCAAAGAGTGAAATAAATCCTTTATGTGACTTCTACTGCTACAATAGCTTAAACTTTTACAAATATTAGCATCTTGAGACAAAAATACCAGCTATAACTTCAAGTTTCACTTATTTTCTAATGCATAAAAATGCATTTCATAAAGAAATTCCAGTGTGGTTCTGTTTATTGTGTTTTGTTTCTTTTGCTTTGTAGACTGTTTCTAACTATTTGTTTTTTATTTTTTTTTAAGTGCCAAGAATTCAAGAGCCCCACAGCCAATATTCAGTTACAGATTTGAAAAAGATATTTTCTGTTAAAGAAGAAAGCCTTGTGATTAATCTGGAAAAGGCAGAGTGGTGGAAACAAGCAGGACTAAATCTGAAAATGATGGAAACATTGGAACATCTGAATACATATTTATGTCATGATAATTTGTCTTCTAATGACACTAAAATTGAGATATTTTTGCCTACGAAAGTGCTTCAATTAGAATGTAAGTACATCACAGTAAATATTAGTTATGTAAACATTTTCAGAATGTGAAAATGTTAGATTCTGGATTTCCTCTAGGTAATTGGGAAAATCACTAGGTTCTAGCATTCCATATAGGCCCTGGCTCTGCCAGAATTTATGACTTTGGATTTCTCTAGGTCCCATTTTCTTGAAAAAATGATGAAGTTTGACTAGCTAACCCTAAAATCTTGTTATGTCCTAAAATTCTATAGTCTCAGTTTTTAAATTTCTAGCCATTTTCATTTAAAGTGACTTTGTTTCCTTTTATAAATGATTAAATTGCTAGCAGTTTCCGTTCACATTGGCCTAGACGCAAACCAGCATTTTGCAGTAACTGTTTTTTGACCTAACAGCTGAACATTAGCATTCAATAATATCACTCTTTAACAATAGAGGATCTTCGTTTGTTACTTAAAAGTATACTAATTCATTTTTTACTGTACAACTTAAGAAGGCAAAAATGTCTTTTGAGTATGTCTTGAGCTATTTGGGTTGCTATGTACAGCATTATATTAATAGTAAATTAAACATATTTAGCATGAATTATATATTTTGTGTGTGGGGGGGGGGGTTTGTTTTTATTGTTTGTTTGTTTGTTTTGAGACATAGTCTCACTCTGTTGCCCAGGCTGGAGCACAGTGGCATGATCTCGACCCACTGCAACCTCCACCTCCCGGGTTCAAGTGATTCTCCTGCCTCAGCCTCCCAGGTAGCTGGGATTACAGGTGCCCGCCACCATGCCCGCCACTATTTTTAGTAGAGATGGGGTTTCACCATGTTGGCCAGGCTGGTCTCGAACTCCTGACCTCAAGTGATCTGCCCGCCTCAGCCTCCCAAAATGCTGGGATTACAGGCATGAGCCACCGTGCCCAGCCAGATTTGGGAAAGTTTATAGTTTATTATAGGATAATGAACATATTTAGAAATAAATTTTAGAAATTACTGTCTATGTTGGGAGATTGGTCTAAGGAGATAAGGAATCTGAATAAGAATTGTTATCAGCAAGGAGTGTTTCAAACACAGAAGACAGAACGATTTTTTTAACATATACCCAGTAATGGGATTGCTGGGTCGAACGTAGTTCTGTTTTAAGTTCTTTGATAAATCTCCAAACAGTTTCCACAGTGGCTGAACTAATTTACATCCCCCACCCAGAGTGTATAAGTATTCTCTTTTCTCCACAGCCTTACCAGCCTCTATTGTTTTTCAACTTTTTAATAGTAGCCATTCTGAATGATATGAAATGGTACCTCATTGTAGCTTTGATTTGCATTTCTCTGATGATTGGTGATGTTGAGCACTTTTTTCATACATTGTAAGTCTTGTAAGTCTTCTTTTGAGAAGTGTCTGTTCATGTCTTTTGCCCATTTTTTAATGGGGTGGTTTTTTGCTTGTTCAATTGTTAAAATTCCTTGTAGAGTCTGGATATTAGATCTTAGTTGGATGCACAGTTTGTGATTATTTTCTCCCATTCTGTAGACTGTCTGTTTACTCTGTTGATAGTTTCTTTTGCTGTGCAGAAGCTCTTTAGTTTCATTAGGTCCCACTCGGCAATTTTTGTTTTTGTTGCGATTGTTTTTGAGGACTTAATCATAAATTCTTTCCCAAGACTGATGTCCAGAATGGTGTTTCCTAGGTTTTCCTCTATGATTCTTATAGTTTAAGGTCTCACATGTAAATATGTAATCCATCTTGAGTTAATTTTTATATATGGTGAAAGATAGCGATCCAGTTTTAGTCTTCTGTATATGGCTAGCCAGCTATCCCAGAACCATTTATTGAATAGGGAGTTCTTTCCCCCTTGCTTATTTTTGTTGGCTTTGTTGAAGATCTGATGGCTGTAGGTGTGCGACTTTAATTCTAGGTTCTCTCTTCTGTCCCATTAGTCCTTGTATCTCTTTTTGTACCAGTACCTTGGCATTTTGGTTACCCTAGCCCTATAGTATAGTTGGAATCAGGTAATGTGATACCTCTGGCTTTATTCTTTTTGCTTAGGATTGCTTTGTCTACTCAGGTTCTTTTTTGGTTTTATATGAACTTTGGAATAGTTTTTCCTAGGTCTGTGGAAAATGATGTTGATAGTTTGATAGGGATAGTGTTGAATCTGTACATTGCTTTGGGCAGTCTGGTCATTTTAACTATACTGATTCTTCCAATCCATGAGGATGTAATGTTTTTCCTTTTATTTGTGTCATCTATGATTTCTTTCAGCAGTGTTTTGTAGTTCTCCTTGTAGAGGTCTTTTATCTCATACATGCACTAATATGTTCATCACAGCACTATTCACAATAGTAAAGACATGAAATCAACCTAGGTGCCCATTAACGTGGATTGGATAAAGAAAATGTGGTACCAATGAGATACCATCTCACGCCAGTTAGAATGGCGATCATTAAAATGTCAGGAAACAACAGATGCTGCAGAGGATGTGGAAAAATAGAAATGCTTTTACACTGTTGGTAGGAGTGTAAACTAGTTCAACTGTTGTGGAAGACAGTGTGGCAATTCCTCAAAGATCTAGAACCAGAAATACCATTTGACCCAGCAATCCCATTACTGGGTATATACCCAAAGGATTATAAATCATTCTGCTATAAAGACACATGCACACGTATGTTCATTGCGGCACTATTCACAATAGCAAAGACTTGGAACCAACCCAAATGCCCATCAATGATAGACTGGATAAAGAAAATGTGGTACATAATACACCATGGAATACTATGCAGCCATAAAAAAGGATGAGTTTTATGTCCTTTGCAGAGACATGGATGAAGCTGGAAACCATCATTCTCAGCAAACTAACACAGGAACAGAAAATCAAACATCACATATTCTCACTCAAAAGTGAGAGTTGAACAATGAGAACACATGGACACAGGGAGGGGAACATCACACACCAGGGCCTGTTGTGGGGTTGGGGGCTAACGGAGGGATAGCATTAGGAGAAATACCTAACATAAATGAAGGGTTGATGGGTGCAGCAAACCACCATAACATGTATATACCTATGTAACAAACCTACACGTTCTGCACATGTGTCCCAGAACTTAAAGTATAAAAAAAAAATGTGGTACATACACACCATGGAATAGTACCCAACCATAAAGAAGAATGAAATCATGTCCTTTGCAGTGACATGGATGCAGCTGGAGGCCATGATCTTAAGTGAATTAACTCAGGAATAGAAAACCAAATACTGCATGTTCTAGTGGGAGCTAAACATTGGGTATTCATAGACATAAAGATGGCAACAATAGAAACTGGGGGCTACTAGAGGAGGGAAGTGGGGGAAGGGGTTGAAAAACTAACTATTGAGTACTATGCTCAATACCTGGGTGATGGGATCAGTCATAGCCCAAACCTCAGCATCATGCAATATACCCAGGTAACAAACCTGCCCATGTACTCCTAAATCTAAAATTAAAAGTTCAAATTATATTTTAATCACAAAAAAACTACAAATAGCAAATACCAAAATATATAACAGATGTATAAGTGCTCCTTGGGATAAATATATGATAGACAATTAACTGTCATCATATCCCTGTCTCTGTTTCCACTCATTTCTATAGTGTACTCCTGTGGCTCACTAGTAATATAACCACAGTGGTAACACAAATTCCAGGTTCAACGGTAACCTAAGAAAATCTGCTTTCTTACTTCTTGAATATTCCTTATAAAAAGAACAATAAGGGATGTAAAATAAATTTTTTAGAAAGACAGAAGACAAAGATATTTGGTTGGCTAGGAAAGAGAACAGATAAACAGACAATATCAAGCAAATACACACCAGTCCATCTTAGGCCTAGATGGTACCCACGGTGGAATAAGAATGTTAAATAAGATTAGGTCAGGTTAGTAGACAAAGAAAAGGGAGAAGATTTTATGAGGTCTTGAAATATCCATATAATGTATTAAATCTATAAAACTATGTAAAGTCTTTATTGTGATTTGTAACTAATTTGAGATTAAAATAAAACATATTCATATTTGATATTCTTGATATCCAATAAATTATTATGATAATTCCGAAGTTGGAAATGCTGTTGGAAAATGATAGCAATACGTTTGCTTGATGCAAGATTGCCACAAAACTTCAATTTGTAAAAAAATGAATGTTTAACAGTATAATTAAATATATAGCAGTATAATTCTGAAGTTTAAGTAGCAATAACTATATCTGGAACCCATGCCAAGCGGTCAGGGTAGGGGTGCTTAAAGAGAGAATAATAAAGGAAAATAATGAGAAAACTGAAATAATAAACAGTTTCTATTCACCTGCTGAACATACCAGATTACCACTAGAGAATATCTGAAAAGTGGCACTTGGATCCTATTCAGCCCACATATTATTGACTCATATGGTGTTTTAATTAGTTAACAACTTTTTTTTTTTTTTGAGACAGAGTCTTGCTCTGTTGCCCAGGTTGGCGTGATCTCAGCTCACTGCAACCTCTACCTCCTGGGTTCATGCAATTCTCCTGCCTCAGCCTCTCAAGTAGCTGGGACTACAGCCACGCGCCACCGTGCCTGGCTAATTTTTGTATTTTTAGTAGAGATGGGGTTTCGCCATGTTGGCCAAGCTGGTCTCAAACTGCTGACCTCAGGTGATCCGCCCGCCTTGGCATCCCAAAGTGCTGGGATTATAGGCATGAGCCACCGTGCCCAGCCAGTTACCAACATTTAAAATTTGGCAGATTTCACATATATAATCTGTATTTTGAACTTATTTTTTAAATTCCAAAAACTGGACTCAGATTCTGATATGGCAACAATTGGCTGGAGGTGTTAGCAGCTTACCACATTAGACAGACCATGCACTCTCCAGCTCGCTGTAGTTCCCAGGACTTACAAATTGAGTCCTGTTGTTACTTGACATCTGACCTTTTTGTCTTACATTTAGGTATAGTTAAGAGGAAAGTAAAATGTTTCTTATACCAATATCTCTAATAAAAGCAAAAAAAAAATTATAAACTACATTTTGGAAGGAAATAATACAAAGTTCATCTATACAAGCAAAGATTGTGATTTAAGCCATAGCCATACATTTTACTAATTTACATTATTTAGTTGGCCCTATAGGCATTTGTTTTTTTTCCAAATCAATTTTATGAAGTATAATTTACATAAAATGAACTGCACCTGTTTTATTTTTATTGCACTCACAGATATGGTTTATTAAGGGAAAGGACACATATTAGAATGAGCCAAAAAAAAGAGATGCTTATGATGGAATGTAGGAAGGCTCCAAATGTGAAGATTTCATTGTCCCCAGGATGCACTACTCTTTTGTCACTGATACATCATAATATACACAAATGTTGCCAATGCAGGAAGACTGCACCTATTTTAACTGTACAGTTTGATGAATTTTGACAAGTATATGCCTGTGAAACTACCACTACAATTAAGATGCAGAGTATTTCTATCATAAAAACGTTTCTTTATGCCCCTTTGCAGTCATTCTCCTTCCATCCCACCTCTCCTCCTCACTAACCTACCCCCCTGGTCCTTGACGACCACTGGTATACTTTCTGTCACTATGTATTATATGTTTCCCCTATCCTAGAATTTCACTTATGGAATGAAATAGTATAAGTTTGTTTGTGTCTGCCTTCTTCCACTGAGCATAATGTTTCTGAGATTCATTCATGATGTTGTGTATCACTAGTTCATTTATTTTTATTGTTAAAAAATTTTTCATTGTATGGATATACCACAGTTTGTTTATCAATTCCCCTGGGCTTTTCCCCCAGTTTTTTATTATTGTGAATAAAAGTTATAAATATTTTTGTGCAAGTCTTTTTGTGGAAACATGTTATTTCTCTCTTTAAATTTTTTTTATTTTTAAAAAATTAATTAGAGATGGGGTCTCAATCTCTTGGTCTCAAGCAATCCTCCCATCTGGTCCACCCAAAGTACTGGGATTACAGGTGTGAGCCACCATGCCAGGCCACACATTATCATTTCTCTTGAATGAATATCTAGGAGTCAAATTGCTGAGTCTTATGTGTATGTTTACTTTTATAAATTACAAAGTAATTTCATCATTGCACATTTTCACCAGCAATGTGTGAGAGATCCAGTTACCCCATATCCTTGCTAACACTTGGTATTGGCAGTGTTTTAAATTTTAATCATTCTAATGGGTGTGTTGTGGTTATTTCATTGTGGTTTTAATTCTATTTCCCTGCTGACTAATGATGTTGGGCATCTTATTACATGTTCATTGGCCATTTGTATATAATTTTTTTTTTAAAAATACAGGCTCATCTCATTTTATTGTACTTCACTTTATTGTGCTTCACAGATAATTGTGTCTTTTACAAATGGAAGTTTTGTGGCAATCTTGTATCAAGCAATTCTTTTGCAGCCATTTCCCAACAGCATTTCCAACTTTAGAATTATCATAATTTATTAGATATCAAAAATATAAAACATGAATGATATGTTTTATTTTAATCTCATTAGTTATATATCACAATAAAGACTTTACATAATTTTATAGATTTAATACATTATATGGATATTTGAAGAACATGTGCTCACTTTGTGTCTCTGTCACATTTTGGTAATTATCACAATAGTAAGTATTTTTTTCTTATTATTATATCTGTTATAGTTATCTGTGCTCAGTTACCTTGATTTTAATTTTGTAATTGTTTTGGGGTGCCATAGACCCTGCCCATACAAAAAAGTGAATTGAATTGATAAATGTGTGTGTTCTGACTGCTCCACTAACCAGCTGTTCCCTTATCTCTCTCCCTTTCCTTGGCCCACTCTATGTCTGTCGAGACACAACGGTACTAAAATTAGGCCAATTAATAACCCTACAGTGGCCTGTAAGTCTTCAAGTGAAAGGAGGAGTTGCACAACTCTCACTTTAAATCAAAGGCTAGAAATGATTAAATGAGAATGGTATGTTGAGAACTGACCTAGGCCAAAAGCTAGGTCTCTTGCTTTTGGCCAGTTGCCAAGTTGTGAATGCAAAGGAAAAATTCCTGAAGGAAATTAAAAGTGCTACTTTAGTGAACACACAAATGATAAGAAAGTTAAATAGTCTTATTGCTAATATGGAGAGGGTTTGAGTGGTCTAGATAGATCAAACCAGCCACAATATTCCCTTAAGCCAAAGCCCAGTACAATGCAAGGCTCTAACTCCTTTTGATTCTATGAAGGCTGAGAAAGGTAAGGAGCTACAGAAGTTTGAAGCTAACAGAGATTGGTTCATGAAGTTTAAGGAAAAAAGTCATCTCCGTAACATAAAAGTACAAGGTGAAGCAACAAGTGCAAATGTAGAAGCTGCAGCAAGTTATCCTGAAGATCTGGCCAATATTATTGATGAAGATGGCTACACTAAACAACAGATATTCAATGTAGATGAAACAGCGTTCTATTTGAAGAAAGTGTTATCTAGGACTTTTATAGCCAGTAGGAAGCAGTCAATGTCTGGCTTCAGAGCTTCAAAGGGCAGGCTGACACTCCTATTAGGGGCTAATGCAGCTGTTGACTGTTGAAGCCAAAGCTCATTTACCATTCTGAAAATCCTAAGGCCCTTAAGAATTATGATAAGTCTACACTTTCTGTGCTCTATAAATGGAACAACAAAGCCAGAATGATAGCACATCTGTTTACAGCATGGCTTACAATATTTTAAGGCCACTGTTGAGACCTACTACTCAGAAAAAAAGATTCCTTTCAAAATATTACTGCTCATTGACAGCATACCTGGTCATTCAAGAGCTCTGATGGAGATATACAAGAAGATTAATGTTGTTTTCATGTCTGCTAACACAACATCCATTCTGCAGCCCATGGATCAAGGAGTCATTTCTACTTTCTAGTGTTATTATTTAAGAAATACATTTCATAAGGCCAGAGCTGCCATAGATAGTGATTCCTCTGATGGATCTAGTCAAAGTCAATTGAAATACTTTTGAGAAAGGATTCACCATTCTAGATGCCATTAAGAACATTCCTTATTCTTGGGAGGAGGCCAAAATATCAACATTAGCAAGATAGAAAAAAGTTGATTTGAACCTTCATGGATGATTTTGAAGGGTTCAAGACTTTAGTGGTGCAAGTATGTAACTACAGATGTGGTAGAAATAGCAAGAAAACTAGAATTAGAAGTGGAGCCTGAAGGTGTGGTTGAATTGCTGCAATCTCATGCCAAAACTTGAACAAATGAGGAGTTGTTTCTTATGGATGGGCAAAGAAAATGGTTTCTTGAGATAGAATCTGTCCCTGGTGAAGATTCTGTGAACATTGTTGTAATGACAACAAAGGATTTGGAATATTCCATAAACATAGTTGATAAAGTAGTGGCAGGGTTGGAGAGGATTGACTCCAATTTTTTTTTTTTTTTGAGACCAAGTCTCACTCTCACCAGGCTGAAGTGCAGTAGCATGATCTTGGCTCACTGTACCCTCCGCCTCTCAGGTTCAAGCGATTCTCCTGCCTCAGCCTCCTGAGTAGCTGGGACTACAGGCATGCGCCACCATGCCCAGCTAATTTTTGTATTTTTAGTAGAGATGGGTTTCACCATGTTGGCCAGGATGGTCTCGATCTCTTGACCTCATGATCCGCCTGCCTCGGCCTTCCCAAAGTGCTGGGATTATAGGCATGAGCCACGCTCCTGACCTTGACTCCAATTTTGAAAGAAGTTCTACTCTGGGTAAATGCTGTCAAACAGCACATGCTACAGAAAAATCTTTCGTGAAAAGAAAAGTCAGTCAGTGTGGCAAACTTCATTGTTGTCTTAGTTTAAGAAATTTCCACAGCCACACCAACCTTTAGCAACCACCACTCTGACAGTCAGCAGCTGTCAACATTGAGACAAGACCCCCTAGCCGGGCACAGTGGCTTTCACCTGTAATTCCAGCACTTGGGAGGCCAATGTGGGAGGATTACTTGAGCCCAAGAGTTCAAGATCAGCCTGGGCAACATAGCAAAACTTTGTCTCTCCTAAAAATAAAAATAAAAATAAAAGCCTGGCATGGTGGTACGCACCTGTAGTCTCAGCTGGTGGGAGGACTGCTTGGGCCCAGGAGTTGGAGGTTGCAGTGAGCTATGATTGTGGCACTGCATTCCAGCCTGGGCTACAGAGGAGGACCATGTCTCAAAAAGAAAAAAAAAGAAAAAAGAACCCCCCACCTTTGCAAAAAGTTTATGACTTAGTAAAGGCTCAGATGATCATTAGCATTTTTTGGCAATAAAGTATTTTAAAATTAAAGTATGTACTTGTTTGTTTAGACATAATGCTATTGTACACAATACACTGCAGTATAGCATAAACATAACTTTTACATTTGTACTGGGAAATCAAAACATTTGTGTGACTCACCTTAACATATTTACTTTATTGTGATGGTCGAGAACTGAACCCACAATATCTCTGAGGTATTCCTGTAACAGCTTTATCAAGATACATTTCACATACCATACAATTGACTCATTTAAAGTAAACCATTCCATGGTTTTTAATATAAGCCCAGAGTTGTGCAATCATCACCACAAACCATTTTAGAAAACTTGTACCATCCCCAAAAGAAATCCTGTACCCATTAGTGGTCACTCCCCATTTTACTCAGCTCTGGAACCACTGTTCTTTCTCTATAGATTTGCCTTTTCTGGACATTTTATATAAATGGAATCATACAATATGTGGCCTTTTGTGACACTTCTTTCACTTAGCATGTTTTCAAGATTCGTCTATTTTGTAGAATATGCATATCTTATGTGAACTATTGTTCAAGTCTTTTGCCAAATTTTTAATTGGGTTCCTTTTCAAATATAGAGTTATAAGGAGTTCTTTATATATTTTGGATACAGTCCTTTGTCAGTTATATGTATTGCAAGTATTTTTTTCCATTGTGGCTTTCCTGGTAGGTAAGTGTTTGACCCATGGAGTAACTGTTACCTGCAAGGGTATGATTCATAAGCCTATGAGCAAAAGGGCTTTACTGGAATGTCTTCTTTGCTTGGTAAACTAGCTCCTATAGTAAGAAGAAGGGTGCTAAATTTTGATCCTTTTTAAAAATTTATTTTATTCAGACCAAAAATTGATTTTCAAAGCAGTAAACAAAGTGCTCATAAAGATCAAATTACATTAATAAGAAACCACAACTAAAAGTTATTCAAATACCTAATAGAACACTCGTTTAGGTGTGGAAGTTACTTGTGTGTTGTTATTTTCTGTTTTCAGCATGTCTAGAACATAAAAGTCATTCTTCACCTATTGCACTTATTGATGAAAAATCTACAAATGCTCATTTATCACTTCCACAAAAGAGTCCATCTCTGGCAAAAGAAGTACCAGATCTATGTTTTTCTGATGACTATTTCTCTGATAAAGGAGCAGCAAAAGAAGAAAAACCAAAGAATGACCAAGAACCAGTAAACAGAATAATCCAAAAGAAAGAAAATAACGATCACTTTGAACTTGACTGCACAGGACCATCTATTAAATCACCTTCCTCTTCAATAATTAAAAAAGCATCTTTTGAACATGGCAAAAAACAAGAGAATGATTTGGACCTTTTGAGCGACTTTATTATGCTGCGAAATAAATATAAGACTTGCACCTCAAAGACTGAAGTCACAAACAGTGATGAAAAACATGGTAAGTAATTTAATAATATTTTGCCGTAGATATGGTAGGCTCAAGGACTAAGTACATAATTTATTATAGAAGGCAAGGAGATAAAGTTCTTCTAGATAAAATTATGTTATTTTTTGTAGTCAAGGAAAATGTCATTGATTCTTGATAACTTCTTGTTTACAGATAGATATGGATATATAGGCATGATTTAGATACAGATACATATGTTTCAAAAAGTCTAAAAATGCATTTGAATTTATAACAAAAGCCACTATTTGTAAAACTTGCTTTCTACAACATGGCCTTACAAATTCATAGTATCTCTAACTTTTGTTGGTCAATTCTGCATTCTTTTTTCTCTTTTAGCTGTCAGTCCTGTCTCAGTATTTTAAATTATATTTTTATGTGTACTTGAAAGAAAACTTTCTGTCTACTTAATTGTTTCTTTCTAACATTACCTAACAGTTTCTGTTTGAGTTGTAACTGTCTTATATTCACTGCTTACAGCCACATCAAAGGTAATATAATGTGTCATATCATTTTACTTCTCATAAAAATAAAATAGGCATTCCAGAATAAGTTTGACATAGGTTACCCTGATGAAATAAATACAACAATATTTTTTTTTATTGGCTGCTATTGTTTATTCCTAAAATCCAGTACACATTGATGCAACCTAATGACTAGGGATATTGGAAACTTTTGATATTTATATATTGTTACATTCAGAAACACCAGAAATATTTTCTAATGATCAATTTGTTTGATAAATCCTATTCTTTCTTTCTTCATAAGGTTAATAATATTATCATAAATACAGGTATCTTTATGCTTTATAAAGCACTTTTACATCTATTGTCATTTTTGATCTGTTTAGAAACATTGTTGAGGAATCAAAGTAGGTAGTATTACCGCATTTCACAGTTAAAGAATACAAAAATATTTATGTGACTTAGAGACAGTTAGGTCTTACTGTCTCATATACTATTAATAGACACAAGATCTTCAGTTCTTAATGTCATGATGGGTATATTTATTTTTCCAAAAGATGTGACAGCCTTTTATAAATCTGCTTAAAGTAATATTACTGGGGCTGGGCATGGTGGCTCACACCTCTAATCCCAGAACTTTGGAAGGCCGAGGCAGGAGGATTGTTTGAGGCCAAGAGTTTGAGACCAGCCTGAGCAACATAATGAGACCGCATCTCTAAAATTAGCCAAGTGTGGTGGCACACACATGTGATCTCAGCTACTCAGGAGGCTGAGGTGGGCAGATGCCTTAGCCCAGGAGTTTGAGGTTATGGTGAGCTGTCATTTTTTTAAAAAGTAATATTACTGTGTCAATCAGTGCATTTCTCATGGTAAAAATGCAGAATAATATTTAAAGATTTCAGAATTTTGTGATCTTTTCTATTTCTACATATTCAACTTAAAGTTACTTTTTATGTAATAGTTTGGCCACCTTATAACTTACCTTACCAGATTCTGTATGTAACTGAGCTTTTTCTAACCAATATTTGGACCATAATTCAAGCATCGCTTCTGCATAAAAATAAGCAAAATATAAATAATTATTTTATAAATGTGATACAAAAATAAGAATTTTTCAAAGATTTGTTATTCTCAGATTTCTTCATGTTTTCTGATTCTATTTATATTTGGTACAAAAAAGGAATCCACCCCAAAATTAACACTGACATCTTCTGGTTGCCATAGTGGTGATAATGGCTTATGATAGGGTATATTATCAACAGAAAGTGAGGGAAAGCAGCAAGAAATGAGGAAATGTAAAAAAGAATAAAAATTGAAAAGATCACAAAATTCTGAAATCTTTAAATATTATTTTATCTTTTCTTATTTAAAAAATTAGCCATTCATTTACTAAACAATTAAAAGAACATTAATGTTATGAGGGAATGCTTCTGTACTCCTGATGTTTCCTCAATTAAGTGTTAAGTTCCTGGCCTCTTTGCCTTTTTATACATCTCTCCAGAGGGGATGGAAAGAATGATCTGAATTGTAAGTCAAAATAATAAATTGGACATAAGCTGTGGGAATGGTTGCCCAAGAAGAACAGGAATTCTCCTTGGTTTTTCTATGTCATGACTCTTTTCTGGGCAGTGCCCCTGACCTCCCCCGCCCTCCCTGGACCCAGTGGGGTATCCTATCCCAGTCCAGCATACCCTAGGACTGGGTGGGTAACTCTGTCTAATTCTGGTGTTTAGTTAGCAAGCTCATTTGACTCTCAAACTAAATTCTATTCCCCAACTTAGCCTTTAATAGATCATACCAATGCACTCCAGCCTGGGTGACAGAGGGAGACCCTGCCTTAATATTTTGGTGTATATTTTACTTTTTGTCTTATTTTACACTTAACTCAGAGGCAAGAAATACTATAAATTCTTAGACCCCCTCAAAAATTTTAATAATTAATATTATTTGATCATATCTATTCTAATTAGTTATGGTTAATTGAAAGTATTACTTGAAAATAGCATTTTAATCTAGTTTAGAATATAGTCCATTATTATATTTTTAACCATGTATGTAAAGATGGTAATGTGTTTCTGGAATTATTTTGTAATCATATTACTGATGGATAATACTACTATATGGTTAAAATAACTAGATTTTTATGTATATCTGTGTTTGTGTGTAAATCCTCTATAATACTTAGGAAAGAAGAAATCCTCTGTAATACCTAGGACAGAAAAAAAAACTAACATTTATTAGATACTTTGTGCCTGGCACTAAATTACATATTAGAGATAAATATGATGCTGTTGCTGACCTTGAGAAGCTCACAGTATAATAAAGTAGGTCAGATATGCAGATAGATCATTTCAATTCAATGTGGCAAGTACCAGTAAAGAAGTCTTCACAGAATGCTGAAGAAACAAAAGGAGGAGCCCTTTGCTGGCCTGGAAGTAGGGTGGGCAGTTATATATGACTTTTTTTAGAAGATGCCTGAGACCTGCAGGGTGCAGCAGTAAGACTAGGCCCAGGTCAGGCATGGTAGCTCATGCCTGTAATCCCAGCACTTTGGGTAGGCAGATCCCTTGAGCCCAGGAGTTTGAGACCAGCCTGGACAACACAGGGAGACCCTATCTCTACCAAAATAATAATAATAATAAATTTAAAAAATAAATTAGCCCAGGATGGTGGTGCATGCCTGTGCTCCCAGCTACTTGGGAGGCTGAGGTGGGAGGATTGCTTGAGCCCAAGAGGTCAAGGCTGCAGTGAGCCCTGATCATACCAATGCATTCCAGCCTGGGTGACAGAGGGAGACACTGTCTTAAAAAAAAGAAAAGAAAAAGAATTGCCTGGTTAAAAAAAGATGGAAATAGGGAAGGTTTGGGACAGAGGAGAGGGTTAGTAGTAGAAGAAAGGGTATGTGGAAAGTCACAGAGAAATTAAGTAGAACGGTACATACTTTCTGTGTCAGAAGCTGTACTTGGTGTTTAAAGCAGATATATTTATCCATATTTTACATATGAGGAAACTGAGTCAGAACTGAGTTCAAAATACTGATCTGATACCAAAGGTTTTTCCATTTTTACCATTCATCTTCCTACCTAGCAGTGTTAGTTCCATTGATCTGAATAGTTGTTCACTTTAATACTGATGTGTTTCAATGAAGAAATTTAACAACTGTGATCATATTTTAGAAAAAAAATTAAGGTAAAACAACATTAAGTTTCTCTTGAACAACAAAAATTTATATTTTTTATTGGAATTTCAAGATAAAGAAGCATGTTCTTTGACACTTCAAGAAGAAAGTCCTATTGTTCATATTAATAAAACCCTGGAGGAAATAAATCAGGAAAGGGGAACAGATAGTGTCATTGAAATTCAAGCGTCAGGTATGTTATATGCTTTTAAAATGCATTTCAGATTTGCTTAGTTTGAAAGTCCTTTCCTAGATAGCTAGGACATACCTCATTTTCCATGTCATTTTCTTCACTTGTTTCAGATATTTCTTCATTCCACTCCTACTTTCAAGTTATATCCCAATCTGGAATGCCCTGTTCACTACCCCTGCCTCTCCCCATTGCCCTACCCAAGCGACTCAGTGTTATTTCTTCTTTCATTTAAACTGCTGCTGCTTCCCTATATCAATCTGAGAACAACTGTACCTCCTCGGACTCTTCTGCCCAGTCTGGAAAATGAACTGCTAATCATGCTCTCTCTGTTCTCTTACCTGCTATCAGAGTGATGTAAATAAGTTTCTATTGATTCCTATATTGATTTTTTTGTTATGCTATAAAGAAGAGTATTCTTTGACTCCTAAAGAACAACCTGCTTAAGAACATCAGATTCATTATTAAAATCAGTAAGGAAATATGACCCAGGTTCTCAAGTATCTTTTCATTCTTTTGGTCTCTAGATGATTATGCAAATCTTTAAATAATGTTATTCTAGTGATAACTGGAAAAAATTTTTCATTGTTTGGCTTAAGATCATATGCTAACAGTGGAGAATGGCAAAGAAAAAAATGCAGTTCATGTTATATGGGTCTTTATATTTGCCATGTCAAGTTAATTATGGAATAAATCCTCTCTAATAAATAATATAGGCCAGGCGCGGTGGCTCACACCTGTAATTCCAGCACTTTGGGAGGCCGAGGTGGGCGGATCATGAGGTCAAGAGATCGAGACCATCCTGGACAAGATGATGAAACAAAAATTAGCTGGGCGTGGTGGTGCACGCCTATAGTCCCAGCTACTCAGGAGGCTGAGGCAGGAGAATAGCTTGAATCCGGGAGACGGAGGTTGCAGTGAGCCGAGATGGCGCCACTACACTCCAGCCTGGCAACAGAGCAAGACTCTGTCTCAATGAATAAATAAATAAATAATATAGCCATAAAATTATATAATTCCATGTTTGTTTTTATTAGTTTATTTAGAATAAATATCTTAAAATAAGTTTTTATACAATCTCATTATTTTTAACTCAGAAAATAATTCAGATAGAAGTTCGGATCTCCACGAAATAACATTTAATTGGTTCATCAAAAAGAGCATACCATCTTTATTAAAACACTGCCATTAATGCTTTTATTTTTGCAGATAGCCAGTGCCAAGCATTTTGCCTCCTCGAAGCAGCAGCTTCTCCTATCTTAAAAAACCTTGTATCCTTGTGTACCCTCCCTACTGCTAATTGGAAATTTGCCACTGTTATTTTTGACCAAACAAGGTTTCTCTTAAAGGAACAAGAAAAAGTAGTAAGTGATGCTGTTCGCCAAGGTGAGTACAAATAAAAGTCACGTTATTTAAAAAGATATGCTTAGAAATTATTGTATCAAATTAGTAAAAATTGGGTATAGAAGATTCAGAAATTAGCCATAGATGGTGGCATGACTGTAATTCAGCTTGTGATACCCAGCCAAACCAATACTGGAGGATCAGCTAAGTAGAGAAAAAGGTAAGAAATATCACCTGGCATTACTTCTCAGTGAAGCTCCTAATTGACATATATTACTTGACAGATTCCTATTGCAGAAATTAAATTAACTTTATTATTGTCAGCATATGAACCACTCAGTCTCCTCCCAAAAAAGGAGGTCAAAAACTAGATTAATTAAAGTCAATCCTAGACTTTTTATTTCTGCCAAGATGGAGTAACAGGGACTAGATTTACCCTCCTACCAGAAATAACAACAAAAAAGACAAAGATAAAATACATTAAACCAGTTTTTAAGACCCTGGACATCAGGCAATGAAGAACAGTGGTTCCTGAGAGAGAGGAAATGAGTGAAATGAGCCCTACCATTACCCTAGCTAACTGCCTTGAAAGAATTGGCAGGCTGTGGTGTAGGGAGAGTTACCTGAGGCAGAGCCTGGTAGACAATTTAAGTTGAGGAAACAGGAGGTAAGAGTCCAGGGAGACCAAGACAGATAAGAGTTCAAAATAGAATGTTAGAGAGCAGAGAGCTTCGCACAGAGAGTATAGAATTGTGCAGAGCCTCTCCCTCGAGTATTCAGCAGATGATTGATCAAAGAATATATGTGAGGTGGCCAGGTGCAGTGACTCATGCCTGTAATCCCAGCACTTTGGGAGGCCAAGGCGGGTGGATCATCTGAGGTCAGGAGTTCGAGACCAGCCTAGCCAACATGGTGAAACCCCATCTCTACTAAAAATGCAATAATTAGCCTGGTGTGGTGGCGGGCACCTGTAATCCTGGCTATTTGGGAGGCTGAGGCAGGAGAATCGCTTGAACCTGGGAGGCAGAGGTTGCAGTGAGCTGAGATCACACCACTGCATTCCAGCCTGGGTAACAGAGTGAGACTTCGTCTCAAAACAAAAACAAAAACAAACAAACAAAGAATATATGTGAGGAAACTACCTGGAGTTGGAGAAACAAACCATCTGAAAGGACTAGAGGGACTACTATGCTGCATTCACACAGGGCAGGAATAGTGGCTGTTCCCACCAGCTAGACTAGAAAAACTCGTAATTCATAGAGGATTAAGGAGAATACTCAGAAAAATCTTGCCTCAGTAGTGGGGGATAATTATCCCTAGACTTAGCACTGCTGTGAACCTGCCTAACAAATCACAAAGCAATACCCCAAGGATCAAACTATCTCCAAGGAACTTAGTTGCATCCCATCATAAAGCACAAGAGGATTGATATGAATACAAGAATACCCAACAAGGTAACAGTCACAATGTCTGGCATCCAATAAGATCATGAAGTATACAAAGAGGCAGGAGAGTACAATCCATAATGAGAATAATAAATCAAAACAAACCCAGAATCAACAAAGATATTAGAATGACCAGAAAAGGACGCTGACACTTCTTATTACTGTTTTCTGTATGTTTGAAAAGTTAGAGACATTTAAAAAGACCTAGATCAAACTTCTAGAGACTAAACTGCAATGCATGAGATGAAAAATATAGTGGATGCAATTAATGGCAGATTAAATATTGCAGAAGAAAAAGTTAACTTGAAAGCACAGTAATAGAAACAATCACTCTGCAAAAACTGTAAAGCATGAAAGAATGAAAAAGAAATAAAAGAAGGCATCAGTAGGCTGTGGAACAACTTAAAGTAGCCTAACATACTGTAATTAGCATTCTCAAAAGAGAGGAGAAAAGAGAGTAAATGGAAAAAATATTTGAAGAAATAATGACAAATCTTTCTAAACTTAATGAAAACTACAAACCCACAGATGCAAAAATCTCAATGAACACTTAGTACAAGAGACACAAAGAAGGTCCACATAATCAAATTACTCAAAGCCAATAATAAAAAGAGAACTGTAGGAGGAGCCAGAGGAACAAAAAGACATGCCACATGCAGGAAACAAAGATAAGGGTGACATGAGATTTTTTGACATAAATAATATAAATGCAAAGACAATGAGTAACATTTTGAAAATGCTGAAAGCAAAACACATCAACCTAGTTTTCTATATTAGACAAAATGAGGACTTCTCTTAGAGCTCTTTCTGTCCACATGGTGGTAATCACTTCTGGGCCTTGGGCTGTTTTAGTCTAAGCCAGTAAATACAAGAAGCGGAAAAAATAGGAAACTCACCACTTGTTTGGTGGCATTTTGAAATCTGGTCTCCTTCCCCAGTCCACTTGCTACCATTTACCTTTTAGAGTTTTCAGATAGCTGTTTCATGTATTCTGTTTTGTGTTTATAGTTGTATTCAGTGGAAGAGACAGGGTGGAGTGTACTTACTCCATCTTACCTGGAATCTACTTAATTTATTTTTAAAGTCTGTTTTCTAAATTCATTAAACTTAGATGTCCTATATATTTTTTAAAGGTTAACTCTCTTTTACAAATGAAAAACAAGTTGAATCTCATCTTCTTCCATGTAGAGTGCCCAGTCTTTGAGGGGAGCAACATTTTAGTCACCAAAACCGCGAGGTCACAGTAGTAGTACTGAGATAGAATACCTGATCTGAGAGGAAGGTGTTAATCCATAGTTTACTACTTGAAATACCTGAGCCACAGAAAGGCATCAAGATCAACACTTTGGGGAGCTGGCATTCTGGTAATGATTATACTGGATAGAAAAGAACAATTGTCAGCAAACTGGCCTTTATGAAAGAAGACAAGACTTATATAAAATAAAAACTCATGTCTTCTGGATATAGTTTCAGTCCTGTAATTCTCAGGTTTTAAATTAGCTGAATATGGGTTGAGCTTCTAAAGGTTTTGAACATCATTGAGCAGAATGATGATTATTATAAAATATACAGCATAACTATGTATGAAGTATAATAGAGGACAAAAAAGGGACATGGTTTTGGGTATCCAGTTGGAACAATATTGCATTAATCCCGAGCAAGTGAATAGTTGTTATACTTAATATTCTTTCATTGGCCCCAGAGTTGAGATAAAACTAAGCCTACAAGTAACAATTAAGTAAACCTAGATTAAAAGAAGTCAGACCATTTCCCACACTAGTTTCCTAGTCTGTACTCCATTTTCCAAGCATTTTTACATTTCCAGTTCCCCAAATATGTTTTCTCTGCCCTATTCTCATCTCTTGCAGGTCATGATTGACTTGTTCCCACAAGTCCTTCTAGGGGCTGAATATACTACCCATAATTGGCTTTCCCTCTTAATTCCCTACTACATATTTGCCTTGATCTTCATTGAATAGATCATCAATTTGCAAACTTTTTAGCAGAATTCTTTGTTCAAATAAATTTCATGAGATCTCAATATATGAAAAAGAAAAGTAGAGCTTCTCTGGTTAAATTGGGGCAGGGGGTCTAGAATCCCATCTTCTTGGTCTCACTTTTATATGCAGAAAAATCCAGTCTATCGTCCAAAAAAGCTCTGGAACTAAATGGAACACAATTAGGCAATAAGGCTGTCCCTGTGAGTTTATCTCTTGTTTGAGTTATACCTTTGAATAAATATTCCTAGGTGTCTACCTCCATTTCAAGGTATTTCTTCATGTTATGATCCTCTACTTTTATCTTAATCAGTTGGCAAGTTATGAATCTATTTTTATTCTTGTTTCATAACTGGGAAGCGTTGACTCTTTTTCCCAATAGCAGTAGAAATAGCTGAATATTCTTTGGAAGCAACAAGGGCATGAATTCTCAGGTTAGCTGAGTTTAAATGACAGCTCTACCATTTACTCACTCACTGACCTTGGACAGTTACTTAACTTCATTAATACTATTTCCTCATTCATAAAATTTGGATCATAATAAACTTGTCTGATGGGATTGTTGTTATAGATTCAATGAAATAGCCAGCTTATATACAGCCTGGCATATAGTAAGCACTCAATAATAAATGTTAGCTCCCATTATTAGGCAGATTCTGATACATATTCTAAAACTGTAATGTATAGTCTATGTTTTAAAATACATTTTTGCTTACTTAGGTACAATTGATGAAAGAGAAATGACTTTCAAGCATGCCGCTCTCTTACATCTTCTGGTAACAATTAGAGATGTCCTTTTAACATGCAGCTTGGACACAGCATTGGGTTGGTGGGGAATATTTTATTTCCTCTTTTCTTCCTATTAAATATTTCATCTGAAATAACTTACTTTTCTGAAAAAGATACACCTTATAAGAAATGATGTAGCCTTCTTTTCTATTATACTAAGCATTACATACATTTTGACATAATTCTAATGAAATATATACATTTTATTCTGCTTGTATTCATTAAAAGAAATTGTCCTTAACACTGTCATCACCTAGAAAAATAGGTTTAGGATTCTCTAATCTAGCAGATTTGATTGTATAATCATTATCATGCATGACTTTTTAATGTGAGATTTGACATTTTGTCATAAACATTTTGGGTCCTCATTGCATTTTTGTGGCTTTGAGTCTTTGCTATGTAAAATATAACTATAAGGAGTAAGATCTTTTCCAATTTCTTTTTTAGTCATGTCTATATTAGTATATGAATTACTTGGGTAATAAAATCAAACTATTTTGAACATATTGGAATTTCTAAGATTTTGGAATTTTTTATAACCTATCAAATTAAAATGTCTGTCTTACTACATTACTGCTTTAGGCCCCTTATTGCAAGATTATTTAGACTTTTTTTTTTTTTTTTTGAGACAGAGTTTTGCTTTGTTGCCCAGGTAGGTGTGCAGAGGTGTGATCTCACTGCAACCTGCAACCTCTGCCTCCTGGCTTCATGCCATTCTCCTGCCTCAGCCCCCCAGGAAGCTGGAATTACAGGCGCCCGCCACCATGCCTGGCTAATTTTGTATTTTTAGTAGAGACAGGGTTTCACCACGTTGGCCAGGCTGCTGTTGAACTCCTGACCTCAGGTGATCCACCCGCCTTGGCCTCCCAAAGGGCTGAGATTACAAGTGTGAGCCACCACACCCAGCCTAGACTTGTTTAACAATGGTATGTTTATGGAATTATGTTTTATAATTTAGAGTTCCTAGAACCTATTTCAAACATAAAGTAAAAATAAATTTCCTCTGATCTAAGACCCAGACATTTTCTCTTATTTATGATCCAGACATAAATATTATTTTTCTAATCCAAAGTTTTGGTAAATATTGAACAGCAGTGAATCATAAATGTACTCCCTCTAAAGCAGTGGGACCTCAGATATTCTAGATTCTGAAATTCTGTTTTAATATCATGAGTAATAACCAATCTCACTGTTTGTAGAGCTAGCAATCTATTATAGAAGCTGAGAAGCACAATGAAGTCAGGTGACTAAATAAAAGGGCATGTGACACTACACACTTATGCTTGTTTAGGTACTGTAAAGTAGGGTTCTTAGCCCCCAATCCTTACTTGTCTGAGGATGGAGACAAGACAACCTGGTCCAGTATCAACATTCAAGTGGTTTAATTGAAGAAGAAAAGAATAGCACCATGTTGGGCTTTCTAAAGATAGCTGTAGTTTAGTAATAATACTTGGCCAAGTGCATAATCTAGACAAGTACAGTATGCTCAATACTTACCAAAGCCTTGGATTAAATAAATAATATTCATGGGCTGGGTGCCATGGCTCACGCCTGTAATCCCAGCACTTTGGGAGGCTGAGGTGGGCGGATCACCTGAGGTCAGGAGTTCAAAACCAGCCTGGCCAACATGGTGAAACCCTGCCTCTACTAAAAATTCAAAAATTAGCCTGGCGTGGTGGTGCACACCTGTAGTCCCAGCTACTCAGGAGGCTGAGGCAGAAGGATCACTTGAACCCGCGAGGCACAGGCTGCAGTGAGCCAAGATTGCGCCATTGCACTCCAGCCTGGGCAAAAAGAGTGAAACTCCGTCTCAAAAAAAAAAAAAAAAAAAAAAAAAAGGGAGAAAAGAAAGAAATAATATTTATGGAGGTTGGCTTAAACAATATTTATCTTTAAGTAGTGTAGTCTATAATTTACCCTAGTTAAGTGAGACCACTGAGAGCTTTATACTTGGACTGAATTCTTTCTGTTCCTCTAAGACATGCAGTTACTAAATCATACTTTGGCATTACTATTTATCTACCTTAAGGAATACCATAAAAGTAAGATTCTTGTTGGAAAACTAACTTCTTAATCTCCAGGTATCCAGCCATACGAATAATGTAGTTGCTTTGGACATTTTTAGTAGAGGGCTTTCTCTTTCCTCTATACCTCTTGAAAGCCAAGATCAAGTTAGGTTGTCCTTTCTTTCTCTCTGTATAATGGCAGAGGAAAAAAAAAATCCACGGAGGTCTGGCTGCCAGAATTCTGTGTTTTCTCCTAGCTTCCAGTTTGCTCCCTCTCCCAAGCTGGCAAGGTAGTGAGTTTTAGGTTCAAATAATAGCGTTTCTCTTCTGGGCTTTAACCCAGAAATAAATTCAGTATTTATTATGGAATGTGATAGGTATTACAACAGAGATATATGGTAGTGGCACAAAAGATGGAGACTATTATCCTTAAGATGGGTATGTTTTTAAAAAAATAAGTAGAAGTTTGCCAAGTAGATATAGTATAAAAGACTATTCTAGGCAGAATTAAGAGCCCAGAGGAATGTACCAGTGGAAATGTTGCCAACAGTTCCATGTGGTTAGATTGAAGAGGACAAGTTAGAAGGCAAGCAGGAGCTAGGCCTGGAGAAATAAGAAAAAGCCAAATCATGGAGAGCCCTTTAAGCTACACAAAAGAATTTCAGGGATGCTACTGGATTACATTTATTTTTCAAAAGGTTAATTCTCATGGCAATATGGAGAATCAGGGGGAGGTCTGAAGATGAGGCAGAAAGAACGTAAGTCAGTCTCTAAGTTGCCCATCAGTCTAGCAATTTTAATATAAAAATAGAATTAATATGCACACATACATAAAACTTGTACATAGACATTAAATTTTTTAAATTTATTTCATTTGTTACCCAAATTTATTATTTCATTTGTTACCCAAATATTCATTAAACACCTGATCTACATAAGTTACCATGCCAGGTGCTCTGGTGGTAACTCTGGTGAAATTCAGCAGAATCACACGGAGAGCTTTTTAGACATAGAAATCATTAGGACATAATCTAGATGTACTGAATATGAACCTTCAAGGATGAATCTATGTTTAAAAATGCCCTTAGTGAGCCTGAATGAGGCACTGCTGTTTTAGCAGCCATATGAATTAAATATGTATAAATACCACATGTTCTACCCTGAAAGAGCTTATAGGCTAAGTGATATACATAAATAAGCAGATATCAAGTACAAAAGTTGTACGGATAAAATACCAAGAAAATTCCACTTAAGTAGCAGTTCAACAGGACTTCCATGTAAATATAGATCCTGGGATTTAGGAAGAGTGCAATAGCATTCAACAAGCCAGGAGGCAGGATAGGTTATGTATTTAGAGAGTGTGTAGCATATATTAATGTACATATGCAGCTTAAAAAGAGTATGTGGTACATATTTTTAAGCTTCACTCAGTTTTAAAGTTTTTATTAGTGTCTTTGATCAAAATCAGAAAACAATTAAAGGAAATTTTAACTGTCTCTGCTTTGACTTATTTTCTTTAAGCCTTTTTTACCACGGAGTTTCTTAAAAAACAAATACTTAGACAATTTTTTTCTAATTTTGCTTCAATAGGATATTTGTCGAAGGCAAAAGATATCTACAACAGCATTTTAGGCCCCTATTTGGGTGACATTTGGAGACAGCTGGAGATTGTACAGTTTATTAGGGGGAAAAAGCCTGAAACCAACTACAAGATACAAGAATTGCAATGTCAGATACTAAGTTGGATGCAAAGTCAACAGCAAATTAAGGTTAAGTATTGGAATAAAGCCGGTAAAATAATCAGTTTAAGTAAGAATTGGATGTAAGATACATTTTTGCATTTAACTTTAAAATTATGAAGTAGTCTATACTACTTAGTCCCTTGATGGTTTAGTCCTTGAATAAGGTAACAGAACAGAATCAGACCCATAGAAAGGATGATTTGCATCATTATTCATGTCTCAAATTTAAAAATACTTTACCAGTGTGGGCAACATAGTGAGACCTTGTCTCTATAAAAAAAATTTTTAAATTAGCCAGGCGTGGTGGTGTGCACCTGTAGTTCTACCTATTAGGGAGACTGAGGTGGGAGGATCTCTTGAGCCCAGGAGGGTGAGGCTGCAGTGAGCCATGATTGTTCCACTGCACTCCAGCCTGGGCAAAAGAGCCAGACCCTGTCTCTAAATAAATAAACAAACTTTAATTTTTATTATGCATAGTTTTCCTAAGGATTGGTTCTCCAATTGTCAGAAATTTTGTCTAGTACTTATATAAGTCCATGAACGTATACATAATAATAGAACTCAATGATTTATTTTAAAATACCAAGCCAGAATCTCATATGATTCCACCAAAACAAATATTTAGTTTATGCCTTGGATTACATTCACAATTATTTGCCTACCCTACATCAAGCATATAAAGGTTGCATTAATGAAGTTTTAACAGAAATTGCTTTTTAAAATCTTATCAAGCAGAAAAGCATTTCAAATAGTTTACACTAAAAATCCAGATATAAACTGTGGCCTTTTTCTGATTTTTCGTTCTGTGCCTCCTATTTCTTAACCGCAACTTTATAGTCTCTTGGGTAATAACTTTCTTAAGTCATTAAAATAATTTAATCTAAGTGAGAAATTTTAAATCGAAACTGATTTGCTCTCCCACCTCTCCCCCACAAAACTGTAATGGTAAGTAGCAAAATATAGCAGCAGATCACGGGTTTTCTCCAACAAATTTAAACATGTGAGTTGAATTTAACACTAACAGAGACAACCTATGTATTGATAGTCACATATGTGGGAATACTTGAAGAATGCTAAGAATGCCCTATCCCAAAATATTTTCTTCACTGATATTTGATCTTACCAGAATATATTCCTTGAGTTTAAGTATTGACATTTTTTACAACAGAAATATTTGCTTTGTAATCTTATTGTCATTAGTTTCATAGAACCAATTAAAGTTTGTTATTTTGTCACTGTATCAAAACTGTGAAAAAGAATAATCATCCACATATATATGAAATTTTTATTTTTGACTAGGTACTGATTATAATAAGAATGGACTCAGACGGTGAAAAACATTTTCTCATTAAAATTCTTAACAAAATAGAAGGTAGGCAGTTTTAAATTATGCTTCATTTGATAACAAATGCTTGAACTTATAAAAGTGTATTGATCTAACCAGCTTTTAAAATTAAGACATAATTAACATAGCATGAAATTCACCCTTAGAAAGCGTATAACTCATTGGGATCTAACCAGCTTTTAAATCAATCTGGACTATAAGTTTGCAGTACAAATACACTACAAGGTGTTTATATGTATTTGTTATTACTAATAATTGACACTTTTATTGATTGCCTACTAGTTGCTAAATAATATTAGCTACTTACAATTCTATGAATAGGTTTTATTAACTCAGTTTTACAAATAAAGAAACTAAAGTTCATGCTAAAGGTGATGTAGCATGCCAAATCTCACAGGTAGTTAGGGAGTCAGGATTTGAACCTAGGACTCTCGTTTTAGTATCATTCTTCAATTCTCAATTCTTCAGTTCTCTTGTCTGTTTTCCTCACTTACTACACTTTTCTACCCACTACTGCCCCTTCTGTCAACCCTTTCCACTTGGTGCTGTAGAATCCATTGCTTGTTATGCAAACTCTGCTCTTTCTTCATCTCCTTTGTGTTAACTGAAGCCCAACTTTCTCCGCATGATACTACTTCCTCTCATATAAAAGCTGATAATTTTCTCTACATATATACCGCATAGAGATGAGAAAGCCATTTCTTACCTTCCATTATCATTTTCAAAACATTATTCCTCCTCCTTTGAGGCTGTGCCATATTGCCATACCATTCTCTACCACTTATCATCTACTAACCACCTGGTTATTTCCCATCATCCATGGACAATTGTGTACCTAGCTCATGGTATTCTTTACACTTCTAGTCCTGTCATTATTCTAGGTGTCTTTAATGTTTCTAATGTGAATGATTCATTCAACACCCTGGCCTTATAGTTTCACTGGCCTCCACAACAAAAATTATATTCATCTTCAGTTCCTTGGCTATTCCATTGAACTTGTGATAATGCAGAACGGTCCTACCTCTGAACTTTAAATTCTGATACATTGCTCTTTGTCTATACCTATAGCTCTTTCATGATCTTCAACATCTTAGAGATCTATAATCCACTAGCTACTTTTTTGTTTCATCTCCTTTTCTTTCCAGACTCAGTGATTTGACCCATCACTTTAATCAGTCTTATGCTTCTATTGTACTTTTCATTTAAACCTCAACCCTGAATCAATCAATTCATTTAACTTCTCTATTCCTACACCTGAGATGCTGAGCGCTATTGGAGAGAATCACATAGTCATATAGATTGGTACTACTACAAACTCACAAACTCATGCCCTCTAAATTTACCTGGGCTCTTAAGACGTCTTAACAATCTTTTTATATATTCTTAGTTCCACTCCTATTTTCTGAATGACTATACAAAAAACCCCTACTATATTACCCATCCTTTCATTTTTTGGAAGGGAATTGTGCCTTCTAATTTTCATTAATCATTTAAGTATCCTCCTCAGTTTCCTTCCCTACCATTGTTGTAGAAAAACCAGGCTCTTGTCACATGACCAGAAAAGATTAGGCTCGCAGACACTTTGAAGAGTAAGGAGCAGAATTTATTTGGTAAAAAAGAAAAAACTCAGCAAAGCGAGAGGGGTTCCTGTTAATAGACCCCCATCTCACAGATTGAATCCCAGGTTACCACACAGGAAGAGGACAGGAGAGGATCCTCCCTCCTGCAAGTGGCAGGAACTTCCCAAGGCCTCATCCCGTCTTCCCAGTGCGCAGGTGTGCATTATTCAGAAAGAATCAATTAAGAAAGGTTGGGCTTCATCCAGGACCAGCAGTCTGGTTTTTCAGCCTTCAGGCTGCTTTAGGCTTGAAGAAGGGGTTTCGCCGGGGGACCATTGGCTGCCTCCTGTCTCTATCACCATTTACAGACTTACCACTTACCTGCATTTCTCTCTGTTCTTTATCCTTTCCTCTTTTCTCTATAGAAATGAACCTCCCTTTGAAGACCAATCTTTCACTTGTGCTTTGGATACCATCTCCTCCTGCAGTCTCAAGCACTTTGTTCCATCAGTTATTTCCTAGCCCAACCTTTCTCTCTAATTACTCTTTTCCTTAATGTTTAAGCCCTTCAGTCTTAAAAATAAAATAAAACACCACTGTCAACCTATGTCACCCTTTGGTTACCGTTTCTCTTCCCTCTATAAGCTGCATCTTTTGCCATCTTCATCTCCTAAAATAGTTCTTTACTCTTACCTTACCAAACTATCATGCTGTTTCATATCTCTATGCCTTTATACCTCTTGTTCCTGCTATAAGAATATTCTTCCCCCTTTGTTAGGAAGCTAACTCCTACACATTTTTAAAAAATTAATTAAAACATTTGTTGAGGAAGGCTTGATTTCAATGCTTTTCCTCTGTGCTCTCAGGCCATTATGTGCATACTTCTAAGGCACCACTTCCCACCCCAGGCTATAAGGGTGTTATCACCCTTAGAAATGATCCTCTTATCTGTTTTCCTCACTAAAATGTCTGCTTTTGGGGGATTCAGATCATACCCTAATTTTTATTCCCAGCACTCAGGAAAATGCCCACAACATAGAAGGCACTCGATAAAAGTTTATTAAACAAATGAATGTGCCAATTAGTGCCTCTCTATATACGTAGTACACACTAGAACTAGTGAAAAAGACTGAACCGAAATATACAAATATAGCCACATAGATCTGCTCATCGGTGCAGGAAGTTAACTAATATTTTAAATTATGGTAATGTGAGAATGGAAAGGTCTCTCAAGCAGAGTCTTATAAGGTGCTATTTCTTGACAAAGTTATCATGTATCTAGAGTCTAGATTTGTAAACTTGGATCTTATTATTTCATTCAGTTTTCCAATCCTGGGAAGATGATTTGTATCCACCAAATTCATAAGATCCTTACTAGTACCAAAATGTTAGAGCAATAGTTAACAGTTATGGGGCTGAGACTACCACAGTTGTCTGTAATCAGGGTAATTGGAAACATTTTTTTAAAAAATCAGGAAAGTGCTGAGCAATGTTTGCACTATAAAAGAAAGGGACTTGGATAACCAAAGGAATATTTTTGTGAAGAACCTGAGGAAATATGCCTGCTCCACAGAGAAGAATATTTAAACCTACTCAGTGGGACACCTTCTCCTTTGATGTTACTGAAGATACACTGACAGATTTTTTTTTAGTTTTAGTTTTTGTGGGAACATAGTAGGTGTATAAATTTATGGGGCACATGAGATGTTTTGATACAGGCATGCAATGTGAAATAAGCCCATTATGGAGAATCCCCTCCATCCCCTCAAGCATTTATCCTTTGAGTTACAGATAACTCAGTTACACTTTTTACTTTAAAATGTACAATTAAGTTATTACTGACTATAGTCACCCTTATTGACAGATTATTACTCTGTATCGCATATCTGGGTTTCATGCTGAATACTCCTGTCTCTTTTGGCATTCAGGATTATGTAATCAATGAGCTTATTATCTTCATTTCAACAAGGTCTACTGACACAAAAATTTTGAGTCTATAAACTGGAAGATGTTTTTACTCTTTTTCAGAACGGCAATTATCTTCAGTTTCTGGAAGCAAGGCTTTTATTTTTCTGCCTAGTGTTGGAAAGTAAAAACGTAGTTCTGTTTTCTATGCGTTTGTAAGATCTAGTACTGCACTTACCAAGTAATTAATCTGCTTTGGGATCATAGCGAATACAATCATTTAAGCAGATTAGGTTTGTTTGTTTTTTGTTTTGTTTTGTTTTTTTGAGTTTCACTCTTGTTGCCCAGGCTGGAGTGCAATGGCACGATCTCGGCTTACTGCAACCTCTGCCTCCCAGATTCAAGCCATTCTCCTGCCTTACCCTCCCGGGTAGCTGGAATTACAGGCCTGCGCCACCATGCCCAGCTAATTTTGTATTTTTTTAGTAGAGACAGGGCTTCGCCATGTTGGCCAGGCTGGTCTCGAACTCCTGACCTCAGGTGATCCACCCATCTCTGCCTCCCAAAGTGCTGGGATTACAGGCGTGAGCCACTGCACACAGCCAAATTAGGTTTTAAATAGAAGAATCACCTTATGAATTATAAAAGAGAAATAGTACTCACTTCTTATCACTACCAGAACTATTGTCATGTCAAGTAAAGTTATATGAAATTATTGACCATTACTCTCATTATTATTATATCACACCTTCGTCAACTTTATGGTTGAAAAAATACACTAATAGAGTATATAATTTATTTGAACTAGAATTAGCCATTCTTGAATCAATTATGTCTACCAAAAATAAATTGTGTGGATGGGTACAGAATATTTTGAAATTTATTATATTTTGTTTAAACATTAGTAAAATAAGAAATTTAAAGTATGAGAAGCAAGAGTGAATCTAAGAAACAGTTCCCAATAAGTGTTCTGCTTCTAAATACTCAGTAGAAAGAGAATAAAGGCATTCCTATTACATTGAAATACAGTCTCTTATTTAGTTATGTACTTAAATTTTTGGCTAGAGAACAAAGATAAAATCCACCCTGATATTTAGCAAAACAAAATTAACTGCACAGGATTGGTGAGTGTTTAATTTGCTTACTTTAAAATTAAGTTTCTATGGGGTGCAGTGGCTCGTGCCTGTAATCCCAGCACTTTGGGAGGCTGAGGTGGGGGTTCACTTGAGGTCAGGAGTTTAAGACCAGCCTGACCAACATGGTGAAACACTGTCTCTACTAAAAATACAAAAATTGGCTGGGCGTGGTGGCAGGCACTTGTCATCCCAGCTTCTTGAGAGGCTGAGGCAGGAGAATTCTTTCAACCCAGGAGGCGGAAGTTGCAGTGAGCCAAGATCGCACCACAGAACTCCAGCCTGGGCGACAGAGCGAGACTCTGTCTCAAAAAAAATAAAAAATAAAAAATAAAAATTAACAAAAATAAGTTTTTAATCAATTTTATTATTTTATATAATAAATTTAGAATTTCCATGCTCTATATATACACGCAAGAGAAATATTGGTTATGGTTCAAAGTTTCTGATATGCTAAACTTAGAAAAATAATCTAGCAAATTGTATTTTAAGCAGTTTTGTTATTCACAGATTTTTAATTCATTTTTATGGTAGTGAAATATATGACATACCAAAAATATGTATCTGAACAAGACACTGAAAAAAATTATTCTTTTTTCCAACAGGTTTAACACTGACTGTCCTTCATTCAAATGAAAGAAAAGATTTTCTGGAATCTGAAGGTGTTTTAAGGGGGTAAAAATTCATTCCTTCATCTGTGAGGAACAAACGTACCAGTTTCACAGGAAAAGCAAAATCTTCCTAGAAGTTAACTTTAAAAATTTAACAAAATCTGAAATTAAGCAATGCCTCTACCCTCTTCCTGAAAAATGCTTTACATAGGGCACTTTAATTCTGATCATTGTCCTGTGTATTATATGTTATTGGCGTCCAGAAATGTAATTCAATCTTATTTTAATATCCCCAAATAATAATAATAATATTGTTATTGTAGTACAGAAGTGCCTATTTAGAGTATATTTGTACCAGTTTCTTTGCTCAGCATTGTTTTTTACATCTTCTTTCTTCAGGGTTCTCCTTCCTGAAGTATATCCTTTAGAAATTCTTTCAGTAAGGGCCTGCTAATAATAAATCAAGTGTTGAATTGTGTAAAACTCTTTATTTTGCCTCATTTTACATAGAAATTATTTTTTTTCAAATATTGGGATCCAAATAATTTTAAAAATGTAAATCAAATAGAAGCCCATAAAAACTGGACATAGGTACTTTTTAACTTCTAGATTGCTCTAGATAGCAGCAATAGAGAATTTTAATTATAGTAGGTGGTATGTTTTATGAGATTTGAAAATGTTTATGAAATTTTATTAGAAAAGAAAGCTAAATTTATGATATTTAAGTGTCCATCTTTTTTGTTGTTGTTAAATCATTTATGAAGCCCATTAAGAAAAAAAAATCCCATTTTAAAGTTGCCAGATAATATCCTATTATGTAATTATCTAAGATTAAGACCTTATATTTGTAAGAAAATGAGACTGATTTTTCATGCTGATTTCTCTTATTGATAGTACTCAGGTAATAAAATCAGGCTGTCTCCCATTTGAGGATATGAAATAGGTTACAGGTTTTTATATCCTGGTATAAAAATGTATGATCATTAAGAAGAAAAATATAAAGAAATTAACACTATTGAAGAGCAAATCAACAGAAAACGCACCAGTGCCTTTCTAAGATGAGGCATAGATTAGAGAAGGATGGAACAGCCAGAAAACAGTCATCTTTTAATAGTTCAACAAAATAATAACACAAGTATAATGCCATTTTCTTGGCTCTCTTTTGTCTTTAGTACAAGTTCCTGTGTAGTTGTACATAATCAATATATTGGAGCAGATTTCCCCTGGAGTAATTTCTCATTTGTGGTGGAATACAATTATGTGGAAGACTCTTGTTGGACTAAACACTGCAAAGAGTTGAATATTCCTTACATGGCCTTTAAAGTGATTCTTCCAGACACAGTTTTAGAAAGTAAGAATATAAGCCAAAATCCTTTTTTTGCTTTATTAGAATGAAAATTTTCTATTTTTTGTTTATGATTTATAGATAAAAATAAGCTGTGACATTAGAAGCCTTGAGTTCAACCTCTAACCCCACCACTATCTGTGTGACCTGGGGTAGTCCTTTAACTGTCTCTTACCTCGTAGTCCTCATTTGTAAAGTAAGCTTTACTAATTATATGTTTTCATTCCTTTATCTAACTTCTAAATTTTACTTATAATAGCACAATTTTATTACATTTATATCCAATCTTAATCTGATAGCTTTTATGCAATAGTATTTTTATTGATTTTTAGGGGACAGTTGTGTAATAGTATGCTAACTGATTCAGAAAATTTTAATGTGTAAAACAAATTATCTACAAATACTTAGAAGAAAGTCTAAACCACTTCATACATCACTTTATTTCTTTGTATTTGTCAGTCATGACTAAGGCTGTGAATTCTCAGATCCATAAATCTGATACATTTTGAGTATAAAATGCACTCAGTGTGAGAGTGCATCTCTCTCAGTACTTGCCATCGATTATTTTCTATTCACCTCAAATATGAGTGGGAAGTCTAAATAGATTCTGAGACATTCCAACTCATTTCTAACAATACGGTCACCATAATGGTTTATTTGGAATTGATCTTGTGTAACTATTCTTTTATAAATTACCTGTGTATATCTTTTGACCATGTATCTATTGAGGTATTTATTCTTTTCTTATTGATCTGTAAAATGTTTTCCCTATGGGTTATTGCACATAATTTAAAATCTTTATGTAAATCAGTATATATTTAATACAGCACATGCCCAATATATACTTAAGTGAATAAAGCAAGTTTCAACATTTCAGGTAGAGAATGACCCTATTTTTTCTCTTTATTGAAGTGAGTGTACATGTGTGAGTATAAGCAAGAAAATATACTGAAAAAAGTCTGGAAATATATGCAAAACTCTGTTTTTAGTGTATAGTGGTATTAGTAAACTCTATTAACTTATTTCTCGGTAGGATAACATGGTTTTTATTTTCTTCTTCAAGCCTGTCTTTATTCTGTTTCTGATTTTTTACATTGAATATTATTTTTATACTACTCCTACTTATCCTCATGTTTAGTAAAAAAAAAAAGAGAAAGAGCTGGGAGATGAGAATAAAAGAGAAATATTTATAAATTTTCTCTTATTTAGGAAGCACCTTGCTGGATAGATTTGGAGGTTTTCTTTTGGAAATTCAGATTCCATATGTGTTTTTTGCATCTGAAGGACTTCTTAATACTCCAGACATACTTCAGCTGCTAGAATCCAAGTAAGTTATTGATTTCACAATTTTAACAAAAGTGTACATTATATATATATGTGTGTGTGTGTGTGTGTGTGTGTGTATATATATTCTGATAGGCTAAATATTATGCTGTATATGTGTCTCCATGTGTCTGTGATTCAAGCCTGGAATTATATCACAAAAGAATAGTTTTCCAGAGAGTTTATATCAATGTATACTTCTTTCCCTATACTACACCCTCATAATTATTGAATATTATATTTTTGGGTAATATCAATTTTATGGACAAAAATAATATTTAATTTTTGTTTAAATTCATGTTTTACTTGCATTTCTTTTGTTACCAGCAAATATGAACATTTTGTGTGCTTTTTTCTGTGAATTATATGTTCATGTCTTTGAGTCATTGATAATATTGAGAATGAGTATTCTTGTTTATAGAACTTTACTGCCTGGGAAACAGGACCGTGAAGTTCTAAATGAATTCTCAAGGTTTTAAATCTTTAGATCTAAGGTCATACCAACATTAGATGTTATAAAATCGTAAAACACTTTATCATAACACACAAGTTGTCACAGGAATGTTGGACCTTGGGCTCCATGTCAAGGAAGGATAATTGTACTGTTACCTTAGTTAAAATGCAGATGTATGTTCCATGCTTTTGTTTTTATGCATTAAGGCTGTGGAGCATTCATAGGAAACTATGAGCTTATAAAAGGTAGTTAAGGGCATGATGGTATGTACCTGTAGTACCAGCCACTTAGGAGGCTGAGATGAGAGGTTCGATTGAGCCCAGGAATTCAAGGCTACAGTGAGCCATGATAGCACCACTGCACTCCAGGCTGGGCAACAGAGCTGTCTCTAAAAATAATAACAATATACAGTAATAAAATAAAAAGTGCTTAAAATGTAAGCCATTTTTAAGGAATAAAAAAAGGAAATTCTGATAAATGCAGAATATTTTAGTCCCATAATGTTTTGATTTCATGAATTATTATTTAAAGAGCTGGAATAAATTGGTCAAAACATTTGTAATAGTGTTACGTGCAGTAACATTTAGCACAATGCCTAAGGCAACACACATCTCAGCTGATTTGTTTTATATACTGAAAAAATCATAACTTTATTCTTCAAATTTTATAAAGTAGAACAAATTGACATGTAAAAGAAAAAGCATAGAAATCCAAATAACTTAACATGCAGGAGGGAACTACAACTTTTCTTAAATAATTTTATTAGCATTTCATTTTTTCACTCAAGAATATTGTATTTTACAGCTATAACATCTCACTAGTAGAGAGAGGCTGCAGTGAGTCATTGAAACTCTTTGGAAGTTCAGAGTGTTATGTAGTGGTGACAATTGATGAACACACTGCCATAATTTTGCAGGTAAAACTAGGTAGAAAATATATAAACTAAAATAGACTAAAATATATGGCTATGTAATTTGTTATTATCTTTTCTGTAGGAAGTTTAACTATATTAGTGATTTCTTCTAAATTTTGCAAATGGGCCACAAGTGCTAAAATCGTCACTGTGGAAAATGACTATTATCAAACTTCTCTGATGCCTTATAGCTTTTTAACATACTTTAAGAAGATAGGGCAAATAAAGAATATTTAATATTGTATATTAACCTATTTTAAGTATATTTATAGAATAATTATAGTATTGAAAGCTTTAAAAAAGCAATTTCCAGCCACTTTTATTACAAGGAGATAGTGTATTAATTGATGATTGATAATATTGAATTTCCAATCATTCATTGCATTTCCAGTGTAAACAGGAGTTGTCTCTAAGTAAGCTAGTTTTTAGAAAGAGAATTTCTCTTCAAAAATTCATATAGTTTGGAATTTTCTATGTATAAATTCTTGGGTGAATCTCCCTGATATGTTTGCTTGATCGGAGAACCAACTGAAAAGAAATTAATTTATTGGGGTGGGAGTGGGAGCAGAAACCAGGTTTGATGATATGCAGTATAAATATTGCTATATATTAATGGCCAATATGTGTTTTGATAAGCAAATGTTATAAGAATTATATGATGGAAAAACACAACTCTATTAGAGATTTTTAAGAGATACTGTGTCTTGTATATTTAAAGTTCTTAAACAATATTTTTCTGTTTGGCACAACTGTTTGTTTGTTTGTTTGTTTTTAGAGATAGGGTCTCACACCATTGCCCAGCCCGGAGTGCAATGACACGATCATAGCTCACTGCAGCCTCGAACTCCTGGGCTCGAGTGATCCTCCTATCTCAGCCTCCCAAGTAGCTGGGACTACAGGCACGCTCCACTGCACCCAGCTAACTTTTTAATTTTTTGTAGGGACAGTGTTGTGCTATGTTGCCCAGGGTGGTCTTGAACTCTTGGCTTCAAGTGATCCTCTCACTTCAGCCTCCCAAAGTGCTGGGATTATAGGCATGAGCTACTGTGCCTGGCTGGCAAAACTGTTGTAATCCAATTATATAACTTATTGTTAGAGGAAGGTCATTTTTTGAATTCCTTAATGTATCAAAAATTACTTATGTTAAAGGAAAAGGAGATTCCATACCATTAGGTAGAGATTCCCAGAAAGTCCATTAACTGCTGCTTTCTCATCTCCTCTGAATAACCATGCAGTGCACATCATCTCATAGGTTTTAAACATATTTTCTGTTGCCTTTAGAATGACCAGATCCTAGTCCACAAAGGACTTGCATCCACAAAGGACTAGGATCTGATTATTCCAAAGGCAATAGAAAATTGGACTAGCCTATGGCGTGCCAAACTAGGGGCACTCCATAGGCTACTTTCTTCATATCTAGGACCTCGGGAGATTCAGGAGCCTTCCTTGCTGAAGCTGTCATTAGGTGTTTTATGTCTACTATAGCTTTTCTCCTACTACTTCCTGCATGATTTTAATTTTTCCATGAAATGGGGGCTCATACCCATGCCTCTTTTCAACTTATTTATATGTCATAGATTCTTGAAATAATGATAACATAATTTCATAATAACTGTTCAACCTAATGAATTTTTACATTTTCTTTATTTTCTGATAGGATCTAGAAGAATTGAATTATGAGAAGGCATCAGACAATATCATTATGAGGCTGATGGCATTATCATTACAGTACAGATATTGTTGGATAATTTTATATACCAAAGAAACATTAAATTCAGAGTAGGTAAACATTTCTTCATCCAAAGTTATGTTCGTATTTCTTAATCCTAAGTCCTCTTATTTGAATGGAAATGGCTATGCAATTTTCTGCATGCTCATCTAGTTTGCTTTAAGTCAAGGATTTTCAAGCTGGAGGTATGATCACAGGAAAACAAATTTGAATTTTGGAGATGATACGTTTCCCTGGACATTCTGTGAAAGCCATCCCCCTTTCCCCCATCTCACTAAGAATTGCTGCTTTAATATTTTATTATTTTGTAATTCTGGACTTGTCTGATTTCTGTCTAACTACTGTACTAAATTTTTTGTATACACTTGTTATCAGGTTGGTATAAGTTCGAACGTAAGAGTCTAAATACCTTGTTTTTTATTCCTCCTTCTATTAACAAATAACTTCTACCAAGTGATTTAGCCTGGTTTTTCCCTTCTACCAGAACTGAAAAATAATATTTCCGGTCTAAAACCTTCATTTTGAAGAATAATAAAGGGCGTAAAGCATTTTAAGCTTTGAACTTTCTTGTAAAGCATTTTAAGCTTTATCTGGAACTTGGAAGTGTTCTGGATAAATAACTTATTTGGAAATTTTTAAAAGTTGTTTTAGATTACTGTCTACCTATGGTTCTAGTAGTGCAATTGAGGTACAAGGGAGAATAAAAGGAGATTCAAACTTATTTTTACCCAGATTTTCATGAAAATAATTATCTAATATTCTGAGATAGTTTTATGTTCAAGATGTAAAGAGTGAATAAATATTCACAATCATATATTATAAAATATAATGATTTCAGACCTCTAGATATCTCAGATTCATATTTTTAGAGAATTAGAACATTTAGGAAGTATCTTAATCAACTGACCAAATTAGGAAAACTGAAAATACAAAAGAAATTGTTTGAATTATGTTAGTGTTCATGCCATTAATTCTTGTTTGAGTAAGAGTGTCAGGGGTCCCTGAGACCATACTAGGTTTGATAGTTTGCTAGGAGGACTCAGTATATAGCTGTATTCATGGCTATGATTTATTATGGTGCAAAGTTACAATACAAAGCCTATAATGCAAAGTCAGCAAAGGAAAAAAGCTCATGGGGCAAAGTCCAGAGGAAACTAGGAGAAAGCTTCTAAGAGTCCTCTCCTAGTAGAGTCATACAGGATGTGCTTAACTTCCTCAGCAACAAACAGTTATAACACTTGTAAAATTTTCTCTACCAGACGAGCTCATTAGACACACATTGCCCAGGGTTTTTTTTAAGGGCTGGTCAAGTAGGCACCCTCTGCCTGACACTTAATCAAAGTTCTAGACTCTAAGAAGAAAAGCAGATGTTCAACAGAAACTACATTGTTTGTCAACAGTTTAGGCACAGTGTTCTTATCAGCTTCTTATATGGAAACAGCTAATCTGAGAAAGAATCCAAAACAGGAAAGAAGAGCCGAGAAATAAAGAGAGCCATTATCTTGATGGTATTGTTTTGAGTCCCAGAATCCAACAATGGCTTCCTCTGGACTTCTTCATAATATAAGCTAGTAATTTCCTCTTTGTTGCTTAGGGTACATAAAGTGGGTAAAGGTAGTAGAAATATCTACCCACCATTCAGCACTTACATCTGACCTGCTTAGTAACCACAGAAGGAAAAGAAAAAGATGCATTTTCTAACAGTTTAGGGAATTCTGGGAGGATTCCACGTATCCTGGTTCTGGTCATGTGTCCATGTCTGAACCTGTTACTTTGACCAGGGGGATGGAGTATTCTAGTTGGCTAGGATTTGGTCATAAAGCCATCCCTGGAGTCAGGAAAGGGATGGGTTAAGTTCTTCCCACAACTCACACCTCCCCTAACACACATGTATCCCGTAGATTTGACAGTATTATTAAATAATGGAGATGGAGATGTTTTTTCAAGAGTACAGAGTGGAAAAAAAAACCCCACAAATTTGCCACACTAGTATTGTCTTAGCTAGGTTATTCTAAAAATATTATGAAATGTGGAAAACAAAATGAATTTTTAATAAATATAATCTGATATCAAATGAATAGAAATATAGTAATATAATTCTTTGTAGGTATCTGCTTACAGAAAAGACACTTCATCACCTAGCACTGATTTATGCAGCTTTGGTTTCATTTGGGCTAAACTCTGAAGAACTGGATGTAAAGGTATTCTTTTCCTATGTGTTTCTTCATAAGTATTTTTTATAAACCAAAATTATACTCAAACTTAAGTGCCCAATGAGAAAAAAGTGTTAAGCAAATGAATTAAAAACTGTTTAAAAGCTAAATAAAGAATAGTTTTCAAATTAATAAACATTTTATCATTATTCTGTTCCAAAAGGCTTTAATTTAATGAATTTAAAATCATGTTTCTTCTCTTTATTACTACTCAGATGTTCTCTAAACATAGCAGGATATGAATAAAAATAAATATCCCTTGATTAAAAATGTTCCTTATGAAAGATGTACTAAGCTTGTATCTGCTGTAAATGGAACTCTTAAGACATATACTAGGGTAATATATTGGTGATCTCTAATCAGTCTCTTCCCTTGGCCCCCTTTTTCAGTGTCCCACTCTGAAATTTAGACATTTGTCCAAGTTCAGGGCTCAGCACTGTTCCATTATCACATTACATTCTTTTCTTTATAAACTTAGAGATTCCCACAGATTTTGCTTTCATTTCTGAGTATAATTCTTAAATTTTTCCTGACATTTCTTAAGGTCTGCACCTGTATTCTAGCAGACTACTGGGAATCTCCACGTGAATATCCAACAAGTACCTCAAACTCTACATGTCCAAAACACAGCTTCTCATCCTCCCACAAGCTTAGTTTATGGTATCACTATTCTAATTTAATTAGTAGCTAAGTCTTCTTTTTAACTCTGCAGTGTATCTAGAGTATGTCTCTCCTTCTACTTCTTCTAGGCCTAAATTCAGGCCTTCACCACCTCACACTTGGATTTTTAAAGTAGCTTCCTAACTAATATCCCTTTTCTACTCTTTCCCCACTTCATCACATATAGACACCAATTACATTTCCGAAATACAGCTGTGAATATTTCACTCACTAGACTATAAGCTCCTTAAAGGTAAGGAAACATATTTATTCTTTTTTTTTATTCCTGGAACCTAGCACAATGCCAGGTACATAGTAGTCTCTTGATAAAAATTTGCTGTTGATTTGAATTTCTTGCTCAAAGACTGTCCATAGCTTCCCACTTAAGTCAACATAAAGTTCAAACTCAGCTGGATTCAAACTCCTCCACAATGTGGCCCTTAGTGATTCCTTCTTTAACATTATTTTACTCACCATTTACTGAGTATGCCTCCATACTGTCACCTCTCAGCCTTTGCACAAACATGTCATTCTGGCCTGCCTTCCCCCAGGAATACTATTCCCCGATTCTCTTACCACTAGCTGTCAGAGTTCTACCTGTCTTTCACTGCCCAGTTCAAACGCGCTACCTCCTTTAAGAAACTTGCCCCACATCACGCTACCTGACTTCAGACTATACTACAAGGCTACAGTAACCAAAACAGCATGGTACTGGTACCAAAACAGAGATATAGACCAATGGAACAGAACAGAGCCCTCAGAAATAATACCACACATCTACAACCATCTGATCTTTGACAAACCTGACAAAAACAAGAAATGGGAAAAGGATTCCTTATTTAATAAATGGTGCTGGGAAAACTGGCTAGCCATAGGTAAAAAGCTGAAACTGGATCTCTTCCTTACACCTTACAGAAAAATTAATTCAAGATGGATTAAAGACTTAAATGTTAGACCTAAAACCATAAAAACCCTCGAAGAAAACCTAGGCAATACCATTCAGGACATAGGCATGGGCAACAACTTCACGAATAAAACACGAAAAGCAATGGCAACAAAAGCCAAAATTGACAAATGGGATCTAATTAAACTAAAGAACTTCTTCACAGCAAAAGAAACCTACCATCAGAGTGAACATGCAACCTACAGAATGGGAGAACATTTTTACAATCTACCCATCTGACAAAGGGCTAATATCCAGAATCTACAAAGAACTTAAACAAATTTACAAGAAAAAATCAAACAACCCCATCAAAAAGTGGGCAACAGATATGAACAGACACTTCTCAAAAGAAGACATTTATGCATCCAACAGACACAAGAAAAAATGCTCATCATCACTGGCCATCAGATAAATGCAAATCAAAACCACAATGAGATACCATCTCACACCAGTTAGAATGGCGATCATTAAAAATCAGGAAACAACAGATGCTGGAGAGAATGTGGAGAAATAGGAACACTTTTACACCGTTGGTGGGACTGTAAACTAGTTCAACCATTGTGGAAGACAGTGTGGCGATTCCTCTAGGATCTAGAACTAGAAATACCATTTGACCCAGCCATACCATTACTGGGTATATACCCAAAGGATTATAAATCATGCTGCTATAAAGACATATGCACACGTATGTTTATTGCTGCACTATTCACAATAGCAAAGACTTGGAACCAACTCAAATGTCCATCAATGATAGACTGGATTAAGAAAATGTGGCACATATACATCATGGAGTACTATGCAGCCATAAAAAAGGATGAGTCCATGTCCTTTGCAGGGACATGGATGAAGCTGGAAACCATCATTCTGAGCAAACTGTCACAAGGACAGAAAACCAAACACTGCATGTTCTCACTCATAGGTGGGAATTGAACAATGAGAACACTTGGACACAGGATGGGGAACATCACACACCGGGGCCTGTCGTGGGGTGGCGGGAGGTGGGAGTGATAGCATTAGGAGATATACCTAATGTAAATGACGAGTTAATGGGGGCAGCACTCCAACATGGCACATGTATACATATATAACAAACCTGCACATTGTGAACATGTACTCTAGAACTTAAAGTATAATTAAAAAAAAAAAAAGGAGAGAAAAGAAACCTGCCCCAATCCTACTCTCTCAGGATGCATCATCTCTCCTCCCATTCTCCTGCTGACAGTTCATATCTTATTATGGTATGGGGATATTTATTCATATATCCTCCACCCTGATGGGTAAGAATGATGCTCTTTTTATTTGTAAAACCTAGCAGCTAGCATAGTGCTTTGCACAAAGCAAAAACATTCAATAAATGTCTACTAAGTGGAATTCAAAGTACCACTTGCTAAGAAAATCAACAAATGATCTGTTTGAACTGGAATTCCAGATAATTTTGTTTCTGTGCTGCATACTAAACAGAAATAAAATTCTTAGAAAAGTTACCTAAAGTGAATGACAAATGTAAATTTGTCTCTAGTGAGGTCTTACCACTTATTTAGCTTCTTCTCTTCCCAGCTCAGGGTAAACCATTACAGGCAAAATATGCTTTAGAAAGTTTTTTTCCTCTATGCATGGGGCATATGATACCAGTGAGTGATACTATATTCAAATACAGCAACATGGCCCATGGAGGGCATGATCCAAATAAGGCATTTGGGGATGAAATAGGAGTACCGCCTAGGAACAATCCATTCCAAACAAGTCTATTTCCACCTGGATCAAACTATTCTAAAAGCTTTTCAGGTTTTACATAATAATCTAAAAAGCAGGTCATTTTTTCAATGGACATTGAGAGGCAACTATGGTCAATTTGCTCTTACTCTATTATCAGTATGTCCTCAGTACTCATAAGCCTCCTGTTTTCCTGACTTGATGACATTGTTGTATTAAAGGAGGCTCCCTGGACTCATATTATTTTAGAACATATTGTTGCTTTACCTTACTTTATTTAGTAGCATGGCTTTTGATCTCTTAGAGCACATCAGGACCATTAGCACCTTTTTATTTTCAGGCATCTGAAGAACTTGAAAATCAAGGAAGTATTAGGAAGTTTAAGAACATTTTCTTAAATTAAAAGAAAATACTGCTACTAGTGTTATGCTAAGTGTTATTCCAATTTTTTAAAAGTTCTGTAATTTTCTTATGAACCATCTTTGCAGGAAAATGCATAAATACACACATGCAAAATTTTGCAAACAAATTAAGTAGGTTCCTGAATTCCCAAATCTAGCCATGAGCCCCAGAATTCCTGCCCTAATAAATTAATTGTCATTATCGCCATCATAAAATTATGGCTTTTAACCCTTTTCCCATTTGCCCTGAGAATCCTCACCAGCCAGGCTTGTTGCTGCAGTGTTTACCCTGAGACAACTTTGCCACGAAATATCTCGTTTTTATTATTGTTTTTGCATCGCTGTAGCATATCAACTTTGGAAACAAAAGATATCTTTCTATTTATAGCATTCTATTTTTAGTAGTGGTATTTCCATTACAAAATATAGTAATTCTCAGTCCCTGAAAATGTCAAATCCTAGAAAACATAGTATTCCTACTCGTGATGTTAACATCATTCTCAAACAGTTGTTGGCTGAAGACTCCATTGATGAATCTGATTTTTCTGAAATAGAAAATTCTGATGATTCAGATGATTCTGATGTTATTTCTGTTTAGAAATAACTCCAAGCACAGTTTTTATATTTTATTTTCACATCGAAAATCAGTCAGATTTGCTTCAGCCTCAAAGAGCGTGTTTATGTAAAATTAAATGAGTGCTGTACTTTTTTTTTCTAAATGGGAAAAGGGTTAAAATAAAGTTTATATTTAAATGAAAGTGTCATATCTTCTCAAAACACCCAAAACTAGCAATAAAGTACATTTGGAATTGAACAATATATTTCTGTGTATTCTCCCTATATAATGTAATTTAAAGAAAATCCTTTAAAATGCATATACTCCCCAGGTGTGTACTAACCGTTTTGTATTTGCTATTCTTATAAAAGAAAAAAAGTCATAATTATTTTGTGAGATTTCTACAGTTTACTAAATTTCCACTATAGTACAGGATATTTATTTTCCAGGATATGATTATTTGGGGCAGTATTTCTCTGTTCACGTTAAACTGCTAACTCATGAACTATCTTTCCTTCAATCAAATTTAAAAGATGAAGAAGAAAAGAAAGAAATGAAAGCAGAAAAAGAAGGTTGACATTTCAGAAGAGAGAAGGGCATGGAGGAAAACAGTGTCAGACAGGAAACAGAGGATATTATGAAATTATTTTTTCTGTACTTTTTTTCCTTACTACTGTGCTAATGGGAAAAAATTATTTTTTAGAATTAAATTTAATATACACAAACACCACATTTTTGGCAGGGGTATCTTAGAATCAGTAAGCCAATATTAGATGAGCAATTCCCAAAATGCTGGGAATGATGACTACTCTAAATCAAAACCTTATTTTTTCTTTTTTGAATACAACATCAAATTCATTTATAAGTATCCTTATTTTTTAACTTTGTCTTTGAAAAATCTTGCACTATATTTTTAAAATTCTTATTTTAATTGACAACTATTAGGTTTAACTTTTGGAAACAGCAAAATAGTAATATTACTAGTGATATTCAAATTGCTGATTTTTCTAATATAGTTGAAATATAACACTATATTTTAATGACTCTGTTAATAAATGCCAAATGAAATGAAAATGATTTAGTTCCAAAAATTAAAAATACAAGGATATCACATTTAAATAAGGAATGAAAATTGGTTATCCTCATAAATAAAATGTCCTGGACATAGATAAACCAATAGTTTCTATCTAAAATTAGATAGAATCTGCTGTTGTTTAATTTTATCTTCTAATTACAAACTGTTTAAAAAATATTATATTTTGCTTCCTAGTATTTCCTATAATCTAACATAAAAAATATTTTTTAGCTTATAATTGCCCCAGGAGTAGAAGCAACTGCCTTGATAATTCGACAAATTGCTGACCACAGTTTAATGACCTCAAAGAGAGATCCTCATGAATGGTTGGATAAATCCTGGCTTAAAGTTTCACCATCTGAGGTATATTTTCTAAATGTGTAAAATAGATAATTGCAAAGCAAATATAAAAACCTGTATTTGAATTTACTTTCTGGTAACATTTTTCCCCCAAATGTCTCAAATTGAGTGGTAGGTGCAATAACAAAAGTTTTAATCTGCTGCAACGAGTAGAATAAAATGGATCACTTTCGAAAGACTACTGACTATTAAACTCTTTTCTAGGAAGAAATGTACTTACTTGTAGAATAAAATGGCTCACTTTCAAAAGACTACTGACTGATTATTTCTTAAACTCTTTTCTAGGAAGAAATGTACTTACTTGATTTTCCATGTATTAACCCATTGGTGGCTCAGCTCATGCTAAATAAAGGACCTTCACTGCATTGGATATTATTAGCAACTCTGTGTCAACTTCAGGAACTCCTACCTGAAGTCCCAGAAAAAGTGTTAAAGGTTAGTTATTTGAGATCTGTACTATGATATGAATTTATTTCCTTTCGATTTGAGTATCTATTTTTACAATAGGATTTTTAAAATGAAGGTATCCAAGTTTAATTGTTTTGGACTTCAAATAGCAAGGAAATAATTTACTTGAACTAAATTTCATATAGACGTTTCATTAGCTATCAATTATACATTTTATTTTATTTTTTATTTTATTTATTTATTTTTCCAGGCTGGAGTGCAATGGTACAATCTCAGCTCACTGCAACCTCCACCTCCCAAGTTCAAGAGATTTTCCTGCCTCAGCCTCCCAAGTAGCTGGGATTATAAGTATACATCACCATGCCTGGCTAATTTTGATTTTTTTTTTTTTTTTTTTTTTTTTTGTAGAAACGGGGTTTCACCATCTTGGTCAGTCTGGTCTCAAACTCCTGACCTCAGGTGATCCACCCACCTTGGCCTCCCAAAGTGCTGGGATTACAGTATTTTTTTCTTTTTTTTTGAGATGGAGTCTCCCTCTGTCACCCAGGCTGGAGTGCAATGGCTTGATCTCGGCTCACTGCAGTCTCCAGCTCCTGGGTTCAAGCAATTCTCGTGCCTCAGCCTCCCGAGCAGCTAGGACTGCAGTTGTGCACCACCACACCTGGTTAAGTTTTGTATTTTTAGTAGAGACAGGGTCTTACCATGTTGGCCAGGCTGGTCTCAAACTCCTGACCTCAAGTGATCTAACTGCCTTGGCCTCCCAAAGTGCTAGGATTACAGGCATGAGCCATAAACCCCAGCCTATATTATACATTCTAAAGCTATTTTATACAGATAAATTCAATATAGTCAGCTTTAAATCATTTTGGAATATTATTGTGCTCATAGAAAATTCAGTTATATACCCTATTCACATGTATTTACGTTACCTCTTCCAAACAGTCCTAACATACCCTTAATTCTAGCTGTAAAGATAACTTTAGCCTTACTGGTAATATTTTAAAATTCTTATCAAGGAAATAGTATTCATGTATGAATTGTATAACTAAAATTCTATTGTATTTGCTGTGAGCCTAAAATTGTTCTGAAAAATAGACTATTAAAAATTCTATTACAAGTGATTAGAAAATAAGTATGAATTACAATGAATTTTTCTTTTAATAGAGCCTAATGATTTCATGTTCTTAATACCTGGATCAATGTAATATCTATGAATAGACTACCTATTTATATTTTGCCTTCTTTCCATATAGATAAGCATCATTATTTATATTTACTAAACTGACATTTGCATTATATTAATTCATTTTTTAGCATTTTTGTAGCATCACTTCCCTATTCAAGATTGGTTCTTCTTCCATAACAAAATCACCGCAAATTTCGTCACCTCAGGAAAATAGGAATCAGATTAGTACCTTGTCTTCTCAAAGTTCAGCTTCTGATTTAGACTCTGTCATTCAAGAACATAATGAATATTATCAGTATTTAGGATTAGGAGAGACAGTGCAGGAAGACAAAACCACCATTTTGAATGACAACTCTTCCATTATGGAACTAAAAGAAATCTCAAGTTTTTTACCACCTGTGACTTCATACAATCAGACCAGCTACTGGAAAGACTCCAGCTGTAAATCTAATATAGGGCAGAATACTCCTTTTCTAATTAATATAGAATCAAGGAGACCGGCTTATAACTCCTTTCTAAACCACAGTGATTCAGAGTCAGATGTCTTTTCTTTGGGTCTAACACAAATGAACTGTGAAACTATAAAATCACCAACTGACACTCAGAAGAGAGTGTCAGTTGTCCCCCGTTTTATAAATTCTCAGAAAAGGAGAACACATGAAGCAAAAGGTTTCATAAATAAAGATGTATCGGACCCTATCTTTTCACTAGAGGGCACTCAATCTCCTCTTCATTGGAACTTTAAGAAAAATATATGGGAACAAGAGAATCACCCGTTCAACTTACAATATGGTGCACAGCAGACTGCATGTAACAAATTGTACTCTCAGAAAGGTAATTTATTCACTGATCAGCAAAAATGTCTATCAGATGAGTCTGAAGGCCTCACATGTGAAAGTTCAAAAGATGAGACTTTCTGGAGAGAATTACCATCTGTCCCCAGTTTGGATTTATTTCGTGCTTCTGATTCTAATGCAAATCAAAAAGAATTCAACAGCCTTTATTTCTACCAAAGAGCTGGAAAAAGTTTAGGACAGAAAAGGCACCATGAATCTTCATTTAACTCAGGAGACAAGGAATCATTAACAGGTAACACTATCCAATAGTTGATAAAACTACTCTCAAATTTAATTTTAAAAGATAAAATCATCTCCAAATTTAACATTTTTTTTGTTTTAATTACTACATTTAAAAAACTTCTCTAATAACTGTTGGGTAAAAGAGAAAATCTAAACTCTAAAATAAATGCAGAGAAAATATATTGTGTTAAATTATTATAACCTTAAGTGGACTAAGCATTCAACTTAAGAAGTTAAAAATAAAAGCAGTGCAACTCTAAGTAAAGCAGGAGACTAAAATCAACAAAGATTAAACAGAGGAATCAGTGAATTAGAAAATTAACCTCTTTGTGGAGCAGGTATATTTAACTGACTAACGTTTATTAAAAGAGCCTAATTAGGTGCCAGTCTCCATTCTAAGTGCTTTATTGGATTATTTACTTTAATTCTAACAATTCTATTAAATAGGCAGTATTATTAGCTCCATTCTGGTGGATGTTTTTGAGTTGTCTGAACATTTAAGCATATCAAATTTTTAAAAGCACAATTTAATTTTCTTGTTTCTAGTGATTCTAGCTTTTCTTTCAGTGTCATTTCTTACTGCATTGGCCCAAGCATCTAAAACAAAATATTAAGTTCTAACAGCCGTACAAAGGTGGCCTTCCCCAGGATAGGAGAAAAAGGGGAGGGCGGGGGGAAGCTTAAGTTTCAAACTTCTCTTTTTCATAGGTTTTTTTGTGAGGCCTGAGAGGGGCCAAGAAAATCTTGTATTTTTTGTTTTGTTTTAAAAAGGGCTCCCAAATTGTATAAGCTACAGGACTTGTAATGCTTGGATTTGCTCTTATTTAATACTTACAACTTGTTTTGTTCCTCACTTTAATGGGAAGTATTCTGTGTCTAGTTTTGTAAAAACTTCTGTGAAAAATAGATGCTGAATTTATTCAAACTCATTTTAGTACATATTGGGAAAAATCAAATGTGTTTTCTCTACTGACCTATTCATGTCAAAGATTATATTTACAGGTTTACTAATATTAAAATATCTATGCCATTTCTGTGATAAACATAACTGGTTTTTGAGGGGTGATTCTTTATTTTTATATTTTTGTTTTATTTAATATTTCATGCTACCTTGTCTAAGAGATTTTTTGTTTCTTTAAGACAAGGTCTCCCTCTGTAGCCCAGGCTGGAGTGCAGTGGCATGATTGGTTCACTGCCACCCCCACCTTTCGGGCTCAACCGATCCTCCCATCTTAGCCTCCCAAGTAGCTGGGATTACAGGCATGCACCACCATGCCTGGCTAATTCATTTCTATTTTTAGTAGAGACAGGGTTTTGTTATGTTGTCCAGGCTGATCTCGAACTCCTCGGCTCAAGTAATCTACCCGCCTTGGCCTCCCAATGTGCTGGGATTACAGGAGTGAGCCACCTGGCCCGGCCTAAGAGATTCTTTTAATATGCTGTTAAATATGGTAGCTAATATTTATGATTTTCATGTCTACATTCATGATATTAGATTGTGTTCTTTATTTGTGCCTTATCACATTTGGACATAAAAGTTATGCTAACTTCATAAACTGGATGAAAATTTCATATTTTTCTACTCTGAAACAAAATACACATGTGAATTACTATATGTTCTTGAACACAGGGCACTCCAATATATAACCTCCCATTTTCCAATGAGAAGACCCAGAAGTCATTTTTAAATAAATTCTAACATTAAATGTTAGAAAAAGCTTAAAGCTTTTAGGTATATGAGTAGAATAGTCAAACAGCTACCTATATTTTAATTCATTAATTTAGTTATATATTTTTAAATCACATACTCTATAAAATAATATCAGTTTAGAAATATTAATTTCTTCCAATTTCCAAGTTATTTCCATGAAATAATTTTATTCAAACAGTTCACATGACTCTTTGATACTAGTATCTACATTCAATATGGCAAATTTTATTTAAATTAAAAAAAATTTATTTTTCCATAGTACATCATTACCTCCAAATACATTGTTTAAGATACAACACTTTTTGAATTAATATTGGCACAGCCCTGGAAAATTTATCCAAAGCCATTAGCATAACCCATAACCTCAAGATAATTTTCCATTTGTCCCGAAGTGTATATATGGGATCTCTATGATATAATTACTTACTACATTGCTTTATTTTTATTTTTTGGCATGTCTGTTTGACAAAATACATTGCTTTTTAAAATAATAATAATAATTATTATTATTATTATTATTGACAGAGTCTTGCTCTGTCACCCAGGCTGAATCATCCCTCCTCCACCTCTTGAGTAGCTGGGACGAAAGGTACGCACCACCACACCCAGCTAATTTTTGTATTTTTTGTAGAGGCAAAGTCTTGCCATGTTGCCCAGTCTGGTCTCAAACTCTTGGGCTCAAGCAATCCGCCTGCCTCAGCCTTCCAAAGTGCTGGGATTACAGGTGTGAACTACTGCACCCCACCCTGCCTTTTAAACTTTTAAATAATGGTACCCTAACTCTTGGCAATTATGAGATTATATCCCCAGGGATAATTATTAAAACTGTTTTATAATTTTTAGTTTTCCATTTTACTGATTTCATAATCAGCCTCTGTAAGTATCCAAATCTAGGATTTTTCACGTTAATGTATCATATTTTAAAAAGCCATATAAGGTGAGTTCTTATATAATCACCACCTATCATTCATCAGGGCTCAGAATAAATTTCACATTACAGCTGTGGGTCAAGGATCAAGCTATGAGGGAAAACTTAAAAGCAAGAGTATTGAAAATGGCATGTTAAAGACTCTAGAATGGAAGCTGAATATGAGCTACTAATACCATTTTTAAATATGGTATTTTAATTTTTATTTTTTTCTTAATTGATCTATTATAAATTTTTTCTTTGAGCCAAGAGTGGGGTTTTTCTCATGTTGTTGGTTTTTTTGAACTTTTGTTATTTCTGACAACTGCATTGTTATCAGTTTATTATTTACTCCTTCCACTTATTAATGATGATTCTTTATCTGACTTGGCAAGGATATAGTGAATTTTGCTCATAATGTCCAAAATGCTGGTAATCTCTTCAAAACTGTTTTCATCTGTGAATGTACTTGGGACACTTTGTATTGGTTAACTGGAAATTTGTATGTGCTTTATAATTGCACATGTGGATACTAATATAGGGATAACTATATATGGATATCCATATATAAATAATATATGGATAATAAATTGGAGTTATTAAATAGGTGCAAAATATACATTTATTTCATGGGAAAGCTTCCTGGCAGCTATAGAAAAAGAAATTTAAGCATTTTTAGAAATTTTAGAATTGGCTGTGAGAGATTGATATCCAGAAAAAAACATTGTTTCTATCACATTGGTAGCTTAAAATCAGCCATGGTGGGTGTCTTCATACCACAAAAATTTGCAGATGCTACAAACCAGGCCTTTCCTTGTTTCGAGAGCTGGTTGTTAAACGTTTACCAGAATGCTACTGGTAGTCCAGGCTCTCCCACAGCTTTACAGTGAAGAACCAAGGTCCTGTCGTCATTAATATTCCCTGTATTTCATCTAATTGTTTACTTAAGGATTCTTTAGCTCCTTAATTGGAGTTAAAGATTTGTTTTCCAGACATGCCTTTAAAGACATGAATTTACAGATAGATTCCTAAACACATAACCTCTCCCTGAAACGAAATATGTCCTTAGTGAAAATGATATCCCCCTAAAGGGTGTATGTTCATGAGAAGAAAATTAGCCCAAGTGAAAAAAAGCCACAGTCAGGAATAGGAAGGGCAAACTGGAAAAGAAAAAAGAAAAAAAAAAAGAAGAAGAAGAAAAACCGGACAGAATTGTATACACTCTCACCACAAAGATGGATACAAGGTACACGGAAACCAGGCAATATGTCTTTGTTTTAGGTTCAAAGTCTGTCAAAATGAGCCTCTAACTTATATCCTAATTAATGAGGACTTATTGGAAACTTTCAAGAATTAGGAAGCCCGGCCTGAGGTGCTTCCCAAACCATTTTGGGTTGTTTTTACTTAAAAATGTTAGAAGAGAATTTAGAGATTATGAATTATAACTTTTCATTTCACAGAAGAGAAAATTGAAACCAAGGGAGATTTAAGTATTTGTACAAGGCATGAGCATAAAAATATATGCATTTATCACTAATTTTTAATACCGGGCCATTAGGTACAGAGGCATTTATGTTAAAAACATACTTTTTAATAGTTATTATTTTATCCCAGTTTGGAAATTTTGACACTTTTTAGGTAGATGATGAAGACACAAAATCCGTTTGAATAGTGAGGAAAACATACCTATACTTCAGCCGGGCATGGTGGCTCATGCCTGTAATCCCAGCACTTTGGGAGGCCGAGGCAGGTGGATCACCTCAGGTCAGGAGTTTGAGACTAGCCTGCCCAACATGGCAAAACCCTGTCTCTACTAAAAATACAAAAAATTAGCCGGGCGTGGTGGCAGGTGCCTGTAATCCCAGCTGCTCGGGAGGCTGAGGCAGGAGAATCGCTTGAACCCAGGAGGCAGATGTTGCAAGTGAGCCGAGATTGCGCCACTACACTCCAGCCTGGGCGACAAGGGCAAAACTTCATCTCAAAAAAGAAAAAAAAAAAAAAAAGGAAAAGAAAAAACCTATACTTTACTATTGTAAGCAATAAAATGGTTTTCCTTTTTCTCCTTTTAACAGGTTTTATGTGCTCACAACTACCACAATTCAAAAAACGACGTCTAGCATATGAAAAAGTCCCTGGTAGAGTTGATGGGCAGACTCGGCTGAGGTTTTTTTGAAGGAGGAGAAGAGCAATGTTACATGCCATATTCCACTGTTTTTGATGCTAATCCACTAGCGCAATTATTTAGATTTGCTCATACACTAAAGAAAACACAATTGTTCATATATGTCTCAGTATTTCTGTATTAAATATTCATAATATGTATTCTGCCCTATGGTTTGCATCTTTGTAAGTTAAATATTCTAATTTATCAATTAGCAGAATAATTATCATAAGATCCAAAATGTCTTCCAGACACCCCTGCACACAGGCCATTTAAATGAGTCTCCATCACAGTCTGACCCTTTGAGTCAGGAAGTGAAGATCATCACAGTTAACCCTCCCACATCAAGAAAGTTAAAACCTAGGACAAAATTGAAGTTAGAAAACTTCCAACTTAAAGTATCATTTTCTGTAAACACAATTTAAGAACAAATTACTAAGAGGAAATATTTGCAACCCAGATAATAGGAAAAAAAGTTTACATTTCTCATATATAAAGAATTCCTACAAATTGATAGAAAGAAGACAACCTGATAGAAGAACGGGCAAAATATATGAACAGATATTTCCTCAGAAAAAAACAAAAATTGTCAATAAACATTTGAAACACAATGAAGCTTCATTACTTATTAGACAAATGCAAATTAAAACAATGTTACTGTTTTTTCACCTATCAGGTGCCAACATTTTTGAAAATTCACACTATCCAATTTCTACATATTGAAGAAAAGAACACTTTCCTATATTGTTTGTACAGCTTCTTTAGTGCAGTTTGTGTAAACCCACTAAGAGGAAAAATGCTCCTATCTTTTGACTCAACAACCACATTTCCAGGAATCTGTCTTAAAGAAATATCCAATTACACAATGAAATGCCATATAATTTGTAATAGTTAAAAATTATAGACAATAAAAATGCTAGCAGTAGGGGAATAGATCAACAACTTAGACTGTAGAATATCATGAAACCATTAGAAGAAAGTAAGTCCGTGTGCTCTGACAAGGCAGGATGCCCATAACATAAAGTAAAAAAAAAGGGAAAAACAATATATAAAATATTATATGTTGCACAACTCCATTTCTGTTTTTTAAAAATAGACCTTTGAAAATTCAAAAATTTTCCAAAATAATCACCATATCAGGGAACAATGTGGGCATAAGATGAATTTCACATTCTTATATGCAATTTTGTTCACAAGAAACACTAGGTGAACTAAAAAATGACACCCAACTGAAATAAGCTGCATAGGAATACACAAAACACACATACACACCACAGTTCACAGGGTCATTGAGCCACACAATGTAGCTAATGCCACATTTGGTGTCTCAACTTTTGGCTAGATAGTCCACCTGCTACCATCTCACAGTAACTCGCCAGTTGCAACTTGGCTAAGCAGCTTCCTACCTTCCCCTTTCTTTAATTGTTCTCTACTTTCCTCTCAGGTCTCTGCCATTTTTCTCTATTTATTCTCTCACTCTTTTTCTATCTCTCTTTTGTTCTTTTCCTTGAGCAGAAAGGGTACCGGCCATGGTCGCTAGGCAGGGCTGGCCAGTGGGACAGTGGGGCCTACAGGCTCAAGAGCAAACTTTGAGTATTTTTCAAGGTAAGGAGCCATATGTATTATAGTATTTGTGTATTCCTTAATCATTTAACATGTTTAAAACTGTGCTATCATTTTCATTAGGTTTCTGTCTTTTTTACTGTCACTGGCAAAATTTTTTAATATTAAGTCCCAACTCCATTTTCCCATAGGCCCTGTGGTGGTTATTGTGTGATTTGATATAACTTGGTGATTTTTAGGAATGCCTGTGTCATATTATAGCAGCACTACTGAATACATATTCTTCTTAGCAGCTGCATAATATAATCTGCCATAATATATTTAATCATTCTCTCACTAATGAACATTTAGGTTGACTCCAACTTTGGCATGAAAAATATATGGACAGATATATTCTCAAACTTTCAACAGTGGGAGATAGAGTAGTAAATACAAAGGTTGTCATTCTTTATACATTTGGATATATTTTGAAGGTACAGCGGAGGAATCAGGGATAGCACCAAGGTTTGTGGCCTAAGAATGACATTGTCATTTATTGCAATGGGGAAGATTATGAGAAAGGTATAATTTACAGAGCTTGGGAGCTCAATTTTTGGGCAAGTTAAATTTGAAATACCTACTAGACTTCCAAGTGGAGTTACTAAGTAGGTATTTGTATTATGTAAGTCTCAAGTTCAATAGAAAATATAAATCTGGGAAGTATAAATTTGGGAGTCATCAGAGTATAGATGATGTTTAAAGCTATAAAAATGGATAAGATTACCAAGGTAGTGAATATAAACAGAAAATAGAAAAATTTCAACCACCAAGCCATGGGACAACATTAGACAGAAATAGAAGAAAATGGAAAGGAGATTGAGAAGAAGGGATCAGTGATGTAGGAGAAAAACCAGGAGATTTCCTGAAAGCCAGATGAAGAAGATGTTTCCAGAGGAGACAGTAATCGGTTGTGTCAACTGCTATTGACAAATCAAGTGAGAGGAGGAAAGAGAACCACTGGATTTACCAATGTGGAGCTCTTTGGTGATCTTGATAGGAGCAGTGTTCGGAGCAAAGGTGGGGGCAAAAGCCTGATTATCATAGATTCCAGAAAGCACAGGAAAGGAAAACAGGAGATAGGGAGTTTAGACAACTCTTTCTGAGACTTTTGCTGTATAGATGAGAGATGGGGTATTGGCTAGAGGAAGAAGTCAAGACAGGGTAGTTTTAAAGTAGAAAAATCTCACAGTGTTTGTAAATGGATGGGAAAATTCCAGTACAGGAGCAAATGCTAATGGAGATAGAGAGAGATGTGCTGGACACAAGTCCCTGGGAAGGTGAAAAGAGATGGGATATAGTGCAGAAAAGGAGGGAGTTGGTCTTGGCTAGGACCATAGAGAGTTGATCCACAGACATAAGAAGAACCATTGAGATTATGGGCAGAGATACAGGCAGATGTGATGGGAGATTATGGCCATTCTCTTCTGATTGCTTCCATTTTTTTTCCTCTTTACTTTTCTGTTTTCTTTGATCAGAAAAGCAGAACCACTGAGAGTTATAGAGTAAAGAGTTTATTATAAGGATTAGGCCTTGTACAAATGTGGGAACTGGTTTAAAAGTTATGTAAGACAGTTGTCTTTGCATCTGGTGTTGGGCCTGAAGTCACTTCAGGTCAGCCAAGCTCATTGTCAGGAGAGTTGGAAGCAAAATGGGGAAGATAAACTGGAACTTGCCAGGACAAACTAGAGTCACTTTCAACCTCAGTGATATGAAAGCGAGGAAGCTGAGAGTGAAGAAGGAGAAGGTATTGGAGATTTGAGAAGAAATAAATCATGAAACAGTCATCTAGGAGAGTGAGAGAGTGAAGGGAATGGGGAACTATAGGGTATGTTTGCCCGAAAATATAAAGATCCTCTTAAATTAGTGATCATGACTCTAAAGTGAGAGCATTAAGTAGGTCACAAATGGAGGAGGGGTGCCCACTAGAAAGGAGGAAAACAAAGACAGAGAATTGCATTTAAAGGGCTGTGGTGCAGGCGCGGTGGCTCACGCCTGTAATCCCAGCACTTTGGGAGGCAGAGGTGGGCGGATCACGAGGTCAGGAGATCGAGACCATCCTGGCTAACACGGTGAAACCCCGTCTCTACTAAAAATACAAAAAATTAGCCGGGTGTGGTGGCGGACGCCTGTAGTCCCAGCTACTCGGGAGGCTGAGGCAGGAGAATGGCGTGAACCCGGGGAGGCGGAGCTTGCAGTGAGCCGAGATCCCGCCACTGCACTGCAGCCTGGGCGGCAGAGTGAGACTCCATCTCAAACAAACAAACAAAAAAGGGCTGTGGCTTAGTCAAGACTGTGTAAGGAAGCAACAGTGAGAGTGGGGCAAGGGAGTTGACAAAGTATGCAAGGCAGTGACCATAATAATGATAATGTTATAATGTTAACATTGTAAATGGGACACAAAGTACATTTTATTATAAACTGAGCTGTGCATATAACCCCTATATAGAGCTTTCTCTAAACCATGTTCAAAACTCTGAGGCTAAATCTGAAGTCCACATGGGGTCTCCCTTCCTTCCTCCCCTCAACAATGGCCTTCCCCTTGACATTTAAATGTACTTAAGCTTCTGAAGGAAGCTTTTCTAGACTTCATATCCTCTCCAACTACTCCTGCTCTGTTCTCTTTCACAGCTGAACTTCTCAAGATGATATATATCAGAAGTCTTTAGACTGAGGTACACCTACCGTTAGGGCATATTACAAAGACATTTCAAGGAGTGAGTACATGGGCACCAACAGTTTTAAAAGAGTAAATTTCCAGTGCTTCAATTTCCACAGGCACTCTTTCCCAAGCCAGAGAACACACCTGAGACCTACCCATCACAAGGGTTCTTTTTTTCTATCCTCCACTTTTACAATTGTCCTTCCACTTTGTGAAATAAATATATATCTGTCACCCATCCTGAATCTTACTAAGCCAAGACCTAAGATCTAAATACTACCAGAGCAATAAATAAAGGAATAATTTGAAATACTGGGATCAGCAAAATCTCCTTTAAACCACTGTAACATCCCATTCATCTCACTAAGAGATGCATTTCCATTACATCTACTTTTTAAAATTTAAATAAATTTTCTTTTTCTTTTTTTTTTTTTTTTTTGAGACGGAGTTTTGCTCTGTCACCCAGGCTGGAGTACAGTGACGTGATCTCGGCTCACTACAACCTCCGCCTCCTGGGTTCAAGCAATTCTTGTGTCACAGCCTCCCGAGTAGCTGGGACTACAGGCGCAAGCCACCATGCCTGGCTGATTTTTTGTATTTTTAGTAGAGACAGGGTTCCACCATATTGGTCAGGCTGGTCTCGAACTCCTGACCTCAGGTGATTCGACCACCTCGGCCTCCCAAAGTGCTGGGATTACAGGCGTGAGCCACCATGCCCAGCCAAAATTTAAATAAACTCTCAATTTTAGAATAGATTAACAGAAAAGTTACAAAAATAGTATAAAGAGTTCCCAAATATAAAACACCAAATTTCTCCTATTATTAATATCTTACATTACTATTACTATGGTACATTGGTCACAACTAATGAACCAATATTGATACATTATTATTAACTAAACACCATCCTTTATTCAGAACTCATTAGTTTTTCTTTAATGTCCTATTTATGTTATAGGATCTCATGTAGGATATATCCTTATATAGGATATATATACCCTCATGTAGGATATATCGTTAGATTTAGTCATCATATCTCCTTGAGCTCCTCTTAGCTGTGACAGTTTCTCAAACTTGCCTTTTTTTTTATGACCTTGAAGTTTTAAGGAATACTGGTCAGGTATTTTATAGAATATTGCTCAATTTGGATTTGTCTGATGTTTTCCTCGTGATTAGACTTGGGTTATGTGCTTTGAGGAGGAAAACTACATAACGAGTTAAAGTTTCATTCTCAATACATCATATCAAAGGTACATGTTATCAACATGACTTATCACTGATTATGTTAAATTTCGTCACCTAGATAAGGTACCATTTGCCAGGTTTCCCATTAAAAAGTTACTCCCTACCCTTTTCCATATTGTACTTTTTGGAAATAAGTTGCTAAGTGTAGTCCACACTTAAGGGGTAGGGATTTATGTTCCACCTCCTTGAGGAAAGAGTATCTATATAAATTATTTGGAAGCTTTCTATACCGGAGATTTATCTCTTCTCCCCCAATTTATTTACTTATTCAATTATTTATTTATATAGTACTTGCTCATAGATATTTATGTATACTAAGCGTTTGCTATGGTTTGAACATGATCCCCAATAGGCAAGTGTTAAGAACTTAATTCCCAATGCAACAGTTTTGAGAGGAAGGATTTTTAAGAGCTTATTAGGCTCTGCCCTCGTGAATGGATTAATGGTATTATTGCAGGAGTTAGTTAGTTAGTACCATAGGAGTGAGTTCCTGATAAAAAGGATGAGTTGAGCCCCCTTTCTCTATTGCCCTATTGCACTCTCTTGCCCTTCTGTCTCTTCCATGGGATGACACAGCAAGAGGGTCCTTGCCAGATGCTCGTGCCATGCTTTCGGACTTCCCAGCCTCCAGAACAGTGAGCCAAATAAATTTCTCTTCATTATAAATTACCCAGTCTGTAGTATTCTGTTATACCACATAAAATGGACTAAGACAGGTTTATAATCCAATATGACATTTTAAAAATATTATTGGCCAGGCGTGGTGGCTCATGCCTGTAATCCCAGCACTTTGGGAGGGCGAGGAAGGTGAATCACTTACGGTCAGGGGTTCCAGACCGGCCTGGCCAACATGGTGAAACCGTATCTCTATTAAAAATACAAAAATTAGCCGGGTGTGGTGGCATACCCCTGTAATCCCAGCTACTTGGGAGGCTGAGACACGAGAATCTCTTGAACCCAGGAGGCAGAGGTTGTAGTGAGCCAAGATTGTGCCATTGAACTCCAGCCTGGGCAACAGAGTGAGACTCTGCCTCAAAAAAAAAAAGAAGAAGAAGAAAAAATATTGTTAAAATTATTCCAGGTTTAGCCACTGGGAGCTCTTTCAGTTTGCTCCTATGTTCCTTAGATAAATCCCCACCATTTAGGGTTTTGACCACTTCTTTACTTTCTCACATTACAAGATATCAAGACTCATCTAGTATATTCATTGCCCCAGCTCTAGGATCAGTCATTTCTCCAAGGAGCTCTAGTACCCTTTATTGGAGAATGGTATTAGCAACCAAAATCTGGGCACTGGATATGCTCATTGCTACTGGAGTGTCCTTGCTCTAAGGCCCTCTGAGCAAACAGAGCTAGAAATAGATGTGTTATAGTTATCTCTGTATAGACACATATCTACAAGTTTATCTACATCTATCCATCAGTATCTATATTAAGATAAACATGAGCTTGGCTGGGCGCAGTGGCTCACGCCTGTAATCCCAGCACTTTGGGAGGCCAAGGCGGGTGGGTCACAAGGTCAGGAGATCGAGACCATCCTGGCCAACATAGTGAAACTCCGTCTCTATTAAAATACAAAAAAATGAGCTGGGCATGATGACACATGCCTGTAATGCCAGCTACTCAGGAGGCTGAGGCAGGAGAATCGCTTGAACCAGGGAGTCGGAGGTTGCAGTGAGCCGAGATCGCGCCACAGCACTCCAGCCTGGCGGCAGAGCCAGGCTCCATCTCAAAAAAAAAAAAAGAAAATAAAGAAAAAAGAAAGATAAACATGAGTTCGTTCATTCTTACGTTTGTATTCTAATCCAGTACCACATGGTTCATTATAGCTTCCCTGCTTGCTTATCTGTAAACCCACACCCCACTCCAACAGTGAGACACTTAACTCCCACCATCCTCTATCCATTTACTTTTTTGTTCAATCCCAATATACATCTATGGTAGGTTCAGATTTGTTAACCCATACCCCATGAGAAACAACTTCACCAACTAGTGTACAATGCTTATGAACAATCCATTTGTCTTTAGAGTTCCAGTCATTTCCAAAGTCAGCCCCTCCTTTCTCTACCCTCTTAGTTATGTCATGCATTTGTAATATGTATTTTTTTTTTATATTATCAAAATTTATAATATATTTATGTGGTTTTGAATACTTGTACTTAAATAAATTGAATTAGTAATTAAGAAAAACGATTTAACTTAGAGTCTTAAGGTCACAAGAAATATTTTTTAATTATTTCAATTTATACCCTATTACAGAGAAGTATGATAGGTTGATCATAAAAGGCTTTCAAGCATAAACATTACATTAGGATTTGCATCAATCTGGGTTCAACCAAGAGAGAAACTGCACAGTAATTTAAATAGGGGAAATTTAATATAAAAAATTTTTAAGCTGTGAATGAGAACTCTAAGGGTACCCTAAAGTTGAGGGAGAGCCCAAAAGAAAGACAAACCTGGTCACCTATTTGAAGACCTCTTTGAAGAAGGTGTGGTTGTAGCCCACTGGACAAGAAAGAAATTTTATTTTATTTGAAGCCAGAATTGGTCCATAATTGCTGGGAAAACAAGAACAACCCTTTGGGGCATTGGCAAGCCAAGGCTGGTAGGCCCGATAAGGCCTGGAGCACACGATGTTCATGACAGGAGGGCTGTGGGGAAAAAACCTTTTGCACACAGGAGAGCCAGAGTTGATGGAGGTGGGGGACATGGAGAGAGTTGTGGCACCACTGTGGGCATTGCTGAAACCAGGAGATAAACAGACTGCCCTCTGTCGAAACCTAACACACTTCTGTGTATAGCTTGGGCTTGGAAAGCTCTGGGCTTTGGTGCAGAGCAAAGGTCAGTTGGCTGGCTTGCTAAATGGCCATCACTGCAGGGCCCCAGCAAGTACGCATGAGGCGCTGAGGATAGGGTATGAGGAGCAGCAGAATGGGCTAAGACTCAGAGCCACATTGTCTGAGGCTCCCAGCTATAGCACTACTGCCTTCATGAAGAGCTAAAAAAAGCTGCGCTTTGCCTAGCATTGGAGAAAACCACGTTAGACCCAGGAAGACATACCCATTCCTTCCTCCTGGAATATCTCTCCAACACCTTCTATGAACAAATCAGCATTATGCCAGTTGGCAAAGAAAAGATATTTAAAGGATCCAGATCCATTTTCACAAAACCAATGAAGTATGACTTTGGAGATGAGAGGCAACAAAAGGGTAATTGAGACAGGATTAAATTTTGTGGGGAAATTAAATTGGAAGTATGATTTTAGAGAAAAAAAAGAATCATGTAAAATTTCTGACTAAAGGAGAGTACGGTTTGTATATTTTTAAATGGATGATGGTAGGTTTCAAATGATGATGGTATTTGTATTCCATTGAATATATTTAAAAGAAGAATGAAATAATTTCATGTTAAAATGCTAGACTTTTAATAAAATTATATATTAAAATATATACTTAAACTTACGATGATATATATAAACTTATGATATATATTATATATATTTAAACTTATGATAAACATTTAGATGCCGACTGTAAAATGGAGGTACACAGGGTTGACATTATTTCATTTAGGTTGCATATAAGCAAAAATGTTTGAAGACCACAAGTATAATCCACCTTTATTTCCTGACTTCTGAAATTATCACCCTATCACTACCATAATTAACCTCTACCTTCTTAGATCCAAAGGACATTCAGACATCACCTTAATTGACCTCTCTTCAGCATTTGATACTTCTTCCTTTTTTAAACAAGCTTAACTTGACTTAACACCGCCTATCCTACTTTCCTCTTTCTACTACACTTTCACCGTCATGCATGCTTGCTACAGGAATACATTCTCAGAAATGCATCATTAGGCGATTTCATCATTCTGTGGACATGATAGAGCGTAATTCACAAACCTAGGTTGGGTAGCCCACTACACACCTAAGCTGTATGGTGTAACTTATTGCTTGTAGGCTACAAACCTGTACAGTACATTACTGTACTGAATATTGTAGGCAATTGAAACACAATGGTAGGTATTTGTGTGTCTAAACATAGAAGGATACAGTAAAAATACAGTATAAAATACTGCATACAGTGTAAGAATACAGCACAAAATATAACATCCGCATAGGGTTCTAATGGGAATTGCTGGCCCTTCAATTCATTGCTGGTGATAGTGATGCTCACCTCTGAGGTCTTTTGAGGGGCTTTACTCCAAGTCCCTAAGCCCAGCCCAAGTCTGCAGGCCTCACCAAACATCAGCTGTCTCTTCCAATTATGGATGGGCATAAGATATTCCTTCCCTTGCCACTGAGACTCAGAAGATAACTGGGGAAAAATACCAGGATGTCCCATTTCCTTGCCTCTCACAATAGAAGACTCCTTAACTACACCCAATAATTAGGCCTGCCCTAAAACAAGGGATCCAACAATTTTAATAAGTAGAGTAGCCTGGGTTGAGGGGGATGAAGAGTGCAAACTATAGTAATCCAAAATGAGAGCTGAGAAAAAAATGGCATGTATTGAGGCAATTATTGGACTTATTCCTAATTCAAACATAATACCCATAAAGAAAAGGATCAATGTGGGGGTCCATTTTGGATCCATGATCTATATTAAATGGCAAAAAAGGAGAAAGTGTATTTGCAGAATTATCTGGTAATACTAAGGGGCCTGCAAAATGAGAAGGTTAAAAAAAAATGTGCATTACATCCTGTAACAATCTAGAATTAAAGGAGCTGTGAGGGGAAGCTTATGCTACTTCTATAGGATGGAATCCCACTGTTATGGGATTCCAAACCATCCTGTTGATAGAAAGTATTTTGGAACTGTTTGATTTTATAGGCAAATACCATCCCTCAATCAGTTAGGGTAAACTTAACATGATATATGGAATTGTTTTGTTTCCACAGACGATTTATGGTGATATTCCAGTCACAATCTTTTTTTAAAAATCTTATTTAGAAATGCTGAGACAAGCTTTTTCTAGGTAAATAACTAGATAAATAAAAATTAAAGGAACTTTTAATAAATATCTGTTTGATACAGGACAATAATCCAAACAAATTTCGAACAAAAGGCTTTAGACTGCAATTTTTGGAAGGGGCAGAAAGAACGCAGTATACCTTACTGAAGAATAGTAGTCATGGCCAAATGTGGTGGCTCATGCCTGTAATCCCAGCACTTTGGGAGGCTGAGGCAGGCAGATCACTTGAGGTCAGGAGTTCGAGACCAGCCTGGCCAACATGGTGAAACCTCATCTCTACTAAAAATAAAAAAGTTAGCCAAGAGTAGTGGTGCATACCTGTAATCCCAGCTACTCAGGAGGCTGAGGCAGAAGGATCATTTGGACCTGCGAGGTGGAGGTTGGGGTGAGGCGAGATCATGCCACTGCATTCCAGCCTGGGTGACAGAGTAAGACTCCATCTCAAAAAAAAAATAATGGTAGTCATTATCAGTCCCACTTGCTTCTCATCAAAGAGAAAAACCATCTCTATGGCAGTTTCTGCACATCTCAGCTCCCATGTGAAGATTTTTGCCATAATTTCTCAGAACCTCTTAAACTGACCACCATCTACCTACACCCAAAGTGTCAACATAACCAATCCACCATTCTTGTCTGCCCCTGCAACTAAATAGAAGCACCTTAACTTAGTAATCAAAAAGCTAGATAAGGGATTCTGGTGTGATGACTTGAGCCTATTTAGTTTTAGCATAACTATGAAGAAAAATGAATTTAATATGAAGGAGTAGGAAATTAAAAACTAAGCCATTTGATTTAGATGACAGCTGACTATCATCTGTGAAGCTGTAAATATCAACTATGTTGAACATGGGGAATATGGGGATATGAGACATGGTATATGGCTACGATGTCAACTCAGCTAAGCTGAAGCTACCACTTCTTTAATGTTATATGGTTGACGCTTGAACAACAAGGGTTTGAACTACCAGGTCCACTCACAGGTGGATTTATTTCAATAACATGTGAATAGAAAATACAGTATTTTGGCCAGGCGGGGTGGCTCACACCTGTAATCCCAGCACTTTGGGAGGCCGAGGCGGGCAGATCACCTGAGGTCAGGAGTTCAAGAGCAGCCTGGCCAACATGGTGAAACCCTGTCTCTACTAAAAAATACAAAAATTAGCTGGGCATCGTGGTGTGCATCTGTAATCCCAGCTACTCGGGAGGCTAAGAGAGGAGAATCGCTTGAACCCAGGAGGTAGAGCTTGCAGTGAGCCGAGATTGTGCCATTGCACTCCATCCTGGGCAACAAAGAGCAAAACTCTGTCAAAAAAAAAAAAGAAAGAAAAAGAAAAAAGAAAAGAAAGGAAGGAAGGAAGAAAATACAGTATTTGCAGGTTGCAAAACATACTTATAGGGAGGGCCAACTTTTCATATACACAGGTTCTGCAGGGCCAACAGCCAGACTTGGTATGAGTGGATTTTTGTAAACTGGAATGGGGTGGAGGGGGCGCATCCTAAAACCAATCCCCCATGTATATTAAGGGAAGACTGTACTTACTATATCATAGATATCTTTCTAGGTTGTATTTGTTACAGTAATACTAGGTGCTGTAACAGAAAAGCCCTGAAACCTCAGTGGCTTAACATTGAGAAATTTATTTCTTGATCATCTGAGATCACTTGCTTAGGGCAAGGAGAGTACTCCACTCCACAGAGTCACAGAGAGAGCCTGTCATCTTCAACATATGGTTGCCAGCCCACCCAGGGTATTTACTTCCAAACAGACAGCAAACAAGGGAAGAGCAAAAACATTCCACTGGCCAGAGGCACATGGCCACATCTAACTAGAAAAGAGGCTGCAAATTGTAATCTATCTAGCAGGGTGCCCAGAAAGAAAAACAAATGGGATTTGGTGAAGAGCTAGAAAGTCTCTTCTCTACCGCACTCTACCATTCTGGTCCCCAAATAGCCATTTCATTCATCCTCTCACACGCAGAACACAGTGAGTCCCACCTCAAAAGAGGAAAACCAAAGCTAGTCACTGCAGGCAGCTCAAAGACCAGGATTATGAGGTAATGCTCATTTTTCCCCATCGGGGCTAGATATAGCTCCTCAAAGTCTAGTGACCTAGGAACTTTTTGGTTGTCTATTGTCATTTCCCCCACTCTCACATACCAATATTAAAAACACAATAGCGGAGCAGAGACTCAATGAACTTCGCTGTAGAAGGGGAAAGAATGAGAGACACATAGAAGTCAGCGGTCAGCATTCTGAAATCCAGCCGTGCAGATGTGAAGGCCCTCCTCTGGTAGGTCGTCATTTTACTCTCTGGAAGAAACCCTTATCCATGGTTTTCCATCCTCACCCCATCCTCAGCTCCTCCCTCTGGAAGTCCTCCCTTATCCATTATTCTCCTTGGACCCCTTAAGAGAGTGTCTTCCTTAGGGACTACAAAGCTTTCTCCTCTTACTTTCTGAAATGTAAGTTTAAGGGCCTCAAGTTAAGTTTACTCGACTTCAACAGTTTTAGGGCCATTTTCTCAAATCCCCTCAAAAATTTGATGGGTTCTGATCTATTTGTTTCCAGTGAGTTTCATGTACCAGTAACTACATCCAATGTTCTTGTATAGACATAATCCTCATCCTTAATTTCTGTATTTATTTATTTTTGCTTCCTTGTACCATGCTTCTCCAAACCTGAATGACAGTTAAGTTGAAGCCATGAGGGTTAATCTGATCTCAGACTCCTCAAATCTTATTTCTTTCTGATTGGGATTTAAAGAGATTTTGCCAAATTCCTCTCCCAAAGGGTTGTAGCACATTACACCCTAATAAGGTATAAAACTGCCCAGTCTCCTTTATCCTTACCAGCAATGGTACACAGCACAGTGGTTTAGGGTGTGGGCTCTAGAGCTAGACTGCTCGACATTGGATACTAGTTCTATCATCTATTAACTGTTGGCTTACGGACGATGTTCAACTCACCTGCGCCTCACTTTCCACATTTGTGCAAAGGAGATAAAGCAGATATTCTTATCCAAATTTAAAAAATAATTATGGGTGATGAAACTGAGACCCAGAGAATTTGATTTGTTCAAGGTCACACCAATAAGGAGTAAATGACCTAATACACATAAATACTCAGAACATGGCATGTAAGTTCTTAATGAATATGCACTTTTATTTTTTGTTTTCTAATTTGAGGGATTGAAAAATGATACCTCATTATCACCGTCTTTACATTTCCCTTGCTTACTAGTGGAGTTATGTGCTCTTTTGTTTGGATTTTCTCCTCTGTGAATTGCTTCTTCACACCGTTTACTCATTTTTTTCTCATCATGCAATCAGAATATTCTGTATATTAGGGATATTAGCCCATTATCTCTCCTATACATGGCAGGTGTTTTCTCTGTAGTGCAGTTGTGCGATCTTGGCTCACTGCAACCTCTGCCTCCCAGGTTCAAACGATTCTCCTGTCTCAGCCTCCCGAGTAGCTGGGATTACAAGTGCACAACACCATGCCTGGCTCTGCTTTTTTTTTTTTTTTTCTCTGTAATGATTTTTACAAGAGGTTTTTTTTTTTTTTTTTAATTAAAAAAAAATAGAGACATGGTCTCACTATGTTGCCTAGGCTGGGATTATAGGCATGAACCACCATGCCCACCCCCTCCTCATGTTTTACACACACACACACACACACACACACACACACACACACACACACGATTAATGATTAATTAAGCAGAAATTTTATTTAGTAAGATCGACATTTTAATGAAATTGTCTTTTTTTGTTGGGGTTTTTTTGAGACAGATTCTCACTTTGCTGCCCAGGCTGGAGTGCAGTTGCGTGAATACAGCTCACTGCAGCCTCAACCTCCTGGGCTCATGCGATTTTCCTGTCTCAGTCCCCCAAGTAGCTGGGACTACAGGTGCATACCACCACATCCAGCTAATTTTTGCATCTTTTGTTGAGATGGGGTTTCACCATCTTGCCCAGGCTGGTCTCGAACTCCTGATCTCAAGCAATTCACCCACCTCGGCCCCACAAAGTGCTAGGATTACAGGTGTGAGCACAGCACCTGGCCAAAATTGTCTTAATATCCTAGAATTGCCATGTCCCTCCATTTATTTACACTCCGTTTTATAACATCAATAAAATCTTTTTTAGGGACCTTGCACTTTTGTTAAGTTTATTCCCAAGTATTTTTATAGTTGTATCATTAAAGTAGAAAGGGAATATAACTTCCATTTCCATTTTAAACTAGCTATTGTCAGTATAGAAAATGTTATTTTTCTGTCTTTTTTATCCAGCTAGCTTCCCAAATTCTATTATAAATTCAAGTATTTCTTGTACGAGAATCTCACGAGTTTTCAAGGTGTACAATTATATAACCCATAAATACAGATAATTCTTCTAAAATGTTTACATCATTTCATTTTTTCAGCTTACTGCATTAGCTAAGACTTCCAAAGCAATGCTGAATAATAGTGGTGATAAAAGGTATTCTTGTGTTGTTCCTGATAATCTGAATGTGTCAGCCTTTCACCATGTAGTATGATATTGGCTGTTGGCTTTGAAAAATTGTCTTTATCATCATAGTAATTTCTTTCTACTCTCATTTCACTAATCCACTTAGTTTTTATTCAGAACAGCTTTTTTTTTTTTTTTTGAGACAGGGTCTCTCCCTCTGTTGCCAGGCTGAAGTGCAGTGGTGTGATCTCGGCTCACTGCAACCTCCGCCTCCCAGGTTCAAGCGATTCTCCTGCCCCAGATTCCCGAGTAGCTGGGACTATAGGGGCGTGCCACCATGCCCAGGTGATTTTTGAATTTTAATAGAAACGGGGTTTCACCATGTTGGCCAGGATGGTCTTAATCTCTTGACCTCATGATCTGCCTGCCTTGGCCTCCCAAAGTGCTGGGATTACAGGCGTGAGCCACTGTACCTAGCCCAGAACAGCTATTGAATTTTATCAGATGACTTTTTGGCATAGGTTCCCTTCTTTAAGTGATTCAAGTAATGAATTACATTGATAGATTTAGTTATGTTAAAGTAGTTTTATCCGGCTGTACTTTCTCTAACTACTGAATTTTATCTGTTTATATCTAGGACATTTGCATCTATATTCATCTATAAGTGAGATGCTTATAGTTTCATTGTGCTATCTTACCAAATGTTTGCTGAAAGGGGAAAGTGGAATCAAAAAAGAATTTTGTTTTTCAATGAGGATTTTAAAAAATGCTGTTGTTGTTAAGACAGAATGGAACATGCTAAATTGTGATAGAAAGGGTCCACTGGAGGCCAGACACAGTGGCTCACGCCTATAATCCCAGAACTTTGGGAGGCTGAGGTGGGTGGATGGCTTGAGCTCAGGAGTTCAAGACCAGCCTGGCGACATGGCGAAATCCCATCTCTACAAAAAATACAAAAATTAGTCGGGTGTGATGGTTCACGCCTGTAGTCCCAGCTACTTGGGGGCCAGAGGTGGGAAGAACACTTGAACCTAGGAGATTGAGGCTGCAGTGAGCCGAGATAGCGCCACTGCACTCCAGCCTGGGTGACAAAGTGAGACCCTGTCTCAAAAAAGAAAAGAGAAGAGAAGAAAAGAGAAAATAAAGCATCCAGCAGAGAACTTGAAGATGAAGGAGAAAGGATCACTGGTAGTGTGCAATTTCAGAGAAGGTGAAACAGATCCAGAGAACAAATAGGTTATAAAAGGGATGCCTGAATTATGACTGAATGGAAGGGATTCCAATCACTAGATCTAGAAGTTTAGTAGCTAAAAGTTAAGGGAGTTCCCATCTAATAACTTCTATTTTCTCTATTGTAACACTACTTACACTCACAGATATTTTTGTTTATTTATGAGTTTATATATAGCTATTTCAGAGAACAAATGTTGCCATTAATAGAGATATTTTCTTCATGTTATACAGTTATCTATTTTTCAGGACATTTGCAAAATTCTACAAAGACTTAAAAACAACAATTTCACTCTCTCATTCCAGCACTCAATCTCACAGGCAAACAGAAATCCTTGAGTCCTTAATACAAAATCAGACACAAAATATTGCTGTCATAGAAAAATGATTAATTAAGCAGAAATTTTATTTCCAAGCTCTTCAAAGACCGTTGCAAACACGAATAATGTATCCTTCTAAAAAAGTGTCCCAAATTAAATCAAAGGCACATCGTCGAAGTAAAACACTTGTGAAGTTAAGAATTCTTTTAGGTTGTAATATTTTCATGTTAGTTTTTAATCATTTACAATGTTCTGTGGGTCACATTTTAAACATTTTTAAATATATGAAATTCTGTATTTCTTTAAGTACAGCCACAACTACAAAGCAGAGAAACGTAAGAATACAAAAATCAAATCTGCTTCATTTATATACACGATGGGGCAGCCTAATGCACATCATAACATTAACTTTTCCAAAGAAGTTTGCTAAGAATCTGCTCCCATAATTAGTGTTAAAAATAAAGCAATCTTCCCATTTAGAAAAATCAAGACATCAGTTGATTAATAAAGCCTATTCTTCCTCCCAGCAATTTGTACTTTCTGGTCTTCATTTAGGAATTATAAATTCATGACAAAAGAACAAATTTTTTATGGAATAAATAACTTCCAGGAACAACAGTTTATAAGTATTCAGTTGTTTAAATAAACAAAACTATTTTCCTTCCTAAAATGTAAACATCCAGTAAATGAAACATACATGATATTCCAGGTATAGAAATCTTAGTAACTCACTTATGAAAGAGGTGCATTTTGGTATGTTTGGTGGTAAGGTTTTTGTTTATCTTATGTATAAAAGTACTTGCACAAAAAAAACAAGCAGTTATTACTATTTAAAATTCTATTCCTTCACCCAGTTTTCTCACTCAAGTAGAAACTCATGAATATCTGTGATTTTGGCTATAGGACCAGGCCACAGGAAAGGGCTGAAATATCTCTAAAAGTTAGGGAAAAGTGTTTTCTTGAGACTTGAAGGCAGTCATTCATCACTTTGTGCTTGAAGGCATTCCTCAGCAAACTTCTCTCCTACTGGAAAAAGAGTTTGTTTGGTTTTCACTTTAGTAAGATTTCTTTATAAAATTAACTAGTCATCATTTAATAGGGTACTTTAGTATTCACGAAATAGAAAGCAACAGGTGAGCTAGGCGCGGTGGCTCACGCCTGTAATCCCAACACTTTGGGAGGCCGAGGTGGGTGGATCACCTGATATTGGGAGTTCAAGACCAGCCTGACCAACATGGAGAAACCCTGCCTCTACTAAAAATACAAAAAAATTAGCCGGGCATGGTGGCGGGCACCTGTAATCCCAGCTACTAGTGAGGCTGAGGCAGGAGAATCGCTTGAACCCGGGAGGCAGAGGTTGTGGTGAGCTGAGATCGCACCATTGCACTGCAGCCTGGAAACAAGAGCAAAACTCCGTCTCAAACAAAAAAAAAATGAAAGTAACAGGTGAATACAAAAGACATCTAAACCACACCACTGAATGAGCAGCACCCATGAAAGTGCTTTGTAAGGCCGGGCGCAGTGGCTCACGACTGTAATCCCAGCACTTCGGGAGGCCGAGGCAGGCAGGTCACCTCAGGTCAGGAGTTTGAGAACAGCCTGAGCAATACGGTGAAACCTCATCTCTCCTAAACATACAAAAATTAGCCAGGCATGGTGCTGCACACCTGCAGTCCCACCTACTCGGGAGACTGAGGCAGGAGAATTACTTGAACCTGGGAGGTGGAGGTTGCAGTGAGCCAAGATTGTGCCACTGCACTCCAGCATGGGTGACAGAGTGAGACTCCATCTCAATTTAATAAAGAGAAGGAAGGAAAGAAGGAGGGAAGGGAAGGGAAGAAGAGGGGAGGGGAGGGGAGGGGAGGGAAGAAGGAAGCTTTGTAAAAAGAAAAATGCTATGCCAACATAAGACTATTATCTTAACACCATAAATATGAACATTTTCCATTAAAAAGTACAATAAGATTTGATAGATTGCTTCCTTCTTTTAAATGTGAACAATTTCCTTTTGCTACTTGTGAAGAAGGACCTAAGATAATTACTCACTGTATAAACACCCCTTAGAACACATCATTTGAAATATGTTGGTCCCAAAAGACTCTAATAATTCATGCCCTTGTCCTCTTAAAAAAACATTGTGTCACGCCTGTAATCCCAGCACTTTGGGAGGCCAAGGCAGGCAGATCATGAGGTCAGGAGTTTGAGACCAGCCAATTCAAGACCAGCCTAGCCAACATGGTGAAACCCCATTTCTACTAAAATACAAAAAAATTAGGTGGGCATGGTGGCATGCGCCTGTAATCCCAGCTACTCGGGTGGCTGAGGCAGGAGAATTGCTTGAACCCAGGAGACAGAGGATGCAGTGAGCCAAGATCGCGCCACCGCACTCCAGCCTGGGTGACAGAGCAAGATGTCTCGGCGATGAGGGGGGAAACACATTGTGAAAATGACCCCAATACAAAGCATTCGAACCCAAGAAGTTTCTAATATGCCACCAGAGAGGTGTTTTCATTTATCAATTTTTAAAGCTCTTTTAACCCCACTCACACTTTTTCCCAATAGCTATATTTCTTCCTCCATTAAAACAGAGATATATTCTGAAAACCATTGGGAAAGAAATCACAGCGGGTGGTAGGCACACATCTCCCACTCTGGGGAGTCCTTATTCCCAAGAGTAGCAAGTCAGTTGATAGCACTAAGTAGCAAATCCCAACCCTTGGATGCTATAAGGACAGAGAGGGTGGGCTTAAGGTCAAGAAATTACTGGCCAGGTGTGGTGGCTCACACCTGTAATCCCAGCACTTTAGGAGGCCGAGGCGGGTGGATCACCTGAGGTCAGGAGTTCGAGACCAGCCTGACCAATATGGTGAAACCCCATCTCTATTAAAAATACAAACATTAGCCGGGCGTGGTGGCAGGCACCTGTAGTCCCAGCTACTCGGGAGGCTGAGACAAGAGAATTGCTTGAACCTGGGAGATGGAGGTTGCAGTGAGCCAAGATCATGCCACTGTACTCCAGCCTGGGTGACAGAGCGAGACTGTCTCAAAAAAAAGAAAGAAAGAAAGGAAGAAATTACTACCAGCCAACTCAAAGAGCTCAAGTACAGAAGGATGTTGGCATCTCATGACTTAGTGCCAGAGAGACTTCAGACTGTCCTGATTAGATGTATTCTACAGGCAAGGTAAATATACACTAGAATCACACTTCAGGGAAAGTTGTGCATTTTGCTGGCTCTTGTTTTAATTTCCCCAAGAATAGGAGACATTCAAAACTCAGTTGCTCAAGTCCTTTGGGAAGCCCTGTGATAATGCTATGGGCCCAAGACATCATGGTGTATCATTACTCACGAGTCTTCAGAGTAAAGCACAGGATCTAGGCTCCCGGAAGGGGTTACTTCCAGCTGGAACACCCACCAGCAGGGCATCCTTGCAGGCATTCTGCATACAGTACTGTTGAAGCTCTGCAGCTGCCTGAGAGACCTGAAACAAAGGGACAGCAACATGGCACCCTGCTCACAGCCAAGCCACCCGGCAGTCAAGGATATTCTGAAAACGATCATCCAACTTGGTAAATATCAACTTTTTGTGACCTCCAAAAGTCTCTTTCTGCTGAAAGTTCTAATACTTGAACTACAAAGAGAAAAGGTTACAATTTCCATGAACGTCAATTTAGATATTTTTTGGTTTAGTTGCTTATTCAACGAAGACAAGAAAAAGCTGTATCTTTGATCCATTTAGAAATCTAGTTTTGAGACTGAACGGGTAAAGAAATAGCTCATTCTAGCATTCCCTTTACAAATTTTTACTTATATAAAACATGCATCAATATATCCAAGTTTGCCAAATGAGCAAATTGTCTTAATGTTTACAAGTCTGAAGCCTTATTCAGTCTGCTCCAAACAAGTGATAAAGTTCTTCCGCCTTGCTTTTGAGGCGGTATAGCTTATTATTTGGGAGTATAGCCTCTGGAACCAGACTGCGTGGACTCAAATTCAGCTCTGCCACTACCTATATAACCTTGGGCAAGTTACTCAACGTCTCAGTAGCTGCTTCCTCATCTGAGAAATAATTAGAAATAGTAACTCACCTCTCTGGGTTGCTGTAACAATTAAGTGAGTTCACACATATAAAGCTATTAGAATAGCGCTAACATATAGCAATACATTTGTGGTAGACTGCAAACGTGATCACAATAGTTTGCAGCTCCTTCCACGAAGAGGTAGAGTCTATTGACGCACCCCTTGAATCTGGGCTGACTGTGGCTGGGCGCAGTGGCTCACACCTGTAATCCCAGCACTTTGGGAGCCCAAGCGGGGGCAGATCACGAGGTCAGGAGTTCGAGACCAGCCTGACCAACATGGTGAAACCCTGTCTCTACTAAAAAAAAAAAAAAAAAAAAAATTAACCGGGTGTGGTGGCGTGCACCTGTAATCCCAGCTACTCAGGAGGTTGAGGCAGGAGAATCGCTTGAACCCAGGAGGCGGAGGTTTCAGTGAGCCGAGATCGCACCATTGCACTCCAAGCTGGGTGACAAGAGCAAAACTCCGTCTCAAAAAAACAAAAAAAGAAAAGAATCTGGGCTGACTTTGACCAGTAGAATGTGGTAGAAATAAAGGGCAAGTTCCAAGCTAGTCCTCAAGAGTCTCTGCACCTATCTCTCTTGGTGCAGGTGGAACTGTAAGACAACCATCTGAAGGAGCCCAAGATAGCCTCCTGGAGGTCTTGTAGAGGAGAACTGGTAAGCTACAACCAGCACCTGCCTATCAACCTGCAGACCTGTGAGTGAGGCCATTCTCAATCACCCAGACACCAGCCAACACCAGTTAACACTCTATCTGATTGCAGATGCATGGGAGAGCCCAGAAGATCAGCAGAACTGTACACCTGAACCTAGCTCAAATTGTCCATCTAAGAACTGTGAGTATAAATCTTTTAAGCCACTAAATTTTGGGGTGGTTTGTCAGGCAGCAAAAACTAACTGATACAATATCATTATCCCTTTTCTTATCTTCCATTTGATGCATATTTCTACTTGGAGGTTTTCCTCATTGTACTTTTTTTTTTTGCATTAAAAGGCATTTTGAATACAATTCACCCATATTGTACAAAAATGGTTCCAATTGCTGTTCAGGTATTACTACTAGTTTGTGTTAATTTTCCAAGCCTCCAAATAACTGGAAAATTAACTGTTTATGTTACAATTGCTACCAAGTTTCTGGACAGCTCCAGGAATTTTGGTTGCATTAATGTAATGACAGTTTACTCCATATTATATGAATATAAAACCATAATATAATATTACCAGGCTAATGCTAAAGTTTGCTTTTGCTCTCAATAGAAGCTCTGACATTTTCATGTGAATTATAATTGGAATTAATGGTTATATATACCAGTTATTAATTCAAAAGAAATCGAGAATCAATTATGCTCAGGCTTACTATCTTTGCATTGGGGTGGCAGGTAAACTCCACACATGGTAGGTGGAAGGACACTGTCTCCAGGACTCCTGGAGAAATGAGACTAACTGAACTCTAGGCTCAAGAACATGGTCAAAAAGTTAAGGTAAGGGGATACGCAGAGAAAATAAGAGAAGAGTAAACGTGATCAGCATCTCTCTAACACTAGCAAGGGAGAGAGGCTGTGGGCTGGGAGACTATAAGCCCAAATACTTGCAAGCTGTCCCCTGCCATTGGTGGTGGGATAACCTCCACCCAGGTTACCTGACTTTCCTTGGTTTGAGCCCATGTTTACCCAGCAACTTCTGTGAGGCTCCTCTAAAGGAGGAGTTCTTGGAAGGATACCAAGCATTCCTATAGCTGGGAAGGGATGTCCTCTATTATATGCTAGAAAATTGGTGTCCTGGTTTATTTTTCAGATAGCAAGTCTGTCAAAGAGAAGACACCTCTGGCTATGCTAAGCACATCCAACAATGAATGAGGATGTGAGGTAGACCAGACCCTGGAATGGTTGTGACTCTCTAAGGTATTGTCTGAGGGAAGCCCTGCCAAGTACCCCAGATCATACTTCCATGAGCGCACCTCTTAAATAGGCTTATTATCCTATTTGTAAATAAGCTTACTGCGAGCTCAGGCAATTCACCTGAATTATATGGCTCTCAGTTTCATCATCATTTTTAAAAGGTAGATAAGCACATCTTTCCGGCCAGGTGCCATGGCTCATGCCTGTAATCCCAGCACTTTGGGAGCTTGAGGCGGGAGGATCACCTGAGGTCAGGAGATCGATACCAGCCTGGCCAATATGGTGAAACTCCATCTCTACTAAAAATACAAAAAAAAAAAAAAAGCCAATTAGTGGACGTGGTGGCAGGTGCCCGTAATCCCAGCTACTCGGGAGGCTGAGGCAGGAGAATCGCTTGAACCTGGGAGGCAGAGGTTGCAGTGAGCTGAGATCATGCCATTGCACTCCAACCTGGGCAACAAGAATGAAACTCCATCTCAAAAAAAAAAAAAAAAGAATATCTTTCCTCTTTCTTAGCTACTTGGCGGGTAGACAGGCATCTGACTGGCTCACAGTTTTCCTTTCTACCTCATGTCCCCACATTGTCTTTGTGAATTTCCAACAACCCTCATTTCAGTTCCCTGACTTCTTCCCCTCAAACAGCCTTCTCCTCAATGCCAACAGATACAGTTACAACACCTGTAACTGCTCCACTTCTGAAATTTTACACTCCAGTATCCTACTCTCTGATCACAATCTCTCCTTCCCATCCAGGGTGCTGCCTCCTTTATTCTTCCTTTATTCTGCTCTGACCTCACCGAGATCACCAGGCATCACCTCCTCCCCTTCTGTCTCACCTATCACCAGGAGGCTGGCTGCATTCCTTCTCTATCCATCTAGGCTCAGCCTCTTTCTGGCCAGACCTTCACACGCCTTGCCCTCCGGCCCCACCTCCACCTTTCTGGCATACCTCCCCTGCTAACTTACTCCTCTTTCAACTACCGTTCACCTTCAGCACTCACATTCCAGGATGGTAAAGATTGCTGCAGGAAAAAAAAAAAATCACAAATATGACCAGCAGTCTCCCTTGTCACAGCAGCTGGGTCTTCAGTCACAGCGCATCTGCGTGCCTGCTCAGGGGCCACTCCCTTAGTCCCCTTTCCTCTGCCTTAGAAGAAAACCTGGCCTCCTATTTCACAAAGAAAAGTGTCACCATACAAGTTTAGCCCATATCTAGAAACTTATCTTTACACACACCCTTACCTTCTTTCTTCCTGTCTCAGAAGCTGTGCCACCAATCCCCCACCCCCCCGTAGCCCTGTCTCCTCTACCAGCAATTGGCTTCCATTTGTTTCTTCCCTGGAACCTAAAAATATAATTTGTTACTTCCTCTCAACCCTAAAACATGGCTTTTCATTTCCTAAGTTAAAAAAACACGTTATTTCCTCTTTAAAACTAGGTTTCTTTAAAAAGAAAAAACGTCTGCCTACCCTATGACAGTCCAGATTCTGCTTTTACTAACACATAAGCCACCAGACCTCTGCATTCCACAGCCCTCTCTCCCTTTACCCTGTTTATTATCTTCACTCCACTTAGTACATGAAGCGATGCTATGTATCCGTTAAGTTGCTGTTTACCTTCCCCTCCAGAACCACCCTATTCCCTGTAGCAGTGCCAGGCACACAGCAAAGGAGAAACTGAGGCACAGGGACTATCCTGGTTGTGTTCCTTCTTACAGATCTTCTGCAAATAATGCTGCACTCGTAGCTAAACACAGCTCTACAACAGACGCCTTTTAGCCAACTGACTAAACGCTGGACATGTTGACTGAGCCCCCAGTTTTTGGAAATCCCTACTTCCTTGCTCGGAAACCTTGCTGTCTCTTATTTCCTCTTCTCTAGGCCTTGCTCGGAAACCTTGCTGTCTCTTATTTCCTCTTCTCTCGGCCACCGGCCATCGGTGTGGCTGGTCCCCGGGTCCCAGGCTCTGAGCTCTGCTCTTCATAGAAGAGGCTTTTTCGCCCCAATGCACTTGAATGACCTCTTTCAGCCCTGGGCGCTGAGCTTCAGGCCATGAGGACAAATACCTCCCGGATGACTCCCCGGAGTCCCCAGGTCCGCAGCCGAACTCATCATTTCCCCAAACCTGTTCCCCCTCCTCTCTACCTCGGCGGGTGGCAGCGCCGTCCACCCTGTCACGACGACAGAAACCCGAGCATCCTGGCTCTCCTCCCTCTCGCTCTCATCCTACCAATCCATCACCAATTCGCCGCCCTGCGGTGGCCTCCCCAGCCCTGGGTCCACCCTCCCGGCCCGCGCGTCGCCGGCATCCCTTGCGCCCTCCGAGGAACTGACCACGGCCGCCTTCTGGAGTGGGCGCACCCCCAGGGACCGGGACCGACCACGACCGCGGGGCCCCCCAGGCGCGGCTTCCTCCCGTCAGGCCCGGGCCCCCGGCTTGCCCCGCGCCCTCCCTCACCGCGGACCCCACCGCCCCCGCGCCCCGCCGAGGCCTCGCCGCCGCCACCGAGTCCCCCGCTGGCGCCCGGTCCGGGCCGCCGGCCTCCTCTTCTCACGCCCCGCGGGCGGAAGGACCGGAGCGTGGGTACCCGGGGCCCGCACCTTGATCCTCTCCACGCCAGCCTCCAACTTGAGCTGCTCTACCAAGCGCTGCAGGGCGCTCGCGCTAGCCCCGGAGGACATGGCGGCGGCGCTGGGCTCCTAGGGGCTGCTGGGCCCGGCCGGGCGGGGAGGAGCCGCCAGCCCCGAGCGCGGGTGCCGCCCCGGGGCGGGGAAGCAGCTGCGCCCGCCCCGCCGCCCCAGCCCACCCGGCGCGGAGCCGCTTGCCAGAGACAGCGGGGACCCCAGCGAGCTGGCAGTGCTCTCCGCTCCTCAGCGCCTGAAACCTGGGTGGCACCTGCAGCTGGGCCTGGAACCGAGGCGGGGACCCGCAGAGCGCGGCGTCCTCCAGCGAAGCTGGCGCCCCTAGGATGAGCAGGAATCGCGAGGGCGTGGGACGCGAGGATGGAGTGGGCGGCAGCAAACACGCACCCCTGAGAAATGAGAACTGGAGCCAAGGTGTGACATGAGTTGGAGAGATAAGGGGCCTTGCCAGACAGTATCACCGGGGAACCAAGGAGAGTTCATAGGATTTTCATGAGGCAGCAACAGGTTTCTAAATGACCCTGTTACTGTTTCACGGAGATCCTACCAGTTGATTTGGTGGAGTATGGTAAATTGGATAAAATCCCAGACCCTGACATCTTTGTGAAACATACAGAATAAAATTAAATTCAGCGTTTCTCACTCTCATCTCACCATTTAACTGTCATCATTGTTTCTATTCTGCTGCTTTTTTTTTTTTTTTTTTTTTTTTTGAGACAGGGTCTTGCTCTGTCACCCGGGGTGGAGTGCAGTGGCGTGATCACAGCTCCTTGTAGCCTCCACCTCGTGGGCTCAGGTGATCCTCCTGCCTCAGCCTCCTGAGTAGCTGGGACTACAGACACACACCACCACGCCCGGCTAATTTTTGTATTTTTAGTAGAGACGGGGTTTCACGATGTTGGCCAGGCTGGTGTTGAACTCCTGGGCTCAGGTGATCCTCCCACCTCAGCCTCCCAAAGTGCTGGCATTATAGGCCTACTGCATTTTTTAATAAGTGTTTTACAAAACTGGGATCGTTACTATATTTAAAATTTTTGTGTTGCTTTTTTCCATGTATCATTAATACGTCATTATTCTTGTACACCATTGTATTTGTCAGAACTCACTTAAACTGAATATTGCAAAAGGTAATATATTGGCTTGTGTAACTGAAAAGTCCAGGGACTTTAAACTAGTGAATTCAATTACCCAAATAATAATTTTGGGGCTCTCATCCTCCTTGTTTTGATTCTGCTTTTCCTGAGATTAGCCTCATTTTCCTTGGTGGTAGATGGACTTCTCTAGTGGTATGAAGGAAGGCACCACACTTTCACTGTCCCCATCTAGCAAACCCAGGAAAAATAGTACCTCTTTTCTTTCTAATCGTTCCAGCAAAAATCCCCATAATGAACCTCACTGGCTGGTATTAAGTCATGGGCCCACCCCTGGCCCAATTACTCTTTGAAGGCAAGGATGTGTGGCATTGACGTGCTCAGATTAGCTGTGCCTGGGCCAAAGGGAGACTTGCACATTTGAAAGCCCTCTCTAGTGGCCAATTTCCTCACCACAAAGAAATTAATATATATCTTAGTAAAGAGATGAAAGTACATGTTGGGAACATTCAACAATCAATTCTGAGACTGATGAATAGGACAAAATAGAATGATTTCATATTTAAAAGATATGGCAAAGAACTCAGTGCAAAGATATACATACTGGATTAGGAAAGGCTCATCATAGATCGTGAGAGCTGGACTTTGGAGATACGTGTCTTGCAGATGGCTCAGAAGGAAGAACAGTCCAGTATGGAGGACAGCTGGAGGCGATGCACACATGTAGAGTGAATAAATTTAAAAATAGAGGAAGCTCTAGTGACTAATAGCAGATACAAAGTTGCTAGGGCCAGAAGTCATAGAAAACCTCACATACACACAAAAGTTTATGGTAAACAGTGGGATAGCCACAGGGTAAGGCATTTTGGGAATATTAATCTGAGATGAATGTGCAAAATGAACTGAAGTTGAGAAGATAAATGGCTGATGGTGGGGGAGTAGCTGGAATGAGGCCCTGGGTAGGACTGTTAGAGTAGGAATGAGGGGGAACAAATTTAGAAGACAAAATCAGTGGTACTTCATGGTGGTTATGAAATGCAAAGAAAAGAGGACAAAGGGTTCTGTAGCAGAGAGTGGGCCAGAACTAATGCCAAAACAGAAATTAGGAAACAAGACTTGGCTTGAGATGAGTAAAAAATAATGTGGGGTTTGGTTTAGGAGTAACGAAGTGACTTCCATGGCATTGCTACATGCCTTTAGGCTGCTGAAAATGTTTAGTAGCCAAGATGTTAATGTGAAGATGTCTCCACAGCAATGGCAGCTGAAATAATGAGATTACCTCAAAATCATTAGAAATGAAGGCTTTGGAGTTGCCCTCAATGAAGGGACACACGTCAGCCATGTCATACTGTATCAGCCACGAGGTAGCAGGAAAAGTCTAGGGGTGTGCTGTGTCTGCCTCCTTCATGCCCTACACACCCACTGCCCCGCCCACCTCAGTGTTACTTTGCACCGTTCAAGAGGAATGGTCTGTGATCCATGGATAAGCAGGCCGGGCGCCACTTGTACTTGAGGAAGGCTGACCATCTGTGTGATGCTCCACACTTTCCCCACAAGACTTCTCATCCATTATTTTTGCATCATGGAACTTCAAAGTTGAAGGGAACCATCAGATAGTGCGGCGCATCTACAATTTCAGAGATGAGGAAACAGATCCACTAAGGAAAGTGAAGTGACTTGCCCAGTATCACAGAAAGTGGGAGCAGGGAAAAGAATTTCATTTTAGCTTTCAAGAGAATTCAGGCCAGACGCGGTGGCTCACACCTGTAATCCCAGCACTTTGGGAGGCCAAGGCGGGCAGATCACTTGAGGTCAGGAGTTCAAGACAAGTCTGGCCAACATGGTGAAACCCCGTCTCTTCGGGGTTTCTACCACGCCTGGCTAATTTAAAATACAAAAATTAGCCGGGCGTGCTGGCATATGCCTGTAGTCCCAGATTCCTGGGAGGCTGAGGCACAAGTATCGCTTGAACCCGGGAGGTGGGGGTTGCAGTGAGACTGCGCCACTGCACTCCTGCCTGGGCGACAGAACAAGACTCCGTCTCAAACAAAGAACTCAAGGTTTACCTAGAGGACCAGAGGCCTTTCCCACATGTGCTGTGATTTCCAGAGCTCTGGAAGGTGAGGGATGGAGACAGAGTACCCTTCTTTCCTTCTCACTACAGCTAAAATGCATGGGTAACCAGTAGAATATCTTTCAAATTTTGTCACACATTTTTTTCCCTGGTTAAGCACAAACTTATCTCATTTCCAAGAAACTTTCTAGAAATGTCATTACCCTTGTAATGACAAATGTTTCATTTGTTTCCCTGTTAGGAGCTACAGTTCTTCACTCCTCTGACTTGTATTTTATCACCTGTCTACTAACAGTGGATTATTCTTCCAGGAAAGGGGTTTGTGAGTCAATCTTCTCCATAAAAATAATGACATAATGGGAAGATATTTCTGCCAATGTTATATCAAAATGACAATAATATATACCATCTATAGTTTCCAAAATGATTAAGAGTAGGAAAACACATTAATAACTATATCTAATGTGACACAGTATCATGTACTATAAAAATTATTTTACTTCTTTTTGCCTATTACATTATTTTTAGAACCCAGAAATAATGAATCAGGAGCTGAAAGAATCACCAGCAGGTTTGTAGATTCAGAATGGCTTTTCTGGAGAGATTTTCACAGGTACTTTTGAGACTTTGGGAGACGGCAGAACTTAGGGCTATTAGATGTCTTTTTGAGCAACCATTCTAAGCATATCTGTTTGCTACATTGAAAATGTCCCTTCACTAAATGTAGGCCTTAGACTAGCAACTTGCTGATCATTCTGTCATCTCTGAAAGTTTTTCTTTCTTTCCTGAGTCGTCATCTCGGCTGCTCCACCTTGCACACTGGTGGCAACAGGGCAGGCAGCTGCTTTTTAAAATACACAATTCCAACCCTAAGGAGCATCACTCCTTCACTCTAGCACCGTGCCTTGCACAAGGGATTAAAATATGTATTAAAAGAATAAACAATGGGTTTGTAATCATCACAAAACACACTCCTGTTACCATGCTTTTTTTTTTTTTAACAAATGAGACTCTTTGTTATTCCCTCTGAAGGCAAAATAACTCACATTTCCTGATCACTTAATATATGCCAGGCATTTTACCCTTGTTATCGTCTAAGAACTGTCTGAAATAGTATCTTTACATGAAAGAAAACAAGGCTCACAGGTTAAAGTAACCTGCCCAGTCAACCTTGTTCTATCCGGTTATAAAGCCAGAGTCATTCCACTATGTCGTGCTTCGTGAGGTTATAAAGGAGAGACTGTCAGATGACAGAAGTTTCTCCACCCCCGAATGAAACCAGGAAGGAGGAATCTGTGACACTGATCTGAGACCACATGATCCATTCCATACACAATTGTTGAGGATATCCTAAATCCTTTAATAATTACGAAGCTAAGGCCAGACCCTGTAGCTCATGCCTATAATCCCAGCACTTTAAAAGGAGGATCCCTTGAGCTCAGGAGTTCAAGATCAGCTTGAGCAACATAGTAAGACCCCCGACTAAAATAAAAATAAAAATAAATCAAAAAATTAGCCAGCCATAGTGGCATGAGTCCCTGTAGTCCCAGCTACTCAGGAGGCTGAGGTGGGAGGATCATGTGAGCCCAGGAGGTCAAGGCTGCAGTGAGCCATGATCAAGCCACTGCACTCGGCCTGGGCAAGAGATGCTGTCTCCAAAAAAAAAGCTGAAATATGTACAACTATCATATATCAATTAAAAAAGAATTAAGAGGCTAAAGTTTACAACTAATTATGTAGGTTTCTACTGAAATAATTTTATGAAGTAAATTTAATTTAGTTATTAGGTTCTAGATTTGGCCTTTGCCAATATTTAAATGTTAACATCACATTTTATAAATAATTATAATTCATCCATACACAACTAGTTTGTATCAATACCAACATTTATCTATTTGCTTCAAGTGTATAATTCTAAGTCAAAAGAGACCAGGTTTGATTTAATGTTTTAAAGTAGCTAGATTCCATTTATACTATCTAATAAAAGCCACATTATTTTCAGTTTGTGGCCAGCAGTCTGGTTCACACTAGCTGAGTGATACCCTAGCAATTGGCCTCCACTCAAGAAAAATATCTCCAAGGTTTGGGTATTAACAGTTTACTACTGGCCGGGTGCAGTGGCTCACGCCTGTAATCCCAACACTTGGGGAGGCCGAGGTGGGTGGATCACGAGGTCAGGAGATCCAGACCATCCTGGCCAACATGGTGAAACCCTGTCTCTACTAAAAATACAAAAAATTAGCCGGGCGTGGTGGCAGGTGCCTGTAGTCCCAGCTACTCGGGAGGCTGAGGCAGGAGAATCACTTGAACCCAGGAGGCAGAGGTTGCAGTGAGCTGAGATCCTGTCACTGCACTCCAGCCTGGTGACAGAGTGAGACTCCATCTAAAAAAAAAGTTTACTACTAGGCCAGGCGCGGTGGCTCACACCTGTAATTCCAGCACTTTGGGAGGCTGAGGCGGGAGGATCACCTGAGGTCAGGAGTTCAAGACTAGCCTGGCCAACATGGTGAAACCTGTCTCTACTAAAAATACAAAAAATTAGCCAGCCATAGTGGCAGGCACCTGTAATCCCAACTACTTGGGAGGCTGAGGCAGGGAATCACTTGAAACCGGGAGGTAGAGGTTGCAGTGAGCCAAGATCGCACCATTGTACTCCAGCCTGGGTGGCAGAGCGAGACACCATCTCAAAAAAAAAAAAACCAAAAAAACAAAAACCCCTCAAAGTAATGAATTATTATTTTCTAAACATAAATAGTACTAGTTAATTCTCTAAACTGAACCATTCTTTCATGTAACATTTTAAAAATCCTGTATCTCAATGGTCCTATTTAAGAGTAGACCTAATACATGTTATGAAACTGTAACCTATGATTTGTAGAACTTAGAATTCATAAATAAGGCAATGAAGAGTTAGTCATGGAATCTGTTATGAGAATATCTGTTATGCATATAACCTGAAGGGTAATCTTAGCAGACCTCAACTATGTAACACAATGACGAATAGATAGCATTGAACAGCTATGCTCTATAAACCCTTGAATACCAACCAAAAAGGCAATGGGAATAGCCCTAAAATGAAGTTCGAGAAAAATGTTCTAACTAGTGGAGTTGTGGGGTTCTCTACCCAGGATTTTTCTCCAGATGTTTCTAAAATGGAGAGGCTTTTGGGTTTTTGGTGAGGGATGGGCAGGGTACAGATAATAAGGACACCCAGAAGACATGACTGACATTTGTGACAACTAACGGCTCTTCCTTCACCCTAGGATTTTGAAGCATAAGGTCCATCTGTTGAGGGAAGGCAAGAAGAATCAGTTCTTCTCTCGAGCACGGCCCATTCATCTAGACTCACGCAATGACTGTGATTCCAAAAGACTGACCAAACATTACCAAGTGGGCAGGCTACTGGGGACAATTCCGGAAACATTTCTAGGAAGACTGGAAGAAATACAGTAATCTAGCACATATGCAAAAGAATATCAAAAGATGAACTGTTTTCATCAGCCAACCCTTATGAATGCTAACATGTCCAGTCCTCTTACAGTTCGTCGCTAGGTTAATAGAGGCATTCAAAAATTTTGAGAGTCGAGTACTGACATTTCTTTTTGGTCCTCATAATATATGTCACGTACTTATGTTTTTAGGTGGTAAATACCATTGTGTGTTAACTATATAATACATTCACCAGGACAGGGATTGCTGACTCTACCGGCAACCACAGCATCTTTGAAAGGCATTTTGTCTATAGCTAAGAGGTGGGCGTTTGAAGTCTAAAAAACAGTTACCTGTAATTCAGCTCTGTACCTTCTCCACACTCCTCCAACAGAATAGATGCATAAAACACTTTCATCTAAAGTTTACAAAAATATAAATAATTTTAGAGCTGCAAAAGGGCCCTAGTGATAATCTGGTCGGACTCTTCCCCAAGTTTATAATTGAGCCAACTGAAGTCCTCGCAGATTAACTACCTTGCCTCAGGTCTTTGTCTACGTTAGCAAGAGCCTTCCTGCTCTGTCTCACATTGACTGGGGCTAAGCTCTCAAAACAACTAGCTTACTTTAGCTAGAAACAGACTCTGCATATCAACTATGCTATATTAATCTTTAAAAATTATATAAAAGCAATTTTAATGTTTCATTTAAAACGTCATATCAACAAACTTGTGATATATTGTAACCATTTTATTAATATGAAGCAATGGGATAAATCCTTTAACAGGGGTACTGATTTACTACCGTGAATATGTACCAACACTTTGGTGCAGTATCATGCCTGATTCAGTCAAATAATGTGTTATTTACTTGCACTGCCACACATGTGAAAACACATTTCATTGGTTGACAGAAGAGCACACAGCCATGTACCTCGTTTCTGGCTTAAATGCATAGAAATGTTCTCATGTACAACGGATTTTTCACCACTCAAGGACTTCATAATAGATGAACAACTTTTCAATACACTATTTCTGCCTTGCTATTTTTTTTTTTAAGTGAAGAGAGAGGGGAAAAAACCAATACTGTGGTACAAAAGACCTTTTTACAAGGTCCTTTCTGGAGAAATGTTGAGAATACAGTTATAGTCCTATAATAAGACTATAATCAAGATCATCCTACAAGGACGTGAGGGTAGACTCACTCTCCTGGAGAGTTTCTGATCTTATTAAGACTATTATATTTGACTGGCTTTAAAAACAAAGAATATTATAATGAATAGAGGGGAGAAATTCTAGCAGAAGACTTTCCTAGAGAGGTTATTTTGAACGTATTTCAATCCTATAATGACTGCAATGAAAACGACATGTTAGGTCATTCTACTGCAGAAGTTTGTGTCCAGAAACACACTCATGATAATATAATTAAATGCTGTTTTTGGTGTTTTGTGAAAATACAGAGGCCATGAAAGCAGAAAAATGTAGCACTATTACAAACAGTAAGGTAACATTCTCAAAGAATAAACACATAACACATAAAATTTTTAAATGGTATCTAATAAATTTTCATGTCAAATCTTTTAACTAAACATATAAAAATTTTAAATGGCAACTAATAAATCTTCATGTGAAATCTTTTAACAAAATCCACAAATAGATTATAAAAATTGAACAATCATAAATGTCTTATGTATAAAGTTTTAAGGGAAGGTTTAAATTTTGACATTATTCTGTTTAATCAAATACTTGAGGAATTTTAGTTACTGCTGAGCAGCAGTCAATTGATACATTTCTAAAATAATTCAGTTATGAAAATAATATCACAATTAAGGTTTGGCATAGTAGCATTCCATCAATCTTCAGTCATCCACAAATGTTAACCGCCCAGGCCCTTCATTCTTCATCCATCTCCTGTATCTCTTCCATCTGGGGTCATTTGCCAACTTTTTCTTTAATTCTTCCTCTTGTTCTTGCTTGTAGACCTGTAAGTATAAATAACTAGATGACTTCACAATCCAAAGAGGAACATTTGCCATTAGCTTTATGGCATATTTACATTTTTCTAACATAATGTTAGGTAAAAAGTTTCCAGTGAATGTATTGATAACCATTCACCTAAAATACTAAACAATTAAGCATTTTATTTATTTATTTATTTATTTATTTGCAATTTACCATTTTAACATTCAGTGTTAAACATGAAAGAACAACCTGTATAAGAACTAGTAATTTTGTGGCCGGGCGTGGTGGCTCACACCTGTAATCCCAGCACATTGGGAGGCCAAGGCGGGTGGATCACCTGAGGTCAGGAGTTCAAAACCAGCCTGGCCAACATGGTGAAACCCCCGTCTCTCCTAAAAAAAATAGAAAAAATTAGCTGGGCGTGGTGGCACATGCCTATAATCCCAGCTACTTGGGAGGCTGAGGCAGGAGAACTGCTTGAACCTGGGAGGCGGAGGTTGCAGTGAGCTGAGATCATGCCATTGCACTCCAGCCTGGGCAACAAGAGTGAAACTCCATCTCAAATTTAAAAAAAAAGAACTAGTACTTTTTTTTTTTTTTTTTTTGAGACAGGGTCTCTCTTGGTTGCCTAGGCTGGAGTGCAGTGGTGTGATCTCAGCTCACTGCAATCTCTGCCTCCTGGATTCAAGCAATTCTCCTGCCTCAGCCTCCCTAGCTGGGCCTACAGGAGCATGCCACCACGCCCGGCTAATTTTTTTGTATTTTTTTTTTTAGGACAGATGGGGTTTCACCATGTTGGCCAGGCTGGTCTCAAACTCCTGGCCTCAAGTGATCCACCTACCTCGGCCTCCCAAAGTGTTGGGATTACAGGCGTGAGCCACTGCACCCTGCCTAGAACTAGTAATTTTTTGTCACTGATTTCTGTAACCTAGGAATACATTCTTTTCCTCAATGAAAATTGACTGAGTTTAAAGGGCTTAACATTTCCTCTCTACAACTAATGTCTAATATTAAAGAATCAAAACTTTATTTTTTTAATATAGTCTTTGTAAATTTAACTGATGACTTTCAGATTTGGTGATCTTAACCAAGGAACAAAATGACCTTACATACATGTTTATCTCCAAACTGAACTTACACCTACTTTCATCTAATTATGAATTTTTCATTTTTTTAAATTAAAGTTTCCAAAGAAGGTTAAATAAACCACAGAGTTAAAACTTGTGAGAACACAGAACATCTGCATTTATGCAACTTTTTTTTTTTTTTTTTTGAGATGGGGTCTCACTCTGTCATCCAGGCTGGAATACAGTGGCACAATCTTGGCTCACTGTAACCTCCGAGTAGCTAGGACCACAGGCACCACCACGCCCAGTTAATTTTTTGTATTTTCTTGGTAGAGACAGGGTTTCGCCATGTTGCCCAGGCTGGTCTCGAACTCCTGAGCTCAAGCAATCTGCCTGCCTGGGCCTCCCAAAGTGCTGGGATTACAGGCATGAGCCACCGCACCTAGCCTGCAATTCTGTAACTTTTAATGCTGTCAACTAAAGCAAAATGAACAAGCTGTCTTAGCCAGTTTCACAGCCACATCAAATTTTGGAAAGAAATTATTTTACTTCCAAATATTAGGAAGTAAAGACTAAGACAACTTCATACAATAACATATAATTCACCCCACAATAGCACCCTAAGAAAGACACAGTTTTGCAGATTGAGCTGCTTTACCTTCTTAAAAAAGAAAACTTTTAAACTTTTAAAAAAGTACTTAAAAGAACAAGCTTTTCAAATAGTTTAGGAGCTAACTGGCTAACTGGTACGCTGTAACTAAATAACATTTTTTTTTTTTTTTTTTTTTTGAGATAGAGTCTCACTCTGTTGCTCAGGCCAGAGTGCAGTGGTACAATCTTGGCTCACTGCAACCTCTGCCTCCCTGGTTCGAGTGATTCTCCTGCCTCAGCCTCCCGAGTAGCTAGGATTACATGCACGCACCACCAGGCCCAGCTAATTTTTTTGTATTTTGAGACAGGGTTTCACTATGTTGGCCAGGCTGGTCTTGAACTCCTGATCTCAAGTGATCCACCTGCCTCGACCTCCCAAAATGCTGGGATTACAAGTGTGAGCCACCACACCCAGCCCTAAATAACACTTTTATGAACAGGTATACTTGGTAAAACATCGGGCAATTCACAGTAAGTTAATTTACATAAATATAATTCAGACCAAAACTTTAATTTCAGTGAAATCTATTTAGGACATCACATACAAAATGAAATGACTATGAAACTAAAAAAACTAATGTATCTCAGACTTCTTAAGCAGGTTTTGGCTGGGTGCAGTGGCTGATGCCTGTAATCCCAGCACTCTAGGAGGTCAAGGTGGGCAGATTGCTTGAGCTCAGGAGTTTGAGACCATCCTAGACAACATGGCAAAACCCCAACACTATATGATAAAAATAAGAAAGAAAACAAAAAGGTTTCACTGTGCTCTATTCTTATATTTAACATAATAGCCAATGAATTTTATCCTGAATCTAAAACAGTGTCATTATGATAATGAGACTGCTAATCCCTTTAACATGATGGCTAGGTAGCGGATCACCTCGAAGTAATTTTTGTAGGTGACAACTGTAGCATAAAGCATTTATTAAAATGCCTGAAAGTTTAGAGGCATTACAGTAATTCGATTTAATTTAAAAGTAAAACAAAAGTAACTTTCTATAGATGTCAGTTATTACGCAGAATATCTTGTGCTCAATTATTTTGAAATGAAGTCATCTCAACAAAATTTCCACGTCTTACTCTGTTGTTTTTTTTTTTTTTTAAGTCTCTGTGGCTAGGTTTACAGTATTGGAAGAAAACTTGGGAAGGGCCAAATTTTAGTGCAGTTACCCAAAAGTTGTTGTAACACCCTTGCAAACATGCATATCATTCCAATGCAGTTTAACATTCTTAAAACGTTTTCATAATTTGTTGATTAAAGTATTTGAAGTTCATCCTCTAAAAAGAGAAATTACAGGTTAAAAACCCACCGTCTCACTACCAAATAGAGTCCTACTTTCAATAAAAGGTCTTTACTAATTGTTTAACTCTAGGATTTCAGAAATGTGAGCACACTTCTGTGATCCCTCATTATAATACACCTGATTTTAACTTGGTCAGGTGGATGACACTTAAATCACAGCAGGGTGACTACTCACCTCATAATTCTCCTTGATCCAGAGCTCTCGTTTAAGAAAAGTTTCTTTCTGATGATCTTCTAGACTATCAAATTGAGACTTTGACATCTTCATAGATTTACGTATAATGTATAATCTCTCTTCCTCTCCATATTCTTTGCCTTTGATGTTAAAATTATAGATCCACCGACAATACCAAACTATATATGAGCATAGGTGAAAAGGAGCTAAGATAATTTGAAACAGGAGAAGATCACAGATTTGGGGTTTCTGATAGCCCCCCTTTATATCTATTTTACTTTTTATAATGTTCTTTATGATGTTCTCCTCCTCGTCACGAATTTCTTCTTTGGACTTTTTGTTTTTGCCTTTTTCTTTGGCTTTTTTGAGCAGTCCCTGCTGCTTGGCAATCTCTGTAGCTTGGATACGGTACTTGGGCACTGTGGCTAGGTAGCTGATTGCCTTATTGTAGCTATTCCACCAGCTGAAAAACTAGAATAATTAACAGAGAACAATGAGTCATTTTCATTACCCAAATTCATCTAAATTAAAGGAATGATAGAGTCTCGGTGAATACCATCTCCCAAGAAACCATTACAATTAAAAATAGGGATCTCAAAGATCTTACTTTGTAAGTAAAAGACACAACTGAACGAAGCCCATGCGTACACAGGATCTGAAGGCTGGATAAGTAAGGTAAACTCTGAGCTGAGCCAAAAATCACTGCTGCAGTCAGTGACCCAAGGTCAAAGGCTAATCAATGTATCATACCACACCTGTGGTTCGTATCTTTACCATTTGGCTCTTCCCTAGATCACTTTAAAAAATTTTTTTTCTTTTTTTTTAAACAGCAACCTACTTACTAGAGAAAGAGTTAAATGGCAAAATCTAGCTGGTGAGGAATTTGTTTAAAAAACTCATAGTGTATAGACTCAGGCAACTACATTCATTCCCATCTCTTTTCCTAAGCCAATCTGCATATATCACAGTGGCACTCATCCTATTCTGATGCGAGACTCAAATATGGTTGAACTCTACCTATTTGGACAGGAGAACATTAACTTACTTCATAAATGTATTCAACCATAAAGCATTTGTCAGAAAATGCCCTGCTCCTCACATAGTACCTCCATAAATTTCAGCTCCTGATTAACTGAATGAATATAGCAGACATACAAATAATACCCTGCAATAGTAGCAATCTATTAAGAATATTTTTTTAAAAGTTACTACAGTATTAGATTGTTTAAAACAAAAAAGTAAAATTATCCCTGCTCTCCCCTTTGAAAGGGTAAATCGTTCTACAAATGCTGACACATTTTAAACATACCACCTTAGTTTCCAATGTAGTTTTTATTCATAAAAATTGAATGTCGGCCAAGTGCAGGGGCTCATGCCTGTAATCCCAGCACTTTGAGAGGCTGCGGTGAGTGGATTGCTTGAGCCCAGGAGCTCGAGACCAGCCTGGGCAACACGGCAAAACCGTGTCTCTACCAAAAAAAAAAAAATACAAAAATTAGCCAGGTGTGGTGGCACATGCCTGTAGTCCCAGCTATGCAGGAGGCTGAGGTGGGAGGATCGCCTGAGCCCAAGAAGTCAAGGCTACAGTGAGTCATGATCACTCCACTGCACTCCAGTCTGGGTGACAGAGTGAGACTCCATCTCTAAAAAAAAAAAAAACTGAATCGTTTCTGGGAATGAAACTGGAGAAGTAATTTTCAAACAAGCAGATTGCTTCATTCTAGTCATTTGACTTGTTCATTTCCTTTAAAGGAGCATGTGATAGGAATGGCTAGTTTAATAACAGGGAAAACTTATTTCAGGCAGAAGTTAAATTTTTGTGATACTTTACAACATAAAAAGTTCCTGGCCGGGCACAGTGGCTCACGCCTGTAATTCCAGCACTTTGGAAGGCCGAGGCAGGAGGATCACGAGGTCAGGAGTTTGAGACCATCCTGGCCAACATGGTGAAACCCCGTCTCTACTAAAATACAAAACACTAGCCGGGTGTGGTGGTGCGCGCCTGTAGTCCCAGCTACTCAGGAGGCTGAGGCAGGGGAATCGCTTGAACCCAGGAGGCGGAGGTTGCAGTGAGCCGAAATTGTGCCACTGCACTCCAGCCTGGCAACAGAACGAGACTCTGTCTCAAAACAAAAACAAAAACAGAAAGTTCCTATGCCTCTTTTAATCTATTTCAGTGGTTTTCAACCTGAGCAGAAGCACCCTTAAAGGGGCACACAGAAATGCATGGGACATTTCTGGTTGTTACAATAATGATGGCAAGCACTACTGGCATTTGGTGACTGGTGCCAGGACTTGTTAGGCCAGGTTAAGGAATTCAGATTTCTCCCAAGTTTAATGGTAAGTCATGGAAAAGTCCTACAGAGGTAAATGATATGAATTAGCTGACGTTCACTCTGGCTATTATGTAGAAAATACTCCAGAGGGAACAATGAAAAAGGGTCTGGATTTTTGAGGGGTTGTTTTGTAGTAGTAATGACATTCTTCAACAATTTCTTAGATTTGCCACTGACAAAGATTCCAACATTGCCAATGACTAAAACAGATCTCAACTAGAAGTAAAATTTTACAAGAAGATACTCGCAGTTAGGTTTTAATGACTAGCACTAGGCAATGTGCACTCAATGCACATAAATGTAGATAAAAATATCCATTGATACATACCTGAAACACCGAAATAGCACACACGCTGACCAAAATCACTACTCTAACATCCACCTTAGGGGCCAAGCGCCTGCTATAGTAGTGGTAGTAATGGCTGTAGTACTCTTCTGGATGATCCAGCATGTAATCATAATCTTTTCGTGTTTCTTCATCCTGTAAAATGACAAGATATCCAACTTCATAGGACAGTCCATTAAATGGCCTTAGTTTATAATCTGTTAAATCACATATAGAATTTTATAATTATGTAAGGTTAATCTGAGTAAAAATACTGAAATTGTCAAAATCAAAAAATTTCCCATTGCTCTTCAAAGCCATGTAAATTTTCAGAACTTCAATGTTAGATATAAAAGCATAACAAAAATACTTCTCTAAGTTCTTGAGTATTGTTAGTCCTCCTGGAAAAATAAAAACACTTATTAACCATTCAGCCTTTTTAGCTGATGCTTGGTGCTAATAAAAGCCTGTTCACAACTACTCTTAACTGTTGATTTTTTTTTAATGCTTATTTCTTGTATATATTCACAATCACGTCCCAGCCTTGTATAGATAGTTTTCTGCTAAAAGCAAAAACTAGGTGAAGCCAGTCTGTGCCTACAAAACTGAATTATGCCCATCCCAAAGAAACACTGAGACACCCATGCAGCCCAACGGTCAAAGTCTAGCTTTATGACCTTAGATAAAATATTTAGCCTCTCTGAGCCTCCTCCTTCTTCATTCACAAAAAGAGCTAACAATCCCTGTTGTTGTGAATATCAAATAACAAACATTATACAAAAACATGTTACAAACATGTAGTACTTCATCACTATAATATGTTGTCCAGCCCAGGTCACAAATGAGGTAACATATAGATCTTCCTTACCGATACCAACTCCTTGAAAGAATTATAGCATTCCAAAATGCTGCTCTGTATGTTCACAGATAAAACATTTAAAAAAATATATTCTCTGATTCTAATCAATTTCTAACAGGGATAAATGCAATGTTGTACTGAGCTATGCAGGTTGCAGAGTTATTAAACCAGGTCACGATTTGTTCTTTATCTCACAGGAAACCTATTACATTTTCCAACTTGCCCCATTTTCAAAAAAATTAAAGATAAAAACTATTATAAAATCAAAACAAATTATTTAATCTCTATATATGAGTATAATAAAAACCATTACAAAAACAAAAGTCTGTTTTGCCAGGTGTGGTGACTCATGCCTGTAATCCCAACACTTTGGAAGGCCAAGGCGGGAGGATTGCTTCAGCCCAGGAGTCTGAGATCAGCCTGGGCAGCATAGTGAGACCTTGTCTTTACAAAAAATAAAAAAAATTGTATTTGCACAGGGCATGGTGGCATGTGCCTATAGTCCCAGCTTCCCAGGATGTTCCCCAGGTGGGAAATCACTTATGTGATCATGCCATCACACTCCAGTCTGGGCAAGACAGCAAAACCCTGTCTCCAAAAAAAAAAGTTTTTTTTATCTTAGAGGAATGAATTATTCAACATTTATTAACTGCAGATTCCTAGCTAAAGGCATTTCAAAATCTAAACTTAGTGCCTTGCTACTGCAGACAGATTCTCTGGGGTCTGTTTAGGATCACCTTCTGAGTCCTCCAACATGTAGTTTTTTAGATTTAAAGTAAGAAATTTGTTAATGACTAAATCTTGCTTGTATCCATTAAAATCATTACGTATTTTCTATTAAGAATTTTGGGCCGGGCACAGGCGCTCACTCCTGTAATCCCAGCACTTTGGGAGGCCAAGGCAGGCAGGTAACTTGAGGTCAGGAGTTCGAGACCAGCCTGGCCAACATGGCAAAATCCCATTTCTACTGAAAATACAAAAATTAGCCAGTCGTGGTGGCTTGTGCTTATAATCCCAGCTACTCGGGAGGCTGAGGCAAGAGAATCACTTGAACCTGGGAGGTGGAGGTTGCAGTGAGCCGAGACTGTACCACTGCACTCCAGCCTGGGCGACAGAGCGAGACTCTGTCTCCAAAAAAAAAAAAAAAATTTTGAATCTGTGTGAGATCATTCTCAGTAAGTTCTCCCATATTCATTACATTCAAACAATTTCTTACCTCTCACCAGTATATGAAACGATGTAAACTAGTAGCTAGCTTAATTAGATACGAATATATTTATATGGAGGGCCAATATGAAAACTCTCAGTTATACAACGAGGTGTGAGCTCAAGCTAGTATTATTTTCAGATTCACTCCTTGTATGTTCTCTTCAGTCAAAAAGGATTTTCTTGTGGCAGCTGCTATATGCCTCAACTGTCAATCCGTGACTCCTTCTTTAAGTCATCATCCTATTCCAGAGCTCCTAACCTAGAAAGGGTAAACCTATATAAGGATCACACAGACAGCGCTGAAGACTAAAGCCTGTGTCTCTTCATGTGTCTCCTTTTGAGTACCTCAAGAAATCATCTGAGAATTTTCCCATTCTCCCTCTGCTTTTTGGGCTAATTTTATAGAAATGCCGTTTTGGCGCCTTAAATCCTTGACTTTAACTCGGCATCCCAATCATGACAGATGCCTTTTGAAACGTATTTCTTCAAGTACAATTCTTCTTGCTACAACTAGATTACATGTAGCTTTTAAACGAAATGCCACACGGAGATCAGACTCCTATGAGCCTCATTGTCTCTGTGCAGCCCTTTGCCCCGGCTGTCTGCACTCCTCCTGGTTGAAGTATATGGAGTAAGGTCTTGGAGTGTCGTTGAAATCTGGTAAGCGGACATCATGTGTCCAGTGACTATCTTCTCTTTTTGTTCTCTTATCTCTGTTCTACAGAACGTAGATATCATCCCTCTTCAAACATTTCACTCAGATCTTTCACCAGGGTCACCATTTTCTCACTGGTTTCTAGATTATTGACTTTACCAAGTCCTGAATTCCTTTAACACAATGGTCAACTAATGCTCCAACACAAGCAACTCCAAAATTTATACCTTGTGTCTGGCCTCTCTACTGCAAGCAGAGCCTGTGCAATCTGTTCAAGGTCCCCTAATGGAGTCCTCAAACTACCAAATTCCTGCAAGACATCTCAGGGTCAAGTCTGACTTCTCTTTGGATGGTTTTCTTTTCTTTAGGGTCACCACAAATTTATGACCCTGTTTTGGCCATGATTAGACTAAAAAGTTGGCCACTTCCTCGTTACAGCATTTATTCAACTTATTTTATCTCCATTCTAGGGCTTAAAGCTTTCTCTCCAAAATGAAGAAAATGATCAGTTTTCATGCATACTGATGATGATCAGTGAGGCATGCATATACTTTAGAATCAAGAGCAGCACAAATAGGTAAAACTTAGGAGTTCTCAACAGCCTAAGTCAAAATTCTGCTCTTTAGTAACCTACAAAGTTTAGAATCAACCTAGTAAGAACAAGAGGATACCAAGAATATTAGCAAAGAAAAGACATAATAAGAAGGACCATCCTTCTGGGACTCAAGTAGAAAGCTAAGGTACATTCTTATTTTTTTCGTACTCATCTTGAACTAAGGTAGCCACACAATTTTTTTTTTTTTTTTAATCTCCAGTGCTTTCCCATGGCCAAAGTTAAAATTTCCTTTGCATGCCACCAGGCCTTCACAACTGGTCCAAACTTACCTACCTAGCAACATCCCTTATCAGTTTCCCCTCTTTTACCCATAGCAAACATTCAGACAGCAATTTCTGGAATTTGGTGTGTTATTCCAACACAATGTTCCTTTTCATACCTATGTCTTCAAATGTCTATTTCTCTCTAATTTGAACCTCATGAGTCCTATTAATCCTTTAGAATGTAAACATTACTGCCCCAGACAGTTGGATCGTTCTTATTACACTTGGTACCTATTTATTATAGCACTTATCACATTGTAATCATCAGTTTTTTTCTTTTCTTAGAATGAGAAGTTCTGGAAAGTAGGTAGGGTAACTCCAAGGCCTAGTACAGTGCCTGGCATTCAGTAAACATTATTTCAAAAACGAGTGAACTTTTGTGAAGGTTTTTCCTTGCAATATGCATCTCTCCACTACATAGGTCTCCATCTCACCAGCAAGGCTGGATGGGTGGCGATGTCATAAAAACTTCAGTTTGGCAGAAGTGACTGCTTGAATTCATAGTTTATGAAAATATGCTACTGTGGCTAACATAGCTTAAACCTTAAAACAGTTTAATATCTTACCTTTCAATAAGGTAGTACTTTTTCTTTCAGCAATTTTGTGGATCTTAAGGTCCCAGGGTCTGGAGATTCCAACTTCTTTCCAAAACCAAAACCTTTATACTTGTTTCTTCCTCCTGTCTGTCCTGAGCCTTGACAAGCAGGGCAATAAGCTCCTTGTTTCTAATCTCTACAGGAATAACTGTGGTGCTTCTGCTGGTGTCCATTCCACTCCCAATCCTCTTGGGCATATGCAGGAGGACTGGAACATAACCAATATCTAGATCAAAAGTGAACAAGAGGAAACCCACAAGCAAAGAAAGTACTGAATCCTTCCTTCTCTTAAAGGGTCATCCCCCCTCCCCAGAGGCAAAAATATATTATGTTCCTGCCCTTGAAGGAAATCATGAATTGTTTGATCTCAGTACATAAATTGTAATAATTTGATATTGCAGCTAGTTTTACATTTATTTTTTATTTATTTATTTATTTATTTATTTATTTATTTATTTATTGATAATTCTTGGGTGTTTCTCACAGAGGGGGATTTGGCAGGGTCATGGGACAATAGTGGAGGGAAGGTCAGCAGATAAACAAGTGAACAAAGGTCTCTGGTTTTCCTAGGCAGAGGACCCTGCGGCCTTCCGCAGTGTTTGTGTCCCTGGTTACTTGAGATTAGGGATTGGTGATGACTCTTAACGAGCATGCTGCCTTCAAGCATCTGTTTAACAAAGCACATCTTGCACCGCCCTTAATCCATTTAACTCTGAGTGGACACAGCACATGTTTCAGAGAGCACAGGGTTGGGGGTAAGGTCACAGATCAACAGGATCCCAAGGCAGAGGAATTTTTCTTAGTGCAGAACAAAATGAAAAGTCTCCCATGTCTACTTCCTTCCACACAGACACGGCAACCATCCGATCTCTCAATCTTTTCCCCACCTTTCCCGCCTTTCTATTCCACAAAGCCGCCATTGTCATCCTGGCCCGTTCTCAATGAGCTATTGGGCACACCTCCCAGACGGGGTGGTGGCCGGGCAGAGGGGCTCCTCACTTCCCAGTAGGGGCGGCCGGGCAGAGGCGCCCCTCACCTCCCGGACGGGGCGGCTGGCCGGGCAGGGGGGCTGACCCCCCCCACCTCCCTCCCGGACGGGGCGGCTGGCCGGGCGGGGGGCTGAACCCCCCACCTCCCTCCCGGACGGGGCGGCTGGCTGGGCAGAGGGGCTCCTCACTTCCCAGTAGGGGCGGCCGGGCAGAGGCGCCCCTCACCTCCCGGACGGGGCGGCTGGCCGGGCGGGGGGGCTGACCCCCCCCACCTCCCTCCCGGACGGGGCGGCTGGCCGGGCAGAGGGGCTCCTCACTTCCCAGTAGGGGCGGCCGGGCAGAGGCGCCCCTCACCTCCCGGACGGGGTGGCTGGCCGGGCAGGGGGGCTGACCCCCCCCCCACCTCCCTCCCGGACGGGGCGGCTGGCCGGGCGGGGGGCTGACCCCCCCACCTCCCTCCCGGACGGGGCGGCTGGCCGGGCGGGGGGCCGACCCCCCCACCTCCCTCCCGGATGGGGCGGCTGGCCGGGCGGGGTCCGACCCCCCCACCTCCCTCCCGGACCGGGCGGCTGGCCGGGCAGAGGGGCTCCTCACTTCCCAGTAGGGGCGGCCGGGCAGAGGCACCCCTCACCTCCCAGACGGGGCGGCTGGCCGGGCGGAGGGCTGACCCCCCCACCTCCCTCCCAGACAGGGCGGCTGGCCGGGCGGGGGGCTGACCCCCCCACCTCCCTCCCGGATGGGGCGGCTGGCCGGGCAGAGGGGCTCCTCACTTCCCAGTAGGGGCGGCCGGGCAGAGGCGCCCCTCACCTCCCAGACGGGGCGGCTGGCCGGGGGGAGGGCTGACCCCCCCACCTCCCTCCCGGACGGGGCGGCTGGCCAGGCGGGGGGCTGACCCCCCCACCTCCCTCCCGGATGGGGCGGCTGGCCGGGTGGGGGGGCTGACCCCCCCATCTCCCTCCCGGACGGGGTGGCTGGCCAGGCTGAGGGGCTCCTCACTTCCCAGTAGGGGCGGCCGGGCAGAGGCGCCCCTCACCTCCCGGACGGGGCGGCTGGCCGGGCGCGGGGCTGACCCCCCCACCTCCCTCCCGGACGGCACGGCTGGCCAGGCGGGGGGCTGACCCCCCCACCTCCCTCCCGGACGGCACGGCTGGCCGGACGGCACGGCTGGCCGGGCGGGGGGGCTGACCCCCCACCTCCCTCCCGGATGGGGCGGCTGGCCGGGCGGGGGGCTGGCCCCCCCCACCTCCCTCCCGGACGGGGTGGCTGCCGGGCGGAGACGCTCCTCACTTCCCAGATGGGGTGGCTGCTGGGCGGAGAGGCTCCTCACTTCTCAGACGGGGCAGCTGCCGGGCGGAGGGGCTCCTCACTTCTCAGACGGGGTGGTTGCCAGGCAGAGGGTCTCCTCACTTCTCAGACGGGGCGGCCGGGCAGAGACGCTCCTCACCTCCCAGACGGGGTCTCGGCCGGGCAGAGGCGCTCCTCACATCCCAGATGGGGCGGCGGGGCAGAGGCGCTCCCCACATCTCAGACGATGGGCGGCCGGGCAGAGACGCTCCTCACTTCCTAGATGTGATGGCGGCTGGGAAGAGGCGCTCCTCACTTCCTAGATGGGATGGCGGCCGGGCGGAGACGCTCCTCACTTTCCAGACTGGGCAGCCGGGCAGAGGGGCTCCTCACATCCCAGACGATGGGCGGCCAGGCAGAGACGCTCCTCACTTCCCAGACGGGGTGGCGGCCGGGCAGAGGCTGCAATCTCGGCACTTTGGGAGGCCAAGGCAGGCGGCTGGGAGGTGTAGGTTGTAGTGAGCCGAGATCACGCCACTGCACTCCAGCCTGGGCACCATTGAGCACTGAGTGAACGAGACTCCATCTGCAATCCCGGCACCTCGGGAGGCCGAGGTTGGCGGATCACTCGCGGTTAGGGGCTGGAGACCGGCCCGGCCAACACAGCGAAACCCCGTCTCCACCAAAACCAATCAGGCGTGGCGGCGCGTGCCTGCAATCGCAGGCATTCGGCAGACTGAGGCAGGAGAATCAGGCAGGGAGGTTGCAGTGAGCCGAGATGGCAGCAGTACAGTCCAGCTTCGGCTCCGCATGAGAGGGAGACCATGGGGAGACGGAGACGGAGACGGAGACGGAGACGGAGAGGGAGAGGGAGAGGGAGAGGGAGAGGGAGAGCTCCTCCTTGCCTTTAAAGTGACTCCCACTGAGTGTCCTAGTTTTACATTTAAAACTTTCTATTACATAGAGTATAAAAACCATCTTTGGGGTGGTGAAGGTCAGGAATCAATGATATATGAAAATGTATTACTGTATTCACTCAATATATATTAATCTTACTATTTTTTTTTAAATCCACACACACACACCCATACACACACACACACACATTTTTTTGAAATGATCCTTCAAAAAAAAAAAACAACCTCTAGTCTAAATTTTTTTCCAGGCCATTATATCCTATAAAAGAGGGAGAAAATTAACTGCTACCCATTTCATTTTTTTCTTGTTTCCTGCCCACTAGTCACTAGTGCAACTTATCTTCTTCTCTATCTTCTCTTCTCATTCTGCACATAGTCTCAAAAACTTCCATGATTTGGAATATTACCTACATACTAGTAATGCTTGTAACTGTTTTTCTTGCCTCCTCCTATTCTCAACTATGTCCTGAACATTTTCTAAATGCAACATAAATATCTCAAACTCAACATGCTCAAAAACCAATCTATCCCTCTGTGTATCAGTTAATACTATCAGCATCTACTTAGTCACTTGAGCTTTTAAAAACTTTAGTTGTTTTCATTTCAAAAATGATGATGCAGGGCATTAGGCCTTGTATTGAGCACAAAAAGAGAATAAAAGACAAGACAGGTCCGTGGCCTCAAGAACCCTCCATCTAGAAGAAGAATCTAGCAAGCAAGAAAAGCACAACTGAGTGTGCTAAGGAACAAGGGGCTGACTGTCTAAAAACACTAGCAATGGGATTCACAACAGAAGGGAAATGGGGGCTGGATCTCGGAAACAAGTAAGGTATAATGAAACTTGTTTCAGGCAAAGGAAACAGCAAGTGTTAAGGGTATAAAAGTATCAAAAAATATCATGGATTCAGGGAAGCTTGAGCATTGGGGAAATTTAGGAAGAAACGAGTAGTAAATATAGCTAGGAAGGCAAGTTTGGATAAGGACTGTTGAGGATCTTGTATGCTGCACCAAAGAGTTAGGATGTTATCAACTGTGCTATTCAAAAACAAAAATGTTTCCAAGTATGAGAACAATAGCATTATGTAGAAGTATATATTTCTGAAAGACAATTCTGGCAGTATTGCAAAAAGTCGAATGAGGGAGAAACAGATTTTAGCAGCTAAGAAAAAGAATAGGACTTGGTAAGTAAAGGGGTACACAAGAATCAAAGGAGATGTTGAACATGATACCAAAGTTTTTAATTAGAGTTACTACGTAGACAATGTTACTCACTAAGATAATGAATACAGGAAAAAAAACAGCAAGTTTGGAGAAGATGCAAGGAAAACTTGTGGAAGATTTTGAACTAGGAAGAAAAAAAATTACTAGCTATCCTTTCAATTTCTGGATCCTCAAGGATTATCTATTCCTGCAGAGGAGTGCACCTTTGTCTTTGACTAACCTATTTTAACTCTAGAGACAGAAGTAACTTGTAGAAAACTGGAAATAATGCAAATGACTCCTATTCACAGAAAGACAAATTATGTCCGTGGAATGCAACACATTATTGCTTGGTAGGTATTTTCCAGTTTTACAGGCATTTCAGCATTCCCTATCTGATTAAAAATGTTGGCACTTTTTCTCTTTCAACTAGTTTTAGTATCTTACTGGTTCCCTCATTGATTAATATGTTAAATAAAATCTCTGACACATGTTCATTCTGTATTTGTGAGAGTCATAATTATATCTTCTTTTGAAGTTTATGCTTTCACAAAGATAAGACTGATTTCAGACATGTTTAATTGCGGGTACCTGTGCTACAGAGGAGAGGCAGCTGAAAATATGAGCCTGGAGAACATGCAGGTTTTAGAGCTGTCAGCTTAAAAGCAGTGGCTTAGGTCAAGGATACAGTTGAGTTTCATCAGGAAGAGCTTAGAAAATAAAAAAGAAAAGAGTACACAAAGGAGAACTCAACAGAATAGCAATGCTTAAGGGGTAGATAGTAGAAAAGACGATAAAGACTGAAAAGAAATGGCGAGGACAGGAGAAACAGACAAAGATCACGTCAAGGAAGTCAGGGAAGAACACCTTAAAGAACGAAATGGTCAGCAATATCACATGACACAAAGTTCCAGGAGGAGGAAGAAATGAAGAGCAGTCAATCTGATCAGATCTGGTGAGTAGAGTGTCACTGTTCACCTCAACAAGAACAGTTCCAACACATGTGCTGCTGCACACGCCAGTCTATGACAGCTTGAATGAAAGGGAGATGAGAAAGTAAAGACAGTGAACACCAAAGAAAGGAAAAAATGTAAGTGTAGTTTTAAAGGAAGCAAAATGAAGCGAAAGGAGTGGGAAATGAACCAAGTAGGAGATTTTCAAGTTGCCAAAGAGGAATGACAGAAGAAGATTCCAGAAGAAGAATGACAGAAGAAGACAGTGTAAGTAAAATGAGTTCAGTCAAGAATACCTTTTTGCCCTCCCCAAACCATTCTCAAAATTGCTCCCAGAGTTTTCTTCCTAAAACAAACGTAAGATTGTGTCATTTCTCCACTTTAAAACTTCTGGTAACTATTCAATACATAAAGTTCCGATTCCTGAACACAACTTAAGGGGTCCTTCATCATCTGATCCCAAACTATGTTCCAGTATCCTGCAACATTCTCCCTCCCACGGCACCTCGCAGGCTCCCAACCTAGAAATAGCAGATCCCCTAAAGTCTATGAAAAACAGTAAGGGTCTTTGCACTCCTGTGAATATCTCAAAATGTTCCATTTACCTACGATAAATCTGTACAAGCTAAATTAAAATGTCTAGTACTCAGTTTCTGGCTAGTATTATATCAAGTCAGTAGTTTTCAGGTTGATTAAGAACTCTGATTGGTTGTTGATTACATCATGTCAGCCAGTCATGGCACCAGGATCAAACACAGCTAGTATATAATCACCCTTGGCCATAAGTAGGGAGTAACCACTGAAATTAACGAACCAGTAAAAACTAACATTTACGGGTTCACAGCAGAAATAGTAAATGTGGTACATACACTACCACATCATTTTTCCAGGGCCATGGGAAACATTACTATCAAATATGTTACTCTTTCCCACTAAACCCAGAAAAGGTCTCAAAACTCTTAAAAGGTAAGAGTTTTGTTCCAGGTAATCATGACCAATCAGGATTGGCATATGAAATGGAAACTATATGCCATCTGTGGACTATAAATTAACTTAATTTGGTTGTTTATCAGCATCACACCTAAAATAGAAATTTATATAATTTTAGGGTTCGGTGCATGTGCCAGTAATCGCAGCTATTTGGGAGACTGAGGCAGGAGGACTGCTTGAGCATAGGATTTCAAGACCAGCCTGGGCAACACAGTGAGACCCTGTCTCAAAAAAGAAAGCAATTTATATAATTATAAAATATTTTTATGATTATTCGATTACTATGAATGACTGATTAAATACAATCTGGGAAATGTTGAAAAAGAATAGTAATACATGCAGTTCATTTTTTCCCCAAAACAGAGTCCCTGGGACAAATACCATAAAACTGATCCTTGGTGGAGAAAATGCTCATTACTATAATACCTCATGAAACTACATCTCATTCCTGGAACAAGCCTTGCACACTCATGACTCTATGTTTCTGTTGATCAAGTTTCCCCTCTACCAGAAATGTCCTTTCACCATCAACCTTGGTGACTTCGTTCCTGATCAACTCAAAGGGTACATTCTTCTCTAATCCAAGAAGACATAATCACTTCCTCTCAGCACAGCAATATAATCTGCACAGACTTGTATTATATAACTTATATAATAACTGAACAATAAGTATCTGTTTCCCTTGTTATTAAAAACTTTAAGTCAGAAACTGTGTCTTTTCCTTTGTTATGGTCTCCTCCAAGCCCCTATGTCAGTCCCAGTTAAAGAAGGGGTTGAGTAAGAGAATATAAGGAACGAACAATAAACAGAAACGTAACAGGGCAGGGAGTTCAGAATCGTTTTTTGCTAAATTCTTCCTAAGTGCTAAAGCCCTGCCACATCAGACTGGTAAAAGGAAACTGAAGTGTTGTTGTAACGCTTCCCTTCCAAGACAAGTCTGGAGTAGAATGACCTCTCTACACATCCTTTCAACTTATCAAATAGCCTTCACCTTCATGCCAGAAATATTCCCAAGACCTTTTCTAGGCTCTTTTCTTGTGATCCTGCAAAATGCCATCAAATTCTACGCTTTTGCATTTTTTACCAATCATAGTTTTTCTAAGTGCATCCTTTCAAGTTGTTCTCTCATCTGCTTATTTCTATGCCATTTCTCATATTTCATGTATTATCCAATTTTTATCTACATTCAAAAATTATCATTCTCACTTAAAAACCCTCAGAACATTAAAAGTAGAAGTGCAATTTTTCTCTCATGCAGGAATTTTTCACTCATAACCGTCCAATTTACTTATCTATACCACTCTTTAAAACTGCAATTAATTTGAGTGAAATGGCAGAGGGCGTTGCACATACCAATGTCAAAATGCCAGAAATCCACTTTCCATTTCCATTCTATCTGAATGCCTCCAGATAAGAGTTTTTATAACATTAATGCTCTGATGTGCCAGACACTGTGCTAGGTGCTATGGATATACGCACAAAAAATGAGGAGCATGGTTTAGTAGGAAAGAGAGACCTACTCAGTACTTAAATGCAGTGTGATAAGTGCTATAGCCACTTTAAAAACATGTAAGTGGGACCAGATTATTCTACCTCATGAGATCCAATGTTGACACAGAGGGTAAGTGTCCACTTGTTTAACTTCCAAAGTCCATAAACTCCCTAAATCCCCAAAAGTCAAACACACTAAATACAACTGCATGGTCTTAGTTTATAAAGCAGTGTGTGAAATCATAATGGTTTGAAGTTTTGCTGAGATCTGGAACTGTAATTTATTTGGGAATCTGAACTAAGCATGACTTGGTGAAAGCATGAGGCCAGTGCCTTTGCCTTCCATTATTACCCACACTTCTTTTTTTTTGGTTTTCCTCCATTTCTCCATGCACAGGTAAAATCTTTTTGCTAAAATAGTGATGATCAAATGTCATATCTTCTTGTCTTACCAACTGTATTTAAGTCATGTTAGTGTACTTATTTTTTAACCACCACCACCTAAAAAAAAAAACAAAACCCCCTCAAAAGGGCATTTATTTGACCAAAACCACCTCAGAATCATAAATCCACTGATGTTTTACATAATTATAGTTTCCATTTTGGTGATGCATTTATTATCAACATTCAGATACAGGCTTCTGCATCCCGTTTTTATTCCAGAGCCACTGGAACTCAGCTTCTCCCACTATTCTATCTGACCTGCTCTTAGCAAACGCCACCTGGACCTTTTATCCTTCACAAACCCTTTTTACAGCCGGAGGATACAATCCAAACAAACAGCCATTACATCTCCATTGCCTCAACGGATAATGTGCAAGGCTGAAGCCCTCCAAATTGGATGACCTCAGTTCATTAAAACCTTGCATTACCCAGAAAACATATTCTTTGGCAACTTCCTCACAATTCTCCGTTATGACAGAAGTTAAAGCAGACCACCCTGTAATAATTGCTCCCACAGACAGCAAGTCAAAGTCCTTATCCTTATTCCAAGAGAGAGCATCTTCAATGAGGTAAATAGTTCTTGGAGGTGCTCCACTTGGAAGATGAATATATGTTCATCTCCATAAATTTAAAATGCAAGTTTTCAAAGAGTTCTGCTGGGTCTGATTTTCCAGGGTCCAAAATATCTCCAGACATCCCTTTTGTCTCACAGATAATTTCCACAGTAAGACAGTGGGCGTTCTGGGGGAGCTACAGAACACTCCCCTCATTCCCTCCTCCACCAGTACAACTCCACTTCCACTCCCCTGTTCCAAGATATTTGTAGCTATCACAAACCCGTCAGAGTCAAGAGTACAAGTGTTACCTACTCCAGACATACTGGTCTTTAACTGCCTAAACGTTCCTTGATCTTGAGTGGATCACTTATTTTATCTAGCTTTTCATTAGCTGACAATGAGTGGTAAACTTTAGGGGTAGAAACCTTTAGAGGCAACCATATAGATTCATCAGATCAGTTCCGGGATGGGGGCACTGATCAGTCTCTCCTGGTGGCCCTCCCAGCAGGAATCTCTACCATCACTATTTCTACCCTCTAATCATGGCACTTGTTTTCAAAGTTCTTACCAACATGCTCACCATTCTCATGCCAAAACTACTCATCTCCACTCCTACAAAGCCCAGCAGAAGGCAACAGCTGGCAGTGTTTCTGCTGCCCTCTCTTCTGGAAGTTCTCCATCTTCCAGAAGATGGGTTGACACAGAGGGTAAGCGTCCACTTGTTTAACTTCCAAAGTCCATAAACTCCCTAAATCCCCAAAAGTCAAACACACTAAATACTATTGCATGGTCTTAGTTTATAAAGCAGTGTGTGAAATCATAATGGGATAACTGATATACAATCCAAATATCACTATCTTTAACCTAATTATCTATATCATCCTAACAACTACTGCATTCCTGACACTCAACCTAAATTCAAGCACCACAACCTTATTACCATCTCGCGCCTGAAACAAATTAACATGATTAACATCCCTAATCCTATCAATTTTACTATCCCTAGTAAATCCCATTATGATTTCACACACTGGTCCAGGGCTCCCTCACGCACCAGCAGGGCTTCTGGCTGACTACAAGGAACAGAGGTTGGAGCTTCATATGCTGAAGTGCCTTGGATGGAGAGTTCTTTCCTATTTTTTCTGGAGTCTTTTTTCCATCACTTTTTACATAATCGGCAACAAAGCCCTTTGGGGCCTCAGCACTTTCCCAGTTCCCCAGCCATCCCTCAGTTAACTGCCAATAAAAATTACAATCTCACTAACGCTAGTGAGAATTTAATGAACTAGGTAAATTAAATTTTACCTAGTTCAATTCACCTAGTTTACCTAGTTCAGGGCCCGCCCCTCCACCACTCATTTTATGACTCCAAATTATCCAAACTGCTCTGGAAGGCATCAATAAAGTTGTTAGCTCCTTGACTATTTTCAGCTCTGGAAAAACAATCTGGAGGAACAATCCAAGGTAAAATTATATCCACTCAAAGTACAATCATTAAAAGCAGGCTACCTGGCAACATAGAAAATTTTGCCTCGGGAAAAAAAAAAAAAGGCTAGAAAAGAAATACTTTACAACTACAATCGCTGACGCATTAGTATGATGGGGCCCTTCAAGCAGTAATACCACCATCAAGTACGATTTATACTTCGTGATGTCCTAGATGGTTTGATTTTTTGCAGTAGTAGAAGAAAACAGCATCGGGCTAAATCTCTCATCCCCACAAGACTCAATAAAACCTGTCAAATGAAATACAAATACATATTCACAAAATATTTCCTACTAGAAATTCTCAGAGTTTTGTACCCAAGTCATTAAGCACCTATTTATGGATCCTATGGAAAGGGGGGCGGTTCGCACACTTATCATTTAATCCCCATAATAACTCTGAGAGGAGGTATCATGGCCTTAATTTTGCATATGAAGAAACAGCTATTTCAACATAATAAGTCACTATCCAAGGTCATACAGGGGTGTCACAGCAAAGACTCACATCCAGCCTTTTGACTGGTGTTCATTGTTCTTCTCAGTGTTTTCTTAGTTCCTTAAACCCAAACTAAGCGTCACCATTAACACTATTTCCAGAAACCAATTTTCTGTCATATCAAACTGATGCGATCACAGTTGTCACTTGATATTCGAGACTTTCCCTGTTGTGGGCTACCCCAGATCCTACTAATAATGATCACCCTGCTTTTCGAATGTGAAATGCACGTTATTAAAATATTTTCACGAAATCGTAAGATGGCCAAAGTTTTGCATAACAATGTCACAAAAAGGAAGAGGGCAAGGAGGCTAGCTGTGCCCCCCAAGGCCCCGTGGGGCCGACTCGGCTCTTTCACAGGGCCACGTGGGAAACGTGAGTATCTTAAAGGTCGCGGTGGTGGCTGTGCTCAGTTTCGGGGTCACAGAGGCCCACGCTCCGCGGACCGGGGTCGGAAGGCGCCGTGGGCTTCCCGCGGCCAGTCTTCGAAGCCCCTCCACGCCCGCAGGCCTCACCTTGAGTGTCTCGTAGGCGGTTGCCACCAGCAGGAAAGCCTCCTCGGCGCTCTGCGGCGTCCGCCCGGGGCCCTCGTCTCCGGGCTGGGGCCGGTAGCGGTCAGGGTGGTAGCGCCGGGCCAGCTGGCGGTAGGCCCGCGCGATCTCCGCCTTGCCCGCCGAGCGGCTCACGCCCAGCACCTCGTAGCAGTCCCGCGTGCCGCAGTAGAGCCCCTCCACCAGGGCCCCCGCGGGCCGCACCAGCAGCAGCGCCGGCAGCAGGGGCGCCAGCAGCATCCACCAGCGCCGGCCGGCAGCCCCGGCTCCCCAGCCGGGAGAGAGCAGCGGCGCCCCCATCCCCAGCCTCGCTGGCGGCTCTGCCACCCCAGCGATTCTGCAGCACTCAGCCGCGCGCCCGGCTAGTCCCGTCTGGCCCCAGCTACACGTCAGCAGCCGACGCCTCCGCGCAGGCGCACAGGGCGCGGCTACAGCAACTACTTCCTTCGCAACCCGTTGGTAGGGAGAAGGACGCCTCAGCCACTAGGCTGCTTCCGGTGTGTCACTGAACACCTTCCCCGTACCAGCAGCTGGAGGATTTGTTTGGTAGCACCTGGGGGATGGCTCTGTCCCGGGCGCACTTAGGCGGGCTGTGCGGAGCGCTTTACCTTCCACAGTGTCCGGCACACGCATCCTTTTCGACATCATCACTTGACCTGCTGCAATAGGTAACCTACCTGGCTCTCTCGCATCCCGTTATCAGCGTCAAGAAGATTTGCACGTAGGCCTTTAAAGCCAGCCACCAGCCCCGGGCGCCTTCCTCTCACTAACCCCATGCTGCCTTTCCAAACGGAAGATGAACTTAGCAATTCTAGGCGCTGCCTGTGTACTAGGTAGGGACCCTGAAAGTTCATAGCCATCTAGTTCAGTTTTTCTCAGCCTCCACGCTATTGACATTTTAGACCAGATAATTCTTTGCCTTTGAGGGGCTGCCCTTTGCATTGTAAGATGTTTAGCAGCATATCTGGCCTCTCCACACTAAATGCCAGTAGTGCCACCACCCCCAGTCATGACAATAAAAAATCTCTGTACGCGGGTCTGTGCGTCCACCTTGGGCTGCGCGTTCCCGGGACAACCTGCTGGAAGGATCAAGCGATCCTTCCAAAATGCTAGGATTACAGGCGTGAGCCACCGTGCCCGGCCTACATTTGAATTTCAGATAATAATTTTTTAGTATAAGTATGTCCAAAATATTGCATGGGACTATATGGCAACATGAAAAACTTTGCCTCAAAAAATCTGTTTCTATCATTCATCTGGTAAATGTTTATTGAGTCTCTACTCTGAGCCGGGCACTGTTACTTAGGCACTGGGGATACAGTGGTGAGCAAAGTAAACAAGAAGCTCAACTTCAGAGAGCATATATTCTGATGGAGGATGACAGTCAGTAACAAATAAATAAACGTTCAGATATAATCAACTCTTTTAATAAAGTGAAATCAAATACTGATACATAGCATTATATACTTATAATACATAATGAATATACATTATAATTTTGTATTTCTCATTGAATAAATATATATCTCTCATTACATATATCTCCCTCATTACATATATAATATATATAATCTCATTACACATATATGTCTCTGTCATTACATATATAACATATATGTGTCTATTTTTCACCTCAGCCCACTAAATATTGCATGGGACTATATAGCAACATATACAGTTATATATGTAATGAGAGAGATACATGTATATGTAATGAGATACAAAAGTTATATATATAATAACAATTTTGTGTATCATATATGCTTATTTACATTTGTATCTCATATATGTTTATATATGCTTATATATGGCTTATATATATGCTTATATATATATATAATGAGAAAGATAAAATGAATGGAAACACATGGGAGGGTCTCCTGAAATTATTAGGATCGGGATCAATTACAAGCATCAATTCCAGTAGGAGCTGACAGCTAAACTGACTTTGGAGGACGAATAGAGAATGGCTTGAAGGATGTGAATTAGAGAGGAGTTTGGGGACAAGGGAGTGTGAAATAAGTACCAAGAAGAGAAACGAGCCATGGGCAAGAAAAAAATAATAATAAAGCTTTTCAAAAAATGAAAGACAACCTATATGACTAGGAGTAGAGGTAAGGAGTGTAGGAGATGAAACTGGAGAAAGCCAAGTTGCAAAGGGTCATTTTATCCCATGTCAAAGAAGTTGTTCCTTATCTTAAGAGCAATGGAAAGGCCAATATGGGGTCTTTGAGCAAAAAGTGACACCTTCGGATTGACATTTCAGAACCATTACTCTGCCTGGGAAAATGAGTTGGGATGTATCAGGAAGACCATTAGGAGACAGTTATGAGTCCAAGTAGCCTGTAATCCCAGCACTTTGGGAGGCCGAAGTGGGTGGATCATCTGAGGTCAGGAGTTCAAGACCAGCCTAGCCAACATGGTGAAACCCCATCTCTACTAAAAACACAAAAATTAGCCAGGCATGGTGGCAGGCACCTGTAATCCCAGCTACTCAGGAGGCTGAGCCTGGGAGAATTGCTTGAACCCAGGAGGCAGAGGTTGCAGTGAGCCGAGATCACACCATTGCACTCCAGCCTGGGCGACAGAGCAAGACTCTGTCTCAAAGGAAAAAAAAAAAAAAAAGTCCAAGTAACAGATGCTACAGGTCTATTTCTAGGTAGTGGCTCTGGGAAAGGAAAAGAAATAGAAAAAAGTTAAAATATATTTATGCAGCAAAATGGACAGTATTTAGTCGTTGGCTCTGGAAGAGTGAAGGAGATGAGTGAGTCATGATAATGCCCAGGTTCCCAGTTTGGGCAACCAGGTACCACTCTGGAAACAGGGAACACAGAAGTAAAGTAGACTTATGGAGTAGAATGGGGCATTTGCTTGAAACATGTTGTGTTGTAGATGCCAACCATCTCCACATTGGATCATGTCGTTTCCAAATTTGAAACCTTTGAGGATTCTCATTGACCCTTGCCTCCCGTGAGGCCTTTCAGATATGCAGCTTACCCAGTCCATTTCCTCCATGCAAGCTCCTCTTATAGATGCTCACTGCTACTTGTTCAGGGCTCTTCTTCCCAAATTGAAGAAGTTCCCACGCTGCCTTCAGATAGAGGAAATTTCCCATATTGCAAATTTGGCGATGTAACTTTTACTCAACTTTCCCCTCAGATTAGATTAGAGTTCAAACCCCTGAGTGCTATGGTTTGAATGGATGTGCCTGCTGGGATTACAGGCATGAGCCACCGCGCCCGGCTTCTACAATAAATTTTAAAATTTACTGGGTGCACTGGCTTGCACCTGTAGTCCCAACTGCTTGGGAGGCCGAGGTGGGAGGATTGCTTAATCCTGGGAGTTTGAAGCTGCAGAGATATGATTAGGCCACTGCACTCCAGCTTGGGTGACAAAGTGAGACCTGGTCTCAAAACAACTCCCAGCACTTTGGGAGGCCGAGGCAGGCAGATCACTTGAGGTCAGGAGTTCGAGACCAGCCTGGCCAACATGGTGAAACCCCATCTCCACTAAAAATACAAAAATTAGCTGGGCGTGGTGGTGGGCGCCTGTAATCCCAGCTATCCGAAAGGCTGAGGTGGGAGAATCACTTGAACCCGAGAGGTGGAGGTTGCAGTGAGCTAAGTTTGCACCAGGGAACTCCAGCCTCCGCGACAGAGCAAAACACTGTCTCAAACAACAACAACGAGTTCTATTTCAGCCATAGAAAAGAAAAAAAATAAATGTGTTCGGAGGGTAGATCTCATGTTAAGTGTTGTGACCACAATAAAATAAAATGAAGAAGATCGAATGAGGCTAGCTGAAGCTCACTTCAAAGCAGAGAGAACTTTGGTCCCCTGATATGGCAGTTATTAATTTATTGCCTCTGAGCTTTGAACCCATCCTTCCTTGCCCCAGGGAACGATGCAAAGTCCATTCCCCTTTGCCAGCTGGCTGGATGTTAAACTCTGCCAGTAGAGGGTACTTGAAGGACACTACAAACGTGGAAAAAGAAAGGGATATTTTCTTCTCAAAGCAAACAGATCGATGTGCAGGTTTCCCTGTTCAGCACCAGTTTATTTGCTGCCACATTGGGGATGGCTCTTGTTGTGGGTTGAATTATGTCCCCCCAAAAATATATGTTCAAGTCCTAAATCCTGGTGCCTGTGAATATGACCTTATTTGGAAATAGGGTCTTTGTAAATGTAAATTAGTGAAGTCACTCTGGCTTAGGGTGGACCCTAATCCAATGACGGTGTCTTTTTTTTTTTTTTTTTTAGACAAGTCTTGCTGTGTTGCCCAGGCCGGAGTGCAGTGGTGCAATCTCTGCTCAGTGCAACCTCTGCCTCCTGGGTTCAAGTGATCATTCTGCCTCAGGCTCCTGACTAATTGGGATTACAGGCATGCACCACCACACCAGCTAATGTTTGTATTTTCAGTGGAGACGGGGTTTTACCATGTTGGCCAGGCTGGTCTCAAACTCCTGACCTCAGGTGATTCGCCTGCCTCGGCCTCCCAAAGTGCTGGGTTTACAGGCGTGAGCCACCGCCCGGCCTCATGTCATCAAAAGAAGAGAAAACAGAGGCACAAGAGAAGATGACCACAGAAGACAGAGGCAGAGGCTGGGGTTATGCTACCACAAACCGGAGAATGCCAAGGATTGCTGGCAACCACCAGGAGCCTGGGGAGAGGCGTGGAACCCCTCCTCCCTCAGAGGCCCCAGAAGGATCCAACCCTGCTAATACCTTGATTTTAGACTTCCCACCCCCAGAACTGTGAGAAAATAAATTTCTAGCTGCTTTAAGCCATCTAGTGTGTGGTACTTTGTTTGTTACAACAGCCCTAGGACACTAATGCAGCTTGAGTCAGTTACTTTGTCACCAGGTTGGTGGCAGCTGTTAGCTCTCAACAGAGGCCAGTTTCTTCCCCACGAAAGCAGGCAGCATGCTCCTAGGGCAACCATACTCTCCCCTCAGAGCAAAAGAAGTAGTAAATGCATGCTTGACAGGTACTGGATATCCTTTAAAATGTATATTTTAAAATGGTTAAAACAGTATATTCTATGTTATGTGTATTTTATCACAATTTTTAAAAATCTCAGATCAGGGAAGAGCTTTCTCTGAGTTCTAAGTTCCATATTTGTTTACTTTTCCCTCCACTTTAGGAGTAATTAGCTGCTCTCTGCATTCTTTATTTATTTAATTTTTTTGAGATGATGTTTTGCTTTTGTCACCCAGGCTGGAGTGCAATGGCACGATCTTGGCTCACTGCAACCTCCGCCTCCCGGTTCAAGCGATTCTCCTGCCTCAGCCTGCCGAGTTACTGGGATTACAGGCGCCTGCCACCATGCCTGGCTAATTTTTGTATTTTTAGTAGAGACAGGGTTTCACCATATTGGCCAGGCTGGTCTCAAACTCCTGACCTCAGGTGATCCGCCCGTCTAGGCCTCCCAAAAGTACTAGGATTACAGGTGTGAGCCACTGCACCTGGCCTCATTATTTATTTTTTAAAAAATTTTATATCGTGAATTAATATAACATCACATTTACCATTTTAACTATTTTAAAGCATACAATTCAGTAGCATTAAGTACATTCACAGTGTTGTACAATCACCACCACTGTCTAGTTCCAGAAATTTTCATCACTCCAAATAGAAATCCTGTATCTACTAAGCATGCAGTTACTGCATCTTTTGCTCCATACTCCTTTAAGGTTCTCTTTTCTCCCTTTTAGTAGCTAACCATGGCCAGCACCATAAAGGAGCATGCCCAGCCTGAAGGAAGATAAGGCAGACTACAGGGGAGCCAGGAAGAATCACAAAAGGCCTCATCCAGGCCAAGATCAGATGTCAGACTAATCATGGAAGGACACATCCTTTATAGAATCATCCTACTCAAAAAAATGAACACCATGCTTGAAAAGTGCTGCCTGAACCAGATCTCACTTCATCTCTCTCACCATAGGAAACCCTATGAACCAGAATCTGAAATAAAATATTGACATAGTCATCATATGGACAGGAAATTGGAAAATTTGGATGAAATGCAAAAGTTCCTAAAAAATATAAAATATCAAAATTCATGCTTGTATTAATATTAAAGAAACTTAAAAGCCATTCAGGACTGTCTCTCCTGAAAAAACAAAACAAAACAAGACAAGTTGCTATAGAAAATAGAAGATTTTCAAAATCAACCCATTCATTTTATTATTGGCTATTGTCATATTGATTCCAAAATCAGATAAGGGCAATACAAGAAAATAACAGCTATTTGAATCCAACAACAATGTCTTTAAAAAGTCCTACATCTTGATCCAGTAAAAGTCTTTGCAGGAATGTAAAGATGTTTTACAATCAGAAAATTTATCAATGGATTCATAATTAATAAATTTAAAGAAAAAACCACATGCTCCCACAGGTGATACAGAAAAAATGTTTTATAATGTTTAATGACTATGATTTTTAAAATTACAAAGTAGGAATGCTGGACATTTTTCTTACCTTGAAAAGTTTATATATAAAAAATCTACAGCAAAGTTAGACTTATAGCAAACTATACTTTAAGATCAGGAAAAAGACAAGCCATTGGAATACCCTTGTTGCTGTTTAATATGATACTGGAGGTTCTTGTCTGCATTATGAGGAAAAGAAAAAAGTGTAAGCATTATAAAGGCAGAGATAAAACTGCTGATATTTACAAATAATATGAGCATCTAGAAAAACTAACAGAATCAACAATCAAGCTATTAGAATTAGAGTTTAGCAAGATTAACACACAAATTCAACCCAGAAAAGTTAATAGCATTGATCTCTATTGGCAATAACCAACTATAAAATGGAATATATTTTGTCCACTACTATGTATTCAGCATCTGGTATATAGTAGGTGCTTAATAAACATTTGTTGAATGTCTAAGTGAATGTGGCTTATGATGAACTTGCTGTTCATGGTTCTTCCTGGACTACTTACTACATGAATCTCCACCTTTGCAGTCTGAGGGAAGTCAGGGTTTAGTCTGGATGTACCTCTAACTGCAGCTGCAGGGCTATATCATTTATAATGTTCTCCCCACAATATCTTCCCACAGAGCAAAACTATCTTCTTTCTGGCTTTCTTTCCCAAGGCTGAATAGAAGAATCAGGAGGCTTATCATTCATTAGTTCATTTCATACTACAACCCAGGCAAACGCTGAGGTTTGAGGGTTCTTTACTATCTCTGGTCCAATTGCTTAGATGGACATGTTCAATCAGTCAGAACAATCTTCTGGGGAGGTTGTTTTGACCAGTATAATTATTTGAGTAATAACATCTTAAGCCAAAAAAAAAAAAAAAAAACCCCTATTACCTGAAATCTAGCTTTTGATTATATTTCTTTAGCCCAAAGGTCAAGATTAGATGATCACAGATGGATTTCGAGATATAGCCTCTACATTCCATTCCTTAATTATCTATCCGCACCTTGAATTTCTTTTTAAAAAAATTTTTTGGGCCAGGCGCTCGGAATCCCAACACTTTGGAAGGCCAAGCTGGGTGGATTGCTTGAGCCCGGGAGTTTGAGACCAGCCTAGGAAACATGGCAAAACTCTGTCTCTACAAAAAATACAAAAATTAGCCGGGTATAATGGAGTGCACCTGCAGTCCTAGCTACTCAGAAGGCTGAGGTGGGAGGATCGCTTGAGCCCGGGAGGTTGAGGCTTCAGTGAGCCGTGATTGCACCACTGCACTCCAGCCTGGGTAACAGAGTGAGACCCTGTCTCAAAAAAAAAAAAAAATTATTTTTGTGGAGACAGGATCTTGCTATGTTGCCCCAGCTGGTCTCAAACTCCTGGCCTCAAGCAATCCTCCCACCCCAGCATCCCAAAGTGCTGGGATTACAGGTGTGAGCCACTACACCCAGCCATTGAATTTCTTCATATAAGGTATGTAAAAGGAGAACTAAGAAGCACAGCAAACAGTAGTGTCTTCACAGATAACTTTTAGCTAAATTACTTCAGTGAATCAGTGGACTTGTGGGTTTGCAACAGGTTATGATTAGCAACTTGATCACAACTATATTTAAGATTCTTGTAATTGGGATTGGTCTGTACAGCATTCTAAGTTTTGATAAACAGCTTTGGAAATTTATATGGAAGACAATTAACATTTTCTTGTATCAACATGGACTTGTGACTTCCATAAACTTAATTTTCATTGTTTCCTTTGATGATAACTTGTCAAAGACAGAGTACCCATACTTATTCCAAAATAGAAGTCTTGATGAATAGGCACATTTGCAAATTGTAGGGAATTCACGCACATCACAGGAAGTCTCAAAATTAAAATCCTTCTGATACGGTTTGGCTGTGTCCCCAGCCAAATCTCATCTTGAATTGTAGTTCCCATAATCCCCACGTGTCATGGGAGAGACCCAGTGGGAGGGACCTGGTGGGAGGTAATTGAATCATGGGGGCTGTTAGCCCCATGCTGTTCTAATGATAGTGAGTGAGTTCTCACAAGATCTGATGGTTTTACAATGGGCTTTTTCCCCTTTGTTCGGCACTTCTTTCTCCTGTCGCCATGTGAAGAGGGATGTGTTCCCTTCCCCTTCAGCCATGATTGTAAGTTTCCTGTGGCCTCCCCAGCCATGTGGAACTGTGAGTCAATTAAACCTCTTTCCTTTATAAATTACCCAGTCTCGGGTATGTCCTTATAGCAGCATGAGAACAGATGAATACACCTTCCTTTCAAAGTGGAGAAAGAAATGCTTCAATGCATATGTACTTAATGCATATACATTTAAAAAATAATATTACAGTTTAAAAAGCTAATTCAAAACCAGCATTGCCTTTGAACTTCCTTTGATGACATTTACAAATCTGTCCTTCTCACTGCAAGTGGACTACCAGTGTCGCAACCCACTAGTGTGAGTCACGGTTCATGGCATTGGAATGCCACCAATTTCATTGCCAACTCCATCTCTAATTTTGTCAGGCTTGTATGACTATAGTTTCTCTTCTGCCTTCTTGGTGTATGTCTATATTTTTGTTGTTGTTGAGAGTTAATATCTGAGCCAGGTGTGGTGGCACATGCTTGTAATCCCAGCACTTTGGGAGGGCCAAGGCGGGTGGATGGCTTGAGCCTGTCCGGGAGTTCGAGACCAGCCTGGGCAACATGGCAAAACCCTGCCTCTACAAAAAATTTAAAAATAAAATTAATTAATTACTTAAGGCAATTAATATCTGTTTCTTCCTTACCTCTCCTAAAATCTGTCCACTTGAAGAATGGCAGGGAGTCAGAGGATGGGTGGATTCTGCCTGTATTCACTCCCTTTTTTTGTTTTCCACATCCACTGCCCTTTACTGTTCAGCCCACTCAGTCACTTTTGTGGAGAAACTCATTTTACAATTCTCCCATTCCTCTGGCATTCTTATTTGGGGCAAGCAGAAAACTCACATGGCTCACACAAACCACTCATAGTGGGTTTAATACTGGACCTGCTAGGTCATCAGGGATACAAAGCAGCCGTTTACTTGCTGACCATCAGAGAGCCACAGAAAAATGCTGAGGAGAGATTTTGGAGAGGATTCACCCTGGATCTGTATCTCCCCAACTGGTTCCAGTGCACCCATCAGAGACCATACCGGTTCCAAAACTGTCCACCAGAGGATGCTACCCACTTCTGCACAGCCTGTTGGAGATGTCTAAAAGCTAAATTCCCCAGTTTATAATGGTTTAAATTTTCCCTAGCTATCCTCAGAATTCATGAATGAAGCACCTTTTTAAAACCAAGAACCCAAGAAAGGAAAATAAATCTGTATGATTGGTTGCATAGACAAATGGGGAAAACTAAAAAAAGCTCCAATACCTGTTCCTCTGGCATACTTCCTATAAGGATGGATGTGAAAGGGATTTTTTTTTTTTTTTGAGACAGGATCTCCCTTTATTGTCCAGGCTGAAGTGCAGAGGCAGGATCATGGCTTACTGCAGCCTCAACCTCCCAGGCTCAAGCAACTCTCCCACTTCAGCCTCCTGAGTAGCTGGAACTACGGGCTCATGTCATCATCTCTGGCTAATTTTTGTATGTTTTTTGTAGAACTAGGGTCTCATTATCTTGCCCAGGCTGGTCTCAAACCCCTGGGCTCACGTGATCCTCAAAGGGGACTTTTGAGCAAGCTAAACCTACTTTTTAAAACCTGGCAGTTGGTTCTGTCAGGGAGGAAAAACATTTGCAGATGAAGATCTCCAGTGTACACCTATTCACTTTTTGTCTAAATAATCTGTGAAGTTGGGTAAACAGGCATTTCAGAAATATTCTCTATGATAAAGTTTTATATAGGAAGCTCAAGGAGATATCCATCTGCTAATTAGCATAATCCCCAGGCAGGTCTGCCTGGCTCAGAGTTCCAGCTTCGCACCACTGTGTCCCACTGAAACAAAATGAAGCACAAACTAGAAGAATAAAGATGTGAGATGTGAATACTCAACAAAATTGTTGATGCAGAGAAGGCTTTTTAAATTAAGAAATGAGCTGGGCGTGGTGGCTCACACCTGTAATCCCAGCACTTTGGAAGGCTGAGGCAGGCAGATTGCCTGAGCTCAGGAATTTGACACCATCCTGGGCAATACAGCGAAACCCTGTCTTTGCCAAAAATACAAAAAATTAGCCAGGTGTGGTGGTGAGCGCCTGTAGTCCCAGCTACTCGGGAGGCTGAGGCAGGAGAATCACTTGAACCTGGGAGGTGGAGCTTGCAGTGAGCCAAGATCGCGCCACTGCACTCCAGCCTGGGCAACAGAGCAAGACTCCGTCTCAAAAAAAATAAAAAAAAAAAAGATGGAAATTTTTCATGAAGTTGTTTACATGAAATTTAAGGGTATGCATTAAAACTCATAATATTCAAGAAAAAATGACAAATTTGGGAATAGATATAGTAAATTTGACAAAGAATTAGTATATTTTACATAAATATTTATATACTTTATTTTAAAAATTAAAAGGTATAATTAAAATCATTTTAGGCCAGGTGCAGTGAGTCACGCCTATAATCCCAGCACTTTGGGAGGCCGAAGTGGGCGGATCACTTGAGGTCAGGAGTTCCAGACCAGCCTGGCCAACATGGTGAAACCCCATCTCTACTAAAAATACAAAAATTAGCTGGGCATGGTGGCAGGCACCTGTAATCCCAGCTAGTAGGGAGGTTGAGGCAGGAGAATCACTTGAACCCGGGAGGCAGAGGTTGCAGTAAGCCGAGATCACGCCACTGCGCTCCAACCTGGGTGACAGAGCAAGACTCTTTACAACAAAACAAAACAAAACAAAGTCATTTTAAATAGTAATGATCTTGAATGGACATTCTCAGAAAAGGAAATCAAACCAGTCAGGATAAATGGAAAGACTTAATTTGATGAGTAATCACAGGAATGCAAACATTAACCACAAATTATCATTTTCCTGACAAAATTAGCAATGATTCTAAAACTTGCAATAGCCAATTTTAGCAAGACCGATCGAAGAGGACAGCTGACACTTTTCTCAGGGCTGCATAAATTCCTAATTGAGACAACTTTTTGTAAAGCAATTTGGTGACTGTAATACATAGACTAGAAGAGCCCAGGTATTGTTTCAACTCCCAGAAAGTATTTATACCCTTTGACTCAATACTTTTCTGTCTTAAGGAAAGAATTCAAAATATGGAAAAGGATGTATGCACAAAGATGTTTATTCTGGCACTATATATGTGTTACCAGGCCACACCAATCTAGAGTTGCAAATGAGGTCAACATAATAACAATAAAAGCATTCTTCTATGGCTGGGCGCAGTGGCTCACGCCTGTAATCCCAGCACTTTGGGAGGCCGAGGCAGGTGGATCACCTGAGGTCAGAAGTTCGAGACCAGCCTGGCCAACATGGTGAAACCCTGTCTCTACTAAAAATACAAAAATTAGCCAGGTGTGGTGGCTCATGCCTGTAATCCCAGCTACTTGGGAGGCTGAGGCTGGAGAATCGTTTGAACCTGGGAGGCAGAGGTTGCAGTGAGCCAATATCGCGCCACTGTACTCCAGCCCAGACGACTGAGCGAGACTCCGTCTCAAAAAAAAAAAAAAAAAAAAAAAAAAAAAAGCATGCTTCTAACTGTCCCAGTCTGCTCCATGAGGCCTGCAGCTGCCAGTAAAGCTTTGTGTTGTATCACTAGGTTGTCTTGGGTACCCAGCATCTGCTCCTCTATACTCTGGTATGTTTTCTGTGGCTGCATTAACCAAGAAACTTAGTGATGCCACCCATACCCCTATTAGGATCACTGTTGCTGCTACTACAAGTACTGATGCTACTGCATACATGGCCAGCACTCAATGGTGGATCACTTGAGCCTAGAAATTCAAGACCAGCCTGAGCAACATGACGAAAACCCATCTCTACAAAAAATACAAAAAAATTAGCTGGGTGTGGTGGCACGTACCTGTAACCTCAGCTACTCGGAGGCTGAGGTGGGAGGATCACTTGAGCCAGGAGGTTGAGGTTGCAGTGAGCCAAAGTCACCCCATTGCACTCCAGCCAGGGCAACAGAGCAAGACTCTATCTCAAAACAACAACTCTGTGTGTGTGTGTGTGTGTGTGTGTGCGCACGCGTGCGCAATCATCTCTGACCATGGCTTCTCAGGTTTTGTATAATTTAGTTCACCAGTATATAAACTGTACAAGGTCTCTTGCCAGACAGGAAAAGGTATCTAATTATGAACCTAGACTTTCCTATTTGAAGGCTATGCAAATAAAATAAAATCGTGTTGATGGCTTAATCTTTTTTTTTTTTTTTTGAGACACAGTCTCGCTCTGTTGCCAGACTGGAGTGCAGTGGCACGATCTCAGCTCACTGCAACCTCCACCTCCTGGGTTCAAGCGATTCTCCTGCCTCAGCCTCCCAAGTAGCTGGGACTACAGGTGCATGCCACCATGCCCAGCTAATTTTTGTATTTTTAGTAGAAACGGGGTTTCACCATGTTGGCCAGGATAGTCTCGATCTCTTGACCTCGTGATTCGCCCACCTCAGCCTCCCAAAGTGCTGGGATTACAGGTATGAGCCACCGCCCCCGGCTGCCTTCATCATTTTAAACACAATGCTGAAGTCTTGATTTTCTACAGAATAGAAAGAGAAAGGTTAGTCTTCCTGAAACATGTGAATAGAACATTCCAGAACATAGTCTGTTGAATGTACAAGATTAACTAAGTTTTCAAGGTATTTTGTACTGAAAAAGAAGACATACTGATAACAATTCTATATCTAACTTTCCCATTTGCTCTTCTCTTGGCACAAAGGTATTGTTTCTATTTTTTTTCTTACCTTTTGCTTTCTAAATGGAAAATCCATCTGATTCAATCCTCTTGAATCAATACAAACGCCTCTTTCTCTCTGAAACTCTACAAAAAAAAAAACAAAAAAAAAACTAAAGTTGAAAACATCCCCTCTCCCTCTCCCTCTCCCTCTCCCTCCCCCTCCCCCTCCCTCTCCTCTCCCTCTCCCCACGGTCTCCCTCTGATGCCGAGCCAAAGCTGGACTGTGCTGCCACCATCTCTGCTCACTGCAACCTCCCTGCCTGATTCTCCTGCCTCAGCCTGCCGAGTGCCTGCGATTGCAGGCGCGCGCCTCCACGCCTGACTGGTTTTCGTATTTTTTTGGTGGAGACGGGGTTTCGCTGTGTTGGCCGGGCTGGTCTCCAGCTCCTAACCGCGCTGGTCTCCAGCTCCTAACCGCGAGTGATCCGCCAGCCTCAGCCCCCCGAGGTGCCGGGATTGCAGACAGAGTCTCGTTCACTCAGTGCTCAATGTTGCCCAGGCTGGAGTGCAGTGGCATGATCTCGGCTCCCTACAACCTCCACCTCCCAGCCGCCTGCCTTGGCCTCCCAAAGTGCCGAGATTGCAGCCTCTGCCCGGCCGCCACCCCGTCTGGGAAGTGAGGAGCGTCTCTGCCTGGCCGCCCATCGTCTGGGATGCGAGGAGCCCCTCTGCCCGGCTGCCCAGTCTGGGAAGTGAGGAGCGCCTCTTCCCGGCCGCCATCCTATCTAGGAAGTGAGGAGCGTCTCTGCCCGGCCGCCCATCGTCTGAGATGTGGGGAGCGCCTCTGCCCGGCCTCGACCCCGTCTGGGATGTGAGAAGCCCCTCCGCCCGGCAGCCGCCCCGTCTGAGAAGTGAGGAGCCCCTCCGCCCGGCTGCCACCCCGTCTGGGAAGCCAGGAGCGTCTCCGCCCGGCAGCCACCCCGCCCGGGAGGGAGGTGGGGGGTCAGCCCCCACCTGGCCAGCTGACCCGTCCGGGAGGTGGGGGGCGCCTCTGCCCGGCTGCCCCTTCTGGGAAGTGAGGAGCCCCTCTGCCCGGCCACCACCCTGTCTGGGAGGTGTACCCAACAGCTCATTGAGAACGGGCCATGATGACGATGGCGGTTTTGCGGAATAGAAAAGGGGGAAAGGTGGGGAAAAGATAGAGAAATCAGATTGTTGCTGTGTCTGTGTAGAAAGAAGTAGACATGGGAGACTTCACTTTGTTCTGTACTAAGAAAAATTCTTCTGCCTTGGGATGCTGTTGATCTATGACCTTACCCCCAACCATGTGCTCTCTGAAACATGTGCTGTGTCCACTCAGGGTTAAATGGATTAAGGGCGGTGCAAGATGTGCTTTGTTAAACAGATGCTTGAAGGCAGCATGCTCGTTAAGAGTCATCACCACTCCCTAGTCTCAAGTACCCAGAGACACAAACACTGCGGAAGGCCGCAGGGTCCTCTGCCTAGGAAAACCAGAGACCTTTGTTCACTTGTTTATCTGCTGACCTTCCCTCCACTATTGTCCTATGACCCTGCCAAATCCCCCTCTCCGAGAAACACCCAAGAATGATCAATAAAATAAATAAATAAATAAATAAATAAATAAAAAGAAAAACATCATCCAAAGAGCACAAGAGAATTGTAACTCACATTGTGCAATTTTACCATTGTCCTCATATTCAGGATCAAGGATACAGATTGATGGAGAAAAGGTAGTGTCTCACTGGATTAATTCATTGTTGGATGGGAAAGGTGGGAAGCTCAGCTCATGCTTCCACAGCAGATTCTACCCTGACAAAATCTTACTCCAAAATTGGCATTTAAGCACACAAGTGTTATAGCTTCTGGCACTCATTTCATACAGTCTCACCCCAAACACTGCATAATCTGACTCTCATTCTCCTTGACTTTCTATTCCGGAACATCACCTGGCACATTTAACCTGTAGTTCAGGTTCTTCTACCCCCGAGATAGCTCTGCAAAAATCCTAGTTTTAGTATCCGGCTATTTGCAGCCCAGGCTGCATTGCTCTGTTCAATTTGTCCTAGGTCCTCAGCTTCTTTCTTTTTTTAGGTACTCTTTTTTTTTCTTTTAGAATTCTAGGTTGGAGGATGCAGGAGTATAAACTATCTTCCATGTATTCTCTTGCTCCAGTGTTTTCTGAAAGCAATTTTCCTTAGGGAGGTGCCTGGTAAATTCAAAATAGTTACTGTTAGCTTTCTGCCAGAAATATTCATCTTCGAACCTTCTTTTGGTCCACAGCTCTGGTTCTGTGACTACGTATGTCTCTACCACATTCCTCTACTGTGGGAGGAAATTCCTGGGCCCAAACCTCTGTCAGCTTGCATTACTTCCATTCCTTGGCATGATTCTACTAGCAGGTTAGATGTCACAGTGGATATCATAGCTAGGTTGTGCCAGGTTTACAGCCCACCCTCAGTGCCCACCTCCCTGTGTGTCTATGTACATCAGCTGTCCTCCTGAGATGAGAACGACCCACAAGGAAGTGTTAATCTGCAGCTGTGCTTCAGGGACAAATGGTCAAAGAACCAATTACCTCCTCATTTGCAATTGGCTATATTCTTTTTCTTTTGCCCTGCCTTGAATATATTTCTTGAATATAGACCAGTTAGAAGAGCTGCCAAGCTTTAACATATTTAATCCTAACTTCTGTGCATACACCATACAACATTAGAAATTCTGGTGGAAAATTTCCAGGACGAAATTTCTCTTAATGACTTCACTATTGCTAGAGGTTTTACTGATGTACAGAAGAGTTAACATAGCAAGCCTGATTGCGATGTTGGCCTTGGGCTGGTGTCTGGGAACTTGGATTTGAAGCGTGTCCCCACCATTCCCTAACTGACAAGGGTGGCCCATTCTGCCTAGACTATACAAACAGTGTGGTTTATGCTGAACACCTGCCTTCCTTTGGGGGGTCTGGAATTTTGGTACACGCTAGGCAGAGGGTGCCTTATGTGACTAGACCCTAGTAAAACTTTGGATGTTGAGACTCTAATGGGTTTCCCTCTAATAAGCAGAAACATTGAATGCTTACTGCTGGGGAAATATATTTTCATTGCTGAAGGAAGAGTGCACTGTGCAATTCCTCGTGGAGGGAGGGGGCAGTAGGATGCCTGCCCATGGATTTCCCCAGGCTCCACCTGAGTCTTTCTCCCTCCTCATTACATTGCCGTAATAAACCTTAGCCATGAATACAACTATAGTCTGGGTCCCGTGAGCCCTTCCAGTGACTCTCCAAACATAAGGTATCCTTGGGCACCCTCCACATGAGTAATTAGATTGACGAATCCCAATGTCTCCGATAGGGTCGAAGTCACTGGTGCCATCTCCCATCTATGTAACAAAGCTACTCAGTATGTCACAGAGAGTTTAATGAAGCCACTTGTTTAAGTTCTTACTTTTTTCTTTGTTGGTGTCCCCCTGAGCTGGAACTTGGGCATGAGCCCAAGAGTCTGGGCTGAAGTAAGATACAAGTAACCAACACTGAGCTGAGCACTCACTTTTCCCCTTGATCTTGAACCACTTACTGTCTTTGTGCATCTTAACTCTCTTCCATACAAAGCATTCCTTTCCTACAAAATTTCTCTGCCTCTCATATAAATATTTAAAAATTATTGGCCGGGTGCGGTGTCTCATGCCTGTAATCCCAGCACTTTGGGAGGCCGAGGCAGGTGGATCATGAGGTCGGGAGATCGAGACCATCCTGGCTAATACGGTGAAACCCCGTCTCTACCAAAAATACAAAAAAATTAGCCGGGCAAGGTGGTGGGCACCTGTAGTCCCAGCTACTCGAGAGGCTGAGGCAGGAGAATGGCATGAATCCGGTAGGTGGAGCTTGTGGTGAGCCAAGATCGCGCCACTGTACTCCAGCCTGGGCAGCAGAGTAAGACTCCATCTCAAAAAACAAAAAACAAAAAAACACAATTATTATTGTTAGGCTGGGTGTAGTGGCTCACACCTGTAATCCCAGCCCTTTGGAAGGCAGAGGCAGGTGGATCACTTTGAGCTCAGGAGTTCAAGACCAGCCTGGGCAACATGGCAAGACCACATCTCTACTAAAAATACAAAAATTAGCTGAGCTTGGTGGTGCGCACCTGTGGTCCCAGCTACTCAGGAGGCTGAGGCTGGAGAATTATTTGAACCTGGGAGGCAGAGGTTGCAGTGAGCTGAGATCATGCCACTGTACACCAGCCTAGGCGACAGAGTGAGGCCCTGTCTCAAAAAAAAAAATATATATATATATATATACATATATATAAAATTATTATTATTTTGGAGACAGAGTCTTACTCTGTCACCTGGGCTGAGGTACAGTGGTGTGATCATAGCTTTCTGCAGCCTCCAACTCCTGGGTTCAAGCAATCCTTCTGCTTCAGCCTCCTGAGTATCTATGACTACAGGCATGCACCACCATGCCCCACTCATTTTTTTTTTAAGTTTAGTAGAGATGGGGTCTCATTATATTGCCCAGGCTTGTTTTCAGATTCTTTTGAATGAAAAAATTAGGACACCACTGAGAGTTGCTAAAAAGTTCCTCCTAAGCGCCACCAGATGGATGCATCTGGTTATAAATCCAGGTAAGTAATCCAAATCAGCAGGTCCTACTCACCCTTACCCTTCCCACATAATTCACAAACCAAGGTAATAAGACCTCAAATAAGGAATGACGCCTGTTTCACAGTTCAGCATGACCAACAGCTGATATCTAAACAATGCCCCCAAGCTGGCAAGTAAAACCCAAACATAACCCAAAGCCATCTGTGGGTGGCTCCTCTGCCCTTCCGAGGTCTGATTAAATTGGAACAAATCCAAGTTCTATGTTCCATGATAGTCCAAAGTTCTCCCACAATGCCTGTGAGCTCCCTGGGCTTGCCTCCTCCTGCGTCCTGCTAGCTATTTTTAAATGTGAGCTCTATTTTGTTCCAAGATCATTAGGATATTTAGCCCCTTCACCAATTTCCACAAGAAAATTAATTCATTCCAATATTCAGAGGTTCCTTTTTTATTTCTTAGCCAGTGATTAAGGAATCCATTATGTAACCCAGAGCCATTCTCTCTACTCTTTTCTTAATTTTTCCTTCTAAAATGGGGAGTTCCATTTTCTTAATTTTTCATTCTAAATTGGGGAGTTCCAAATTTTTTTTCTCTCTCTCTCTTAGGCAAAGCAGTTCATGTCCTTCCTGGAAGTTTTAGTATCTGCCAGTACTGATGCCCAGTTTGCATTTTAAAAGCTCCTTCTAGCTGCTAGATGCTGAAAAGACTGAAAGGAGGCAAGGGGATAGGCAAAGGGACCAGTATCAGGTTATTTTAGGAGATGATGGTGGCTTGAACCAGGTAGTGGCAAAGCTCGTAAAGACAAGTGCATGAATAGGAATATTTTGGAGGAGATGCTGCAGTACTTGCTTATAGATTGGATTGTAGGTGGGTGTTAAGAGAGAAGAATCCCGGATAACTTGCCCACCTCTGGATTTGGCGCTGGAGGTCCCAATTACTAATGGGGAAGGCTAGGGAGAAGTAGGTTTGAGTGGTGTATAGCTAAGGCTTGGTTCAGTTGCTTGTAACAAAATGTCTGCTATACATAGTAGCTTAAACAAGTAATGGCGGCCAGGTGCGGTGGCTCACGCCTGTAATCCCAGCACTTTGGGAGGCCGAAGCGGGCAGATCACGAGGTCAGGAGATCGAGACCATCCTGGCTACCACGGTGAAACCCTGTATCTACTAAAAATACAAAAAATTAGCCAGGTGTGGTGGCATGTGCCTGTAGACTCAGCTACTCGGGAGGCTGAGGCAGGAGAATCGCTTGAACCTGGGAGGCGGAGGTTGCAGTGAACCTAGATTGCACCACTGCACTCCAGCCTGGGCGACAGAGTGAGACTCCATCTCAAAAACAAAACAAAACAAAAAAACAAGTAGGGCATCATTTTTTTCCTGTAACATCCCAGAACTAATGTTGGGATCCCATGATGTTGCTTCCCAGAGTCCTTCTAACCTTCTGCTTTTTCACTCTCGGCTTGTGGACCTCACGATCATGAAGTCGCTGCTCTACTTCCGTGCATGTTCCATGCAGAAAAAAAAAAAGAGAGAGTGTGTTCTGCCCACTTTTGAAAAGCTTTCCTGGAGGCCCTATCCAGTAACTTCTGCTCATACCTCCAGGCAGAATTGTCATGTGATCACTTCTAACAATAAAGGAGCTTGGCTAGCAATTTTTTAGCTAGACATGTTACTATTCTAAACAACGTGGGGATACTTGCTAGCAAAGAACCAAGAGAGAATGCAGCTAGAAGCATCTGTTCCAGGTAGAAATCAGTTCAGTTTAGAACATGTTAAGTTTAAGATGCCATGGGGAAAATGTCCAGGTGACTTTTTTTTTTTTTTTAATTCTTGAGACAGAGTCTCCCTCTGCTCTGTCACCCAGACTGGAGTGCGGTGGCATGATCTCAGCTCACTGCAGCCTCAACCACCCGGGCTCAAGCGATCCTCTCACCTCAGCCTCCCGAGTAGCTGGGACTACAGGCACACCCCACCACACCTGGCTAATTTTTGTATTTTTCGTAGAGACGAGGTTTTGCCATGTTGCCCAGGCTGGACACAGGAGGCTCTTCAGCCCATTAATCGATGGAGCCTGGAAGACATCCTGGGCAGGAGATATAAATTTGGGAGTGTTCAGTCTGCTGATGGCCTTTGTCTTTTTACTTGCGGTGGAAAGTGTCCTAGTTGATTCAGAAGAGGTTAGTTATGCAGGAGAAAAGAAATAATCCAGGTAGCCTAGGAAGGTTAGGAGAAATGCATCCCAAGTACATTAACCTTTGGTAGGAGGAGAGAAGCTGCCTCCATTTTCACAGAAAGAAAAGTGAAGATGGGCCCGGTGTGGTGGTGCATGCCTGTAGTCCCAGCTAATCGGGAGGGTGAGGCAGGAGAAAGGCTTGAACCTGGGAGGCGGAGGTTGCAGTGAGCCGAGATTGTGCCACTGCACTCCAGCCTGGGCAACCCAGTGAGACCCTGTCTCAAAAACAGAAAGAAAGAGAGAGAGAGAGAGAGAGAGAAAGAGAGAAAGAGACAGACAGAAAGAAAGAAAGAAAGAAAGAAAGAAAGAAAGAAAGAAAGAAAGAAAGAAAGGAGTGAAGATGGATGCATATGCAGAAAAGTTTGTAGTCTTGACCATAAAAAGACAAAGTCTCTGGTCTAATCTGTTTTAATCTCTCAGTGAAGCATCAGGTAAGAATAGTTGAGGGGTGAGGCTTGAGAACCGTGTGAAAGGATAAAATTGTCATCAAGTTTTGCGAGTAAGGAAATTTCCTGGAGAATCTCTGGGGTTACTGGGCAGTGTCGTGTGTGCCTTTGTGTTGTTTGTGATCATTAGAGGAAAACCAGTCAGTCTAGTTAAGTAATTTTCGCCAACAATGTTCAGGGGCTCATGGGAAGGCGTGGAAAAGTCAGTGATTGCTTTTACTCGGGGTTAGGGTTATGCCAGGCGTGACTGATGGAGGAAGAAAAAAGCAAGGAAGCTGAAAGCATTTGCCAGGGAGTGATTATAACAAAGCACCTTGGAATCTTTTTTTTTTTTTTTTTTTTTGAGACAGGGTCTCTGTCACCCACGCTGGAGTGCAGTGGCATGATTATAGCTCACTGCAGCATCAACTTCCTCAGGCCCAGGTTATCCTCCCTCTTCAGTCTCCCAATTAGCTGGGACCACAGACATGCACCACCTTACCTGGCTAATTAAAAAAAAAAATTTCGTAGAGCTGGGGTTTCACCACATTGCCTATGCTGGTCTCAGACTCCTGGCTTTAGGCCATCCACCACCTCAACCTCCCAAAGTACTTGGATTACAGGTATGAGCCACTGCGCCCAGCTGGAATCCTATCTGAACTAAATTGAACTGAAATTTATGCCCACTCTGATAATAGTAATACAAAGCTAGAAAACCAGAACCAAGGAAAAAAGAGAACAGAAATAAAATACCCATAAACTGTTTAAGTTGAGCTTTATGCTGTGTCGACTCAGCCAACTCATGATTCCTGGTTCCTCTCCTGGCAGGAATCTTTTCATGAGGCCTGGCAAGTGTGGTGAACGAATTAGCAAACACCAGCATTGCATTTTAGCGCCAGCCAGAACAAGCATGCCCAGAAGTGTCCAGGCAGAGCTCTCAGCCTCAGCTTTGGGGACCCAACCAGGAAACGTTTCTTCTTCCCAGCCTTTCAGAAAGATCAAAGACTACAGACCACTCACTTCCTGACTCCCGTTTTCCTGCCAAAAGCTTCTAGCTGGGCAGGTAGTACTCTGGCAGGGAAATGGTTTGTTGTTGTCAAACCCCCGCCCCATACAAAGAGAATCTTGGGGAGCCAACATGGGGCTGGTGGGGTACATGTGAAATGAGATTGTCTGATGTCTGTGTGGAGGCAAGGAGATGGCAAGATGGGAGTGTGTGGTGCACACAAGTCAGTATCGGGGAGATGATAACCTGGAATGAGATCATGAGATAGCAAGCATAGCCCTCCACATACATTGTGTGGTCTCAGAATGCCAGGCAGGAGTTGCGGCTGGGAGACACTTCTGAGATGATGGAGTACAGTCCCGGGACCTCAGTGATGTGTGCAGAGTGGGGCATTAGGGAATACAAGACCATTTCGATTACACATAGGTACACACACATTCACCCTCACACCTAGATCACCACTAACAACCGAGATCCCTGGGTTCCCTGCTGCTGGGGTCTAAATGTTTGTGTTCCCACAAAATTCATATGTTGAAATTCTAGTCCCAAGATAATGGTGTTAGTAGGTGGGGCCTTTGGGAGGTGATCAAGTCATGAGGGTGAAGTCTTTAGGGGATCTGAGTCCTCAGGAAAATCCTTTTCCAGAAGTATTTGCCTTTTCAGAACCTTTTATAGAAAACACTAATGTAGAAAACACCACTGCAAGAAATGCCTTTGAAGAAAACATTTTTATGGAAAATGCTACTATGCCAGAAGGCACCATCTCTGAAAACAACCTACAATCATCCTCCTGCGGCAGATTCCGCTGGGACTGCATTAAACTTAGAGACGACTGTTAAACAAACCAGGGAAACACAGTTGGAATACAACAACGTGGGCACTGACCTGTCCCCCGAACCCAAAAGCTTCAATTACCCATTGCTCTCATCCTCAGGTGACCAGTTTGAAATTCAGCTAAACCAGCAGCTATGGTCCCTCATCCCCAACAACGATGTGAGAAGGCTTGTTTCTCATGTTATCCGGACCTTGAAGACGGACTGCACTGAGACCCATTTGCAACTGGCCTGTGCCAAGCTCATCTCTAGGACAGGCCTCCTAATGAAGCTTCTCAGTGAGCAGCAAGAATTGAGAACTGTATCAATGACAGCATGGAAGCCCAGAATGAACAGAAAGAGCAGAAGTCGAATGAGGTGAGGACCACACAGAAACATGAGACCCAGACTTTCCCATCATTTAGCATATGCCAGGAAAGTGCCCACACAGGAGAACCTGGGACTCCCAGAGCATAGCTTGTCTTGGCCATGTAACTTTGACCATGACAATGATCTCCCACTTTACTCATTTAGAGAGTGAAATAGATTAGTACACAAGATAAACTGTAGGCCAGGTGCAAAGGCTCACACCTGTAATCCTAGCATTTTGGGAGGTTGAGGTGCATCAATCACTTGAGGTCAGGAGTTTGAGACCAGCTTGGTCAACATAGTGAAAACCTGTCTCCAGAAAAAATACAAGGATCAGCTGAGTGTGGTGACAAGTGCCTGTAGTCCCAGCTACTTGGGAGGCTGAGGTGGGAGGATCACCTGAGCCCAGGGAGGTAGAGTGTGTAGTGAACCGTGATCGCACCACTGTACTCCATCTAGCCTGGGCAACAGAGTGAGACCCTGTCTGAAAGAAATAAAAAGAACCTGTAAGCTACTCACCTGTAATACTGGGGTTTTGAATAGTTAGCTTTCATCCTCTTCATCCTCCTTGTTTTTTTTTAAAAATGTTCTTTCCTTTTTTTTTTCTCACTAAAAAAGTTCCAGGATATGGCTATAACAACACACTCATCTCGAGAAAAACATTTTTATGGAAAACACTACTATGCCAGAAGGCACCATCTCTGAAAACACAACCTACAATCATCCTGCTGAGGCAGATTCCGCTGGCACTGCGTTCAACTGTGACTATAATAGTGTGCGGGGGCCGGGCATGGTGGCTCACACCTGTAATCCCAACACTTTGGGAGGCCGAGGCGGGTGGATCATGAGGTCAGGAATTTGAGACCAGCCTAACCAACATGGTGAAACCCCGTCTCTACTAAAAATACAAAAATTAGCCAGGCGTGGTAGTGCGTGCCGGTAATCCTAGCTACTCAGGAGGCTGAGGCAGGAGAATCACTTGAACCGGGGAGGCAGAGGTTGCAGTGAGCCGAGATCGTGCCATTGCACTCCAGCCTGGGTGACAAAGCAAGACTCCATCTCAAAAAAAAAAAAAAAGTGTGTGTGGGGCGCACAGCAACATAGTCAAGCTTATGTAGAAGGCATTTGAGGTTGGGACATGGAAAAATACTGAGGCACTGTGTGTATGTTATTTGTGCATGAGAATGAAACTCCTTGACCCTGAAAACAGGACAGGGAGTGGAGCGTGTGGTGTGATAAGGAACGCTGAAAACAGCCTCCTGAGAATACGGTTTGAGTGCTCTTACAAGGCCACAGGTGTCTCACGACCTGACCTCAAGGCAAGCGGATCACCTGAGGTCAGGAGTTCCAGACCAGCCTGGCCAACATGGCGGAACCCCGTCTCTACTAAAAATACAAAAATTAGCTGGGCATAGTGGCTCATGCCTGTAATCCCAGCTACTCGGGAGGCTGAGGCACGAGAATCGCTTGAACCTGGGAAGTGGAAGTTGCAGTGAGCCGAGATTGTGCCACTGCACTCCAGCCTGGGTTACAGAGTGAGAATGTCTCAAAAAAAAAGAAAAAGAAAAAGAAAAAAGAAAAGAAAACATCATTTGCATATACTCACAACTTAAAATAAGCAAATTAATAAGGCTGTGGCGGGTCGGGGGGCAGTTAAAAAAAAAAAATCTTTAGCCAGGTGCAGTGGCTCATGCCTGTCATCCCAGCACTTTGGGAAGCCGAGGCTGGTGGATCACCTGCGGTCAGGAGTTCGAGACCAGCGTGACTAACATGGCAAAACCCCATCTCTACAAAAAATACAAAAATTAGATGGGCGTGGTGGCGAGTGACTATAATTCCAGCTACTTGGGAGGCTGAGGCAGGAGAATCATTTGAACCCAGGAGATGGAGGTTGCAGTGAGCCGAGACCACACTGTTGCACTCCAGCCTGGGCGACAAGAAAAAAACTCCATCTCAAAAAAAAAAGAAAAGCAAAAAAACTTTGATTAATCTTATTCCTGATTCATTCCCTAAATCTTTTTTTTTCCTTTTTTTTTTTTTTTTTTTTTAGACAGTCTCACTTTGCCAGCCATGCTGGAAGGTGGTGGCACAATCATAGCACACTGCAGCCACAATCTCCCAAGCTTCAGGTGAGCCTCCCACCTCAACCTCTCAAGTAGCTGGAACTACAGGCATGCCCCATCACACCCAAGTAATTTTTAAAATTTTTTGGTAGAGATGAGTTTCTTACTATTTTGCCCACGCTGGTCTTCAACTCCTGAGTTCAAGCAATCCTCTCACCTTGGTCCCCCAAAGTGCTGGGATGACAGGAGTGACCCACTGCACCCGACCACCATTCCCTAATTCTTTCCTAGAAAATTGCCAAGTCAGAGGCTGCTTCAGAGAGATTCTGCCCCAAGTGGATTAGAACCACAGGGAGGCTCTCAATTTAAATTTACCTTCCTCTCATCCCACAAATGCCTGGACACAGAAACACTGCACCTAGTTATATTTTTAAAATTTATTTTAATTAACAAGTACAAATTATAAATATGTATGGAGTACAACATGATGTTTTGATATCTGTGTACATTGTGGACTGGCTACATCAAGCTTCTTAACATTTTATTACCACTGATGAGGTTAAAATATGCTAGTCTGGTGCACAGAGTAGTTAAGCTAAATGCACTTGAAAGATGGCAGGTGCAAGAAGATAGCTCTGATCTTCATGCTATTTCTTTTTTTTTTTTTTTGAGATGGAGTCTCACTGTGCTGCCCAGACTGGAGTGCAGTGGTGCAATCTTGGCTCACTGCAAGCTCCGCCTCCGGGGTTCATGCCATTCTCCTGCCTCAGCCTCCTGAGTTGCTGGGACTACAGGTGCCCGCCACCACACCCTGCTAATGTTTTTTTTTTTTATTTTTTTTTTATTTTTAGTAGAGACGGGGTTTCACCATGTTAGCCAGGATGGTCTCCATCTCCTGACCTCGTGATCCGCGTGCTTCAGCCTCCCAAAGTGCTGGGATGACAGCCTTGAGCCACCGCACCTAGCCTACTATAATATTTTTAAAATGTAAAAACCATTATTACCTTGCAGGCTGTACAAAAATAGGCAGTAGGCTGGATTTGGCCAGTTTGCCAACTCCTGATCTAATCTTTAGTTCATATTCAGATTTTACCCGTTGTTTCAACCATGATCTTTATAATTATCTGCGCCTCTCCCCAGCCATGTAATTCAGCTTCATCTCGTTATCATATCTCTTTAACAGTTCCTCAATCTTTCTTTGACTCCATGACCTTGACACTTTTGAAACTTACAAACTAGCTGTTTTGTAGAAGGTCCCCCAATTTGAGTTTGTCTGCTGTTTCCTCATGGCTAAATCCAGATTATGTATTTCAGTCAGGAAACCACAGAATTGATGTTGTGTCCTTCTCAAGGCATAATATGAGAAAGCACAGATAATATCTGTTGGTCTCATTGATGATATTGACTTTGACCTCTTATCTGTCAGGTTTTTCCACCGTAAAGTTACCTTTTTCCCCTTTAATAAACAATCTGTGAAGAGATACGCTTAGAACATGTAGACACTCTGTTCCTTATTAAACTTTCACCTTCTTTTAGCTTTCATGATTCTTGCCTGAGTCAATTATTAATAAATGGTTTCAAAACTGTGGCATTCTACTGTCAGGAATTTTTTTTTTTTTTTTTTTTCCTTGAGACAGGGTCTCTCTCACTCTGTGACCCAGGCTGGAGTGCAGCGATGCGATCTCAGCTCACTGCAACCTCCGCCTCTCAGGCCCAAGCGATTCTCGTGCCTTAGCCTCCATAGTAGCTGGGACTATAGCTGTGTGCCACCATGCCAGGCTAACTTTTGTGTTTATAGAAGAGATGGGGTTTCGTCATGTTGGCCAGGGTGGTGTTGGACTCCTGGCCTCAAGTGATCCACCCACCTTGGCCTCCCAAAGTCCTGGGATTGCAGGCGTTGAGCCACTGAGCCCAGCCCTCCTTTTCTTACTTCTGTGTTTATGAACTCTTGGTAACTTATTTTAGGGGTGATAAAATATGTTCATCCATTAACATATTTTCTGTTACTTATTGATTGATTGATTTTTACCTTAAACTATTAAGGGTTAACCATTAACATGTTAATTGCTATCGTTAATTGTAGGGTGCTACAATAATAAAATGCTAATTTTATTGCCGGTTTTTATGTGCAGATTGTCTTAGATTTGGCCAATGGAAGCTCCTTTAAGGTGGTTTCTGTGTTCCTTTTGACACATCCCTTACTCTTTCGTGTTTCCATCATATTTTGCACACTTTCTTACTGACTGACGCAAAAGGATGTTTCAGGGTTTTTTTGTACTTTCGTTGCCCTTGTCTCAGCCCAGCCATCCATCAAGAGGCAGAAGTCCCACCACAGAATTACAGCAGACGCTACCCAAGTGGAGACAGGAGGGTAGAAGGAGAGGCTGGAAGGGGAAGCTAGGATGAGATGACATTCCAAGACGTGCAGCATGTTTGCATGCCAGAAATGACATCGCTGATAGGGGTTTACAGAAATCTCATTAGTAACCTTCCCTAAGTTTGTTCTTACCTACAAAAGGAATCTACTTCACCTGTACTGGAAAGCTGAAAGTGCAGGGGGCCGAAGGCCCGTGGGACATGACCAACTCAGCATTCCGCTGGAGGCTATATGATCAAACAGCAAATTGTTTATCATGAATGCAGGATGTGGGCAAACTCACACTGCCCTGCCACCAAAAGCTTTGCTGAGGGATATCACTCCCTGGCGCCGGGCTCTTTTGTACTCTTTGTACTCTTTCTCTTTATTTCTCAGACCGGCCGACGCTTAGGGAAAATAGAAAGAACCTACGTGGAAATATTGGGTGTGAATTCCCCCGATAGTTATCTACTGAGAAAATTAGGGCCTATTGTTCAAAGGATGCAGTCTCGCAAGCCTGCTGTGAACCAGACGGCCGACTGACAATTACTCAACAATCACCCCTGCTTCTCGCTATCTCTTTTACCTAATAAATACGGAGGGCTGTGTAAAGCTCAGGACCCTTGTCCACTAGACGCTAGGTTCCCCCTGACTCCTTCTTCCAAATATACTCTTTTGTCTACTGTCTTTTATTCCCGCGTTTGCCCCCTTTGTTCAGTCCAATAGATCCGCGGCATAGTGGCACCCCCAACAGCAACAGAATTGGGCTGTCAACGTGAATGGAACAGACAAAAGTGTAGGACTTTGACATGGACTGAGATTCAAATCTCAACCCTGCTACTGACTAGCTATGTGATCTTGTCTACGTTGTTTTACCTCTCAGACTTTCAGTTTCCTGAGGCTCCAAGGAAGATGATGGTAATATTTGCTTCTGAAACTGCCCCTATAAACTTTATAAAATTAGGCCGGGCACGGTGGCTCACACCTGTAATCCCAGGACTTTGGGAGGCTGAGGCGGGTGGATCACCTGAGGTCAGGAGTTCACGACCAGCCTGACCAATATAGTGAAACTCTGTCTCTACTAAAAATACAAAAATTAGCCTGGCGTGGTGGTGTGTGCCTGTAGGCCCAGCTACTCAGGAGGCTGAGACAGGAGAATTCCTTGAACCCGGGAGGTAGAGGTTGCAGTGAGCCAAAATCATGCCACTGCACCCCAGCCTGGGAGACAGAGCAAGACTCCATCTCAAAAAATACATAAAATTAATCAGGAAAGAAGGGAGGGAGGGAGAAACAAAAACAAACCAAGCTGGCAGCAGGTTCAGCATTCATGATTAACTCGGCACACTCTCCCATCTGCTTCCTCACACTTTGGTGCCTATTGTTCTAGAATCACTAGACCCAGTTACAAGATTATAGTTCACCTTAACTGCTCTTTAAATAGCAACTCGAACATTATGAAATGTTGTTTTCACTTTGAGATATTCCTTCAGGTCCTGATATGGAAGAAACTACTGATGTCAGCTGAAGGACCACACTGATGCAGCTGTCCTGAAGGACTCCCCGAGGAGCTACCTCATCAAAAAATACAGTTTCCACTTTGCGATGATTTTATCCCCCTTGCCCCAACCGACCAGCAACCCCAATTTTCCAGCCCCTCACTCTCCACAATCCTCTTAAAGCCCCAGGCCAGAACTTCTTGGGAGACAGATTTGAGGGTTTCCTTCCACTTCCTTGCTGGGTGGCCTGTGATCATTAAACTCTTTCTTTGCTGCATCCCTGCTGTCTTAGTGTAATTGGTCTATACTATGCAGTGGGCATGCAAACCTGTTGATGACCCCTCCTTGGGTCATCATGAGGACTAGAAATACTGGATACCAAGGGCTATTCTAGTGCAAGATTGCATCTCCTCTGTGCTGTGCAGAGAGGATAATCACTATCTCTTCAAACGCAGTGTCCCACATATATTCAGGAATTCCTGCAATTATGAGACAAATATTACTGTTTGTTGTTATAATTATTTCTCAAGCATTATCCCACCAGACCAATGAAATGGAAGTTGTAGAGAAAAAAGTGGGGGACAAATCTGTCTGTTTTTGTTTGTTTGTTTGTTTGTTTTTGAGAAAGAGTCTTGCTCTGTCGCCCAGGCTGGAGTGCAGTGGCATGATCTTGCCTCACTGCAACCTCCACCTCCTGTATTCAAGTGATTCTCCAGCCTCAGCCTCCCAAGGAGCTGGGACTACAGACGCCCGCCACCATGCCCAGCTAATTTTTGTAGTTTTAGTAGGGATGGGGTTTCACCATGTTGGCCAGGCTGGTCTCGAACTTCTGACATCAAGTGATCCACCCGCCTTGGCCTCCCAAAGTGCTGGGATTATAGGCATGAGCCACCACCCCTGACTAAGTCTGTCTGTTTTTGAAGTACAAAAAAAAAATCCAAAAGAAATTTCCACCAAACAGATAACAATGACTTTTGCTTTTTATAGCGTACACATCTGTATCATCTGAATTATTTGATAAAAAAGCATTTTTTAATTACTTGTTTGTTACTGCTTTATTGTTTTAAGTGAACTGTTCCCTCCACAGTTAGATCAGAACTCATTGAAACCTAAGATCAGAGAACTGAATTGAGTAGAGTTTTGTCTTGGGGTAAAGCAAAGGAAAATCTTTTTCCTTGATCCTTTATTCCATATTCTAACTCTCTGTGTGCGAGTATGTAACAGCCGTGATTTAACTTAATCACCATGACTTGACAAGCTGCAGCCTTTGAGACTGACTGAGTCATCAAGTTTGGGAAACAGATTTTGTTTGACCTGGTGCGGCCCAATCTTATCTGTATCTTCAATTTAAGGACAAGTGAGTAAATATGTGAGCCACTCTGTGTTTCTGGCACTTTTTTCTCTTATTCTTACTTTGCAAAGACTTTTTATGCCTGCAATTTTATTAACACTTCTAATATCCAAAAGAAACAGTGATTCTGTAACAAGTTATCTTAAAAGAAAAAAAAAAGAGAGAAGCAGAATGCGATATGTAACCCAATACCGTTTCTATAAATTAAATGTATATGACCACAGTGCACATTATGTAAGAACATGGAAAAAAAAACTGTATGCAAATCAAATACATCACAGTAGTTACCTATAGTAGGAGGAGAAAAGCAGGAAATTGAGTTTTTTTGGTTTTCTTTTGAGACGGGATCTCACTTAGACACCCAGTCTAGAGTGCAGTGCCACGATCGCAGCTCGCTGCAGCCTCCACCTCCCAGGTTAAAGCTATGTTGCCCACGCAAGTCTTGAATGCTTGGCCTCAAGTGGTCCTTTTGTCTCAGACTCCAAAAGTGCTAGGATTACAGGCATGAGCCACAGCACCCAGCCTGGGAATGGAGTTTTGTTTTATATTAAGTTACATAAATTAATGAGAAGGGAGAGAGTGAGAAAGAAAGAATTTGGCAGACCAGTGGGGATAAAGTGCCACCAACTCTGATTAGTGTGAAGAATTCAACTCTCGGCATTGTGTTTTTAGGGTCCATCCAAGTTGCTTTATGTACATGGAACCCAGTGCTTCTGATGCTGTGTATATCCTGTGGCATGCGTCCACCACGCTTGGTCCACACACTCTGTTATGGGCTGAACTGTGTCTTCCCCAATTTCATGTGTTAAAATCCCCAAGTCCCAGTACTCAGAATGTAACTGTATTTGTAGATAGGGCCTTTAAAGAGGTAATTAAGGTTACATGAGGCCATATTAGTGAGCCCTAATCCATTTGACAGTATTTGAAGACAAGGCCTTCAAAGACGTGTTTAAGTTAAACGGAGGCTGACAAGTGGGGCTCTAATCCAATATGGCGGGTATCCTTACAAGGAGAGACATTGAGCCAGGTGTGGTGGTGGGCCTGTAATCCCAGCTTCTAGGGAGGCTGAAGGAGGATCACCTGAGTCCAGGAGTTCAAGGCTGCAATGAGCTATGATGCCCACCATTGCACTCCAGCCTGGGTGACAGAGCAAGACCTCAAAATAATTAAAATTAAATAAATAAATTAAAGACATTGAATCTTCACAATGACTGGAAGTTAGGCATTCTTCTTATCCCCATCTTGCAGATGGCTGAACTGAGTGAGGCAAGGAGAAGGTAAGTAAGTCTTTGAAAGCTACACCACTAGTAAGTGGCAGGTGCAGGCTTCGAACCTGCAGTCGTCTAATACCAACGACTTAGCTTCACGTTCAACCCCTGCCTGAGACCACCTCTCCTTGCAGAAGCCAGGTCAAGGCCTGATGTTTGCTAGGGTGTGATGGGTGGGGTGCCTCAGTGGCAAGAGTGCTCACTCCTGCCTGGGGGAGTCTGGCAAGGGTTCACAGAGGTGACCTTGAATTGGCTGGTGGAAGGCGAGTAGGTGTTCAGCAGGCGGACTGGGGACAGACAGGCAGGGTGTCTGCACCGCAGCCCTGGGCGAAAGCTTGCACTGCGGGCAAGCGGCAGGGCTGACGGGGAGCCCAGGGATCGGAGCCAGCACCGGGGGCTTATTAGGGCTGCGGCCGCCCCAGGCCCTGCCTTTGGACCCTTCCGGCCTGCTTGGCAGATGCCACGGTTGGTTCCCCCACGGGGCATATTTCCGCCGGGCTCCAACTTAGGACCCCAGGCGGAGGTCCAGTGTCAGCTGGACAAAGCTCTGTTAGGAATTTTCCTATCAGGAGTCCCTAACCCCCTACACGCACACACACGGGCGCGCGGGCGCGCACGCACACACACGCACACATGCACACATACGCGCGCGCACATGCACATAGGCACACAGAGATACGCGCACACACACACACAAACGCACTCAGATTTCCCGGACCCTGGTTTTCCTCCTGTGACCCTTTCGGGGCCGGGCTCTCACCCTAAAGAAGCAGCCCCGCCCTGGGGTGGCCCCACCCTCTCTTGGGACCTGTCATAAGTCGGACCCCGGGCGCCCGGCTGCGCAGTCCCAGCCGCCTTCCCCAGGCAGTGGAACCTTCGGGCTCCTGTAAGTAGACCTCCTGCTTTCTTTCCTTCCCTTTTCTCCCTCCTCTAACCCCCTTGCTTTCTTCCTGCCAAGTTTCTAGACGCCCCAGTGGAGGAGGTTTGCTCTTAGACCTCCTCCCCTTACGTCGAAATGACCGCTGGGTCTTGCACTCGGAGGATCTTGGGAGCCGACGTCCCGACGCCTCCCGCCCCCGCAGTTCCTTGGAGAGCTTGGAGCCGCGCGCCGGAGGGAATAGGAAAGCTTGGTTACAACCCGGGACACCCGGTAGCTTCCTGCACCCGGGAGGGGGCTGGCCAGGGAACTTGCTGGACTGCACAACTGGGGGAGGGTAGAAGAAGAAAGATCGGGGTGGGGATTCGGGAATGGGCAAGCGGGCGGCGGGCGGCGGGAGGCGAGGGTGGGAGCAAAGGGCGAGCGGGCAAAGGCCGGGCGCCGCGCCAGGCCCCCTCCTCGGGCGGGCGAGACTTTCCCGGGACCTGGCCCCTCTGCGGCCAGACCCTTTCCAGGAGGGCTTCTGGACTTGTAGCGAGTTTGGAAGCCCAGCGGTTGCTTTTTTGGGGAAAGGGACAAAGATGTGTGAACTCTAAAGAAGTTGAACTCATAGAAATAACGACTAGAATGATGGTTGCCAGAGGCTGGGAGCGGGTTCGGGGGGGAATGGGGGCTTGTTGGCCAAAGGGTACGAAGTTCAGAGACGAGAGGAGTAGGTTCTGAGATCTGTTGCACAGCAGAGTGACTAGAGCCAATAATGTGTATTTCGAAATAACAGAGTAAACTGCAAATGTCTCACCGTAAAAATGATACGTAGGGCCTGGCGCGGTGGCTCACGCCTGTAATCCCAGCACTATGGAAGGTCGAGGCGGGCGAATCATTTGAGCTCAGGAGTTCTAGACCAGTCTGGCCAACATGGGGAAACCCCGTCTCTACTAAAAGTACAAAAATTAGCTGGGCGTGGTGGCGGGCGCCTGTAATCCCAGCTACTCAGGAGGCTGAGACAGGAGAACCGCTTGAACCCGGGAGACGGAGGTTGCAGTGAGCTGAGATCGCGCCATTGCACTTCAGCCTGGGCGACAGAGCGAGACTCCGTCACAAAAAAAGTCTTAATTTTAAAAAAAGAAAAGAAGGAACAACCCCGGGCTGCAGATCAGACCGCCCCCCTGGCTCCCTCGCAATGCGGGAGTGCTCCCTCCAGGTCACCGTGTCCCCTCCCGCGGCACCGGTAGGGGAGCTGGGGAGATCACTGGCAGCTCCAAATGGTTTCGTAACTGGATTGTTTGTAGCGGATGCACCCGCGGGAAGGCGCAGGTCCCAAGTGATTCGGCAGAGTTCAGTCCAAGCAGAACATCCTGAACCCCCAGCTCGGGGCAGCCTTCATCATCTTCCCTTGCTTTGGTGCAGCGTTTCAGCTCAAAATCGGTTTGGTGTGGAGTTTAAACTCAAATCCCTACTGGGCCAAAGAAAATTCGCACCCGATGGCTGAGTGCAAGTGGTTCACACCTGTAATCCCAGCACTTTGGGAGACCGAGGCGGGCGGATCGCCTAGGCAACACAGTGAGGCTCCTCTCTACAAGAAAAGAGAGAAAAAAAAGTATTTAAAAAAAAAAAAAACGCACCTGAAAATGGGGCGGAGCAGCGGCGCCCTCCGGTGGTTTTCAGGAGTTCTGAGACTGCCTTGAAATGCGTGGCTGTTTCCATCTGAAAGAGGTGCATGGACTTCTATCTATTGGGTTCTTTGTGTTTGATGCTTTTTCTTAGAATTCACTCCATGTGAGATGAGAAACGGAATGGAATATTCGCACTTCCGGTAACTGTTCAGTGCCGTAGAGAAACTCTAGCCTAGCAGTGGCTGGGAAGAATTTCTTTGTTGTTTTATATTTTTTCCTTGTCTTGAAGATTTCTTTAAACCTCAGTTTCCTCATCCGTACACTGGCAATGATACTAATGTCTATCTTATAGGGAAGTTATAAGGATAAAATGAGGTAATCTATATGAAGTGCTTAGCACAGCACCAGAAACATAGTAAATGTTAAATGAATGTGGTTGGCATGATATGATAATGATGGGATTTGAGGATATTGTAATTGTGCTGTCTGGTCTCAGTTTGACGGCTAGAGAACTGTTAGAATGCAGTCACTTCATGGCAGTTGACTACATATTTACTGTGTTCTAGGAGCTTCAGGATGGTTCGTACTAAGACATGGACCCTGAAGAAGCACTTTGTTGGCTATCCTACTAATAGTGACTTTGAGTTGAAGACAGCTGAGCTCCCACCCTTAAAAAATGGAGGTAAGTCATACTAAAAATATTTCAGAGTTGGAAGGGACTGTATCAGTTAGCTTTTGCTGCATAACAAACTACCCCAAAGTTTAGTGACTTTAAGCAACAACGGTTTATTAGTTCACAATTCTTTGGGTTGGCAATTTGGGCTGAGTTAAGCTGGGTGGTTCTTCTTAGGTCTCATCTGGGGTAAATGGTTAATTTAGGATGGGCCTTGCTCACATGTCTGCTGATTAGCAGGCTTTCTGTTGGGGTGCATGCCTTAGTTCTCATCTATGTGGCCTTTCTAGCAGGCTAGCTTGAGCTCTATTCTTATAGTGGCCCCATAGATCTAGAGCAGCAGTAGTTGGCAAGCTCCAATGTGCAAGCACTTTCTCTTTTTTTTTTTTTTTTTTTTTTGAGACAGAGTCTTGCTCTGTTGCCCAGGTTGGAGTGCAGTGGCATGATTTTGGCTCACTGCAACCTCTGCCTTCTGGGTCCAAGCGATTCTCTTGCCTCAGCCTCCTGAGTAGCTGGGATTACAGGTGTGCGCCACCATGCCCCCCTAATTTTTGTATTTTTTCTGAGATGGAGTCTTGCTCTGTCACCCAGGCTGGATTGCAGTGGAGCAATCTCGGCTCACTGCAACCTTTGCCTCCCAGGTTCAAGCAATTCTCCCTGCCTCAGCCACCTGAGTAGCTGGGATTACAGGCGCCCACCAACACGCCCGGCTAATTTTTTTTTTTTTTTGTATTTTTAGTAGAGATGGAGTTTCACTGTGTTGGCCAGGCTGGTCTCGAACTCCTGACTTCAGGTGATCCACCTGCCTCGGCCTCCCAAAGTGCTGGGATTACAGGCGTGAGCCACAGTGCCCGGCCTTAATGTTTGCATTTTTAGTAGAGACGGGGTTTCCCATCTTTGCCAGGCTGGTCTTGAACTCCTGACCTTAGATGATCAGCCCGCCTTGACCTCCCAAAGTGCTGGGATTAAAGGTGTGAGCCACCATGCCCCGCTGTGCAAGCCCTTTTCAAGCCTCTACTTGTGCCACGTTTGCTAATATCCCATGGTCAAAGCAAATCACAAAACCAAGCTCAGATTCGAGAGGCAGAAAATAGATTTCTTGATGGGAGAAGTGGCAAGGAGACAAGCACACAAGGGTGGGAGTTATTTGTGGCCATTTTGCAATCTGCCACAAAGACCTTTCCAGGGTTCTCAGTGTGAATCCTCGATGTCACATGGCAGGATTCCCCTGCTTTCATTGATAACTGAAATTCATGCTTGAGTGCATTACTCTTCATGGCTTTGACCAGACTATGGGGAGGATGTCCTCTCTATCCTCATAAGCCTGATGATGGCAGTGAGGTAAGCACTGCCCAGTAGCTATACGAAGAGTTCAGACTATAAGATGAGTCTCGGCTGGGTGTGGCGGCTCACACCTGTAATCCCAGAACTTTGGGAGGCTGAGGCAGGCAGATCACAAGGTCAGGAGATCGAGACCATCCTGGCTAACACAGTGAAACCCCATCTCTACTAAAAATACAAAAAATTAGCTGGGTGTGGTGGTGAGCACCTGTACTCCCAGCTATTTGGGAGGCTGAGGCAGGAGAATAGCATGAACCCGGGAGGTGGAGATTGCAGTGAGCCAAGATCGCGCCACTGCACTCCAGCCTGGGCGACAGAGCAAGACTCCATCTCAAAAAAAATAAATAAATAAAGATGAGTCTCTAAGGAGTGTTTACAGGTAGGTAAGCATTTGAGAAAAGGGGACGCAATCAAGTAGCATGACAAAGTGATCAGTCCCATCTAAGCTATGATGGCCATGACTCAAATTCAAAATTCCAAAGAATGAATACATGAGAGTCACTCCAGCAAAATGCATGTTCTCTCACACCAACTGGGGCTGGCGATGAAGCCATATGGTGAGCACTGTAACATAATGGTTTAAATGTGGCCTTGGGCAAGTAACTAAGCCTAACCTAAAATGGAAGCAATATTTGTTGAATATCAAATGACATAATTCGTGTAAAGCATGGAATGAGTGCTGAGTAAATAGCATTACCATTATTATTATTATTATTAACTGGGCTGGGCCAAAAATGAGAACCCCTTCTTGTCTCTGCGATAGAAGCACAGATGGGAAGACATTCCTGAAGCAGAAGTATTATCTGTGGTTTTTTAGAATACCAAAAACAGGCTGGGCATGGTGGCTCATGCCTGTAATCCCAGCACTTTGGGAGGCCAAGGTGGGCAGATCTCTTGAGGTTAGAAGTTCGAGACCAGCCTGGCCAACATGGTGAAACCCCGTCCCTACTAAAAATACAAAAATTAGCTGGGTGCAGTGGTGGGCGCCTGTAATCCCAGCTACTCAGGAGGCTGAGGCATGAGAATCACTTGAACCTGGGAGATGGAGGTTGCAGTGTTCAGAGATCAAGCCACTGCACTCCAGCCTGGGCAACAGAACAAGACTAGGTCTCAAAAAAAAAAAAAAAAAAAAAGAGGCCGGTCGCAGTGGCTCACGCTTGTAATCCCAGCACTTTAGGATGCCGAGACGATGGATCACTAGGTCAGGAGATTGAGACCATCCTGGCTAACACGGTGAAACCCGTCTCTACTAAAAATACAAAAAATTAGCTGGGCGTTGTGAGGCAGGCGGCTGTAGTCCCAGCTACTCAGGAGGCTGAGGCAGGAGAATGGCATGAACCCAGGAGGCGGAGCTTCCAGTGAGCCAAGATCACGCCACTGCACTCCAGCCTGGGTGACAGAGCGAGACTCCCTCTCAAAAAAAAAAAAAAAAAAAGAATGCCAAAAACGAAGGCATCAGGCCTTGAGTTCCGTTTTTTTCTTCAACATTTATGTTAGTTTTAGGGGTACATATGCAGGCTTGTTATATGGGTAAATTGCATGTGGCTGAGGTTTGGTGTACGAATGATCCTGTCACCCAGGCAGTGAGCATGGTACCTCATGGGTGGTTTCTCAACCCTTGTCCCTGTCTCACCCCTCCTGTCTAGTGGTGCTCAGTGTCTATTGTTCCTCTCAGGCCTTGAGTTTCTAATTGCCTATGGAATGCTTTATTTTGTAGAGGTCCTGCTTGAAGCTTTGTTCCTCACCGTGGATCCCTACATGAGGTATTATTTATTTCGCCCCTCAAAATGCTAATGCTGTGTTAAATGCTATCTGGAAGTAGTTCATCTTCTAAAATATCCAACTGACTTAAAACATTGTCACTTTCCTTCTGTTTCTCCCAGCCAGTATCAGTGATAAGATTCATGCACGCTCGTCTTTTGCAGGCAAAGGTCTAAGTAGCTTAGTGAGGGATCACCTCAGTCCCTTTGTCCCAACCATCTCCTATCTGCTCTGCACAATTTGCCTTTCACTGCTCAACAGAATTACTTCCAGAAAAAAAAAAAAAAAGAAGGAAAAAAAAAACCTTAAAAGAAAAAAATAAAGCCTGGGCAACATGGCAAAGCCCTGTCTCTACTAAAAATACAAAAAAAGTAGCCAGGCCTGGTGGCGCAGGCCTGTGGTCCCAGCTGCTCAGAAGGGTGAGGCAGAAAGATCACTTGAGCCTGGGAGGCAGAGGTTGCAGGGAGGCAGAGGTTGCAGCGAGCCAAGATCTTGCCACCGCACTCCAGCCTAGGTAACAGAGCAAGACCCCGTCTCATAAAGAAAAAAGAAGCCAAACCCCAATTTGTGCATTTCACTACTGGCAAGTAATTTGGATAGAGGAAGATGCTAAGACTAAAATCAGTTTTTCTGGCCTTCCATTTACCTGTATTCTTTTAATGTAGGTGAATCTGTGGTTGACTCAAACTTATATACTCAGCAGACAACTCAGGGAGGGGAGGAAATCAAAAGCCTTTATTGACTACTAAGTCCTCAGTATTTTTTTGCCTCGGTAAATAACATAGCCATCATTCTTTTACATTTTTTTCATAGCTGATTGATAAAGATTCAAATCTTAAGTGGAAAATACAGTTTAAAAATGTTAATTGGCATCTTTTTGCGTAGCTAGTGTTTTGGGTAATAACTACCCAGTGGTGCCTGGGTTCTATTTTTAAAGTCATTGGTAGAAATTCATCTTTACTTGAACATGGCAGTAAGACTTTTGTGTTCACTCATAAAAAAATCCAATCAGAGTGCTTATCTGAGGTCACAGAGCAGAACTTCCTCTAACAGCTTTCCTCCTGTATCTCACCTAGTTGTAGCCCTTCATCTGTCTGGGTTTTATTGCCGCATACACTTATCCAGCAGTTTTTCATTTGGCTTGAAACTCAAAACAGTCCCCCGATGCTCCTATGTATTAAGAATGGAATTTTATTTATTTACCTATTTTTTTTTTTTTTTTTTTTTTTTTTTTTTTGCAGAGTGGCAGCCAAAAGATTGAAGGAAGGTGATACAATGATGGGGCAGCAAGTGGCCAAGTAATTATTTCCATTTGTCCCAGTGCTTGGAAAATATGTCTCCTCTTTACCTCCTGCTGGGTCCTGTCTCTGTCCATTGCTCCTACAATTTCTTCAGCCTATGTTGTTGACTCACTGTGTGATCTTGGAATCAACTTGGGAAATTCTGTCTCCTTCCTAACTAGCTGGAAAGGAGGGAAGGATGTGAAATTGTCATTTTTTCAGCTTCACTTTGCCATCCTTACTTTTAATTACTAAAAAAAAAAAAGTATTTGTCCAGGTCATGATTTATTGCGGGATCTGGCCAGCAGCCCACAATGCAACAGGGTTCTCTCTTTGTTCCCAGGTGGATCGGCAGGTTGAGAAATAATAGACACACACAAGATAGTGAAAGCTGGGTCCAGGGGCGTCACCGCCTTCTGGTTCCGTGGTGCCACCAAAGCACTGAATATACCCGCATTTATTATTAAGTTTAGTGAGGGCGGGGGTAGGTTAGTGAGGGATTTAGGGTCATTTGATTATGAGGTGAGATGGTCACATGGGGATGAAGTAATTCTTTAACATACATCTGTATGCAGAAGTACAGTATACAGAGATAAGAATTTACAATATAGTGTGTGCATCAGTAATTTCTAACAGAGCCTTAAAACAGAAACACAGTCTTTCCATAACCTATGATTAGCAAGATATTAATCAGCAGTAACAGTTGCAGCAAAAGCTGGTTACAAACAATCCATAGAAACAGGAGGTGAAGCTAGACAATCAGTTAGACCAGAAATTCTCAGAAGGGAGTATGCCTTAACCGTAAAGAGGGCTAGAAGAGCTGTGGCAAGATGAGGGCATTTACAGCCCTATCTTATCCATATGGACAGGTGCCCCCACATGCGTCCATTTATAGGCTCTCCACAAGGGTTGCATTCCATTCCCAGAGCTATGAAAATCTGCATTTCTGGCATAGGAATCTTGGTGATGTGAAACCTCCCTGACTGCATGTCTGGTCATAGGCTCTCTGCAGGGGGAAGCACATCACACGCTGTTGGCTCATTCTGGCAGTCCAACCTGGCATTGTCTTTACACAATCCTGCATGCAACTTTGTATTCACAATAATCAGGAGCATTTCATCTTTTATTCCGTAGCAATAGTTTCAGGGGGTCTGCCTACAATGATTATTGTAAAAATTCAAATAAAACAAAATTTTTATCTTAGAAACTGAAAGTTCCCCTGTCATCTGAACCTTAAAGACAACTATTGTTAATATATTATTATTTCAAAAATTGTGGGCCAGCAGTGGCTCACGCCTGTGATCCCAGCACTTTGGGAAGCTGAGGTGGGCAGTTCACTTGAGGTCAGGAGTTCGAGACCAGCCTGGCCAACATGGTGAAACCCCGTCTCTACTAAAAAAACAAAAATTAACTGGGTGTGGTAGTGCATGCCTGTAATCCCAGCTACTCGGGAGGCTGAGGCAGGAGAATTGCTTGAACTTGGGAGGTGGAGGTTGCAGTGAGCCGATTGCACCACTGCCCTCCAGCCTGGGCGACAGAGTGAGACTCCATCTCAAAAAAAAAAAAAAAAAAAGAAAAAGAAAAATTGTCCAGTGTACATACTTTTATAAATAAATTTCATTTTATTTTATTATTATTTTTTTTTTGAGACGGAGTCTCACTCTTGTTGCCCATGCTGGAGTGCAATGGCGTAATCTTGGCTCACCGCAACCTCTACCTCCCAGGTTCAAGTGATTCTGATTCTCCTGCCTCAGCCTCCCAAGTAGCTGGGATTACAGGCATGCACCACCGCACCCGGCTAATTTTGTATTTTTAGTAGAGATGGGGTTTCTCCATGTTGGTTGGGCTAGTCTCGAACTCCCGACCTCAGGTGATCCGCCCGCCTTGGCCTCTCAAAGTTTTGGGACTACAGGCATGAGCCACCGTGCCCGGCCTATATATAAATTTTAAATGGAATTATATGACCTTCAGAAAACTGCTATCAATTATTATGTTAAGGATATCTTTCATTGACAGTATATGAATATACCACCTACCTTTTAATAGCTGCAAGTTATTTTTAACTAATCTACTACTGATAACAACTGTTTTCAATTTTTTCTATGACAAATAATTCTTCCAGGAGCATGTATGTATGTATACGTGTGTATCTGTGTATTCTTTACCCTCTTGGATGAGTATTGCTTTACATTAAGTTCCCAGAAGTATAAATTCTAGACCCAAAGAAATGTATATTTTTAACTGAAAAGGTGATGACAAATTGTTCTTCAGAAAAATTACATGAAGGCTGGACGCAGTGGCTCATGCCTGTAATCCCAGCATTTTGGGAGGCTGAAGCAGGAGGATCACTTGAGGTCAGGAATTTGAGACCAGCCTGGCCAACATGTCAAAACCCAATCTCTACTAAAAATAAAGAAATTAGCCAGGTGTGGTGATGGGCATCTGTAATCCTAGCTATTCAGGAGGCTGAGGCATGAGAATTGCTTGAACCCAGGAGGCAGAGGTTGCAGTGAGCTGAGATCACACCTCTGCAGTCCAGCCTGGGCAACAGAGTGAGACTTGGTCTCAAAAAAAAAAATGTATGAATGTTCACTCCCACAAATAGTATTAACCTGTTTCCCTTATACTGTTCATCATCAGTCTCGGCAACCTGAGATAAATATAATGATACTTTATGCTTAGTTTAGTTTGCATTTCTTTTATTATTAGTGATGTTGACCTTCTTTTTGTAAGTTAATTCTCAATTTTCTTCTGTGGATTATCTGTTTATATCCTTTGCCCTTTTCCTTTAGGTCTTATCATTCGTTATATTGATTTGTAAAAGCTTCTCGTATGTTCAGGATATTAGTGTTGCAAATGTTTGGGCCTTTGTTGATATTTCTTCTGTGTCCAATTACAGTTTAAAATTTTATGTGATAAAATTGTAAGTATTTATAATTATGGTCCTTTGGTTTCATCTCATGCTTAGAAAGGGGTTCCCCACTCCATAATTACTAAAATATTTATTCATGCCGGGGGCAGTGGCTCACGCTTGCAATCCCAGCACTTTGGGAGGCCAAGGTGGGCGGATCACTTGAGGTCGGGAGTTCAAAACCAGCCTGGACAACATGGCGAAACCTCATCTCTACTAAAAATACAAAAATTAGCTGGGCACAGTGGTGGGCGCTTGTAATCCCAGCTACTTGGGAAGCTGAGGCAGGAGAATCATTTGAACCAAGGAGGAGGTTGCAGTGAGCAGAGATCGCGCCATTGCACTCCAGCTTTGGATGATAGAGTGAGACTCCATCTCAAAAAAAAAAAAGTATTCATGTTTTCTGTATTTTATACTTTAATTTTTTATGACAAAAATTTTGAGTCATTTAGCTTTTATATTAGAATAATGAGTGGGGGCAGCTTCAGTGGCTCACGCCTGTAATCCTAACACTTTGGGAGGCCAAGGTGGATGGATTGCTTGAATTCAGGAGTTCAAGACCAGCCTGGGAAACATGGCAAAACCCTGTCTCTTAAAAAAACCAAACATCTCATTCTTTATTTTTTTAAATTTTGTGTCTCAATGACTAGCCAGTTATTATAATACCATTGGTAGAAATCGTCTATGGATCTTTACTGGAATTTCAGTGACCTTACAGATTTATTTAGAGGAAACTGACATCTTTACAATTTCTCTCTCCAAACACAAGGTATGCTTCTCCATTTATTCATTTTGTCTTATATCCCATTAACAGTTTTCTTCATATAGGTCTTATACGTTTCTTGCTAATAATTAAAGAAATGAACATGTATTTGTGTTTGCTGGATTGGCAAACTATTTTTGAAAATATAATAGTAATGGAGATAATACACTCATACATTGATGGTGGAAGTGGAAGTTGGCACAACCTTCTAGAAAGGAATTTGGGAATTTGGCAATATGCAGCAAGAGTTACAAATGTTTTAATACTCTTTGACCTAGTAATACCATTTATAGAAATCCTGACTAAGGCAACAGTATTGAGCCAGGTGCAGTCGCTCATTCCTATAATCCCAGCACTTCAGGAGGTCGAGGTGGGTGGATCTAGGAGTTTGAGACCACCCTGGACAACGTGGTAAACCCCGTCTCTACAAAAAAATACAAAAAAGTCTGGGCACAGTGGCTCACGCCTGTAATCTCAGTACTTTGGGAGGCTGAGGTGGGTGGATCACCTGAGGTCAGGAGTTCAAGACTAGCCTGGGCAACATGGTGAAACCTCGTCTCTACTAAAAATACAAAAATTAGCCAGGCGTGGTGGTGGGCGCCTGTAATCCTAGCTATTCAGGGGGCCAAGGGACGAGAATTGCTTGAACCTGGGAGGCGGAGGTTGCAGTGAGCTGAGATCTCGCCATTGGACTCCAGCCTGGGCAACAGATTGAAACTCTTGTCTCAAAAAAAAAAAATTGGCCAGGCACGTGGCTCACGCCTGTAATCCCAGCAATTTGGGAGGCCGAGGCGGGCAGATCACAAGGTCAGGAGATGGAGACCATCCTGGCTAACAGGTGAAACCCCATCTCTACTAAATATACAAATACATGTATATTTATATCTACTAAAAATACAAAAAATTACCCGGGTTTGGTGTGGTGGGCACCTGTAGTCCCAGCTACTCGGGAGGCTGAGGCAGGACAATGGTGTGAACCGGGGAGGCGGAGCTTGCAGTGAGCTGAGATCACGCCACTGTGCTCCAGCCTGGGCAATAGAGCGAGACTCCGTCTCAAAAAAAAAAAAAAAAAATTAGCTGGATGTGGTAGTGTGCTACTGTGGTCCCAGCTACTCGGTCCCAGCTACTCAGGAGGCCAAGGTGGGAGGATCATTTGAGCTCAGGGGAGGTTGAGGTTGCAGTGAGCCATGATCGCACCACTACACTCCAGCCTGAGCAACAGAGAGAGACTGTGTCTCAAAAAAAAAAAAAAGAAAAAATAATAATCACGTTTATGAATATTAATTAAAATATATTTCCTAGCAAGCAGACTCAGAAAAAAGGAAAAAAATAATTAACATTAGGAAAAATACTGAAAGTATCCTAATAATGGGGGTGTAATTAAATTCATTACATTGTTTGAAGGATTCTTACTAACATGGAAAAAAGTATAAATTATATAGACCAACGTAATGTTGACAGATAAATTATTGGTTATAAAACATATAACATTACTTCAATTATGTAAATATGTATAATACATCCGGGCGCGGTGTCTCACGCCTGTAATCCCAGCACTTTGGGAGGCTGAGGCAGACGGATCACGAGGTCAAGAGATCAAGACCATCCTGCCCAATATGGCAAAACCCCGTCTCTACTAAAAATACAAAAATTAGCTGGGCGTAGTGGCACGCGCCTGTATTCCCAGCTATTTGGGAGGCTGAGGCAGGAGAACTGCTTGAACCCGGGAGTCAGAGGTTGCAGTATGCCGAGATGGCACCATTGCACCCAGCCAGGCAACAGAGCGAGACTCTGTTTCAAAAAATAAATAAATAAATACATACATATAGTATACATTTTTAAATATACCATTAAGATTGACAGAAAATACACCCAAATGTTAGCAGTTGTCTTTGTGCTGTCAGATTAGAACTGATATTTTTGTTTTATATGTTTAAAATTTTCTAGAATAAATATGCATTATATAACTTTATGATCTGGGAAGGAAAGATGGTAAAGAAGGATAAAGAGTTGGATGAAGAAAAGGGAATCAGTAAATGAGACAGAAAGGGTGCAGCTTAGAGGAGGAGGCAAAAAGCCAGCAGAGATCAGTACCCTGGGAACCAATGAGGGAAGACTTTTGGGTGACCCTGTGTTAATAGAGTGGAAAAGGGTAGGCTGGGCGCAGTGGCTTACACCTGTAATCCTAGCACTTTGGGAGGCCAAGGCAGGTGGATCACCTGAGGTCAGGAGTTCGAGATCAGCCTGGCTAACATGGTGAAACCCTGTCCCTACTAAATATACAAAAATTAGTCTGGTGTTGTTGTGGTGGGCGCCTATAATCCCAGCTGCTGAGGCAGGAGAATTGCTTGAACCCAGGAAGTGAAGGTTGCAGTGAGCTGAAATCACACCACTGCACTCCAGCCTGGGCGACAAGAGCAAGACTCCATCTTAAAAAAAAAAAGTATGCATATATATATATATATAGAGAGAGAGAGAGAGAGAGAGTGGAAAAGTAAAATCAGACAATGATTAAGGAATATCCACTGGATTTTGTGCTCAGGAGGTTGTTGTGACCTTAGTGGAGTAGTAGGGGTGGAAGGCAGGTTGCAGCGGGTTAGCACATGAATGGGAAGTGAAGAAGTTTGGCTGAAAAAGGAAGACGAAGGGGCAAGGAGCTAGGGGAGGGATGGGATTATAAGATGGCAGACTTGAGCATGCTTATATTTTGAGTGAAAGGGACAGTAGAGAGGAAAATCTCAACGATTCTGGAAAGTGGAAGGCTAAGGGAAAGAGAGCGACACCTGAAGAAGAGAAGGCTAGTGTCCAGGTCACCTTGAGCCACAGGACAGAGGCCTCTTGCTTAAAAGGAAGAGATGTGGGTGAGAACAGGCGCTCCTCACCCCATGAGCCACTCCTTCCTCAAGTGGCTGGGCCAGTTGAGAGTTCTCTGGTGACCCCTATGCCGATGGCTAAGAATTAAGATGGAGAGGGGTGGTGGACTATCAGTTGTGGAATATCAACCTCAGTGCACTTTTGTCAACACTAACCACACAGCATCCTGACTCCCTTGAAAGGGAAGACATGTCACATGCCTTAATGCCTTAATGTGCTTTATCTTTCAGAGTTGTGGAAAGTAAAAATGTAGCCCTACCAAAAGGAACTATTGTACTGGCTTCTCCAGGCTGGACAACGCACTCCATTTCTGATGGGAAAGATCTGGAAAAGCTGCTGACAGAGTGGCCAGACACAATACCACTGTCTTTGGCTCTGGGGACAGTTGGCATGCCAGGGTGAGTTTCATGGATATATTCCATTTGTTTGAATGTCTGACACTCTGATTTTCCAAAATGGTTTGTTCAGAACTTGGTCAACAGGAAGATATTTGATGCATGATAGGCTCAGGGGCTGATCAGAGAAGAGGGCAGGACCAAGATGGCAGATCAACCTAAGTGTCCATCAATGGGTGAATGGATAAAGAAAACGTGGTCTATATACATAGCAGAATACTATCCAGCCTTAAAAAAGAAGAAAATCTTGTCATTTGTGACAACATTGGAGGACTTTATGTTAAGTGAAATAAGCCAGGCACAGAAAGGCAAATACCACATTATTTCACTTCAGTGTGGAATCTAACAAAGTTGAACTCATAGAATTAGAGAGTAGAATGATAGTTATCAGGGGCCGGGAGGCTGAAGGGTTGGGGAGATGTTGGTCAAAGGATACAAAATTTCAGTTAGACCCACCATGCCCGGCATGAATAAACATTTTAGTAATTAATGTTTACTAAAATTAATACCTTCTTACATTCAATTAGTGGACACTAAATAATTCCAGCACTTCTTATTCTTTCCTGCCTGCCCTGTACCCTCTATGGGTGAGAGCTCTTCCTCCTCCTTCGTTATCCTGCTCATCCTTCCCTCTGCACTGTGAGCCAGGTGTGGGGTAGGAGAGGTGAAGGTAGACATGAGGAAACTTTGGTTGTTGAGAAGGTAATTTGTAATATATTAGGAGATCCTGACTCCTGAAAGAGAAGATAATTTATTCACTTATGTATATTTCTTATTCATCTGATCCAAGCCACTAAGGAATGCATGTTAGATATTTGGATTCTTAGAAAAAAATGCTGCCTGTGCCTCTCACTGCCTTCTATTCAATGCCAGCCTCTCATGGGCCCCAAATATAGTCAGAGGCTGTGTAAGCTAAGTAATGTCAACATGTAGTTTTTTTTTTTAATGCAGAAATAACTTTACATGAATTTGTCTGAAATTCTGCAAGTGGCTTAACAATCACTATAATGGGTCTGGATTTTATTGGCTGAGATTCAGGTCTGCAAAAATATAGCTTAACATTTTCCACTACTGAACTTCATTTCTACCTCAAGCCCTCCTTTTGGCTAGTGTAATAAGAGAAAACCTCAGTTAAATTCAGTGATTTCTCACATCATTTCAAATTTAAAACTCAGGATTTCTTTTTTCTTCTCCCTGCGGTTGTTGCAAAGCTCCAAGGGATAATACAAGTTCAGTGTCAGTAGAAGGGGGACAACAACAACTTCTTGATCTTGATCTATACTGGTCTTAAGCTGGTCTCCTGCTCAAAGTTACTTCCTTTCTCTAAGTTTTGAGATCCTTTCCCCCTTTCCTTCTTCCCACCCTTCCTTCCCTTTCCTTTTTTACAACTTTGAAGGTCTTCTGAGGAATGAAATGGAAATATATATACAGTGCCAAATGGTCACCTCTAAACAAAAACAACTCCTATGTACCCCAAATTCATATTTCACTCAGAATTTGAACTCCTCAAAATTGCCACTGCCAAGGACATCATTGTGAAAGTAGAGGATGCTTAATACCTTCTTACATTCAATTAGTGGGCACTAAACAATTCCAGCACTTCTTGGTCTTTCCTGCCCGCCCTGTACCCTCTACGGATGAGAGCTCTTCCTCTCTATTCTCCTCTGTTACCTGTCATTCCCTCTGGACTGTGAGCCAGGTGTAGGGGAGAAGAGGTGAAGGGAGACACGAGGAAACTTTGGTTGTGAAGAAAGTCTTCAATCATATCACCTTCCAAACTCGCAATCCAATGAGATGCGGTGGTGTCTTCACCCAGTCCCCATCAGTACTGCCAGTGCTGCATCTTGGTAGGTCCAGTAGCTCTTTTCCTGCAAGCTAACTTTGACATCTTACTTGGGGTAATACGGGGAAGTTTCAGAAGGTCTTCCATACCACTTTGGAGCCATGGAAAGCTCCAGATGCTCCCTGTGACCCTCTCATGCCTAATATCACAGCATTGTAGCTACTCTGTGGCTATGTCGCCATGATAACATGGGGGCTTCTCCCATGAAGCTCATCATCTACATAGAACTTATATGGGAATGAGGCACAGCTCTCTCTTCTTGAATCCCCAAAGTTTGAGAAAGATATTCCATCTTTTGCCCCTGAAATTTGGCCTGTGAATGGACAGGATACAGCCCCTTTCTAGCCAACTCTCCCTTCCCTCCCTAGTTCACATCACCTTTATTCCTATCTGACAGTAGAGATGGAGGAAGTAAAGCAACAGTGGCTGGCAATATTTATTTCCATATTTTTGTCTTTTACTTGGACCCATGGCACTGGGCCACTGAGAAGGCTTTCAAGATATATATAAATGAGTTATAGAGGAAAGAAACAACTCTATTCATATATCCTTAATTTTCTTCCTTTAGCCTGACTGCCTACTTTGGCCTACTTGAAATCTGTGGTGTGAAGGGTGGAGAAACAGTGATGGTTAATGCAGCAGCTGGAGCTGTGGGCTCAGTCGTGGGGCAGATTGCAAAGCTCAAGGTAAGTGCCTTTCTCCAGTAACAAGCCTTTATTCAAAACCCATTGGGAATGCAACAGTGAACACAGCAAATCTTCCTTGGCCTCAGGGAGTTTATAGTCTAGTTGTCTTCTTTAGAAGTTGGAGATTGAGAAATTGGAGGAATGGGGAAAACTATACCAAAGATAAGCTGAACATTGTTATTTGATAACATTGCAGATAATCAAGTCAGAAATGGCCTCTGTCTAGAGTAGTGAGTTTATCGGCATTTATCATTTTCATATTTTTTACTGAACATTCTATCGCTACAGCTTAATCTTCTTTCTTCATGATTGTCCTTAGCAATAGAAGAAGGGACTTGAGATGAGCCAGCTAAGAGTCATCACCCACGTGGCCCCACTGCCAAGGCTGTTGTACTAGAAGGAAATGGGCATTCAGCCCAGAGCAGTGGGGCCATGGCTTGGGAACTAACTCCTGGGAGGTACCTAAGACAAGGAAACATTGGCTCTGATTTAAGCAGATGTCTGCTCAAGGGATCCAATCTGATGGTGGGTGTATAGAGTAGGCAACAACTCAGACACAGTATGGATTTGTTATTACATAGTGGGAAGGTGATCTGGCTCAACTGATCCTTTGCCCAAGGCTGGGATGCAGGATTCAGGACCTAGGTCCTAGGGGACAAGTTAGATGGAGTACAGATGAGTACAGGGTTACAACCAACGGCCAAGGGTTTGGACTGGTCTCCAGTGCTAATAGAAGCTTGGAATACAAATGTGAGGCTACCATAGAAGTTGTAGAATAATTTGTTTAAGTAAGTAAATAAATAGGAATAGATATTAAATTTTATCAAATGCCATTGCGGCATTTATCAGGTTCACTTTTCAGTGAATGAATTACATTAGTTTTCCAATGTCGAACCATTCTGACATTTGCAGAATAAGCTTTACGTATGTATGGTATATTATGGGCTACCTTTGGAATTGACTTGATAACATTTAAAATAGAATTTTTGCATCTATAGTCACAAGTGAGTTTGGTTTAAAGTTTACTTTTTGTTCTGGAATTTAGCTAGGCTTGGATTGTGCTAAAATTACAAAATGAATTAGGATTATTTCTAAATATTCCAATTTCAAATATCCTATTAAATCACAAGGGGCTTTTATCCCGTAAGTTTGATAGGACTTGCGCTTAAACCTATTCTTTTATATTCAACCTTTCTGTCCATTTTATGTGTGTTTCTGTAAAATGCAGCTATTTGCATTTTTCACCCATCTGAAAGTCTCAGTGTTGTAATAGTTAAATTTAAGTCATTCTTATTAATTGTCATAACTGGAATGTTTGGTCATATTTATATTATCTTACTTTGTTTTCCATTTATTGGTTATTTCTTTCTGTGATATTTTCTTTGTTCTTTTTTCTCTAATTACTGAGAACCTAAGTTTTATTTACATTCTGCTAGTGTTTACCTTTTTACCAATTATTTAAAATCTGTTTTATTTATATCCTGCTACTATTCATATACATATTTTATATTCCAGAATAAACATATACATGTATATGAACTTCAAACAGTATATTTTTTCCCCATATTCTACCCTACATCCTAGATTTTTATTCAATAATCTAATAAATAATAAAAATCTCATTATCATTAAAACTTTTTGGTTATGACATCTGAAAATGCCTTTTAATTTTGATGCATATAGAATTCAAAGGACCTGCCAGGTGCAGTGCTGTGTGCCTATAATCTCAGCTTCTCAGAATTCTGGCTGAGGCAAGAGGATCCCTTGAGCTCAGAAGTTCAAGACCAGTCTGGGCAATGTTGTGAGACCTTGTCTCTAAATTAAAAAAAAAAATTCAAAGGACCCAATCCCTTTCTCTCAGAGCTCTATAAAATTGCTCTACTTTTTCAATTTCTATTTAGGGTTGCAGATGAGACATTCAAAGCCAATCTGATTCTCTTTCCTTTGTAGGTAATTAGACTTTTCTTTGAGGTGCTTATAAGCATTTCTTGTTATTCTTTGAGTTTAGAAATATCACCAGGAAATGTCTATATCTGTCTTTGTTTAATCCTGCCTGCAACTTAGTTAGCCATTATAATCTGAAGACCAACGTTTTTCTTCAGATGAAGAACAGTTTTCTTCTTCTATTTAATTATTTTTTTCATCTATTCTGTTTTCTTCATGAGGAATGGTATATGTTCATTCTGTTTCCCTTAGGACTATTCTTGTATGCTCTCTTTGCTCTCATAATTACATCTTTTGTACTTTTTCCTCTGAATTCTGTACTTTCTTAATCTGGTCCTCCAATTGAATTACATGACTTGCAGCAGCATCAGTTTCTAGATTAGCAATTAAGTTTTTCATAGCTGAGGCTCCTCATATTCTAGGATTGCTTCCTTTCCCCATAACCTGCACTTGTTGACTAATGCAGTATCCTTTTGAATTTCACTGAGAAACTTGAAACAGTATGAACACATCTTTTAAAATATCTTCTCTTCCCTGTAGAAATTCCACTGGAGACTGCCATGCTAAGGAATTTATACTCAATCCTTAAAGAAGTAACATGATTGGTTCTGCTTTTTAGAAACATCACTTAGGCCTTGGTAGGAGAATAGTTCCTAGGGACGCTATGCTAGAAACAAGAAGTCCACTTAGGAGGCTCTTACAATAATTCAAATGAAAATTTTGATGCATCGACAAAGATTGGAAGTCAGAGTCAGCTTTTTTTTTTTTTTTTGAGATGGAGTTTCGCTCTTGTTGTCCAGGCTGGAGTGCAATGGTGCGATCTCAGCTCACCGCAACCTCTGCCTCCCAGGTTCAAGCTATTCTCCTGCCTCAGCTTCCCGAGTAGCTAGGATTACAGGCATGTGCCACCACGCCTGGCTAATTTTGTATTTTTAGTAGAGATGGGGTTTCTCCGTGTTGGTCAGGCTGGTCTCGAACTCCCGACCTCCGGTGATCCACCCACCTCAGCCCCCCAAAGTGCTGGGATTACAGGCGTGAGCCACCGCGCCTGGCCCAGAGTCGGATTTTAAGGCTGTTTGGTTAAAAAAGAGGAAGAAAACCAGATGATTGGACATGGATCATAAGACAAAGGAAAGCTTCTCCTTTGAGCCATGTTTCAGGTTTGGATAACTGAGTGGTATCATTCTCTTATAATAGTGGATAGAAAAGAAATAAGTAAGAAGCAAGGAAAAAAGTATATTCCCTTTTGAACACACTATTTATGAGGGACCTACAGGACATCCAAGTGTGAGGACATCTATAGGTTGTTGGAAATACTGATTTGGAACTCAGGAGAAAAAAAATGGGCTAACATTAATAGATAGAATTAATAGATTAATTAATAATCTGCATAAAGGAGGTCATAAGAGTGAAAGAGATCATCCTATGATAGTCTATAGTCTTAGAAGGAAAAAGGACCAAGGAGGGCTCTCTTGCAATAGTTTTTTCTGGAATCATGAAGGAATGGAAAAAGCCTGTGGCCGTCACTATTTGTACAGAGATTCATGTAAATCCAACTGGGGTTTTTCCTCGATTGAAAATGCACAGTGGCACATATTCTGGTCTTCATAATACATTTAGAGTATAAGGGAGCTTTCTGAAAAGCTAGTTTCTATGAACCACTATAATCTGTAGTGTCATCCTGAAAGTGCTTTTCAGAATGCTTCCTAGCTCCTCTGTGATTAGGAAGCGTGTAGTCTGGTGCTTTGGACTAAATCAAAGGATAAAGGGGGCCTGGTGCAGTGGCTCATGCCTGTAATCCGAGCACTTTAGAAGGCTGAGGCAGGAGGATCACTTGAGCCCAGGAGTTCAAGATCAGCCTGGGCACTTTAGGAGGCCAAGGCAGAAGGATCACTTGAGCCTAGGAGTTCGAGATCAGCCTGGGCAATATAGTGAGACCCTGTCTCTGTGAAAATTTAAAAAATATAAGGCCAGATGTAGTGGTATGCACCTGTGGTCCCAGCTACTTAGGAGGCTGAGGTGGGAGGATCACGAGCTTAAGAGGTCAAGGTTGCAGTGAGCCATGTTCGTGCTACTGCACTCCAGCCTGGGCAACAGAGTGAGACCATGTCTCAAAAAAATATAAACATTTAAAAAATCAAAAAAGGATAAGGGGGCAGTTACTAGGAGGGCTGTCTGTGATGTGGGAGTCACAGAGCTGAGACAAAATAATAGTCTGAAGAATGACTGTACCAAGAGATGGCATACACTGCATTGCAAGGAAGAGAAGCCCAGAAACAAAGAACCAAGGAAGTCAAATGGATCGGTTGTGAAACCAGCTGGTGGAACTATGAACCAAATAAATGCAGAAGGGACCTGCTGGGTGGTCAGAAGCAAGCTGAAGCTGAGTTGTAGGATGGTCCGGGGACTGATTTCACCTATGGGATCTGTTGGCCCATTATGGTATTCCTTTTATATGTGGCTCAGCACCTAAGAGAGTGTTCCTAGGGAACCTAGGCATACGAGACCAGGAAAGTAGTGTTGGTCCATGCTTGTGACTTATTCATGGTTTCCTTTTTTTTTTTTTTTCTACTTAGGGCTGCAAAGTTGTTGGAGCAGTAGGGTCTGATGAAAAGGTTGCCTACCTTCAAAAGCTTGGATTTGATGTCGTCTTTAACTACAAGACGGTAGAGTCTTTGGAAGAAACCTTGAAGAAAGCGTCTCCTGATGGTTATGATTGTTATTTTGATAATGTAAGTACAAACTGGACTTAATATCTAATTTATTATGGAAGTACTATATAAAGCAGGAGTCTCCTACCCCTGGGCCATGGATGGTTAGTGGTCCATAGCCTATCAGGAACTGGGATGCACAGCAGGAGGTGAGGGGCAGGTGAGCAAGCAAAGCTTCATCTGTATTTACAGCCCTTCCCCATTGCTCCCATTACTGCCTGAGCTCCGCCTCTTCTCAGAACAGTGGCAGCATTAGATTCCCATAGAAGTGTAAACCCTGTTGTGAACTATGCATGTGAGGGATCTAGGTTGTGCGTTCCTTATGGAGATCGCACTACTCAGGTGCCTGATGATGCCTGATGCCTAATGATCTGTCACTGTCTCCCATCACCCCCAGATGGGACCGTCTAGTTGCAGGAAAACTCACCCACTGATTCTATGGTTATGGTGAGTTGTATAATTATTTCATTGTATATTACATTGCAATAATAATAGAAATAAAGTGCACAATAAACACAATGTACTTGAATCATCCTTGAAACCATCCCCCCAACAATCGATGGAAAAATTGTCTTCCAATGAAACTGCTCCCTGGTGCCAAAAAGGTTGAGGACCGCTGATACAAGGGAATATATTCCTAGAGTTTCCATTTTGGGGTACATGAAGAAAGTATATATGCCTTTTTTAAAAAACAGCTTTATTGAGATATCATTCATGTACCATGTAATTCACTCATTTAACGTGTAGAAGTCAATGTTTTTTACTATATTGGCAAAATTGTACAACCAGTTTAAGAATATTTTCATCACCCCCCCCAAAAAACGCTACTCATTAGCAGTCACTCTCCATTACCACCCTCCTCCCCACTAAAAGTGGTCTCTTATGACTGGCATCTTTCACTTAGCAAAATGTTTTCAAGTTTCATCCATATCATAGAATTTATCAGTGCTTTATTCCTTTTTTTTGTTTTTTGAGACAGGATCTCACTCTGTCACCTAGGCTGGAGTGCAGTGGTGTGATCGTGGCTCACTGCAGCCTCGACCTCCCTCGCTCAAGCAATCCTTCCACCTCAGCCTCCCAAGTAGCTGGGACTATAGGGATGTGCCACCACACGCAACTAATTTTTATATTTTTAGTAGAGATGGGGTTTCGCCATGTTGCCCAGGCTGGTCTGGAACTCCTGGGCTCAAGCAAACCTCCCAACTCGGCCTCCCAAAGTGCTAGGATTACAGGCGTGAGCCACCACACCCAGCCTGATGGGTATTAGCTTATACTTTCTGGCTATGAAGTATAATGTTACTATGAACATTCATGCAGAGGTTTTTGTGTGGATTTTTCATTTCTTTTAAGTATATACCTATGAGTAGAATTGCTGGGTCATATGATAATTTCATGTTTAACATTTTGAGGAGCTGTCAAACTGTTTTGCAAAGTGGCTACAGTACTTTACATTCCCACAAGCAGTGTATGAGGGTTCCAACTTCTCTACATACTCACCAACACGTGCTATTGTCTGTCTTTTTTATTATAACCATCCTAGTAGGTTTGAAGTGATATTTCATTCTGATTTGAGTTTGACTTGCATTTCCCTATGGCTAACAATATTAAGGATCTTTCAACGTATGTATTTGCCATTTGTATATCTTCTTTGGAGAAATATCTGTTCAAAATCTTTGCCCATTTTTGAACTAGGTTATTTGTGAGGTTGTAAGATTTTTTTTTTTTTGAGACAGTTTTTTGCTCTGTCATCCAGGCTGGAGTGCAGTGGCGCGATCTTGGCTCACTGCAACCTCCACCTCCCGAGTTCAAGTGATTCTCCTGCCTCAGCCTCCCGAGTAGCTGGGATTACAGGCATGCACCACCATGCCCAGCTAATTTTTGTATTTTAAATAGAGACGGAGTTTCGTCATGTTGGCCAGGTTGGTCTCGAACTCCTGACCTCAGGTGATCCACCTGCCTTGGCCTCCCAAAGTGCTGGGATTATAGGCATGAGCCACCACACCTGGCCAAGAGTTCTTTACATCTTACCGATACAAGTCCCTTATTAGATTCAGTGGATTTTCATTATTCACAATATTTATGTTCTATAAGGTCACCACCAAGGCTGAAAACCATTGCTTCTAGGGGAAATATGTACATGTTTGCACATATCTCACATAGACTATAATCTGAAATCCTTAAAACAACTCATCCTAGTAGCTTTTATTTTATGAAAGACAAAAGGAGGTTCAGAAGTGTTAAGTAACTTGCCTATGGCCACTCCACTAGCTAATACCCCCAGAGTTGGGATTCATACTCCATCCAGCTCTTCCCCGAACCAGAGCCTCTTGAACTGCACTGCAGTGGCCCCATCCTCTGGTCATCTCTGTGTAACAGTTGAAACAAGAAGGCAGAGCATGGTCTTATTCAGCCTCAGAGAACATCTGCATCTTTTTTACTGCTCCATGTATGTCTGCAAGTGACCAGGGAAAGCTTAGTGAGTACTGGTTTGAGGTTACAAATAAAATTTTAGCAAGTAGTTTACAATATGCAAATATGAAATCCACTAATAATGAGGACCAACTCTATATGGCTTGCAAATATTTTTTCCTATTCAGTGAATTGCCTTTAACCTTCTTTCTGTTTTTGTTTTTGCCCTTTTTTTTTTTTGAGACTCAGTCTCACCAGTCTCACTCTGTCTCCCAATCTGGAGTGCAGTATGTGATGACAGCTCACTGCAGCCTTGACCTCCCAGGTTCAAGCCAACCTCCTGCCTCAGCCTCCCAAGTAGCTGGGACCACAGACATGCACCATCATACCCAGCTAATTTTTATGTATTTTTTTTTTGTAGAGATGGAGTCTCACTATGTTGCCCAGGCTGGCTTTCACTTTCTTGATGGTATTCTTTGAAGCATGAAAGTTTTAAATTTTGATGAAGCCCAATTAATCTATTTTTCTTTTGTTCCTTGAGCTTTTGGTGTCATGTCTAAGAAGGCTTTTCCTTTCTCAGAGTCATGAATATTTATTCCTGTGTTTTCTTCTAAGAGTTTTATAGTTTTAGCTGTTACATTCAGGTCTACGATGCATTTTAAGTTAATTTTTGTGTGTAGTATAAGGAAGAGGCCCAATTGCATTATTTTCCATGTGGAAATCCAGTTGTTCGGCACGTTTATTGAAAGGACTATTTTTCCTCTATTGAACTGCTTTAGCACTTCTGTAGAAAACCAATTGATCCTAAATGTAAGGGTTCATTTTTGGACTCGTGATTCAGTTCCATTGATCTGTATTTCTACTCTCACACTATCTTAATTAATTTAGCTTTGTATTAAGTTTTGAAATTGAAAAGTGCCAGTCTTCCAACTTTGTTCTCTATACACCTTTTGAGTATTTTTCCATACCTTTAAATTATAAGACAATGAGGTTATTGGACTGATCAGAGAACCTCAATATATAATAAAGGAAAATGTATAAGTTATAAAAGGTATGGTCTTAGAATCAAATGAAAAAGCCTGTTTATTTATTTTTCTTTTTTTCTTGAGATGGAGTCTTGCTCTCTTGCCCAGGCTGGAGTGCAGTAGTGTGATCTCAGCTCAATGCAACCTCCGCCTCCTGGGTTCAAGCAGTTCTCCTGCCTCAGCCTCCCAAGTAGCTGGGATTATGGGTGCCCACCACCATGCCCTTCTAATTTTTTGTATCTTTAGTAGAGACAGGATTTTACCATGTTGGCCAGGCTGGTCTGGAACGCCTGACCTCAGGTGATCCACCCACCTCAACCTTCCAAAGTGTTGGGATTACAGGTGTAAGCCACCGTGCCCGGCCGAAAATGCCTGTTTCTAATGTCTTTTTCTAACTGCAGTCTTCTGCACTGTTGGGCTAATTCAGTCAGTTTTGTTGCTGCTAAAACAGGTATTGTAAAATAATGCTTGTGACTTAATGATTCTCCTGAATCTCTAGTATTTAGATTATTTAACATTTTGTCTTTGCTATCTGTTTAGGTAGGTGGAGAGTTTTCAAACACTGTTATCGGCCAGATGAAGAAATTTGGAAGGATTGCCATATGTGGAGCCATCTCTACATATAACAGAACCGGCCCACTTCCCCCAGGTAATGAGCACATGCACACGATCCCATATGTCACAAGGCTGGACAAGGAGAAAATTCACAGATATGCCATAGGCCAGTGACTCTGAAATTATTAGAAAGATTTTCATATATTCTTTTTTTTTTTTTTTTAAGACAGAGTCTCACTTTGTGAGTGCTCAGGAGTTTGAGACCATCCTGGGCAACATGGCAAAATGCCGTCTCTACAAAAAATACAAAAATAAGCTGGGTGTGGTGGTGTACACCTGTAGTCCCAGCTACTCAAGAGGCTGAAGTGGGAGGATTGCTTGAGCCTGGGAGGCGAGGCTGCAGTGAGCTGTGTTCCTGCCACTGCACTCCAGCCTGGGTGACAAAGTGACAGCCTGTCTCAAAATAATAATAACAAAAACAATAACAAAAGAAATAAAAATATATATAATTTCACATATTTTGTGCTAAATCAGCTTATATTAGATTTTTATGTAGAGAAACAGCAAGATCTACAAATATAAAAGAAACAGTTATTAAAAGTTTTAGTTTTTACCTATCATTTAATGCAAAACTGTAAAAAGACAGTGATGATTTGATTTAGAAACAGAACACCTTGGTCTGGCTGGTAAAATATTCAGGTTCCTCTGGATATTAGAGACATTGCTGGAGGTGCGAGAGGAATAAAGTGTGACTTGCTGTGGGTGAAGGGAAGAGCAGACTGCCATGCCCTTCAGAAATCTTGGGCAGTGCTTCTTGGAGCAGTAGGGCGTCTTGGCCTCAGCAGGCTGACAATTGCCACTAAAAGGGAAGGGAGCAGCAGCTTCCCTCCATTCCTTGATTGTCCTTGTTTTATTTCTCTGGTGCCCTGCCATGCGCTCCATTCCCCACTCCCTACTCTCTTATGCTGAAACCACATCCCTCCCGCTCCACACTCTGAGGTCCAAAAGCAGTATCAACCAGAGAACCATATTCATTAAATCCCAGTCCTGTGAGATGCCTTGTACAGGCCTCTCATTTTATGGGTGTGGAGAGGAATGGCCAAGAGGACCAGAGACTCTTTAACTCCTATTGGCAACAGACTCAAAACAAAGACCAGTCTTCTAAGCTCCTCATACAGAGTCTGTTTCTGCTACAGTGATTCTGTGCTATTAAGAGAGATCACAAATTACCTATGGTCCCCCCCCAAAAAAGGAGAAAGTACGAGAAAGTAGGAAAAAAAGGAATCTTCCAGACTCTAATCAGGATCCAGGCAACCATAAATCAATGGTTATTTATTCTATGATGAGCTTGACTAATGGGAATGAAACCTTATAGCCCCACTGGTTAACCACCACACAACTGTATGGAGATGGGGGGGCTAGAAAGGAAGGGGCTGACAAAGGGCAACTTGTAGATTCCCTCTCAGGTTGTGAAAAATCAAAATCATTACCAAGAAGGAAACTCCAGATTTACTTGGCAATCTTATTGTTAGGGACTTTTTTTTCCCCCTATAATTTTCTAACTGGTGCTAAGCTGGAATCATGGGAAATTGTCTGCCTGCCAACTGAGCAAAGCTGCAGGAGGCCTTTTCTTAACCACAGTCCGATTAGGAATAGCCAAATATTTTGGATACAGTAACTCGATCTAGTCTTTTTAGCAATTAGTCTTTGGAAGCTCAGCTGCTCAGACAGGACTTTGAGATGTCAGCTGGCCTTGTCCGTTCCATTTTAATCAGATGGAATTCTGCCCTGCCACAGAGCCCCAGAAATTCTAACATATTCCACTGTTAGGATAGCTCAGAGGCAAGCAATGATTTCCTCCAGGTTTAATGCTACATATGCTTTTTTGCTCTCAGTAAAAAAACAAAAACCAACATTCTCATCAACACGCACAAATCCAGAAACAGCATTTCACTTTCATTTTGCTTTTTTGTTTATTGGTTTGTTTGTTTTGAGACAAGGTCTTGCTCTGTTTCCCAGACTGGAGATTTTTTTTTTAATTTTTTAATTTTTTTTTTTTTTTTTTTTTTTTGAGACAGGGTCTCGCTTTGTTGCCCAGGCTGGAGTGCAGTGGCGCAATCATGGCTCACTGCAGCCTCCACCTTCTGGGCTCAAGTGATCCTCCCACCTCAGCCTCCCGAGTAGCTGAGACTACAGACATGTGCCACCATACCTGGCTATTGTTTTTTGTTTTGTTTTGAGACAGAGTCTCACTCTGTCGCCCAGGCTGGAGTGCAATGGCACGATCTCGGCTCACTGCAACCTCTGCCTCCCCGGTTCAAGCGATTCTCCTGCCTTAGCCTCCTGAGTAGCTGGGATTACAGGCACAAATCGTCACGCCTGACTAATTTTTTTTATTTTTAGTAGAGACAGGGTTTCACTGTGTTAGGATGGTCTTGATTTCCTGACCTCGTGATCTGCTCCCTTCAGTCTTCCAAAGTGCTGGGATTACAGGCATGAGCCACCATGCCCATCCCACTTTCATTTAAGATGAGGAAATGAGAGTTCCAATCCCTAACTCACAAAGAATAGTTGATGTGGGTCTTCTGAAGAAGCACTCTTTCTGTCTCATTCTCTTGCATTAGTTTCTTTTGGTTCAGGACAAAGCTTCATATTTCCAACTGCTAATGTTACTTTCCTCAAAGTAATCAGTGGGAACTTTAGGCTGAGTGGTGCCAGTGGTCAAAGATGCTGAAGCTAGATTCCACCACTCGTCTTAGCACACCAGGCATCTTCGCCTGACTTCCTGGAACTTGAAAGCCTATGCTGAGGTGTCATTCTGTCAGTTTCTAGTCAATTAGGACACTTGGGAAAATCAACCAGGCAACCAAAAAACTTTTTCTTCCTTACACGCAGAAGGGTAGTATCTTCTTTACAGGCTGCAGGAGAGCTGTGTGCTTTTTCTGGGGTGCTGGTTTTCAAAGTGTGGGCCAAGGACCAGCAGCATCACCATCTCCTGGGAGCTTGTTAGAAATACAAATTCTTAGCCAGGCGCAGTGGCTTATGCCTGTAATCCCAATATTTTGGGAGGCTGAGGCAGGAGGATCGCTTGGCCCAGGAGTTTCAAACCAGAGCAATAGAGTAAGACCTCATCTCTGACAGAAAAAACAAACAAACAAACAAACAAACAAAAACTAAAAAAAATTAGCCAGGTGTGGTGGCATGCACCTATAGTCCCAGCTACTTGCAGGGCGGAGGTGGGAAGATCACTTGAGCCAAGAGGTCAAGGCTGCATTGAGCAGTGATGGCACCACTTTACTCCAGCCTGGGGAAACAGAGCCAGACCCTGTCTCAAATTAAAAACGACAACCACAAAACACACAGACACAAAAACACCCACATGTTTATTCTTTTGTTTGTTTACTTCTTTTTTTCTTTTTGAAACCGAGTCTCGCTCTGTCACCCAGGCTGGAGTGGAGTGGTGCAATCTCAGCTCACTGCAGTCCCCTTCCGACTTCAAGCGATTCTCCTGCCTCAGCCTCCTGAGTAGCTGGGATTACAGGCATGTGCCACCATGCCCAGCTAATTTTTGTATTTTTAGTAGAGACAGGGTTTCACCATGTTGGCCAGGCTGCTCTCAAACTCCTGACTTCAAGTGATCTGCCTGCCTCGGCCTCCCAAAATGCTGGATTATAGGCATGAGCCACGCACCCGACCCCACACACTTATTCTTGTAGGTCTAGAGGTTAAAAGTAAAATGGGTTGGCAGGGCTGCATTCCTTCTGAAGATGCTAGAGGAGAATCTGCTTCCTTGCCTTTTCAAGCTTCTAGCAGCTGCCTGTATTTCTTGGCATGTGGCCCCTTCCTCTGTCCTCAAAGCCAGGGGCATAGGCTCTTCCTCCTCCTCCTCTCTCTCATCTCTGCTTCTATCACCCCATATTCTGTCCCTGACTGTAACTTTCCTGTATCCCTCATTCCCTTACGAAGACCTTTGCTGTTATATTGGGTCCATCTTTATAGTGGAGAATAATATTCCCATCTCAAGGTTCTTTTTTTCTTTTTATTTTTTTGAGGCAGAGTCTCATTCTGTCACCCAGACTGGAGTGCGGTGGCACGATCTTGGCTCACTGCAACCTCCACCTGTCGGGTTCAAGCAATTCTCCTGCCTCAGCCTCCCAAGTAGCTGGGACTATAGGCACCCGCCACCATGCCCAGCTAATTTTTTTTTTTTTTTAATTTTTAGAAGAGACGGGGGTTTCACTATGTTGGCCAGGCTGGTCTCGAACTCCTGACCTTGTGATCTGCCCGCCTTGGCCTCCCAAAATGCTGGGATTACAGGTGTGAGCCACCGCGCCACCCCCAAACTTCTTAATCATATCTGCAAAGTCCTTTTTGCCATGTAAGGAACAGGTTCTGGGGTTTTTGGATATGAACATGTTTGGGGCCATTATTCTGCCTGGCTGCAGAGTGCATGTTGATTGGCCAGCAGTCCCGTGGATCAGAAAGGAGTGAGGAAATGGAAGGGGAGAAGCACCAAAAAACTCCCAGCACCAAGCACAGTGACAGTGACCTGTACTGCTTGTTTCACCATGGGCACCTCCCTGGATCCTGCCACCCAAATGTGCCCTTCTCTTCACAGGCCCACCCCCAGAGATTGTTATCTATCAGGAGCTTCGCATGGAAGCTTTTGTCGTCTACCGCTGGCAAGGAGATGCCCGCCAAAAAGCTCTGAAGGACTTGCTGAAATGGGTCTTAGAGGTAAGGAGCTCCGGAGCCACCCCTTCCAATTGTACACTAGGTCACACTCCCTTTGCCTCTCAAGGCTTTTGTTCTACCAATTCTTCCCCATCTCTGCCGCATCGTCAGTTTTTCCCTATTGGGTCATTGTGCTTAGAGTATAAATATTCTTACTTTTCCCATCTTTGAAAGGAAAACAAAACAACCCTCTCTAAAGTTCATTTCCACTGCAAATGCAGGTCCATTTCCCTTCTCTCCCTTTTATAACAAAATACCTGGAAGTGCTGTCTACACTCACTGTCTGCCATTCCTCTCTTTCCATTCTTCCTTAAACCCACATATGAGGCTTTTCAGAGTCTCACTCTGTTGCTCAGGCTGGAGTGCAGTGGCACAATCTCAGCTCACGGCAACCTCCGCCTCCTGGGTTCCAGCAATTCTCATGCCTCAGCCTCCCGAGTAGCTAGGACTACAGGTGTGTACCACCACGCCCAGCTAACTTTTTGTATTTTTAGTAGAGACAGGTTTTCGTCATGTTGGCCAGGCTGGTCTCAAGTGATGCGCCCGCCTCAGTCTCCCAAAGTGCTGGGGTTACAGTTGTGAGCCACCGCACCTGGCCAAAATTAACTTTTGTCAAGGTCACAGGGGACCCTTACATAGTGAAATCCACTGGTTGATTCTTAGCCTCACTTGGCTATGGGAAATATTTCATAGTGATCATTCTCTCCTTGATATGCTTTCTTCCCTTGGCTTCCCTTAACTCTTGGTTTTCCTCACTGATTGGTCCTCCTCAGACTCTTGCTAGCTTTTCTTTACTCCAAATTAATATTAGAGTGCCCCAGGTCATGGTCACTGGGACTTTGCTCTTCTCTATCTACGCTTGAGCTATCCCTTAGTTAGCTCGTCTGGGCTCAGTATGCTGGGAGTTCCCATCTCTATCTCCAGCCTGGCTCTCCTCTTAACTCTAGGCTAGTATGTCCACCTGGATGCCTGATACACATCTCTGACATAACATCTTGAAAACTAAATATATTTTGATCTTTCCTGCTCAACATGCTCCATATTCAGACTTTACTATCTCAGTTATAACAATTCTATACTTCTAGTTTCTCAATCCAAAAGCCTTGGTCATCTTTGATGTCTTTCTGTCGTACCCATGTCTAATCTCTAAGGAGATTCTGGTGGTTCTATCTTCAAAATATATACAGAATCTGAACACTTCTCCCACCTCCCTGCTACCACCCTGGTCCAGGCACCATGCCTTCTAGCCTGGATGCTTGTAGTGTATCGGGGGAACCTGCCCCCAATATTTCAACATAGGTTCTTTCTATTTTTCATAAGTGTTGGCTGGCTGAGAAATAAAGAGAAAGAGTACAAAGAGAGGAATTTTACAGCTGGGCTGCTGGGGGCGACACCACATATCAGTAGGACCGTGATACCCACCTGAGCCACAAAACCAGCAAGTTTTTATTAAGGATTTTAAAAGGGGAGGGGGTGTACGAACAGGGAGTAGGTCACAAAGATCACATGCTTCAAAGGGCAAAAGGCAGAACAAAGATCACATGCTTCTGAGGAAACAGGACAAGGGCAAAATCAGAATTACTGATAAGGGTCTATGTTCACTGTGCACATATTGTCTTGATAAACATCTTCAACAACAGAAAACAGGGTTCGAAAGCAGAGAACCAGTCTGACCACAAATTTACCAGGGCGGAGTTTTTCCCCCACCCTAATAAGCCTGAGGGTACTGCAGGAGATCAGGGCGTATTTCAGTGCTTATCTCAAATGCATAAGACAGACACTCCCAGAGCAGCCATTTATAGACCTCCCCCAGGAATGCATTCCTTCCCCAGGATATTAATTATTAATATTCCTTGCTAGGAAAAGAATTTAGCAATATCTTCCCTACTTGCACATCCATTTATAGGCTCTCTGCAACAAGAAAAATATGGCTGTGTTTTTCCCAACCCCGCAGGCAGTTAGACCTTATGGTTGTCTTCCCTTGTTCCCTGAAAATCGCTGTTATTCTGTTCTTTTTCAAGATGCACTGATTTCATATTGTTCAAATACATGTTTTACAATCAATTTGTACAGTTAACACAATTATCACAGTGGTCCTGAGGTGACATACATCCTCAGCTTACAAAGATAACAGGATTAAGAGATTAAAGTAAGACAGGCGTAAGAAATTATAAAAGTATTAATTTGGGAACTGATAAATGTCCATATTAAAATGAAATCTTCACAATTTATGTTCCTCTGCCATGGCTCCAGCCAGTCCCTCCGTTTGGGGTCCCTGACTTCCCGCAACAGTAGTGGACTCTACCTGGCCTCCCATCTTTGCATCCCTATAGACAATTCCCAATGTGGTGGCCATAGCGATCTGTTAAGGCACAAATCAAATCCTGCCGTTCTTATGATCCAAACCATGCAAAGCTCTGCATTTCACTTAAAGTAAACCAAAGTGCTAATATTCAGTAAGCTTACACAAAATCTGACCCCTGATATCTCTCTGATTTCATTTCTTAGTATTCATCCTCTTATTTACTTGGCCCAGTCTCCTCCACCCCTCTGTAACTGCTTGCTGAATTCTCTCACGTCCTGCAAGCCTTTGCTAAAAAGTGCCGTCTGGACTGGCACGGTGGTTCACACTTGTAATCCCAGCACTTTGGGAGGCCAAGGCAGGTGGATCACAAGGTCAAGAGATCGAGACCATCTGACCAACATGGTGAAACCCTGTCTCTACTAAAAATACAAAAATTAGCTGGGCATGGTGGCGTGCACCTATAGTCCCAGCTACTTGGGAGGCTGAGGCAGGAGAATCGCTTGAACCTGGGAGGCGGAGGTTGCAGTGAGTCAAGATCGTGCCACTGCACTCCAGCACAGTGACAGAGTACAACTCCATCTCAAAAAAACAAAAAGTGCCTTCCAGGTGAGGCAAGTTTTTAAATGGCCCTATTTTAAGTTGCATTCCCTCTTCATTCTTGATCCTCCATATCCCACGCCCCCCGACTTTTTTTGTTTTTTTTTTTTGAGACAGGGTCTCAGACACCCAGGCTGGAGTGCAGTGCCGTGATCATGGCTCACCACAGCCTTGACCCAGGCTCAGGGGATTCTCCCACCTCAACCTCCTGAGTAGCTGGGACAACAGTCATGTGCCACCACACCTGGCTAGTTTTTTTGTGTTTTTCGTAGAGAAGGGCTTTCACCATGTTGCCCAGGCTCCTATCCTACTTTTATCCATAGCAATTAATCATCTTTTAACATAATATATACTATAATTTACTTATTCATTTATATTTATTGCACATCTCCCTTCTTGAGGATGTAACCTCCATGAAGACAGCATATTCATACATTTTGCTTTCTGGTGTATCTCCAGCCCCCAGAATAGTATATGAAGCAATGTAGGCACTGAATAAATATTGCTGAATAAATGAATGTTAGAGGGGTGCATACATGTGCCACAGCTCTTCCAGGTCCCAAGTAGCAAATAAGACAATCCCTTAGTCCTGTGCTGTGATAATTTTCAAACCTTACACCATGTAAGTTTTAGTCAACAGAAATCTGAACAATCAAGTTGCATTATTTTAGTTTTACAGGGGAAAAATGACATCATGTTTCCTAATCCCTGGCCAATGATCATTTCCCAATTCCAAAGAATAGATTGCTCCTCCAGCAGCCACTGGAGCTTGGCACTCTTCCCAGTATAGCACTTGCAGTGCCGGGCTGGGCTGTCACCAGGGAGCTGAATCTAAGTTGTCCCAGTTGGTGAAATCTAATGTAACCCATCTGTGATCACAGTTGACAACAGGAAACCACTGTGCTGGTGTCCCCAGTGCTTCCCTCTAACAAAGTGAAGCTGATCATAGTTAGTTAGGTGTTTATTTATTTATTTATTTATTTATTTTTGACATGGAGGCTCACTCTGTCGTCCAGGCTGGAGTGCAGTGGCGCGATCTCAGCTCACTGCAACCTCTACTTCCTGGGTTCGAGTGATTCTCCCACTTCAGCCTCCCAAGTAGCTGGGATTACAGGTGCCCGCCACCATTCTCGGCTATTTTTAGTAGAGATGGGGTTTCACGATGTTGGCCAGGCTTGTCTTGAACTCCTGACCTCAAGTGATTCTCCTGCCTCAGCCTCACAAAGTGCTCGAATTATACGTGTGAGCCACCGCGCCCAGCCCTAGTGGGTTTTAAGTCGTGAGTTGGCCTAATTTCTTTCACATACTCCCTTTTTAATCTCATTCCCTATTTTTTAAAATTCACTTTTTATTTTAGAAAAGTTTTAGGCTGGGTGCGGTGGCTCATAGCTATAATCCCAGCACTTTAGGAGGGTGAGGCAGGAGGACTGCTTGAGCCCAGGAGTCCAAGACCAGCCCTGGCAACATAATGAGACTCTACAAAAAACAAAAAGTTAAAAAATTAGCTGGGTGCAGTGGTGCACACCTGTAGTCCCAGCTACTCGGGAGGCTGAGGTGGGAGGATCACCTGAGTCCAAGAGTTCAAGGGCTGCAGTGAACTCTGAATGTGCCACTGTCCTCCAGCCTTGGCAATAGAGCAAGACCCTGTCTCAAAAACAAAAATAAAAATAGAAGTTTTAGATTTATAGGAAAATTGGGAAGATAGTACAGAGAGCTCCCATATACCCTGCATCCTATACCCTAATTTCCCCTATTATTAACATTTTACATTAGTATTTGTATTAGTTTGTTAGGTCTACCAAAATAAAGTACCACAGACTGGGTGGCTTAAACAACAAACTTATTTTCTCACAGTTCTGGAGGCTAGAAGTCTAAGATCAAGGTGTCAGCAGGGTTGTTTCTTTGCAGGCCTCTCTCTTTTCAACTTGTAGATGGCTTCCTTTTCCCTGCATCTTCACGTGGCCTTCTCTCTGTGTGTCTATGTCCTAACCTCCTTATAAGCACACCAGTCATATTGATTAAGGCCCACCTGTGTGACTTTGTTTTACCTTAAGTACTTTTTTTTTTGAGATGGAGTTTTGCTCTTGTTGCCCAGGCTGGGGTGCAATGGTGCGATCTCCGTTCACTGCAACCTCCGCCTGCCGGGTTCATGTGATTCTTCTGCCTCAGCCTCCTGACTAGCTGGGATTACAGGTACACGCCACCACGCCTGGCTAATTTTCGTATTTTTAGTAGAGACAGGGTTTCACCATGTTGGCCAGGCTGGTCTCGAACTCCTGACCTCGGGTGATCCACCCGCCTCAGCCTCCCAAAGTGCTGGGATTACAGACATGAGCCACTGCGCCCGGCCTCTTAATTACCTTTTTTTAAAAAGCCCTATCTCCAAATATAGTCCCATTGTCAGGCACTGGTGATTAGGACTTAAACATATGGATTTGGATTGGGGGCATACAATTCAGTCCATAACAGTATTCGTTCTCTATTTATAACCTCTGAACTGGATTCTACCTTTCCACCCTATCCAGATTCCTTGCTTCTTCAAGAATAAGAATGAGTTGGGGCTTTCAAGTCAAAAGTTCAAATCTCAGCCAGGCGCAGTGGCTCATGCCTGTAATCCTAGCACTTTGGGAGGCTGAGGTGGGCGGATCACTTGAGCCTAGGCCTTTGAGACCAACCTGGGCAACCTAGCAAGACCCCGTCTCTACAAAAACTAAAAAAATTAGCTGGGCATGGTGGCACATCCCTGTAGTCCCAGCTACTCAGGAGGCTGAGGCAGAAGGATCACTGGAGCCCAGGAGGTTGAGACTGCAGTGAGCTATGATTGTGCCACTGCACTCAAACCTAGGTGACAGAGTGAGACCCTGTCTCAGAATAATAATAATAATAATAATAATAATAATAATAATAATAATAAAAGTTTAAATTTCAGCTTCCCTACTTTGTAATTGACTGACTTCAAGCAAATAATCTTGTCTATAAATCCATGAAGAGTGCTAAGCCATCACTGGAATACATTAGCGAAAAACTTGTATCAGGTAACTCAGGTCTCTATATAAGACCCCTTAAAAAAATCTGAAAATGTAAATTAGTTCCCATTAGTAGGCTGTGCCTTGTAGGAGAAAGAGAAATGAAGACCCTTTCTCACTAACATGAACCCTTCCTTCCCACACTCCCAGATAAAGGTTAAACACATGTTAAAAGAACCTTGGCTTAAAGGGGAGACAGATTATTAGACTGTCCTGCCATTTATATTTCCTGAATAGGACCTGCCTCTTCAGGGGCCAGAGGTAATGAAGGGTGCTCTTTTCTCTGTCTATTTGTACCTCCTCTGAGATCATTGTGTTATTAAACTTTACTATGCATCTTATTTAGAAATTGCTTAATCGCTCTGGGCACGGTGGCTCACGCCTGTAATCCCAGCACTTTGGGAGGCCGAGGCAGGCAGATCACGAGGTCAGGAGATCGAGACCATCCTGGCTAACACGGTGAAGCCCTGTCCCTACTAAAAATACAAAACAATTAGCCGGGCATGGTGGTGAGCACCTGTAGTCCCAGCTAGTCGGGAGGCTGAGGCAGGAGAATGGCATGAACCTGGGAGGCGGAGCTTGCAGTGAGCCAAGATCGCGGCACTGCACTCCAGCCTGGGCAACAGAGCGAGACTCTGTCTCAAAAAAAAAAAAAAGAAAGAAAAAGAGATTGCTTAATCACTGCCTTATGACATTTCGCACTATGATCCGACACCTATTATTTCTTCTTAGGTGTACTTTGTAATCTTTTTTACATGTACTGTGTAAGTGGATCTTGCCCCACCTTGACTTCAAGTTCATGGAGGACAGGACTTCCATCTCTTATTTTCAAGGTTTCCAATGATGTACCTGATAAATTTGTTGCTAGGATGAGAACAGTATATCATTGAGAATATTAAATTAAGTTTTAAAATTTGTTGTTGCTTTGATACAGGGTAAAATCCAGTACAAGGAATATATCATTGAAGGATTTGAAAACATGCCAGCTGCATTTATGGGAATGCTGAAAGGAGATAATTTGGGGAAGACAATAGTGAAAGCATGAAAAAGAGGACACATGGAATCTGGAGGCCATTTAGATGATTAGTTAATTTGTTTTTCACCATTTAGCAAAAATGTATACTACCTTAAATGTCTTAAGAAATAGTACTCATAATGAGTTTGAGCTACTTAATAAAATACATTTAAGTGGTATGTAATTAGTGATGGAGGATGGAAGTTTCAAAGTCAACAACAACCAGTCACCTCACTGTTCACTACAGCTTCTTCTGAGTTGTGGTAGAAAATAATGGCTTTGAAGTGTGAAAATTTTCCAAACACTGTATGTTTTCATTCATAAGTGGGAGCTGAACAATGAGAACACATGGACATAGGGAGGGGAACAACACACGCTGGGGCCTGTGGAAGCCGGGGTGAGGGAGGGAGAGCATCAGGATAAATAGCTAATGCCTTCGGGGGCTAATACCTAGGTGATGGGTTGACAGGTGAAGCAAACCATCATGGCACACGTTTACCTATGTAACAAACCTGCACATTCCACACAATTATCCCGGAACTGAAAATAAAATAAAATTAAATTAAAAAAAAAAGTTAGCCGGGCGTGGTGGCTCATGCCTGTAATTCCAGCACTTTGGGAGGCTGAGGTGGGCAGATCACGAGGTCAGCAGTGCAAGACCAGCCTGACCAACATGGTGAAACACCGTCTCTACTGAAAATACAAAAATTAGCTGAGTGTGGTGGCACATGCCTGTAATCCCAGCCTCTTGGGAGGCTGAGACAGGAGACTCACTTGAACCTGGGAGGCGGAAGTTTCAGTGAGCTGAGATTGCGCCACTGTACTCCAGCCTGGGTGACAGAGCGAGACTCTATCTCAAAAAAAAAAAAAAAAAGTTTACTGCTTCTGTGACCTTAGACTTCTGATTTTTCATCTTTAAAGTGAGGATAATAACATCTTTCATATACATGTTATACATTTATTTAAAACACCAGCATAGGCCGGGCGCGGTGGCTCACGTTTGTAATCCCAGCACTTTTGGAGGCGGAGGCGAGGTCAGGAGTTCAAGACCAGCCTGGCCAACATGGCAAGACCCTGTCTCTACTAAAAATACAAAAATTAGCTGGGCATGGTAGCGGGTGCCTGTAATCCCAGCTACTCAAGAGGCTGAGGCAGGAAAATCGCTTGAGCCCAGGAGGCAGACGTTGCAGTGAGCCGATATTGTGCCATTGCACTCCAGCCTGGGCAACAAGAGCAAAACTCCATCTCAGAAAAAAACAAAACAAAACAAAACAAAAAAACAACAGCATAATGCCTGGCATATATTAGGTAAGTGTTAGCTACCTCCCTGCCGATATCAGTGATTTTGAAGTCTTAAGATTACCACCCCTATTGCTTGTGATTATGCCAGAAGAAATAATCACTGCAGGCATATAGGGGTCTTAGGGCCAGTCCATACTGGTCCTCTACAGATGAGTCTAATTATTCAACACACCAAAGAAGGAATCTGTCATTCACAGAGCTGCACAAAAGATAACACACAGGAATGTCTATACATCTACAAAAATGTGCAAGATTTATATGAAGAAAAACTTAAAACATTACTGAAGGGCCAGGCATAGTGGCTCACACCTGTAATCCCAGCTCTTTGGGAGGCTAAGGTGAGATCATTTGAGTCCAGGAGTTTGAGACCAGACTGGACAATACCCCACATCTGCAAAAAATTTTCAAATTAGCTGGGCATGGTGTGTGCCTATAGTCCCAGCTACTTGGGAGGCTGAGGCAGGAGGATCACTTGAGACCAGGAGTCTGAGGTTGCAGTGACCTGTGACTGTACCACTGCACTCCAGCATGGGCAGCAGAGTAAGACCCTGTGTCTAAAAAAAATTAAAAACAAAACAACAACAAAAGCAACATTACTGATGAACACAAAAGAAGACTTGAACATATGGAAAGGTACCATACTCTTGGACAGGAAGAATCTCTCTCTCTTTCTCTCTCTCTCTCTCTCTCTCTCTCTCTCCCTCTCTCTCCTCTCTCTCTCTCTCTCTCTCTCTCTCTATATATATATATATATATATATATATTTTAGATGGAGTCTCACTCTGTTGCCCAGGCTGGAGTGCAGTGGTGCGATCTCCACTCACTGCCACCTCTCTCTCTCTCTCTCTCTCTCTCTCTCTCTCTCTCTCTCTCTATATATATATATATATATATATATATATATTTTAGATGGAGTCTCACTCTGTTGCCCAGGCTGGAGTGCAGTGGTGCGATCTCCACTCACTGCCACCTCTGCCACCCGGCTTCAAGCGATTCTCCTGCCTCAGCCCCCTGAGTAGCTGGGATTACAGGCATGAGCCACCATGCCTGGCTAGTGTTTTGTATTTTTAGTAGAGATAGGGTTTCACCATGTTGGTCAGGCTGGTCTCGAACTCCTGACCTTGTGATCCGGCCACCTCGGCCTCCCAAAGTGCTGGGATTACACGCGTGAACCACCGTGCGTGGTGCCTTTTTTTTTTTTTTTTTTTTTTTGAGATGGTGTCTCTGTCTCCCAGGCTGACGTGCAGTAGCATGATCTCTGCTCACTGCAACCTCCGCCTCCCGGGTTCAAGCAATTCTCCTGCCTCAGCCTCCCAAGTAGCTGAGATTACAGGCGCCTGCCACCATGCCCGGCTGATCTTTTTTTTTTTTTTTTGAGATGGAGTCTCGCTCTGTCACCCAGGCTGGAGTGCAGTGGCCTGATCTCGGCTCAGTGCAACCTCCGCCTCCAGGGTTCACGCGATTCTCCTGCCTCAGCCTCCCGAGTAGCTGGGACTACAGGCGCCCACCACCACGCCTGGCTAATTTTTTGTATTTTTAGTAGAGACGCCCTGTGTTGGCCAGGATGGTCTCGATCTCCTGACCTCGTGATCCACCCGCCTTGGCCTCACAAAGTGCTGGGATTACAGGCGTGAGCCACCATGCCCAGCCTGATTTTTGTATTTTTAGTAGTGATGGGTATTGCCATGTTGGCCAGGCTGGTCTCGACCTCCTGACCTCAGGTGATCCACCCACCTAGGCCTCCCAAAGTGCTGGGATGAGGCACTTTGGGAGGCATAAGCCACCATGCCCGGCCAGAAGATTCAGTATCAGTCAGAAAGATGTCAATTCTATTGATCAATTCTGCCATCATAGAGATAAGGGGTTAAATAAATTGTAGTACAATGAAACAATGGGGAGAAGAGTGTCTGTACAAAAACTCTGGAAAGATGTAATACACTTCTAATATGGTTTGTCTTCAAGGAAGATAACTAAGGAATGCCTGAAGGACAGGGATAAGAGAAAAAAAAGTCACTGCCCGTGTCCTCTTTTCTTACCAAACTATTCAATCCTAAAGACATTAGAAGGAGCCAAGCAAGGTGACTGTCTGCTGGGGTTTGGGGTGGGAGAACCTCTATGGCCCACAGCAGAGCAAAGAGGTCATGCACCGAGGCTGGCTGCCTGGCACAGGGAGTCAAAGCCCAGAGCTGTGTGTGTGTGTGCTGTATGTGTGTGTGTGTTATATATGTATGTTGTATATGTGTGTGTGTGAGTGTGTGTGTGTGGACACTGGTGAGCAGGAAGAAGGAGGGGTTGGGCAGTGTGTTGTGGCCTGATGAGGGGAGTTGGAGCCCAAGCAAAATGAACATGGCTTGAGTCATAGCAGGGTTTCCCAGATGGTGTATCAGAGCCCAACAACAGTGAAGTCATCCGTGTGGGTAGGGCAGGGGCAGCAGGGCCTGATTGAGGGTGTCAGAGTCCAAGTAGGGTGAGAAGGGCATTGGAATCGCAGGGCTGCCTGGTGTGAGGAGTCAAAGTCCACACAGTATGGAGGGCATCGTGCCTGGGGGCAGCTTGGCATGGAGTTTAAGGGCCCAAAGTAAGGAAGGTGTGCACGTGAAGGGGTGGCCTGGTGTGAAGTATGTGATCCCTAGCAGAGGTAGGAGGGTATCACGTGCGAGTGAGTGACCTGGTATGGGCGGTTGGATCCCAAGGAGGCTGAGGAGGTGCTGATGCATGGATAGCTTGGCAGGGAGGTCAGAGCCTGAGGGGAGCTTCTACCTGGCAGCATGGCCCAGCATGAGCAGACAGAGCTTTGGGAAGGAAAGACTAACCACATGGGGAGGCAAGAGTAGGGGCCAGGAGCTGCAGGATGTCAGAGCTTGAGAGGAATGGAGGAGCATCTGCAGGAGAGGGGGTAGTGGTGGTGATAGAAGATGGTTACATACAGAAGGTTTGATCAAACAAGTAAATTAAAGATAAGGGAAGCCAGAGTTTCTCACTGTCAGAGAAGGGAGTTACAAACATGGGAAGAACCTTGTGGTGTTAGATTGGAATTGGAGGTATTGGTATGAACTCATGAATTTCAATGTGTATGAGACAAAAAAATAGGTATGTGTGTATATATCATATGTACATAGACACACATATAAATGAGTGTGTGTGCACATATATATATAACTCTGCCCACTAAGAGGGCCTGAAAGTAGTGACACTCCAATAGCAATGAACTTATCTAAATTCCAGATTGTGGATTTTATATATTATTCTCTACTAAAAGGAACCAGAAATGGTTTGTTCTGGGGCTGGGGTAGGGAAGATACAAGATGAGCTTGCAACATTTTCAGTTTTCTTTTTTTAAGAGGATTCTTGCTATGTTGTCCAGGCTGACTTCAAACTCCCAGGCTAAAGAGATCCTCTTACCTCAACCTCCCAACTAGCTGAGACAACAGGCATGTGCCACCATGCCCAGCCTGGAGCATCTTATACCATAAATCAAAGAAGTGCTCAAAGAATAATGAAGTCATGTTGAAAGAACACAGCCAATTTGAAAGGGCTCCCACTAGACAAATCATGGAAAATTTGAGCTCCATGTAGATAATGATAATTACAGATTATATACTATTGAATTAAAAAGGGAAACCATGAGTCCGTACTGAGACAAATACCTGAATACACTGAAAACTTGATGAGGAATGGAGTACTTCCATAGTTTTTTTTTCCGAGACAGAGTTTTGCTCTGTCACTCAGGCTGGAGTGCAGTGGTGCAATCTCGGCTTAGTGCAAACTCCGCCTCCCGGGTTCAAGCAATTTTCCTGCCTCAGCCTCCTGAGTAGCTGGGACTACAGGCGCGCACCACCATGCCTGGCTAATTTTTGTATTTTTAGTAGAGACAGAGTTTCACTATTTTGGCCAGGCTGGCCTCGAACTCTTAACCTCATGATCTGCCTGCCTTGGCCTCCCAAAGCGCTGGGATTACAGGCATGAGCTACCATGCCCAGCCCTACTTCCATAGTTTTAACATACTTCACCACAGAATACTTTTTAATTACCAAGGGTAAAGAAGTTGTTTAAAGTGAAGAAGCCTACCACCACTGAATCAAGTGGTCAAGGTTAACATCATCCATAATGAGACAAATGGGCCGGGCACAATGTCTCACACCTGTATTTCCAGCACTTAGGGAGGCCGAGGTGGGCGGATCACTTGAGGCCAGGAGTTAAGACCAGCCTGTCCAACACAGTGAAACCCCGTCTCTACTAAAATACAAAAATTAGCAGGGCATGGTGGCACAGCCACTCGGGAGGCTGAGGCATGAGAATCACTTGAACCCGGGAGGCGGAGGTTGCAGAGAGCTGAGATCACGCCATTGCACTCCAGCCTGAGAGACAGAGCGAGACTCCATCTCCAAAAAAAAAGCAAAAAAAAGATAATGAGTTTTCCTGTTCAACGGCATGGTACCTTTCCATGTGTTCAAGTCATCTTTTTTTTTTTACTGGAGATGGAGTCTCGATCTGTCGCCCAAACTGGAGTGCAGTGGCACCATCTCGGCTCACTGCAACCTCTGCCTCCTGGGTTCAAGCAATTCTCCCACCTCAGCCTCCCAAGTAGCTGGGATTACAGGTGCATGCCATGATGCCCGGCTAATTTTTGGATTTTTAGTAGAGATGCAGTTTCACCCCGTTAGCCATTCCATGTGGTAGAAAAGAAAAACCAATTTTCTGGGGAGGAATTCAAGAAGGCTGCGGAAATGCTGCATGAGGAGCTGAATGTTAATAGCCAAGACAATGGGGAAAATGCTTCCAGGGCATTTCAGAGATCTTCGCGGCAGCCCTTTCCATCAAAGGCCTGGAGGCCTAGGAGATAAAAAATGGTTTCACAGGCCAGGCCCAGGGTCACACTGCTCTGTGCAGCATCAGGACATGGAACCATGCATTGTGGCCACTCCAGCTCCAGCCACGGCTATCACAGGTGAAGGTATAGCTTGGGCTTAATTGACTCTCAGTTCCGCAGGCTATACAGGAAGCATGGCTGGGGGGCCTCAGGAAACTTACAATCATGGCAGAAGGGCAAAGGGGAAGCAAGCACATCTTCACATGGCAGCAGGGGAGAGCAAAAAGGGGGAAATGCTACACACTTCTAAACAACCAGATCTCATGAGAACTCACTATCATGAGAACAACAGGAGGGAAATCTGCCACCATGATCCCATCACCTCCCACCAGGTCCCTCCCGCAGCATTGGATACAAACCCTAAACCTTGGCAGTTTCTATGTGGTGTTGGCCTGCAGGTGCAAAGAAGACAAGAGTTGAGGTTTGGGAGTCTCTGCCTAGATTTCAGAGAATGTATGGAAATGCCTGGATGTCAAGGCAGAAGTCTGCTGCAGGAGCACAGCCTTTGTGGAGAACCTCTACTACGGCAGTGCAGAGGGATAACATGGGGATGGAGCCCCCTACACAGTGGAGCTGTGAGAAGATGGCCACCATCCTCCATACCCCAGAATGGTAGATCCACCAACAGCTTGTGCCATGCACCTGGAAAAGTCACAGGCACTCAACAGGCCTTGAGAGCAGCCATGGGAATTGTACCCTGCAGAGTAACAGGGGCAGAGGTGCCCAAGACCTTAGAAGCCCACCCTTTGCATCAGCATGCCCTAGATGTGAGACATGGAGTCAAAGATTATTATGGAGCTATAAGATTTAATGACTGCCCCACCAGGTTTTGGACTTGCATGGGGCCTGTAGCCCCTTTGTCTTGGTCAATCTCTCCTCCTTGGAATGGGAGCATTTACCCAGTGTCTGTACCCCTGTTCTATCTTGGAAGTAACTAACTTGTTTTTGACTTGTGATTTTACAGGCTCATAGGTGGAAGGGACTTGCCTTGTGTCAGAAGAGACTTTGGACTTGGACTTTTGAGTTAATGCTAGAATGAGTTAAGACTTTAAGGGACTGTTGGGAAGGCATGATTAGCTTTGAAATGTGAGAAAGGACATGAGATTTGCGAGGGACCAGGGTGGAATGATATAGTTTGGCTCTGTGTCCCCACCCAAATCTGTTGAACTATAATCCACAATGCTGCAGGAGGGACCTGGTGGGAGGTGATGGGATCATGGTGGCAGATTTCCCTCCTGTTGTTCTCATGATAGTGAGTTCTCATGAGATCTGGTTGTTTAGAAGTGTGTAGCACTTCCCCCTTTTTGCTCTCCCCTGCTGCCATGTGAAGATGTGCTTGCTTCCCCTTTGCCCTTCTGCCATGACTGTAAGTTCCTGAGGCCTCCCAGCCATGCTTCCTGTATAGCCTGCGGAACTGTGAGTCAGTTAAGCCTCTTTTCTTCATAAATTACCCAGTCTCAGGTAGTTCCTTATAGCAGTGTGAGAACAGACTAATACACATATTGTTTAGAGGAAAAATTTTATTAACAGAGCACAGTAGAAAATAGCACAACGGCCTTCTGATGGGGTACTAATGAAATATGGAAAGATTTAGGAGGTGGAGGCATCAGGTTTTCTGGAAGTAGGGAGAAAATCAGAGGCTAAAGAGTTTGAAAATGTGCACAGAACAGTTTGAGCTCAAAATGCCACTCCTACCTTATTTTGCCAGGTGATTATCAATTCACCACAATTCCCACAGGAAATGAGAGGCATTATCTTTTGCCAAATAGAACTTGATAGGCTATTAACTTGGGTACCCTGGGCCTGGAGGAGGATGGAAATAAGATAGAAGACTAAAAACAGGATACTAAGTGGAAGTCTGAATAAAAGGGGATGAACTCCAACTCCTATCCCACCATGTGGCGTGCCTCTGCCTGCTCGCCAGTAATGGTAGCCAGGCTTATATCCCCCATGCTGACTAGAACATCCTTCTCTGGGGAAATTAAAGAGCAGACCTCTGGAGAAATTACACTTCTCAAAGAAAAATTAACAGGCACTGACATTTAGGGTCCCAAAGGCAAAAAGTAGGTCACACTCAAAGCATCTAACTCAAAGACCCTGGACTTCAGTTGTAGACCCTGAGCAGATTAGACTTTGGATTGTCTCCCTTGGGTAAAATACAGTGGTCTCCCCTTATTCAAAGTTTCACTTTCCGTGGTTTCAGTTACCCTCAATCTTGGCCCCAAAATTTTAAATAGAAAATTCCAGAAATAAAAAATTCCAGTATGTTCTGAGTAGCCTGATGAAACCTCTTGCCATCCTGCTCCGTGCCTCCTAGGACACAAATTATCCCTTTGTCCAGCATATCCATGTCATCTACACTACCTGTCTGTTAGTCACTTAGTAGCCTTCTTGGGTTATCAGACTGACAAAACATAGAACATACAGGGTTTGGTACTATCTGAGGTTGCAGGCATCCACTCGAGGTCTTGGAGCATATCCCCCATGGATAAGGGGGCTACTGTATGCATTAAGTGTGGGAAGAAAGAGTTTGGTGACCGAAAGAACAGACTGTGGTAGAAATAATCTATGTGCTCACCACAATGAGGGGAAAGCTGTATTTCAAGCCTCCCTTTAAGTTAGGTTAGGGTTATATGATTGATCTCTGGGCAACGGAAGAGTAGAAGTGACTTCTAAGACAGAGGTTGACTTTCTTAGTTACAGGATCTGTAGTACCATGGCCATTTTTCCACAATGCTCCCAGGCAAACAAACAAAAAACCCATTAACTATCAATTCCATTTGCTAAGTAGTTAGTTCCAATAACATAATAGTAGTAGTTTGTGATGTCAATAGTTGTAGTTGTGATAATCTCCAGATTTTAAAATATCCTGGGAAGCCTGTGTGAGATCTCTAGAGTGGAATGGGAAACCTTGGCACCGAGTTTGAAACCTGTGGTTCTCAGCTGTTTCTAGGCTAGTGCTTAAAAACACTGCACAATGCTCCAGTTCTTCCTTTCCCTGCCTCTGGGACGTTGGAAGTTATGTGCTCCACACAGCATGACTACAAAATATGGGAAAGCAACAAAATGCTGGAAAGACCCCTGGGGAATAAACTTTCATTCAGTTAAGCTACTCCAATTTGTTGGGTTCTCTGTGGCTAGGATTGCGTAGAGCAACTTAATATGGTAGTCACTTGAGGCTAGTGAGAAATGGAAATCCACACAGTGCCACATTTCACAATTTTAAAAACAGAAGCAGAGTCAAATACTTTTCCACTAAACGTATCTTTATTTTGATAGAACTACAATTCACTTTAACCACTGCATTGCATAGGACACTGTTGTATTATAATGCTTGTACAGGAACGTGCATTATCACTAGTGTTACACATAAACACGTCACCAATCTAGTCAGTATCAACAGATTGATTTGAGTTCAGATGATTTTTTTTTCTATGCACGGATGTAAAATCACAATGTGTTTACTTGGATATTTTATGCAGATAGCACAAGATAGAGTATACCTATGCAAACAGCACAAGTTACAGTGATACCTATGTAAATCAGAATCCTAAAATGAGATACTTAATATTTTCATTATAATTATTTTCTAGGTTAAAAAAATGAAAAAATATTTAAATTTTAAACAAAGGCATATTACTGAGGCAGAATTCAGTGCAGATACAGAAGCTGGTACTACAACTGGCATAGTCAAGAAGACTAGAGACAGTATAGTGCACATTTAATGATGAATGGCAATTGCAATTTACTGCAGCAGAGCAAAATGGAAAAGCTGTTTGTTCTATTCAAAAGTGTTAAAGATACATAGTAGATAATACTTAAGACAATATTTAAGACATGTAATTTTTAGCAACCATTTAGTGAGTGTAAGTCAAAAAAGAATACACAAAATTACTCATATGAACTGCGAGTGAAATTTCTAACAAAACAATTTAAACAACTTTTAAAAGGGTCTGAGTTTGTAAACCTGGCAAGCTATAAAATAGCTTCTTACACATGCATCTACAAAGAACCTTAGATGGAGAGATGAAGAAATTATCACTTTATCGTATTTAGAAAATTATGAGGAAAAGACCTTAAAAGACATTCATGAAAACTGAAAACGTCAATGAAACCATTAAACAATTTTGCTCTTGGATATACATGAACAGAATATATTTTTGCTAATAGAATATTTATATTTTAATAATAAAGACCAATTAATTCAAATCTTGAAAAATTTCAAGTATTTTTCTTTAGCCTTAGATGAACTGTTTGATACAAGACACTGCCCAAAGAAAACTCTGGGTATATTCTGTCTCAAAGAACCTCCAAATTTACAATGTCGATTCATGTAAAGGCAATGAAATGTGAATTCATTGCCTAAAGGCTCAAACTCATGGCAGATATTTTTGACAATCTTCCATCTGTCAAAGAATTTCAGTTAGAGACAGAAAAGTTAGTTTCTATCACAAGGATGGAACTCCAGCTAAGTTAAGTCAAAAGACCATCCATGTTGGAATTTTAAAGCAAGAGGATAACTTTTCCCTCATTGCTCTATTCTATTGCATGATACATACTGAAAATATTTGTGTTCAATTTTCTGAAGCAGACTCCAAGAAACGAGTCACGGATACATGTGTTATAATTCTTCAGTACATATGCACAAAAGCTATAGAATGTTGACAGTTTATGAAACTTCTGAAAAAAAAAGACAATGTATCTAATGATCTTGTTTCTTTACCAATGTTACCTGGATGACTTACAAAAGAATTTTATAAGGATTTCCTGTACTAGAAAATCCAATTCAAGATTTCCTTGAAACAAAAGAAATGCTTACCAAATATTCAATCAAAGACAAAAAGTAGCACTGTGATTCACATTTTCTCCCTAATATCACGCTGCATATGAACAAGCTAAATTTGAAGCTCCTAAAATGGGAAAAACTTGTGACCTGGCTAGACAGGTAAAAGAATTTATTTACAATAGAAACATTTCATAATACAAATAAAACAGAATAACTCACATTTTTCAAATGAGACAATATGCACAAAATTTTAAATGTAATAAATGGCTGCAAAAAATAAGCAAAATCTGAAGAATGATATATTGTATTGATAAACTGTTTTGTTTCCATTTATGCACTGCTTCATCAAATTTGATGCTAATAAACTGAATTGATATGTTACTGAATTTACTTAAAAAGTTTTGAAAGTGATATAATTTTGCCTAGATATTAAATGAATTTTTCTAATAAAAGTTTTGTTAATGTGGATGCAAATTTTAAACAAAAATTGGGGTTGTGTGTGGCGGTTCACACCTGTAATCCCGGCACTTTGGGAGGCCGAGACAGGCAGATTGCCTGGGCTTAGGAGTTGGAGAACAGCCTGGGCAACACAGTGAAACCCCGCCTCTACTAAAATAATTAGCCAGGCGTGGCAGTGTGCACCAGTAATCTCAGCTACTGGGGAGGCTGAAGCAGGAGAATTGCTGGAACCCAGGAGGCGGAGGTTGCAGTGGACCAAGATTGCGCCACTGCACTCCAGCCTGGGCAACAGAGTGAGACTCCATCTCAAAAAAAAAAAAAAAAAAAAAAAAACAAAAACTGGATACTTGATTCAGTTATTGGAAAATTAAGTATATTTAGAACAACAACAAAGTATGTTTGGAAGAACTATGTGAATCTACTTATCAACTCTACGTTTTATAAATCTAAATGTGAGTTATGTATTACAAATGAAAATTTTGTGTGTAGATTAACACATTACATACCAGATTTCAAAAATAGTGCAAAAAACAAAATGTCTCAATACTTTTTTACATTGATTACATGATGAAATAATATTATGGATATATTGGGTGAAGTAAAATACATTTTTAATTTTACCTGTTTTATTTTCTAAAAGTGGCTACTAGAAAATTTGAAATTATGTATGTGGCTCACATTATATTACTGTTGGATGGTGCTGAAGTACCTAAAACACCTTCCAATCAGCTTTTTAGAGCCCTGCTCTTAAATATAAATAGTCAAAGATCATCAGAGGCTTCAGGAAAGCCTCCAGTGTGAGAGACAGAAAACAGGTGAAAACAACTCAAAGGAAACAGGGATAATGCAGGGAGCAGAATAACACAGAAAGACACTATAATTAACATGCTCAGAGAAAAAATATTTCACCTATGAAACAAAACCAATTAGAAAAAAGGAAGAAAGAATCAGATAATGCACTTGGAAATAAAAATATGACAGCAGAGATAAAAACATTCACAACATTTAATAGTAGAGCTGGAAGATAAAGTTGAAGAAATCTTCAAGAAAGCAGGAAAAATCAAAGACATGGATAGAGTGGCCCAGGAATCCACCTCTCCACCTAGATAATAATTACATCGGCAGAAAGTTCCTAAAGTGATTATTTTGGGAGCACATGAGTCCATCTGAACACTTGTAGCTTCTAGGGGAAATTCTGAGTGGTAAATTGCAGTTAACATTGGTGGATTTCAGCCTTCAGTGAAGTAGCAGCTACCCATCCCCACCCACTCCATGGCAGGCAGCTGTGGAGACACAACCCCACATTTCTGGGTCAGCTTGCTGCAGCCAGGGTGGACAATAATAGCCACTTCCTCCAAATATCAGGGTTCTGATTGCAGATATCTACTTCTGATCACAGAGAAAGAGCAGACAAAGAAGCAAGCTACCATTCTCCCAACCCCCAACTGGCTAAAGTGGCTTCCAGGAGAAAAAAGGGATGAAACCTGTTTTTCTGGACATTCAAAAAACTGTGTATCTAGGTGAATTCAGAAAGCCATTGCTCCCGCCCAGGGAAAAACGCAGGCTCTGTAAAGAATTGAGACAACTTTAGGCATTCAACACAGGCTGATCCCTAGCACAGAGACAGCCTATGACAGTAAAACAAAAACGAAAACAAAAAACACACAACACAAAAAACAACAACAAAAAATAAACCCTGGGGAAAAAGGAATAATCTTATTTCCAGAGTTGCCACATTATAAAATTCAAATGTCTAGCTGTCAACAAAAACAATCACGATGCATACAAAGAAACAAGTATTGACCATTCAAAGGCACAAAATAAACCAACAAAAAATGGACATGAGGAAGACCAAACATTGACTCACTAGACAGACTTTAAAGCAACTGCCTTAAAGATGCTCAAAGAGCTAAATGTTCTGATTGTGTTGACAGATCAAAAGAGAAAATGAAGAAGATTGAAGCTTCAAAGCAGAAAAATGAAGGGAATATGTATCATTCACCATTACCTTAGAAGGCAAGGGTCCACTTTACAAAAGGACTACAAACATTTAGAAAATCAATGGGGAACCCTGCTGCCGCTGCCACCACCACCACGACCGCTGCCCCAGAAGAGCTACAGGTAGGTTTAGCAAAGCTTGTAGATTATCGACCCACTCTGATAATCTACAAGGGAGACAGACCTGAGAACTCCAACCTGGAAGAACCTCTCAACATCAGACTTCATAAAAAAGACTCTGAGAGAAAGATACCTCACCAATTTCTCAGGGTGAAAAACACTTTGCTTGGAAATCACAACTTACTGAGCACCAAAAGATTCATTCAGCAGAGGAACCTCACATGTGTTGTGGCTTGAGAGAAGCTTTCTTAGTTCAGACCTTTATAGACACTAACATTTCCACACAAGGGAGAAACCCTAAAATGTGCTACATTTTATGAAAAGCATTTTGACAGTGTGTTTTCAGAATTGTAAGATATTTCTCCCCAGTGATCAAGAAATTCCTCATCTGATAAACTATTCCGAGGGGAAAACAAAAGAGCAAAACAAAATTAAATCTTTATTTATACACTCACACACACAGAGAACCTCCAGTGACTCAGTGACTCTCTATTGCACTGATAATAAAGCAATAAACCACTCTACAGAACTGGAAGGGTCTTTGTGGTGCAGGTTCTGAACTATGGCAACAAGCACTGCAATTGACTCCTACCCTCACCCCACAGAGACACCAAGACAAGTTATAATCAAGCTGCTGAAATCCAAAGACAAAAGGAGAATCTCAAAAGCATCAAGAGAGAAGCAAATCATCACATAAAAGAAATCCTCAGTGAGACTGTTGATTGCTCATCAAAAACCTTGGAAGCCAGAAGGCTGTGGCGTTGTTATACTCTTAATGCAGAAAGAAAAAAAAAAAAACTGTCAACTGAGAATTCTATATACAGCAAAACTGTCCTTCAAACAAGAATTTATCAATAAAAGGAAATTACCTTAACATAATAAAGGTCAAATATGAAAAGACCACAGCTAACATCATACGGAATGATATAAAATAGAAAGCATTTCAGGAAAAGGCACAGATGCCTGCTTTTGCTACTTGTATTCAACACAGTACTGGAAGTCCTAGCTAGAGCCATTGGCAAGTTAAAGCCATCCAAATTAGGAAGAAGGAAAAATTATCTATTTGCAGATGCCATAATCTTATATTTAAAAATCCCAAAAATTTCACAAGAAACTATTATGACTAATAAACAAATTCAGCAAAGTTGCAAGATACAAAATCAACACTCAAAACTCAGTTATGCTTCACTAACAAAGACCCATTTACAACAGCATCAAAAACATAAAATACTCAAGAATAAACTTGACCAAGGAGGCAAAAGACTTGTACAATGACAACTGTAACACATTGCTGAAAAAATTAAAGACGGCACAAATACATGGAAAGACACCTGGGGTTCACAGACTGTAATGTTTGTTATTGTTAGTATGTCCACATTACCCAAAGCGATCTACAAATTCAATGCAAGCCCAATCTTCATGCCATTTTCCACAAAAACAAACAAACCATCCTAAAATTCATTTGAAATCTTAAGGACCCCCAAATAGCCAAAACAATTTGGGAAAGAACAAAGCTGGAGGCCTCACACTTCCTCATTTCAAAAACATACTACAGGAAACGTAGTGTAATCCTGATTACAAAACATTACTGGAGTAATCAAAATAGCATGGTACTGGCATAAAGACAAACATATAGACCAAAGAAACAGAGCAGACAGCCAGAAATAAACATGCATGTATATGGTCAAATGATCTTTGACAAGAGTGCAAAGAATACATGATGTGGAAAGGATAGTCTCTTCAACAGATGGGGCTGGGAAAACTGGATATTCGCATGCAAAAGAATGAAGATGGACCCTTTACCATACATAAAAATCAAAATGGTTAAAAGACTTAAACATAAGACCTGAAACTATAAAACTCCTAGAATAGGAGAAAAGCTTCATGACATTGGATTTGGCCATGGTTTCTTGGGTATGACCAGAAAAGCACAGGAAACAAAAGAAAAAATAGAAAAATTAAACTTCACCAAAATTAAAACCTTCTTTCAAAGGGCATTAGGAATAGAATGAAAAGGCAACCCACACAGAATGGAAGAAAGTATTTGCAAATCATTTATCTGAAAAGTTCTTTATATATTCTGGATATATTAAGAACTTCTACAACTAAACAACAACGCCAACAAAACCAATTAAAAAATGGGCAAAGGACTTCAATAAACATTTCTCCAAAGAAGAGATACAAATGGTCAATAAGCACATAAAAAGACAGTTAACATCACTAATCACTAGGGAAATGCAAAACAAAACTAGAATAAGATGCCACTTCAAACCCATTAGGATGTCTATTATAAAAAAGAAATAGAAAATAAGTGTTAGCAAGGGCGGGGATACTGAAACCCTTGTACATAGCTGGTGGGAATTTAAAATAGTGTAGTTGCACTTCCTCAAGAAGTTAAATATAGAATCATCATAAGATCCAGCAATTCTATTTCTAGGCATATACTTAAAAGAACAGAAAGCACCACTGATTATAGCAATGTTATTCTTGATAGCCAAAATGGTGCAAACAACTTAAATGTTCACTGGCAGATAAAAGGATAAACAAAATGTGGTATACAAGTAAAATGGAATATTATTCAGCCTTAAAAAGGAATTAAATTCTGATATGTGCTACAACACGGCCGAACCTTGAAAACATAATGCTAAGTGGAATAAGCCAAACACAACAGGGCAAATATTGTATGATTCCATTCATACCAAGTAATTAGAACAGTCAAATTTGTACAGACAGGAAGTAGAACAGTGGTTACCAGGAGCCTGAGGAGGAGAAAATGGGGAGTTACTGTTTAAGGAGTACAGAGTTTCAGTTTGGGATGATGAAAAAGTTCTGGAGATGGATAGTGGTGATGACTGCACAAAATGTGCATCTATCTAAATGCTATTGAGCTGTATAACCAAAAAGTGTTTAAATGGTTCATTTTAAGCTATATGTATCTTACTACATTAAAAAATAATTCTAAAATAAATAAAATGACTTTATTGACCAAAACCTTGCCTTGTCCTGTGACATGAAAAAAATTTATACACGCTCATTAAGAGGAAACATTATTTAAAGCAAGGACTTCATTTTAAAGTAAAATGTGTCACAGTGCTCTTCATAAAAGCAATCCTATAATGAATCAAAAGACGTTTAAAGCCTTTTGATAATCTGACTTAATCCAAAAGTGAATTTAAATATTTGGGTGATGGGCCAGACTGAATGTCCTGCAGGCAATTATACAGACTTAACTACTGAAATCAAGACTTTGATAAATATTATCCAACAGAGTTTGGGCTGCTCTCTGTAGCTAGTACATGGTATTTAGAAAGTTCATATTGGATAAAGGACTTATATCCAGAATAAAAAGGACTACAACACAGTATCAGCAAACTCCAATTTTAAATGGACAAAAAATCTGAATAAACATTTCACTAAGATACATGAATGGCTGAAGAGCACATAAAAGATGCTTTGACATTATTCGCCATCAGGAAAATCAAAGTTAAAACCACAAAGGAATATCATTTCAAACGCTAGGATGGGCATAATTTTTAAAAAACAGACAACAATGACTGGCAAGACTGTAGAGAAATGGGAAGCCCCACACATTACTAGTCAGAATGTAAAATAATGCGGTCACTTTGGAAAACAATTTGGCAGTTTCCTAAAAAAGTTAAATGAAAATTTACCGTATGACCTAGCAACTCCCCTCAGGCATCTGCCTAAGAAAAATGAAAACATGTCCACACAAAGACTTGTACACTAACGTTCAAAACACTTGCATACCAATGTTCAAAGCAGCATTATTCCTAACAGGCAAAAACTGGAAAAACCTCAAATGTTCTTCAACTAGTGAATGCACGAAGCATCCACATAATGTAATATTATTTATGATAAAAAGGAATAAAGTACTAGTATGTTACAACATGGATGAACTTAAAACACATTAATGAAAAAAACACAGAAAGATCACATATAACATAAAATGTACAGAAAAAGACAACTCTAGAGACACAAAGTCGACTGAGTAGTGGGTGCCTGGGATTAGAGGTTGGACGGGAGATTAACTGTAAACTGGAATAACGGATCTTGCTGGGATGATGTTCTAAAAAATGGATTATGGTAATGGTTGCACAACTCAGCATATTTACTAAAACTCACTGAATTGTACACTTGAAATGGTTTTAATGATATGTAATTTGTACCTCAATAAATTCCTTTAAAAAAAAAGTTTATACTCCAGATTCCCAATGGATACTGGGATAAAACATTGTTATGAATGTTAGGGAGTCTAAGAGTAATCATCTTGGAACAAGCCTCTTCTGAAGACTTTTACGTTATTTCTTCAACTTTCTATAAATTATATTTTTCAGAAAACAAAACTTACAACAAGTTTTCTGTCTTTTCAGAAAAAAACTTAAAACCATTATGAATGATTCTCATAATAAACATTCCTTTCATGGCTAGGATGTGATTCGTTGGTCTGCTTAGCAATAACTATGCGGACCAATTTATCACACGGCAATATTTAAACTGCAGGCTTGGGGTTGGGGAGGCACCAAAAACCTTCTCCCAGAGGTAGCATTTCACACCTACATACATTAGTCACAGTAAATGTTCCTGAGTCTAAGATTAGCATTAAGGATCGCTTTACTTCCATAAGTGAAGAGTTTTCTGGTTTAGCTCTCTTTTTATAGGAGGTGCCCACAATTTCAACTTTAGGAACTTATTTCTAGACCACTGTTGAGTCCATGGGGTTCCTCCAGAACCCTATGACCTGAAGCCAAAACCTCACTCATTCAGGGCCTTAAGTTCCTTTTTCAGTTGGAAATTATTATTCAGACTCCACCAATGAAATTTATAAGGAATAATCCACCAATACCCGTATATTCCATTCCTCTGAGGTCTAATTTCACAAAAGAAAACTTAACTGAAAATTTTTTCTGTATCAATTCTACATTCATTCCCTGAACTTTACTTGCTATCAGTGCAGTCTCTTTAGATTTTAGGGTATCTATTCTCCAAATGGTAGGGGTTATAATAGAACATTCATACAGTGGGAAAGTCAGGTGACATACATGAGAGAACTAGCTAAGTCAGAAAGTTGATTCCCCATCAAAAGGTGGCAGCTGCTACCCAGGACCAGCTGAGTGCTTTACATAAATAAAAGCCCAGTGTTGTTAGCCCTTATAATTTTTTTTAAGACAAGCTTTGTTTTTAGTATGAAATGCCCTAATTTTAGATAGTGGCAACAATGTATACACACACACACACACACACACACATGCACACACACCCAAGCAAATTGTTATAACAGCTTTTAACTGTTGCCACACAGAATGTTTACACTCCAATTGCAAAAAAATGTACTTGCTACAGGCAAAATTGTTTTAAAGTAGAATTTTTGCAAACCAAAATCCATCCAGAATAGCTCTGTCTTCAGCACATTTCCTTACCCCCAGCCCCCATCTATTTTCCTAGGACTGTTACTCTCACGGCTGAGATGGCTCAGGTGCAAGCTCTCTGGCTTCTCAGTCCTGTTGGCCAATGCCCAAAAGAAAAAGAGTTCCCTTGTCCGATTAAAATACTCCCTCAAGGAAAAGTCGTTTGAACTTCACTGACCCATTCCTAGTTACAGCATTTGAGGGATTCCTGCACGAAGTTTTCAAAAAGTATACTGCATTCTCACTAAGCTAGAAGTCCAGCATCCTAGGAACCAGGCTTGATGGAGTGTACCCGTAATGTCAGCTACTCAGGAAAGTGAGATGGAAGGATCACTTGAGCCCAGGAGTTCAAGACCAGTCTGGGCAACATAGTGAGACTCCATCCCAAAAAAGAAAAATTGAAAAAAAAAAAAGAAAAAAAAAAGAAAAGAAGTCCAGCATCCTGAATAGTGGTATTGTATTTTTTACTAGAGAAACTTGAAAGTAATGACAAATAAAAAAAAATAACTTATGTCCACAGCTTCAGAGATTATCAGGATACCAATAAAAAACTAAAAAACCAAAAAAGGCAAAAATCATTAATCCCATCCCTTCATTCTGCTGGTGACGAAAATAAAATTCTGAAAGGTCAAATGACTTGTCCAAGGTGTATACAGCAAGTTGGTTGGCAAACTGGGACAGAATCCAAGTTATGTGACTGCAGTCAAGTTCTCTCCATCACACTACATGGTAGTAGAAGAAATCAGAGAGAAATCCCCTGAAGAAAAGAGCTTTTCCAATTCGTCTGGCCTCAGAATCATTTTGCATTCTTCCCTTTCCAGTGACTTTACCAACTAATTACTGTTTACCAGTCGTTGCCATCCTTGAAAAGAAGAGGGATGAATGGGCAAAAGGATATTTTTCCTAACTGCCAATTTACGAAAGCTGCAGCTACTGATCAATACTGTAAGTTTACATCCCAGGGTTTCAGTAACTGACAATTTGAATTAAATTCCCCCCACTTTAATGTAGTTCCAGGATTACTCTGCAGAGTGAAATCCCCGATGTCTAATGAGGCCTGAATTACTTTTAAATGTCTTCTCACATTCGTTACATTCATATTCTCTCCTTCCGGTATGAATTTTTAGGTGTTCTACAAGGATTGAGCTTCGACTAAAGGTTGCACCACAATAGTTACACTCATAGGGTTTCTCTCCTGTATGAATTCGGTGGTGCTCATTAAGAGATGAACTCTGACTGAAGGACTTCCCACATTCTTTACATTTATAAGGTTTTACACCAGTATGAATTCTCTGATGACGACTTAGCAGTGAATGGGTTGGGAAGGCTTTCTCACACTGGTTACATTTGTAGGGTTTTTCTCCTGAATGAAGTCTTTGATGATAAATCACAGACGTAAAATGGCTAAAAGTCATTCCGCAATCATTACACAAATATGGTTTTTCTCCAGTGTGAATTCTCTGATGCCGGGTAAGGCATGAATTCTGCCTAAAGGCTTTTCCACATTCGCCACATTTATAGGGTTTCTCTCCAGTATGAATTCTCTGATGTTTGGAAAGGGATGAGCTATGACTGAAGGATTTTCCACAATTGCTACATGTATAGGGTTTTTCTCCAGTATGAATTCGCTGATGTTGAATAAGAGATGAACTGTCACTAAAGGGTCTCCCACAGTCTTTACATTTATAAGGTTTTTCTCCAGTATGAATTCTCTGATGTTTAATGAGGTGAGCACTTAGGGTGAAACCTTTCCCACAGTCATCACATTTGAAGGGTTTCTCTCCACTATGAGTTCTATGATGTGGTGTGAGCGATGAACTATCACTAAAAGCTTTTCCACATTCATTACACATATAGGGTTTTTCTCCAGTGTGAATTCTCCGATGTTTGGTGAGTGAGGCGCTATAGCCAAAGGCTTTTCCACACTTACTACATTTATGAGTTTTTTCTCCACTCTCATTTCCCTCATCTTTATTTAAGGCTGCTTCTTGACATGAATCTTTCCGACATTTCTCACACATAGGGGTTTTTCTCCTAGAAAGAGTTGATCTTCTAATAAAGATTATCCCACACTTACTGCATTTTTGGGACCTATCCCCCAAATGAATCTTCTGACGTTTCTGATGTTCAGTAAGAGCTGAAGAGTGACTCAGGACTTTCCCACCATCATTAGATTTCCGTGACTTTTCTCCGGCGGTTTTCTCCTTGCGGTTCAGAACAAGGTCTGAATGAAAACTGAAGGGTTTCTTGCTTTCATTATACCTCCGAGATTTCTTCCTCAAGTAGACTCTCAGATGTTTAATTAAGTCTGAAGTTTCTTTGAAATTATGTCCAAAGGGGCTTTTATCTGGGTCAAATTTCTTACCCCTACTGCCACTCCCAAGAGTTTTGTTTTGTGCGACTCTTCCTTTTGAATTTCCCTGATTACCGTGATCCTCCTCTGAGCTGCCACAATATTGCTGGGATTCTTCCATCAAGCCATGATCATCATCCCTGAGGCACCTTTCTATTATTTTATCTAAAGCTGATTCATCTAAAAGATATAAGAAATAGAATATTTCCTGTTTGCAAGAAAGGAAGCTGTTGTATTTTGGGTCTGAAATAGGAACACATTAATAACTATAAGGAATATAGTTTCGATGGTTCTCAAAAAGAGCTTTGTAAAATAGAAAAGGAAAAGGCAATATAGGGAAACAATGTAAACACATGGGTTAAGAAAAACATTGAGAAAGATGAAAAGTTTGTGCTTTATAGTTAGATGCAAGTTCTCACCCTCATTTTGAATTTTTTTAAGAGGTTTAGGATGGGCACGGTGGCTCATGCCTGTAATCTCAGCACTTTGGGAGGCCAAGGCAGGGAGATCATGAGGTCAGGAGATCAAGACCATCCTGGCTAACACGGTGAAACCCCATCTCTACTAAAAATACAAAAAATTAGCTGGGTGTGGTGGCATGCACCTATGGTCCCAGCTACTTGGGAGGCTGAGGCAGGAGAATCACTTGAACCCAGGAGGCGGAGGTTACAGGGAGCCGAGATTGTGGCACTGCACTCCAGCCTAGGCAACAGAGCAAGGCTCTGTCTCAAAAAAAAAAAAAAAAAAAGGTTCAAACTTATTGTCCCTATATCCTAACTTTTCTCTTTCCAACAATGATAGCACAAACATTTGTTGAATATTTACCAAATGCCAGGTCCCGCACCAAGCACGGTGTAATACAAGTAAGTACAATACACTGCATTTAATCTTCACAACAACCCTATGGAGTACATTTTATTACCATCTCGGTTTTATGGATGTGACAACTGGGAACACAGAGTATTAAGTAGCCTGCCCAAGGTCACATGTATAATACGCGATAGAGCCAGATTTTTAACTTAGTCTGAAACCAAAGCCCGTGCTCTTGATCCTTATATCCTATCACCTCTCCCCAAAGCAAACAAATAACACTAATTTTGTTGAAAACGTTAAATACATCACAGATATGCAGCACCACCAATATAGACTTTCAAAGATTACCACAGCTGGCCCTATCAGCCTTACAGATACACTAATCAGGCATCCATTTTAAGTCTCTCCTACACTGCTGCAGTTCCAGTACTATTCTTCTGACCTGCATACTTCCTACTACATAGAATGCATTCCCACAGCACCCTCACTATCACAAACATAAATTCAACAGGGCCTAGAGTTCAATTCCAACAATCTCCAGAGCTTTCTCCAATACCATACTCTCACTGATTACGCTATTCTCAGAATTCTGAATTCACTAATTAACTACATCCTGGCTTTTTACCATGAGGTCACACTGTCACTTTTACGAAACTATTTTTTCAACAGATAATTATAAAATACAAAATTACTCAAAATCATATTACCTAGAAGTTAACTAATGGCCAATACACAATTCTGTGTATTTCCTTCAATGTTTCTATATAGTTTAAAACAGAAAAACTGCATAATTTGTATTGTTATTCTTTTCACTTTGTATTGTTACTCTTTTATGATTATTTCCCATTTTACTGCTAATTTTTCTTTTTAAAAAATTTTTTAAAATTTTTTAGAGATAGGGTCTTACTCTGTTGCCTACGCTGGAGTGCAGTGGCATGATCACAGCTCACTGCAGCCTCAACCTCCCCAGCTCAAGCAATCCTCCCACCTCAGCCTTCCAAGTAGCTGGAACCACAGGCAGGTGCCACCATACCTGGCTAATTCTAAAAAATTATCTGTAGAGATGGGGTCTCCCTGCGCGGATCAGGCTGGTCTCTAACTCCTGACCTCAAGTGATTCTCCCACCACAGCCTCCCAAAGTGCTGGGATTACAGGTATGAGCCACTGCACGCAACTCATTAATTCTTCATAAAGATAATTTTAATTAGTGACATGATGATCATCATATAGATATAATTGTTCATTCTCTTTTTTTTTTTTTTGAGACGGAGTTTTGCTCTTGTTGCCCAGGCTGGATGCAATGTGCGATCTTGGCTCACCGCAATCTCTGCCTCCCAGGTTCAAGCGATTCTCCTGCCTCAGCCTCCCAAGTAGCCTGGATTACAGGCATGTACCACCACGCCCAGCTAATTTTGTATTTTTAGTAGAGATGGGGCTTCTCCATGTTGGTCAGGCTGGTCTTCAATTCCTGACCTCAGGTGATCCACCTGCCTTGGCCTCCCAAAGTGCTGGGATTACAGGCATGAGCCACCACACCCAGCCTCATTCTCTTATTGAACCTTTATCAAATCACACTTCCTAAAAAACAGAGTCATAAAAGCAGAATTACTAAACCAAAGGGTAGAAAGGTTATACTGCTTTAAATGACACATGAGGAGCAGAAGCCCCTGAGTACTATCTCTGGTCAAATATTCTTTAAATCTTTGCAAATTTAATGCGTAATAAATAGTATTACTGCTTTACATGTACACTGCATTGTTAGCCAGTGAGTTTGAACATTTTTTTCATGTTCACAAGCTATTTAAATTTTAAATTTTGTTGGTGATCCATTCAAGTTAGTCCATTTTCCTAACAGACTTAGTGTTCCTTATTGATTTGAATGAGGTTTTTTTTTTTTTTTTTTTTTTTTTTGAGACGGAGTCTCGCTCTGTCACCCAGGCTGGAGTGCAGTAGCGTGATCTCAGCTCACTGCAAGCTCCGCCTCCCGGGTTCACGCCATTCTCCTGCCTCAGCCTCCCTAGCAGCTGGGACTACAGGCGCTCACTACCACGCCTGGCTAATTTTTGCATTTTTTAGTAGAGATGGGGTTTTACCATGTTGGCCAGGTTGGTCTCGAACTCCTGACCTCAGGTGATCCACCTGCCTCGGCTTCCCAAAGTGCTGGGATTACAGGTGAGCCACCACACCTGGCTGAGTTTTTTTGTTTGTTTTTTAATTATTGCCATTGACTCTGCTGTATCTGTCAAAACTTTTTTCTCTGGTGTGTCGTAAATAACTTTTAAAACAAGCTGTGTATCAACATGAGGCATTTTCTTTTATGTAAGATAATTGGGGAAGGGACATATATTTATACCAGTGCTGCTAGAACTACACAAAACACTTTCAGAATCCATTTGTTAAATTCCTCTCCAAAATGCTACTTAAATATGATAAAACAACTGTTGTCCTTTATTTATGTAATCACAGTTGACCCTTGAACAACACAGATTTGAACTGCAAGTGTCCACTTACAGGTGGTTTTTTTTTTTTTCTAAGAGATGGGGTCTTGTTCTGTCATCCAGGCTGGAGTACAGTGGCATGATTATAGCTCACTGCAACCTCTAACCCCTGGGCTCAAGCAATCCTCTCACCACGGCACACACCACTGTGCCTGGCTGATGTTTAAATTTTTTGTAGAAACAGGGTCTCACTATGCTGCCCAGGCTGGTCTCAAACTCCTGGCTTCAAGTGGTCTTCCTGCTTTGACCTCCCAAAGTGTTGAGATTACAGGTGGGAGCCGCCATGCCCAGCCCGTGGATTTTTTTCAATAAACATGTTAGAAAAATTTTTGGAGATTTGTGACAATTTGAAAAAACTTGCAGACAAACTGTGTAGCCTAGACATGTCAAAAAAAAAAACAACCCCAAAAATGTATGTCATGTATTTTTAAGATATATAGATACTAGTCTATTTTGTCATTTACTACTATAAAATGTACACAAATTATCAAGTTAAAATTTATCAAAACGTACACACACACTTACAGGCCGTACTTGGTGTCATTCACAGTCAAGAGAAATGTAAACAAATGTAAAGATACAGTATTAAATAATAACTGGGCCAGGCGCACTGGCTCACCCCCATAATCCCACCACTTTGGGAGGCCAAGGCAAACAGTTTGTTTGAGCCCAGGAGTTGGAGACCAGCCTGAACAACATGACAAAACTCTCTCTCTACAAAAAATACAAAAATTAGCTGAACATGGTGGCATGTGCCTGTAATACCAGCTACTCAAGAGGCTGAGGTGAGAGGATCGCTTCAGCCCAGGAGGTGGAGGCTGTAGTGAGCCGTGATCATGCCACTGCACCCTAGCCTGAATGACAGAGCAAGACCCTGTCACAAAATAATAATAATAATAACTGCATAAAACTGTAGTACATACTATACACTGTAATAATTTCATAGGCACCTCTTGTTGGTATTGCAATGAGCTCAAATGTCTGCTCTAAGTATCCACTTAAAATGCCAGGTAGGCCAGGCGCTGTGGCTCACGCCTGTAAACCCAGCACTTTAGGAAGCCAAGGCAGGAAGATCACTTGAGGTCAGGAGCTCGAGATCAACATGGTTAAACCCCGTCTCTACTGAAAATACAAAATTTAGCTGGGCATGGTGGTGCATGCCTGTAATCACAGCTACTTGGTGGGCTGAGGCAGCAGAATCACTTGAACCCAGGAGGTGGAGGCTGCAGTGAGCTGACATCACGCCATTGCACTCCAGCCTGCGTGACAGAGTGAGACTCTGTCTCCAAAAAAAAAAAAGCCACGTAATGCTAATCATCTCCACATAAGCAGTTTATGTCTCCAGGAAATTGCCTATCACCGTAAAAATGGATCTCTTGCGGTTCCCTCCTATTTTTCACTGTGTTTAGTGCAATACTGTAAATCTTGAATAACATCATGGGACCCATACAAAGTGCTGCTAGTAATGCTGGAAGTGCTCCCAACAAGCACAGAATAGTCATGATACTTCAAGAAAAAGCTGAACTGCTTGATATGTACCATAGACTGAGGTCTGCAGCTGCAATTGTCTGCCATTTCAGACAAACAACATAAATTTAGTGATCGATACACACAGTACAGTACCGTAAATGTTATTTTCTTTCTTGTCTTAATAGCATTTTTCTCTAGCTTACTAGAATACAGTATAAAAAACACATAACATATGTAATTATGTTTATGTTATCAATAAGGCTTCAGGTCAACAGTAGGCTATTAGTAGTTATGTTTTTGGAGAGTTAACGGTTATACATGGATTTTCAACTGTACGGGGGCGGGGGGGGTGCGGTCAGTGGCCCCTAATCCTGTTGTTCAAGGGTCAATTGTATACTGGAAACAGCCAATAAGTTGACTACAATAAATGTTTGAGAAGATGGAATAGAGCAAGATGGATCATTGCTTCTTTCTTTTAAGATAAACCAAGGTATTGATACATGTAATAACTTACTTTTGTTTTTATTTTTTGAGATGGAGTCTCGCTCTGTCGCCCAGGCTGGAGTGCTGTGGCGCCATCTCGGCTCAGTGCAAGCTCCACTTCCCAGGTTCAAGCGATTCTCCTGCCTCAGCCTCCAGAGTAGCTGGGATTACAGGCGCCCACCACCAAGCCTGGTTAATTTTTTTTTTTTGTATTTTTAGTAGAGACGGGGTTTCACCGTGTTAGTCAGGATGGTCTTGATCTCCTGACCTCATGATCTGCCTGCCTCAGCCTCCCAAAGTGCTGGGATTACAGGTGTGAGCCACCACGCTTGGCCTATTTTTATTTTTTTAAATGTAAATTTAATATATATATATAAATTGTGGCCGGGCACAGTGGCTCATGCCTGTAATCCCAGTACTTTGAGAGGCCAAGGCGGGTGGATCACTTGAGGTCAGGAGTGATCCACCTCCTTTCCATGGGGAAACGCCATCTCTACTAATAAAAATACAAAAAAAATTAGCTGGGCGTGGTGGCGCGTGCCTATAGTCCCAGCTAGTTGGGAGGCTGAGGCAGGAGAGAATTGCTTGAACCCAGGAGGCAGAGGTTGCAGTGAGCCAAGATCACGGCACTGCACTCCAGCCTGGGTAACTCTGTCTCAAAAAAAAAAAAAAGAATAATAATATATATAAATTGTAAGATATAGGTAAGTATAAAAAAACCTAATCCTGGCCGGGCACGGTGGCTCATGCCTGTCATCCTAGCACTTCGGGAAGCCGAGGTAGGAAGATCACGAGGTCAGGAGATCAAGACCATCCTGGCCAATATGGTGAAACCCCGCCTCTACTAAAAATACAAAAAAAATTAGCTTGGCGTGGTGGCACATGCTTGTAGTCCCAGCTACTTGGGAGGCCGAGGCAAGAGAATCACTTGAACCTGGGAGGCAGAGGTTGCAGTGAGCTGAGACTGCACCACTGCACTCCAGCCTGGTGACAGAGCAAGACTCCATCTCAAGAAAACAAAACAAAACCTAATTCTTCAAAGATAACCAGTGTTAACATGAATGTTTTCCAGATATTAAAAATCCATATACTCTATGTATTCAGGCATGTATTTATATGTACATTTTTTCCCTTTAACAAAAATGGAATTATTATGCATGCTGTCCACTGGATGAATTCCTACTCATCCTTCAAGATTCAACTCAAATGCGAATTAAAACCTTGCTCCTGTATATTCCCACAGCTCCTTATACATGTGCTTGATATAGTATGCATCAGTGTTAACACTCTTGTTTCGATACGTCCTCTAGTGTCCATAAAAATGCACCACTCACACCTCCCCCTGCGGGGATATTACCTGACAACCCCTGCTGCTGCTCTATGAATCCAACACTGCATTCACACAAATTCCCACGAGTTGCTCCCAGTCAATGATGGAGTACAGGATACTTACACAGGCCCATTTCTTTGAGACACAGGACTCCTCTGATAGGTAACTATGGCAAGGACTCCTGTTTGGCCCTGCCTAAACTTTTTTGGAACTGCACTGCAGCCGGGCGTGGTGGCTCATACCTGTAATCCCAGCACTTTGGGAGGCCGAGGCAGGCCGATCACGAGGTCAGGAGTTCAAGACTAGCCTGGACAACATGGTGAAACCCCGTCTCTACTAAAAATACAAAAAATTAGCCAGGCTTGGTGGCAGGCGCCTGTAATCCCAGCTACTCAGGAGGCTGAGGCAGGAGAATCACTTGAACCCGGGAGGCGGAGGTTGCAGTGAGCCGAGATCACGCCACTGCACTCTAGCTCGGGAGACGGTGTGAGACTCCGACTCAAAAAAAAAAAAAAAAAAAAAAAGATAGAACGACACTTTAGTCTAAGACTTTTCCTACCCAATCTGCCCTCCTTCCTGTTCTCATTCACAGGGGTTAGACCAGCATTATGCTCTGATGGCTATTCCGGCTTCTTCTAGTTCCTTCCTCATTTTCCTTCACTGAATCTTTCTCCAGTAAAGATCTTACATGGCTAATCATGTCCTGGCATCTATTCAGAGGACCCAAACCAAGTCTCCCCCACTAAAATGAACATTTCAGGAAGGCAAGGGCTCTATTCTAATCATCTTTGTATTTTAGTATCTAGGCAGCCCAACATTTCAAAGAGTCTTCTCAACAGACTTGCTAAACAACTGCTTTAATTTCGTTGTGTATTTTTCACCAACTCACCTAGTCGGGAGCTTTTTGAGACTTCTTCCAGCAGCCATGGCAATTCAACCCACTTTAGCTGGGAAATCAACTCTAATTTTGAAACTGGAAAGTCTGCTCATAGAGAAAAGAACAGAAAATTGCTGTTTTGCATAGAGTAAAGATATCCCAGCATTCACATATAGCCTCTGGTTCTCCAAGGAAGATAAAAACATGCTACCAAAATACACAGACATAAATACTGGAACTTGAGACAAAAATGGGAAAAGGTATTCCACTGATGAAATCAAAATGATGCTTCACATTTCCAATTCAATGAAGCAAAGACCTTTTCTAGAAGATACGCTGCAGAAAAGCACATTTTCAGAACCAGTTTTTAGGATTAGTCCTATCAGTCCCTGGGTCCCCAGCCAAAACCAAGTACTTCACACAGCACTTACCTTTCAATAAAAGGGAACAAAAAGAGACCCAAGGTTAAACGCTAGGTAATGAAGAAAAGGTGTCTTTACCCAGAAATTCTAGGTTCCTGAGGTTTTCCAGTAGCACTTCCTTATATAGCTCCTTTTGAAAAGGCTCCAGCTTCTTCCACTCTCCTCTTGAAAAGTTCACAGCTACATCCTTCAATGTTATAGATTCCTAGAACACCAAACAGCTCTTTTGTATTGGATTATTCCCAAATAGAACCTAAGTACTTTTTTTTTTTGAGACAGGCTATTATGGCTCTGTCGCCCGTGTTAGAGTGCAGTGGTGCTTCATGGTTCACTGCAGGCTCAACCTCCTGGGCTCAAGTGATCCTCCCACCAGTAGCTGGGACTGCAGGCACGTGCCACCATGCTTGGCTTATTTTTAAATTTTTTGTAGAGGCATTGTCTCACTATTTGCCCAGGCTGGTCTCAAACTCTTGGGCTCAAGTAATCCTCTGTCCTCTACCTCCCAGAGCACTGGGATTACAGGCCTGAGCCACTGTGCCCAGCCTGGATAGGATATAAAGAATGGTTTGGATAGCATGCAAGTTTTTAAGAATTCCAAAGAAAGCTACGGAGCGGCTAATCATTCTATGACTGTTATAAGTGATTCAGAACAAGGGTATTACACAATCCCTGCCTCTTCCATTCAGTCTCTAGTGTTAAATACTGTACAAGAATTATCTGGAATGTGTAACATTGATCAAGTTCACCCTAACACATAGATTTCTAGGACTAAAATATTAAATGAAGGGTATGATTTACATTCCTGAACCCTAAATTTGCAGAATTAATGTAAGCTTACTACAGGTAATAACTGTACAATAATATCTGCAACTACATTCCAAATTTTAACTTCCAATTACGAGCAGCAATTATCTTCCATCATATTCAGAGAATCTATGTTCAACAACATACTGACACTTGCAATTACTTCACAATTACAAACAAGAATACTGACTCACTAAAATACACTTTCCTTTTTTTTCTTTTTTTTTTTTTGAGACGGAGTCTCACTGTGTTGCCCAGGCTGGAGTGCAGTGGCATGATCTCGGCTCACTGCAACCTCCACCTCCTGGGTTCAAGCGATTCTCATGCCTCAGCCTCTCAAGTAGCTGGGATTACAGGCATGCACCAACGCACCCAGCTAATTTTTGAAATACACTTTCTATAGCATTCTCTGCATGCTTTTTATAAGGCAGTAGAGCCAAATGGCTATTGGTACGTGTATTACCTTCCTCTGGGAGCTGTAACAAATTCCCATAACCTTGGTGACTCAAAATAGGAATTTGTTCTCTCACAGTTCTGGAGGCCAGAAGTCTGAGATCTAGGTGTTGGCAGGGCTGTGCTCCCTTCAGAGGCTCTGGGGGATAATCTGTTCCTTGCCTCTTCCTGCTTCTGGTGGCTGCCACAGTTCCTTGTCTTACGGCCCTATCACTCCAAACTCTGCCTAACTCTTCACAACACCTTCTCTTTGTGTTTTCAATCTCCTCCTGCCTCTCTAGCAAGGACACTTGGGATGGCATTTAAGGCCCACCTATATAATCCAGAATAAATTCCTCATCTTGTTTTCTTTTTGTGAGACTGGGTCTCACTTTGTTACCCAGGCTGGAGTACGGTGGCGTAATCATAGCTCACTGCAGCCTCAACCTCCCAGGCTCAAGTGAAAGACTGTCTTTCCCCCTTACAGCTCTACCACCTCAGATCCCGGGTAGCTGAGACCACAGGTATGTGACTATGCCCAGCTAATTTTTAAAATTTTTTATATAGACGAGGGTCTCGCTATGTTGCCCAGACTGCTCTCGAACTCCCAGGCTCAAGCAATCCTCCCACCCCGGCCTCCCAAAGTGATGGGATTACAGGCATGATCCACTGTACCCAGCCAAGGATGTTCTTTATCATGTTAAGATTTAAGGACATGTATTTCTGTCTGGGCACAGTGGCTAATGCCTGTAATCACAATGCTGTGGGAGGCCAAGGGAGAGGACTGCTTGAGGTCAGGAGTTCAAGACTGGCCTGGGCAACACAGCAAGACCCCAACTCTACAAAAAATATTTTAAAATGAGCTGGGCACAGTGGCGTGCGCCAGTTGTCCCAGCTACTCATGAGGCTGAGGAGGGAGGATGGCTTAAACCCAGGACTTCAAGGTTGCAGTGAGCTATGCTTGCACCACTGCACTCCACTCCAGCCTAGATGACAGAACAAGACCCCATCTCTTAAAAAGAAAAAAAGCAAGGCCGGATGCAGTGGCTCACACCTGTAATCCCAGCACTTTGGGAGGCTGAGGTGGGTGGATCACCTAGGTCAGGAGTTTGAGATCAGCCTGGCCAACATGGTGAAACCCCGTCTCTACTAAAAATACAAAAATTAGCCGGGCATGGTGGCAGGAGCCTATAATCCCAGCTACTCAGGAGGCTGAGGCAGGAGAATCGCTTGAACCTGGGAGGCAGAGGCTGCAGTGAGCCGAGATACCGCCACCGCACTCCAGCCTGGGCAACGGAGTAAAACTCTGTCTCAAGAAAGAAAAAAAAAGAAGGAAATGAACTTCTATTTCACTTGACTAATTTTAATAGTGGTAACTGCTGAATTTTAGTAAGTGTTTTTGTTTCATTACAATCAGACTCATGGCATTCTGTGAACTGAAACAAAATTGCATGTGGAAAATGAGGCGTCAGTTCCTTGAAAGGGAGATTACATTTATTCTATTTTTTTTAGAGACAGGGTCTTGCTCTGTTGCCCAGGCTGGAAGGCAGCAGTGGCATGATCATAGCTCACTGCAACCCTGAACTCTTGGGCTCAAGCGATCTTCCTGCCTCAGCCTCCCAAAGTGCTGGGATTACAGGTGTAAGCCACCGTGCCTAGCCTTTTATTTTTATATCTTTATACCACTCAGTAGGAGCTCAATTAAGTATTCACTTAGGAATAAAAACCATCAAAGGAAACTTACACAGGACTCAGTATTGGGACAAACAGTGACCATTTTATCCTCTTTTGAGTTCTCCTCTTGGGAAACAGTAGAATCTTGAGAGACTGGATCTAGGAAAGGGGAGAAAACCAGTCCAGTCGTTCATACAGATTCCTCAGACTAAAAATCTTATATATATATATGTATATATATATATATATATATATATATATATATATATATATATATTTCTAAGTGATAAACAGGAAAAAAACTAAGTCAGTTTCTCCTACTATACTCACAACACAAAATAATTCTGTGACTCCAGATATGTGGGGGTGTTTCCCCCACACCCAGCAGGCAGTTCTGTGTTGGACTCCCCAGCAGGCACCAGCTGGGTGTCCTCTAATTCATTTCTAATGCTATCTACCTGGAGATAGCATCAGTTCCCAAAGGTTAAGGCCTCAGTCCAAGACTGACCTCCACTTCAGATGCCAGTCTCATGTCCGACCCTCCAGGGCTTTTGACCAACAAGATACAAATTGGGGTTCCCATGAGCCCCTCCCTGGGTTCCAATAATTTGCTAGAGTGGCTCACGTAACACTTTACTTACGTTTACTGGTTTAATGTAAAGGGTATTACAAAGGATACAGATGAACAGCCAGATGGATGAGGCATTGCATAGGGCAAGGGGCTTGCTGCTTCCATGCCATCTCTGGGTACACAGCTCTCCAGGAACTGCCACGTGGTTAGCTATCTGGAAACTCTCATGAGCTGTGTCCTTTTGGGTTTTTATGGAAGCTTCATAGACAGGCATGACTGATTAAATCACTGGTCCTGTGATCAACTCAACCTTCAGTCCCTCTCCCCTTTGACAGGTTGGGGGGTGGAGCTGAGTTCCAACCCTCTAAGCAACTGGGTTGGTTCCCCTGGCAACCAGCACCCTTCCCCAATTCCAGGGTTATCTAAGGACTTTCCAAAAATCACCTCGTTAACATAAACTCAAGTGTGGTTAAAAGGAGCTTATTATAAATAACAAAAAGACTGTCTTTCTCCTTTATAGCTCAGGAGCTGTTTCAGGAACCACGGACAAAAGGCCAAATATTTTAACAAAAGATACTCTTACTGTTCTAATCACCCAGGAAATTACAAGGGTTCTAAGAGCTCTGAGCCTCTCTGGATAAAAAGGTCAGAAGAAACAAAAAGTTGTCCCACTCTTTAAAACAGAGAACAGCCATAGATAAAAGTTTCCTGTGAAAACCTAGGCATTTCCTCTTAGCTCATATAAAAATCTTTTCAAATCCTAAGCTCACGAAAACTTCTTTCTGTATACCCTCAGTTTAAAAATATTTAATTTGAACAATAATGAATTGTGAAGTATCCTAATTTAAAAGATGTAGTAAGGTAAAACTGTGTATTCTTCATAGTCCTAGTACAAAGCCTTGCTCAAGAGTTGCTCAAACCTGCTAACTGAATGAAAGCACCAGGTTAGTCTCAAGAGTTGACTCCACCAGATTCCTTAAGACAGAGAAGAGGCATCTAATAAACTCATAGGAACTAAATGTATGCAGTACCTTCAGATTGGCCCATTCTGGGCATACTGCCTATGAGTGATCCCTGCTCCACAAGGAGCAGTAAAAAATACATACATAAAAACCCTCGGATGTCAACAGCTCTTTTTCAATTAAGAAAAATTATTTTTTCAAATCATACTCTACCTTCTTATGAAAAGAATTTTAGGCAAATTTAGTGATTAGACAATCAATAAAAATTAAGAATTAGAATTACGTAATCAAAGAGAAAAGTGGGGTGAATTTAAGAAAACTGTTACACCCTACAGAATCCTAGAAATCAATCTTTTTTTTTTTGAGACGGAGTTTCGCTGTTATTGCCCAGGCTGGGGTGCAATGGCGTGATCTTGGCTCACTCCACCTCCCCGGTTCAAGCGATTCTCCTGCCTCAGCCTCCAGAGTAGCTGGGATTACAGGCGTGCACCACCACACCTGCCTGAGTTTGTATTTTTGTAGAGACGGGGTTTCTCCATGTTGGTATGGCTGGTCTCAAACTCCTGACCTCGGGTGATCCACCCGCCTAGGCCTCCCGAAGTGCTGGGATTACAGGTGTGAGCCACCGTACCCAGCCCGAAATCAATTCTTTATTGCAGGGGCCTCCACAAAGAGGCCCTAATTTTGTAGAAGCATGACACTGCAGTGACAAATCACAGAGGAGTCAGGAAACCCAAATTTGAGATACACTAATTAGCTGCGTGATGGCGAATTAAGTGTATGGAGGTAAATACTATTTATTTCCCTATCTCAGAACTCTTCCAGAATACAAACTGTCACACATATGTCAGGAGCCCTATGGTAAATAATATACTACAAATATTCCAAATATTTGTAGCATATTACACTGCAAAATACAAATATTTGTATCATATTTGAGAACATAAATAGCTACAAATTTGAGAAAAAAGGCGAGCCACATTCCCTGAAAGGACTACTCACCCTAGAAGACTTTACATCAATATTTTATAATGATATCACCGTAATTCAGTTTATAGTTTATACATTTGTATTTATAATATGTAATTACATACATATATCCAGGTTTTCCTGCCCTAAGGCTGTGGAACTGCACTATAAAATAGTTACTAGTCGCATGTGGCTATTTAAACTTTAAATTTGATTTAAAAAATTCAGTTCCTTATTTGCACTAGCTGCTTTTCATGTACTTGAATTGCAAAACAGTGCAGAAACATTTCCATCAGCAAAGACACTCACAGCCACCCTCTAGCAACGTGCTAGTCCACACAATGGAACTAGGCATTAGGGCCTGAGCTGGTTGATTTGCCTGTGACTCCAAACACTTTCACAGATAACTTGTGTTCTTGAAGGGGATGGGAAAGAAATTACTATTTCTTGAGCATCCACCATATATTATATCCTATCTTGTCTCACCTTTACAAGAAAACTACAAGAAAGATAAAATCCCTTTTTAACAGATAAAAATATTTACATTCTGAGAGTTTACACAGCTTGCCCAAAATCACACAGTAAATGGCAGGGCTGATTCAAACCCAGTCCCAACTTCTAACCTCAGACTCCTCTTTAGCAGTAAATTGCCTTCTTTTGAGGAATTTACTTTCGGACTTTGAGGCAATGTCTCCCGCTTCCTCCCTCCATCTATAAATCTCACCTTTTTCTTCAAGCATCTGGGTCAAATCTTCTATTAGGGTCACCACTTCCTCACTACTCTCAGGATGTTGTGACTTTACCCAAATCCTGATCTCCCCAGGCAAAATGGTCAGGAACTGCTCAAACACCAGAAGCTCTAAAATCTGTTCTTTCGTGTGAATGTCTGGTCTCAGCCACTGATTGCAGAGCTCCCAGAGTTGACTCAGAGCTTTCCTGGGTCCAGCTACTTCTGAGTAACAAAACCACCTAAACCTCTGTCTGAAAGACTCTGCATCAGCAGCATTTCCTCTTAAAATAGCTTCTTGTTCCCCAGAAGTAACCACTCTTGGGACCTCATTTTGTTCAGTCGAGGCCAGAGTTTGAGGTTCTGGTGAGATGGCTGTCATCTTGTTCAAGGGCACTACAGCTTGCATTGTGTCTCAGGGGCAGGAATCCAGTCCCTTCACACTCTAGTTGAGTATCAGTACAGTCCACCAACAGGCACTATACACAGCCAGGAATATCAAAGGTTCCAGGAATCCAGTTTACAGTCCTGCAGAAACTGTCAAGAAGAAATATTAAGGCATTAAATAAGTAAAAAAACTGTTGTTAGTCCTAAAAACATCGTTCTTGGTTTGGTTCAGAGAAATATATCCACACACATACCAGCAAAGGCCTAGAAAAGCCCTGCTCAATTAAAAGGATAACTTTCTTTCTTTTTTTTTTTGAGACGGAGTTTCGCTCTTGGTGCCCAGGCTGGAGTGAAGTGGTGCGATCTCGGCTCACTGCAACCTCTGCCCCGGCTGGGTTCAAGTGATTCTCCTACCTCAGCCTCTTGAGTAGCTGGGATTATAGGCGCCCACCACCATGCCTGGCTAATTTTTGTATTTTTAGTAGAGACGGGGTTTCGCCATGTTGGCCAGGCTAGTCTTGAACTCCTGACTTCAGGCGATCCACCCACCTCAGCCTCCCAAAGTGTCAGGATTACAGGCGTGAGCCACTGTGCCCAGCCATAATTTTCTTTATAGTCAAAAACCAGGGAGCTACTTAAGGGTTAAGGAAACAGTTGCTTTAGATTGAATACTCCTCCTAAACAAAATGTTATCAGAAAAGGTTCACAAGGGGACCCAGTCACAAAGCTATTTAACAACTCCTACCCTTTCTTAATGAAAGGGCACACATTTCTCACTAGTTGCTCAACTCAGAAGCCCAATTTAATATTTGACTTTCAAATTTCTCTTCCTCCTTACTTCTCCCATCAATCGCCAAGTTCTGGCGATTTTATTTCCTAAGAACCTCTCCATTCTATCCTTCTGAAACTGCCTAAGTACAGGGTTCTTCACTCCAGTCTCACACTGTGGCCAAAAAATTCCTTCTAACATGCAAAATATGATCTTATCACTCCCCGGCTTACAGTCCCTCACCAGCCACCGAACTGTCTCTCGATAAAGTTCACATGCAGGGACCATGGCATTGTGATCTAGAGACACTGTCTGATGACCTCACCTCTTGAGCTCTAGCTACCCGATTGACACTACAGCCATAAATTAGTATCTCCTCTCTCTCTACATACTCTCCTAGCCTTTGCACCAAGGCTATTCCCTCTCCTCGGAATGTTGCTTTCTTTCTCCTACCAAACTTTTATTCGTCTTTAAAGCCTGACTCCTTTCAACTGTCACTTCTGGTGTGATGCTCTGCTTGATCCCAAAGCACTCCTTTGCACACAGACTGCCCTGTGTTGCATTCATTCATTCATTCTATAAGTGACGGAGCAACTACAATGAGCTGGAACGAGACCAGGGGCCATGAGCTGCGGGGCCAGGCGTGGACAGGCCTGAAAGGGTCCTCACGCTCACAGAGGGTCCAGGAAATGACAATACAGCCGGAGCGGGACTACAATGCGACAAGTGAAGGATGTGACAGCCTCGCATTGCAACTACCATACCAATAACAACCCACTTCCGAGTACAGCGCCCGGCACACAGCAGCATGACGTCATTTATTCCTCTGCCAAATATTAGGCGCCCACCACGTACCTGGCGCCGTGCTGAGCACCTGGGGCTCCGCGATGACTAAGACACTCGGCTCCGTCTACAGGGAGTTTACATAGGAGGCCCGGTGAAAATGTGACGCAGCCAGAGGATCTCAACCAGAGGGAAGAAAAAAGGAGAGATTTCACCCCCCAGCGGTCCTCTGGCAATGTCTGGACACATTTTTGGTTAGCTCGACTAGGACGAGAGGTGGTACTGTTATCTAACGGGCAGAACCAGTGACGCTGTTAAACATCCTGCCACAACGGGAGAGCCTCCCCCTCACCGCCACACCACAAACAAAACAAGGCATTATCCCGCCCAAAATGTCAACAGTGCCCAAGTGGCGCAGGGAGGGATGGAGGGAAGCCAACAGCCCCATCCCGCAGCGGAGTGCGCACCTCCCACAGAAGCAGCAGCAGCGCAGCGCACAGCCCGTTGGTAGGCTGCTCCCGGCCCCCATCCCGCCCCAAGTGCGCCCTCGGAGCCGGCGACCCGGCCACGGCCCCGAAACTCGGGGCCCGGGACGACCAGTACCTGCATCAGCATCCGCAAACAGCACCAACGCCACCGCAAAGAGCTTCCAGAAGCTTGTCCCGCAGCGAGTGCGCGCGCAAGCCTGCGGGAACCACTGCGCCTGCGCAGAGGCGCTGAACCGGACTCCCCGAACGCGCTCGTGCAGCTTTCCGAAAGTCCGCGCTTTCCATAGGCTCCCACCTGCCTGTTGCGCATGGTCACTGGGAAGCGGCTAGTGGGCTCGGCTGCAGAATTATTGCTGCGCCAGAGGCTCAGAGGCCTAGAATCGTATGAGGTTTGCAGATCCAGGAGGCTCCATCTGTTTAGTAACCTCAGACCTTCCCTACCCGCTCCCATCACTTCCATTCCCTGAAATCTAAGGTGGAAAAATCCACCGCAGAAGCATATTACCGATGCATTTAATGCAAGCCATAATTAATGCCACAACTTGAGTTAAACACATATTAATCTTATGACTTCCACACCTGCCCCCATGGTCCAGTCCACCCTCATGGCTCACCTGGATTATTGCAATAGCTTCTTGATTATACCTTACTTCTCTTGGCTATTCTCCACAGCCAGACGGACGTTTTAAAAACGTCAAATTATGACCCTCCTTTGCTTAAAACCCTGCAATGGTTTCCCATTTCACTCAGAGTTAAAACCCAAGTCTTTATAGTGGCCTACAAGGCCTGATGGAATCTAGCCCCTGTAACCTCCCGCACCTCTTCCCCACTTTCCTGCTCCAATCTTGATAGACCCCTTCCTCTTCTTGTAACCTGCCAGGTACTTCCGGCTGACCTGCTCCTTCCCTAAGTGGCCATACGGCCCGCTCTCTCATCCCTTCAGGTCTTCTCAATGAAGCTCTCCCACCATTCCACTTAAATAGGAATCCCACCTTACTCTTGTTTCCTCTTCTAACATGCCCTATAGGTTTGTTAATTTTTTTTTTTACTACTTGTCCGCCTTCTCCAGTAGAATACTAATTTCAGAAGAGTAAGTATTTTTATTTCATTTGTTCTAGGTTGTGTGTTTAGGTCCTGGAACAGGACTTGGCCCATGGCAGGCACTCAATAGATATTTGTTGAGCTTATGAATGAGTATTTGCATGGATTATTGGGGGCATTGCAAAAAGGGCCAAAGAACTCCAGAAAAATTGTTTGGAGGGTTCTAATAACTGGATGATCCCTGAAGGGGTGGAGTTAGGAGAGAAAGACTAGATTCATTCTAGACTGAAGGAGCAAGGTGATTCAAGGCCCTGAGACTTCAAAAGGGCAGAGCAAGCTCAACTAAATGAACCACTCCTCTCAAAAGGAGTGGGCTTATCACAGGCAGCAAGTCAAGCTGAAGAGACAGGGCTGAGAATGGCCGGGCGCGGTGGCTCATGCTTGTAATCCCAGCACTTTGGGAGGCTGAGGCGGGTGGATCACCTGAGGTCGGGAGTTTGAGACCAGCCTGACCCACGCGGAGAAACCCTGTCTCTACTAAAAATACAAAAAATTAGCCAGGTGTGGTGGCACATGCCTATAATCCCAGCTACTCGGGAGGCTGAGGCAGGAGAATCACTTGAATCCGGGAGGTGGAGGTTGTGAAGAGCTGAGATCAGGCCATTGCGCTTTAGCCTGAGTAACGAGTGAAACTCCGTCTCAAAAAAAAAAAAAGAGAAAAAAAAGAAACAGGGCTGAGAATGAAGACAAAAGTTTTCTCAGTCCCGAGTCCCATGGCATATTCTCCTTTACCCACCTCCCCTTGGCTGGCTTTAGACGCATCAGGAAGAAGCTGGAGAAGGCAAAGGAATAGGAAATGTCTATTGGCTCATTATTTTAACCAGGCAAGTCAGAGGCACTTTACTTAGTAAAGCTTACTCAAGCTTTACTGTACTTTAGAATCACATGGTGTTCTTTATTTGAATACAGATTTTGGAACCTTCTGGCCCTCCCCACCCATCAACTTGTTGCAGGTGATCTTGTATTTTGAGAAACACAGTACTAGTTGAAATATTCTGTAAGTAAATGACATGCTACCTATGAATAAATTACCAGGAAAGAATGGCATCTTTTTGGAACTGGTAGTCAAACTATAACTTTTGATTAAAAGTAACCATCATGGTAAGGAGTGATGGACTGTGCATCAGGAAGGAAGCAGGAAACTACAAATCAGTTCCACTGGTAAGCAAGCTGGTGGGATCTCTAAACAGGAAAACATACTTAGGAGAACTTTAAGTGAGCTGTTTGTTTGTTCGTTTAACTGTTCTGGTTTCAGTATGGACAGTAGATTAGAAAGAAGTAACACCAGAGATAAAAAGACTTTGTCTTATCATAATCCAGGTAACATGATGGTGACATAAAATGAAGGTGGTTTAAAAGGTGATGGAAGGGCCGGGCTGGTGGCTCACGCCTGTAATCCCAGCACTTTGGGAGGCCGAAGTGGGCGGATCACGAAGTCAGGAGATTGAGACCATCCTGGCTAACGCGGTGAAACCCCATCTGTACTAAAAATACAAAACTTAGCCGGTCATGGTGGCGCCTGCCTGTAATCCCAGCTACTCAAGAGGCTGAGGCAGGAGAATCACTTGAACTCAGGGGGGCAGAGGTTGCAGTGAGCTGAGATTGCGCCACTGCACTCCAGCCTGGGCGACAGAGTGAGACTTCATCTCAAAAATAAAAAAAAAAAAAAGAAAGAAAGTAGAATCCTACAGTACATATTCTTCATATATTATGACTTCTTTCATTCAACATTATGTCTGTGAGATTTATCAATATTGTTGCATGTGATTATACAGTGTTTATTTTCATTGCTGCATAGTGTTCTCCTATGATTTTTTTGTGTGTATTTGTTTTTTTTTTTTTTTTTTGGAGACGGAATGTCGCCCAGGCTGGAGTGCAGTGCAGTGGTGTGATCTCAGCTCAGCTCACTGCAATCTCCACCTCCCAGGTTCAAGCAATTCTCCTGCCTTAGCCTCCTGAGTAGCTGGGATTACAGGGGCTCACCACCACACCTGGCTAATTTTTGTGTTTTTAGTAGAGATGGGGTTTTGCCATGTTGGCCAGGCTGGTCTCAAACTCCTGACCTCAGGTAATCTGCCCACCTTGGCCTCCCAAAGTGCTGGGATTACAGGGGTGAGCCACTGCTCCTGGCCTGACCTGTTATTTGTATTAACATTTCCTGTTTTCTTAGACCCTTGCCCAGCCTCTGTTCCCGTACACAGAGTTGGGGAGGAAGTATGTATGATTGTTTGTGTATCTGAAGGGGAGAGTCTGTCTAATTTTCCTGTCTTCTTTCTTTTTTTCTTTTGTTTTTTTTTTTTGAGACGGAGTCTAGCTCTGTCACCCAGGCTAGAGTGCAGTGGTGCGATTTCGGCTCACTGCAACCTCCGCCTCCCGGGTTCAAGCAGTTCTCCTGCCACAGCCTCCCAGGTAGCTGGGATTACAGGCGCCTGCCACTGCGCCCGGCTAATTTTTGTATTTTTAGTAGAGATGGAGTTTCACCATCTTGGCCAGGCTGGTCTTGAACTTCTGACCTCGTGATCCACCCGCCTCGGCCTCCCAAAGTACTGGGATTACAGGCGTAAGCCACTGCGCCCGGCTTCCCTGTCTTCTTTCTAGACTCACTCCACTTTAAAGAAACTGAAGACCCAAGGTCCTGCCCACCCCTCCCCATATCCTATTTTTTCAAAAATGAGACCCAGCGCAGGGAGGGGCTTGCCCAAGGTCACTCAACTGGTAGATTGGAAACTGACTGGCTCTGAGCCCAAGGCTTTTAGGAGAAAGGAGCACATCTTCCCCATCTCTAGAGGGAGGAGGACAGGCTGGGACTCTGATCAAGGATCTAAAACAGGTGTTTTAAAACTAGTTGTTAATTGCCAAACTGTCCAAAAGAAATATTACAGATGAAAGAGGTGCATTCCTGATTGAAGTCCTGGCTTCCCCACCTAGCAGCTTTGGAGTTATCTCCTTAAGACCCTCAGGGCTCTTGTGCATCCACTTTGGAGGCCTCTGAGCTCTAAAGGTTTGAGCTGCCTCAAGGACACCAAGTCCTTGTTTCCAGGTGCCTCCAGTCCTGGTTTAACTGGGACTCCAAAGATCCCAGAGCCACTCTAGGGGAGCTGACCCTCTCCTGAAAAGAAATAACAAAAAATTCCTCCTGCCTGGCTCTGTAGAGCCACAGAGGGTGGTATGTTCCAGAAAGAAAGAAAGAAAGAAAAAGAAATAGCAAGCAAGTGAGCTACGAAGCTCCCGTAAGGATCCACTAGAGAGAAAGGGGATGAAGACAGAGAGTGTGGGAATATGCTGTAGAGTGAAGACTGAGAAACTAGGGGGAAGCACAAGTGGAGAAATTAGCTTTAAACTGCCAGAGCCAGCATGCAGTGTTCATTGTAATAGCAGGGAAGGAGGCAAAGAAGGGGGTAGATGCAGTTGGATTTGGAACTGGTATCTAATGGATCCTGCTGAGATCCACTATTGGGACCTCCCCAGAAGGGAGATACGGGTGGGATCTGAAGCTTGATAAGAGTAGATTAGGTTTGGCCGGGCGTGCTGGCTCACACCTGTAATCCCAGCACTTTGGGAGGCCAAGGCAGGCAGATCACGAGGTCAGGAGTTCGAGACCAGCCTGGCCAACATAGTGAAACCCTGTCTCTACTAAAAATACAAAAAAAAAATTAGCCGGGCATAGTGGTACGCGCCTGTAGTCCCAGCTACTTGGGAGGCTGAGGCAGGAGAATCACTTGAACCTGGGAGGTGGAGGTTACAGTGAGCTGAAACCACGCCATTGCACTCCAGCCTGGGTGACAGAGCCGAGACTCCATCTCAAAAAAAAAAAAGAGTAGATGGCTGCTGGGAGAATATGAGTTGATCACAAAAACACAGAAGGATTTCCCTGCAGTGTTAAGGGCCCATTTGAGGTTAGAAACCCCCATTTTATGTTACATCAATATGTACATTAAATGATTTTTCTCAAGGTACACAACATAGCTCCAGAATAGGTACAGGGAAGAGGGACAGTTGAATTGATCCAGGGGATGGGGGTTGTAGCATAAGTTTGACAGGAGGACAGTGGGATAACCAGTTGAGGATATGAGCAAAAGTTTGTTTAAAATGATTTATGATGGAGTCCAATTTAGGTAAGGAAGATGAAGATAAGAGTTAGTTAACATAAAAGAAGAAAAGAGAGCTGGGCATGGCGGCATGCGCCTATAGTCCCAGCTTCTCAGGAGGCTGATGCAGGAGGATTGCCAGAGGCCAGGAGTTCGACACCAGCCTGGGCAACATAGTGAGACTCTGTCTCTTAAAAAAAGAAAGAATGAGCCAGGTGTGGTGGCTCACGCCTGTAATCTCAACACTTTGAGAGGCCGAGGTGGGTGGATCACTTGAGCCAGGAGTTTGAGACCAGCCTGGGCAACATAGCAAGACCCATCTCTATAAAAAATTTTAAAAATAGCCGGGCATGGTGGTGCATGACTGTGGTTCCATATACTCAGGAGGCTGAGGAAGGAGGATCTCTTGAGCCCAGGAAGTTGAGACTGCAGTGAGCTCTGATTGTGCCACTGCACTCCAGCCTGGATGACAGAGTGAGACCCTGTCTCTAAAACAAAAAAAGAAAAAAAAGAATGAACGAATGAAAAAGAAGAAAGTAGAGAGATTAAAGGACAAGCGAAATCAAAGCATCAAAGCTTAATAAATAACGTACTTATGGCCGGGTGCTGTGGCTCACACCTGTAATCCTAGCACTTTGGGAGGCTGAGGCAAGTGGATCACCTGAAGTCAGGAGTTCAAGACCAGCCTGGCCAACATGGCGAAACCCCATCTCTACTAAAAGTACAAAAAATTAGCCAGGTGTGGTGGCAGGCACCTGTAATCCCAGCTACTTGGGAGGCTGAGGCAGGAGAATCGCTTGAACCCGGGAGGCGGAGGTTGCAGTGAGCCGAGATCACCCCATTGCACTCCAGCCTGGGTGACAGAGCAAGACTCTGTCTCAAAATAATAATAATAATAATGATAATAATAATGTACTTATAAAGTTAAATATATACTTACTATATGACCCGGCAATCCCACTTCTAGGTATTTACTCATGAAAAATGAAATCATGTCCACAAAAATATCTGTCTGGAAATGCTTATGTATGTTTTATTAACACTTGCCAAAAACTGCAAATAACTCAAATGTGTAGCAACTAGTGAACAGATAAATAAATTGTCTTACATTCATACAATGAAATACTACTCAGCAACAGAAAGGAATGAACTACTGATGAGGGAGCAGGGACCCCTCTTATGGGCCTGCAGGCCCCCCTCACACATGAAAATAAAGGAAAATCTTGAGTTCCTTCAAGGGAAATTCCAGGCACTTAGCTAGCCCTGAGAAGTAAGTGAACCACTTGATAAGCAAGAAGGGGGTAATAGTAGCGTAAAACAATAGCCAAGGAAGTTAGAATCACAAGATATTTGGTTCCCTATAGAAACTAAAGATAACATCATAACATATGTTCCTGAGTTGTTTTTCAGAAACTCAGACCCCCACCAAACAGATCTGCTGTCTTGTAGAATTCAGATAAGCGGGAACTGAGGACTAAATTCTGACTGCTCTTCTTTGTTCTAAATTTCTTCCTGAGAGGCATAAAGGAAGTCATACCCATGGGCCAGAGCTAACATTCTTTTCTGCTGATCCCAAATTTTTAGACTTTAGAAAAAAAAATTTTTTTTTTTTTGAGGCGGAGTTTTGCTTTTATTGCCCAGGCTGGAGTGCAATGGCGCGATCTCAGCTCACCACAACCTCCGCCTCCTGGGTTCAAGCGATTCTCCTGCCTCAGCCTCCCAAGTAGCTAGGATTACAGGCATGCGCCACCGCACCAAGCTAATTTTGTATTTTTAGTAGAGACGGGGTTTCTCCATGTTGGTCAGGCTGGTCTTGAACTCCTGACCTCAGGTGATCCATCCTGCCTTGGCCTCCCGACGTGCTGGGATTTCAGGCGTGAGCCACTGCGTCTAGCCACTTTAAAACAAAATTAAAGCTTTACCTCCTTAACCAATCAGAAATCAGAAAACCTTTGAATCCACCTATGACTTCTGGGCTTCTGTTTTGAGAGGTCTAGCCTTTTTAAGTCAACTCAATGTGTAGCCTCCATATATTGATTTATGATAGTGCCTGTAACTTCTGCTCCCTGCCTTTAAAAACTCTTACATATAAGCCATCCAAGGGGTTGGGTCTTAAGCATGAGCTGCTCAGTTCTCCTTGCTTGGTGCCCTGGAGATAAACACCCTCCTTTCTCCAGCTACAAACCTCAGTGTGGATGTTTGGCCTTACTTGCTGGGCAAGCAGACCCAGTTTGATTTGGTAACAGATACATGCAATGATGTGGCTGAATCTCAAAAGCAGTATGCTAGGTGAGAGATGCGAGATGCAAGAAGGTAGACCCTGTATAATTCCATTTATGACATTCTAAAAAAAACAGAATTATAGGGACAGAAATCAGATAAGTGGTTGCCAGGGGATGGGAGTGTAGAGAAGTGCCCAAGGGAATTTGGGGGATAATGAAAATGGTGGTTACATGATTGTATTTACCTGTCCAGTTGAATATTGCATTGTATAGATTTGTCAAATGGAATTGTGCACCTTAAAAGTGTGAATTTTACCTCAATAGAAATGAAAGCATATTTCCACACAAAGACTTAGATATGATTGTTCACAGCAGCTTTATTTAAAATAGTCAAAACCTGTAACTATCTGTAATGTCCGGCAAATGGTGAGTGGATAAACAATAGTGGTTCATCCACACGATGGAATACTGCACTATCCACTGATAAAAAGGAATGCACTATTGATACATGCCACAACAGGGATGAAATCTCAAAGTGAAAGGAATGAAAAACGTATAGTATAACATTCCATTTATAGAAAATTTGAGAAAATATAAACTAATCTGTAGTGATAGATCAGTTGTTGCCTGTAAAGGGAGGAGGTGGAGAGAGGGAGAAATTACAAAGGGACATCAGAAAACTTTTGGAGGTGACAGATATGTTCATTATACTATTGCAATGATGGTTTCATGAGTGTACAAGTATGTCAGAATTCATCGGCCAGGTGCAGTGGCAACTCATCAAATTGTACTCTTTCTTTAAAATTTTTAATTTAATTTTTTTTTTGAGACAGAGTCTCACTCTGTCATCTAGGCTGCAGTGCAGTGGCATGATCTCGGCTCACTGCAACCTCTCCTCCCAGGTTCAAGCGATTCTCCCACCTCAGCCTTCCGAGTTGTTGGGATTACAGGCACGTGCCACCATGTCCAGCTAATTTTTGTATTTTTAGTAGAAATGGGGTTTCACTATGTTGGCCAGGCTGGTCTCGAACTCCTGACCTCAGGTGATCTGCCCACCTCGGCCTCCCAAAGTGCTGGGATTACAGGCATGAGCCACCGCACCTGCTCTGTACTCTTTAAATATATGCAGTTTATTGTTCATCAATTAAGCCTAGATAAAGCTTTAGAAAATTATATGGCAATAAACTTGACTTTGGGAAAAGAAGGGGAGCACGGAAAAAACGTTCAAGGAAATGAAAGGCCAAAGTGCGGGATGGCTCCATGGATGGATGTCAGCATCCAAGATACTCCAAGACTTGGGATGTAGGGGAAGATGTAAGCTAAGTGAGCACTGATATGGGAGCAACTGGAGGAGCAAGGGTGCTGAGCCTAACACCTGTCCCAGTGGCAGGCCAGGTGTGAGAGATCTAGCAGTTTATACTAGTGAGGGCTGCACAGGGAAAAGCATCAGATAAGGTAGGAACATCAGATAAGTGTTAATAGTGTTAAAAGAAAAGCTTTAGACAAATTAAATTTGACAGAGTTTTTTTTGAGCAAAGAATAATGCATGAACTGGGCAGCCCTCAGAACCAGAAAAGGTTCAGAGAACACAGTGTGGGCCGGCAGTGTTTATAGACAGAAAATGGAAGTGAGGTACAGACACTGCTGGATTGCTTACAGCTCTACTTTGCCTTATACTTTGCCATGGTCTGATCAGTTGGCAGCCTGTGATTGGCTGAAGCTTAGCTGCTGTGATTGGCTGCAATTCAGCTATCTGTTTCAAAAGTATGCTCCCAAGTTAGGCTTTCAGTTTGTTTACATGCCAAGCTAGGTTGCAGTTCCTTATGTAGGGACTCAAGGTACAGAGGCAGCCTCAGGCCAAATTTAGTTTAACAATCCGTTCTGTGAAGCTGTTGAGGATGCAGGGGAATTTGTGAAGACTAAATCGGTTCCAGAGGCCTCAGTGGAGGGTTTGAGGGTGGTTGTGAGAGGGTGGGTCAGCCTGGAAAGAATGCATGGAAGCGTGGGGTTTCTAGCACAGGAATAGAAGTATCCCACCTTCTCTTGGGGCAGGAGGGCAGGGGCAGAAAGGGACTGGGATTATCAGAGAGACAAAGCATTTCTTAGTCTAGGGTAAATTCAAACTGGATTCCAGCAATTATTTTCCCTCTGCCTGATATTTGTTGACCTAGAGGAAAGCAGCGTAGGCAAAATTAATATAAGCAGGGAGTTTATTTGAGCCAAGTTTGAGGAAGCACAGATTCATGTTGCCTTTTATACACTCTGATTAGCAGCACTTACAAGAGGTTTTTGTTTTTGTTTTGTTTTGTTTTTGAGACAGGGTGTCACTCACAGTCTCTGTTGCCCAGGCTGGAGTGCAATGGTGTGATCGCAGTTCACTGCACCTCAACCTCCTGGACTCAGGTGATCCTCCCACCTCAGCCTCCCAGGTATCTGGAACCACAGGTATGCACCACCACTTGCACAGCTAATTTTTAAATTCAGTGGGATCTCCCTACATTACCCAGGCTGGTCTCAAACTCCTGGCCTCAAGCAATCCTCCTGCCTCAGCCTGCCAAAGTGCTGGGATTACAGATGTGAGCCACCTTGCCCAGATGGATTTTTAAAGGAAAAGAAGAGGTAGTTCCTAAGTTATTTACCAATAATTCACATTAAAATAACATATTGATTGGCTATACATAATTTTTTGTATCACAAATTTCAGGAGCATGAAAATAATGGGTGAGACAGCTAGTCAGGCTTTAAACAGTTGCCACCAGGTATGGGTGTGGGGGCTGACTCATGTTTCTCTTGCAGACCTCACAGTGCTCAGACTGCTGTGAGCCATCTTTCTTTTCTCATATTGATAGTATTGTTTGCCTACAGATCTTTCTTACCTTGTAGATACTGGCCCAGTCCAATTACAAAGCTAATCTAGGCAGAGGCACAGTGGATGGCTATGGGTGGGGGCCTTGGAATTCTTTGAGGCCCCTTCCTCCCCATGAAACACACTGGGCACTTATGTTGCTCCCACTTTCTCTCAGTCTCCTTTGAGGCCACATGACCTGGGAGTCATTTTCCATGCTCAACATTGGATGCCAGCCCTCCCCAAAAGTCCTCATTGTTGGGTCCTGATCTGCCTGGGGACAAGAGACAAGGGCAGGCTGCAATTTAGCCAAATGATTTTCTAAGTGTGTCAACCTTACCAAGTCACAGTTGATGTCCTTGCTGGCTTAGAAATGTTCACCTTTGCTTTGGTCCTAGCTGGGCATGTTCTGATTTGCTTTACAACTTGGCTTTTGTCTTTATGAGTAATCTTTTTCCTTCTCTATCACTCCTCTTATTATAAGACACATCCACTAGTTTTTGAAAATAAGTGGCTGGGAGAGGGGAGATGATAAATAATTAATGTTTGTTTAGATAGCCCAACATTGCCAAAACCCATCTTAGCCTTTCCCTAGTTTCCTCTCCCATGGTTAGTGGCATTATCTACTCTGTTCTCTAAACTGGAAACCTTGGGAATGATTTCCCTGCTCCTGAATTCCTACATTTATCTGTCTTTGAATTGTTTTTTGAGGCCAAGTGCGGTGGCTCATGCCTGTAATCCTAGGACTCTGGGAGGCTGAGGCAGGTGAATTGCCTGAGCTCAGGAGTTTGAGACCAGCTTGGCCAACAAGGTGAAACTCTGTCTCTACTAAAAATACAAAAAATTAGCCGGGTGTGGTGGCAGGCACCTGTAATCCCAGCTACTCTGGAGGCTGAGGCACGAGAATCACTTGAACCTGGGAGGCAGACGTTGCAGGCTGCACTCCAGCCTCGGCGACTGAGCAAGATTCTGTCTCAAAAAAAAAAGGAAATGAATTGTCTCTTGAATTTGAAATCCAATTCTCTGTCTCTGTTACTTTCATCTGGAATATTGCGTAGTTGTTTTCCCATTGTCCTTTCCTCCATTCACATTTATTTGAGTATACAGATGAATTAAATATGGTATGACAGTTTAATGCAATTGGACACTAACAGTTAAGATAAAAACAAATCACAGTGGATTACATAATTCTTATTGTCTCATAAAAAGAATTATTGAAGTTTTCCTGATATTCATACTTTTTCCTGGCACTAGATTCTAGAAAAAGCTATTCCTTGGTTAAATTGACCAGTAGAAAACATACTCGTCATTTTTTTCAAGGGGTTTTCCTTCTATTTTCTTTTTTGAGATAGGGTGTTGCTCTGTCGCCCAGGCTGGAGTCCAGTGGCGCAATCTGGGCTCACTGCAACCTCTGCCTCCCGGGTTCAAGCGATTCTCCTGCCTCAGCTGCCCGAGTCATTGGGATTACAGGCATGCATCACCATGCCCAGCTAATTTTTGTATTTTTGGTAAAGATGGGGTTTCACCGTGTTGCTCAGGCTGGTGTCAAACTCCTGGACTCAAGTGATCTGCCCGCCTTGGCCTCCTAAAGTGCTGGGATTGCAGGCATGAGCAAACGCACCCGGCCAGGAATTTCCTTTTTTAGAAATTTTAAAACATTTCTAGCTGTGATGGCTCATGACAGCTCATTGCTTGAGGACAGGAGTTCAAGACCAGCCTGGGCAACATCTTGAGACCCATCTTTAAATAGAAAGAGGCTAGGTGAGGTGGCTCACACCTGTAATCCTAGCACTTTGAGAGGCCAAAGTGGGAAGATCATTTGAGCCCAGGAGTTGGAGACCAGCCTGTGAAACAGAGAGAGACCCATGTCTCTATGAAAAAAGAAAAAGAAAATAACCAGGTGTGTTAGCATGCACCTCTAGTCTCAGCTACTCAGGAAGCTGACTTGGGAGGATTGCTTGAGCCCAGTAGTATGATCGAGGCTGCAGTGAGCCATGATCATGCCATTGCTCTCCGGCATGGGCGACAGAGGAAGACCCTGTCTCTTGAAAAAGAAAAGAAAAACAGTACTGAAGCAAAACAGCTCTGCAAGCCTAAGTAAAACCTAAGGCAAAGCCCTACCTTTGAAAGCTAGTGGAGCTAGCTGAAGGAAAGAGGCATTGAAATCTAGTCTGTGACAAGTTAAATTTCCCAAAAATGATATACCCAGAGCTGAATTTAATGGAACTTAGTGAACAATTAGCCCATGTATTCCATTCTGTGTATTTTACTAGAAGGTGTTACAAATATGCATTTGATGTGTGTAATCTGTTCAAGACTGAGTTCTTAGACAAATGCCTCAAGGGAGGATCTTATGTGCTTTTGATTGAAGAAATCCATAGTGTACCAAATGATTAGGTGGTAATGTCCACTCTGTTATGAGTATTGTGAATAGAACTGCCTATACCCAGAGATAGGACCAGTATGTGGATCCTCACTCTCATGCAAGTCTTTTTTTTTTTTTTTTTTTTTTTTTTTGAGACAGAGTCTTGCTCTGTTTCCCAGGCTGGGGTGCAGTGGCATGATTTTGGCTCACTACAACCTCCGCCTCCTAGGTTCAAGTGTGATTCTCCTGCCTCAGCCTCCAAGTAGCTGGGATTACAGGCTCATGCCACCATGCCCGGCTAATATTTGTATTTGTATATTTTTATTTTATTTTTTTGGAGACTGAGTCTCGCTCTATTACCCAGGCTGGAGTGCAGTGGTGCAATCTTGTCTCCCTGCAACCTCCACCTCCTAGGTTTGAGCGATTCTCCCTGCTTCAGCCTCCCATGTAGCTGGGATTACAGGTGCCTGCCACCATGCCCAGCTAATTTTTTTTTTTTTTTGCATTTTTAGTAGAGACTGGGTTTCACCATGTTGGCCAGGCTGGTCTCGAACTCCTGACCTCAGGTGATCCACCCGCCTTGGCCTCCCAAAGTGCTGGTATCGGGGGAACCAGCTCCCAATATTTCAACGTAGGTTCTTTCTATTTTCCCTAAGTGTTGGCCCGTCTGAGAAATAAAGAGAAAGAGTACAAAGAGAGAAATTTTACAGCTGGGCCTCCGGGGGTGTCATCACATATTGGTAGGACCATGATGGCAACCCTGAGCTGCAAAACCGGCAAGTTTTTATTAGGGATTTTAAAAGGAGAGGGGGTGTACGAACAGGGAGTAAGTCACAAAGATCACATGCTTCAAGGGGCAATAAAGATCACAAGGCAAGGCAAAATTAGAATTACTGATGAGGGCCTATGTCCTGCTGTGTGCGCATTGTCTTGATAAACATCTTAACAGGAAACAAGGTTCGAGAGCAGAGAACCGATCTGACTAGAATTTACCCGGCTGGAATTTCCCAATCCTACTAAGCCTGAGGGTACTGCAGGAGACCAGGGATATTTCAGTCCTTATCTCAACTACATAAGACAGACACTCCCAGAGTGGCCGTCTATAGACCTACCCCCAGGAATGCATTCCTTCCCCAGGGTCTCAATTATTAATATTCCTTGCTGGGAAAAGAATTCAGCAATATTTCTCCTACTCACATGTCTGTCTACAGGCTTTCTGCAAGAAGAAAAATATGGCTGTATTCTGCCCAACCCCACAGGCAGTCAGACCTTATGGTTATCTTCCCTCGTTCCCTGAAAATTGCTGTTATTCTGTTCTTTTTCAGGGTGCACTGATTTCATATTGTTCAAACACACATATTTTACAATCAATTTGTACAATAGTGGTCCTGAGGTGACGTACATTCTCAGTTTATGAAGATAACAGGATTAAGAGATTAAAGTAAAGACAGGCATAAGAAATTATAAGAGTATTGGTCGGGGAAGTGATAAATGTCCATGAAATCTTCACAATTTATGTTCAGAGATTACAGTAAAGACAGGCGTAAGAAATTATAAAAGTATTAATTTTGGGAACTGATAAATGTCCGTGAAATCTTCACAATTTATATTCTTCTGCCTCGGCTCCAGCTGGTCCCTCCATTTGGGGTCCCTGACTTCCTGCAACATTCTGGGATTACAGGCATGAGACACCGCGCCCAGCCTCATACAAATCTTTTAATGCCCCAAGTTTCTTTAATCCTTTCTTAACCACCAAATGACTTATTCTTTTCCTTCCCCTGTGTTTCTCTCATTCAGAAATTCCACTTACTCATATATAACACCTTACTTATGCCAGGAAGATGTGCAGATACTATTATCAGAAAAAAAAAGTCAAAAAACATATATGGAGTCTATAGGACAAATAGCTGAGTATAGTGTTTACTGCATGTGTTACAGTGTTTCTGGTAACAGTTCAGCTAGTAAGCATTGGACAACTAGTAAAGAGGTAGAACTGGGATTCCAAACCAGGCAGCACAGCTCCTGAACCTGTGTTCCACTATATACCACATAGTTGTCTGATGGCTTGGGGGTTTTTTTTGTTTGTTTGTTTGTTTGTTTTTGAGACAGGGTCTTGCTCAGTTGCCCAGGCTGGAGTGCAATGGTGTGATCATGGCTCACTGCAGCCTCCACCTCCCACGTCAGCCTCCCAAGTAGCTGGGATTACAGGCATGCACCACCACATCTGGCTAATTTTTGTATTTTCATGGAGATGGGGTTTTGCCATGTTGGTCAGGCTGCTCTCAAACTCCTGAGATGAAGCAATCTGCCCACCCCAGCCTCGCAAAGTGCTGGGATTACAGATGTGAGCCACCACACCCAACCTGTTTCTCTTTTTCTTTTTTTTTTTTTTTTTAAGTTTTCTCTTCACTGAACATTCAGTTAACCCTACAGGGAACCCTATTTCTCTCTAGTCTACGCTCTTTCTCTATTTCTTAATACCATAGTCTCCTCTGGGATTTTTACTCCTTAGGCCTCTCTGCAGGGTAGCCACAAGGTTCATGAGATCAAGATGACCTTTCTTCCTGGAAGGGCAACCTAGGATGTTTCCTCTCCTCAGATAGAAGGCTTAGGTCTTTCACAGTGAGACAAACTCACTTTTGTCTTGCAGATAGCAAGGTTTGTCCATTATAATTTATGCATTTGTTTTATTATTTTTTTGAGATAAGGTCTCACTCTGTCACCCGGGCTGGAGTGCAGTGGCACAATCACAGCTGACTGCAACCTCCACCTCCCATGCTCACGTGATCCTCCAGCCTGAGCCTCCCAAGTAGCTGGGACCACAGGCATGCATGACCATGCCTGGCTAATTTTCATATTTTTTGTAGAGATGGGGTTTGCCATGTGGCCAGGCTGGTCTTGAACTCCTGAGCTCAAGTGATCCACCTGCCTCAGCCTCCCAAAGTGTTGAGATTACAGGTGTGAGCCACCATGCCTGGCTACTTTTTTTTTTTTTTCTTTTTTTTGAGACAGAGTCTTACTCTGTCGCCCAGGCTGGAGTGCAGTGGCACTATCTCGGCTCACTGAAAGCTCCGCCTCCCAGGTTCACGCCATTCTCCTGCCTCAGCCTCCCAAGTAGCTGGGACTACAGGCACCCGCCACCACAGCCAGCTAATTTTTTTGTATTTTTTTAGTAGAGACGGGGTTTCACCGTGTTAGCCAGGATGGTCTTGATCTCCTGACCTCATGATCTGCCCGCCTCAGCCTCCCAAAGTGCTGGGATTACAGGTGTGAGCCACCGCGCCCAGCCACGCCTGGCTACTTGATGCATTATGTTGCTAATAAATGATCTCTTGAGGAGGAGAGGAAGTACAGAACTGGGTAAAAGGGAATGGAAATTCCCAGAGGGCACAGTTTCCACTCTGCGGGTATGCCACAAAGTTTCTGTAGGTCAAGTTGAACTTTGTTTCTGGTTCTTACCTGGAAAGATAGCCTAGATTCTTTTTTTTTTTTTTTTTTTTTTAAACAGAGTCTCGCTCTGTTGCCCAGGCTGAAGTGCAGTGGTGCCATCTGGGCTCACTGCAGTCTCCACCTCCCCGGTTTAAGTGATTCTCCTGTCTCAGCTTCCGGAGTAGCTGGGACTACAGGTGCATGCCACCACACCTGGCTAATTTTCATATTTTAGTAGAGATGGGGTTTCACCTTGTTGGTCAGGCTGGTCTCGAACTCCTGGCCTCAGGTGATCCACCTGCCTCGGCCTCCCAAAGTGCTGGGATTATAGGGGTGTGCCACCACGCCTGGCTGATGGCCTAGATTCTTCTTTCCATAGCAGAAAGCTTAGATTTTTCAGATTCCTCAGAGAAGAGCATCTTTAAAACAGACTTTTGTCTTACTAACTTTGATGCATTATTATGCTACTGAAATCTACTTATCTATTACTTTGTTTTGCCAATAACTTCTACCTTCAGGAAGGAAAGAAGGGGGTGATAGAGGAAACAATGCCGTATATACTTCCATATTGGCTTGCCTTATTATGACTTAATTATATCCAGGACTCTGCCTCATGGCATATTTTCAACCGTGACCTATCAATTTACAGTGGTCACTTGATCAAATCAATAGATAAGAAGGGAAACAAATATAGCCTATTAATGCAGTTGTTTTGTGATAATTCTTTGGGAGTGTAATCTCATAATTGCAAGCATTGGATATGATTGTAAATAAGCCTTTCATTTTGTTTTTGTAGTAAAATATTCATTATTTTGAAAATTCCAATCCTGCAGCAAAGTAGTAAGAATAGCACAAAATAATACTCTAATACCCTTCATCTGGTTTTGCCAGATGATGACATTTTGTGACATTTGTTCTTTCTGTCTCTCTCACACACACACAGCCACACACACACACACACACACGCACACATCCACACATACACGTTTTGGTTTTTCACACATCCACATTTGTTTCTGCACAGAAACATTTTTTTGGTTTTGCACACATTTTTTGCACACATTTTGCATTTTTTTGGTTTTTGTGCACATATACGTTTTAAATTAAGTTGTGGACGTTATTACATTTGCTCCCTAAACATTTTTTCTATTATCTAAGAACAAGCACATTCTCTGACATAACCAAAGTATCACTATCACATATAAGGCATTTAGAATGAATACAATATTATTACCTAATACATAGTCTCATTCAAATTTCTTCAGGTTCCACAGAAAGGTCTTTAGAGATGCTTTCTAATGTCCAGTCCAGGATTTGGTTGCCTCTTTAGTCAACCTAACACAGACCCCTCCAAAACACACATTTTGTTTTATTTATTTATATATTTTTTAATAGAGATGAGGTCTTGCCATGTTGCCCAGGCTGGTCTTGAGTTCCTGTGCTCAAGCGATCCTCCCACCTTGGCCTCCCAAAGTGCTGGAATTACAGGTGTGAGCCACCACTGCCAGCTTACTTTGTTTTTTAAAATCTTTCATGACACTGACTTTTTTTATTTTTATTTTTATTTATTTATTTTTTTGAGGCGGAGCCTCACTCTGTCGCCCAGGCTGCAGTGCAGTGGCGTGATCTCGGCTCACTGCAAGCTCTGCCTCCCGGGTTCATGCCATTCTCCTGCCTCAGCCTCCCGAGTAGCTGGGACTACAGGTGCCTGCCACCACGCCCAGCTAACTTTTTTTGTATTTTTAGTAGAGACGGGGTTTCACTGTGTTAGCCAGGACGGTCTCGATGTCCTGACCTCGTGAGCCACCCGTCTCGGCCTCCAAAAGTGCTGGGATTACAGGTGTGAGCCACTGCGCCTGGCCTATTTTTGTTTTTTGAGATGGAGTCATGCTCTGTTGCCCAGGCTGGAGTGCAGTGGTGCAGTCTCAGCTCACTGCAACCACTGCCTCTGGGGGTCAAGCAATTCTCCTGTCTCAGCCTCCCAAGTAGCTGGGACTATAGGTGTGTGCCACCATGCCCAGCTAATTTTTGTTTTTTGTTTTTGAGATGGAGTCTTGCTGTTGTCGGCCTGGGCTAGAGCACAATGGCATGATCTCGGCTCATTGCAACCTCCACCTCCTAGGTTCTAGCAATTCTCCTGCCTCAGCCTCCCGAGTAGCTGAGATTACAGGTGCCTGCCACCATGCCTGGCTAATTTTTGTATTTTTAGTAGAGATGGGGTTTCACCATGTTGGCCAGGCTGGTCTCGAACTTCTGACCTCAGGTGATCCACCCGTCTCGGCCTCCCAAAGTGCTGGGATTACAGGCGTGAGCCATCATGTCCAGCCGACAGACATTTTAAAGAGTCAGTCTAATTGTTTTGTGGAATGTCCCATAAACTGATTCGTCTGATTGTTTTCTTGTGTTTCGATTCAGGTTAAATATTTTGTCAAGAATACCACCGAGGTGATGTTTTGTACTCCCCCTTGCATTGCATCAGGAGGCATATGATATCAGTTTATCTCATTATGGGAAATACTAAATTAGATCATTCAGCTAAGGTAATGTCTTTCCCCTTTGTACATAATAAATAATTTGGAGGTGATATTTTGAGGCTGTTTGAATATCTTATTTCTCACTTACCTTTCACCCGATAGGGTTTGTAGCCATTGATATTCTTTGTTTAAATCAGTGACTGCATTGGAGATTGCAAAATAATAATTTTTCTATTTCTATCATTTCTTCTATATTTATTATCTGGCAGTCTTCTATTAAAAAAACTTTTTCCAACTCTATTGCTTCCTTTCATTTTTCATATAATTATGGGCTCATGAGTTCTTTGAAAAAAATTCAATGTGTTATAATCCATTTGACATAATTTATCTCTGAGGGCAGGGGCTAACACAAGATAATTAGAATTAGCTACCAATTAGATTCCAAATCTTTTCCCTAAAGGGTACAAAGTCTCTGGTCACCATAGCATAACTGAAGGCAAGAATAAAGCAACTTGGGTTGGGCACGGTGGCTTATGCCTGTAATTCCAGCACTTTGGGAGGCCGAGACGGGCGGATCACGAGGTCAGGAATTTGAGACCAGCCTGGCCAGCATAGTGAAACCCCATCGCTACTGAAAATACAAAAAAATTAGCCAGGCATGGTGGTGGGCACCTGTAATCCCAGCTACTTGGGAGACTGAGGCAAGGAGAACCGCTTGAACCTGGGAGGTGGAGGTTGCAGTGAGCCGAAATCATGCCACTGCATTCCAGCTCGGGCAACAGTGCAAGACTCTGTCTCAAAAAAAAAAAAAAAAAAAAGGAATAAAGCAACTTATTGAAACCAGGTATTAATAATTAATGGTGAGACACCCAGTCCCCCTTTACTTCCTACCTTTAGAATCCTGGTTAACATGTTTATAATAACTCCTAAGCAAAAGTTTGGGAGTTTTCTCTCTGGGAAAACCTACCGGTCCAAGAAAAATACCTAGATGTGCCAACATTGTAAATCTCCCAAAGAAATAAATAGGAAAATCATGCATTCTAAGACTCATCAGTCAAAAAACCTTGTCCTTGTGTCTACAGATTGCAATTAGCTTTATAATGCCTCAGTCTTTAATATGAATGGAGAGTTGAGGATCATCCAACATTTGAGGAAAACATCTAACATAAAAGAGACCTAAGCAAATAGAAAAAACAACAAATATAACTTTTTATTTATAGAATAGAAGCTTCCTTCTTTTTTTTTTTTTTCGATTTTTTTGAGACGGAGTTTTGCTCTTGTTGCCCAGGCTGGAGTGCAATGGCGTGATCTTGGCTCACTGCAACCTCTGCCTCCTGGGTTCAAGTGATTCTCCTGCCTCAGCCTCCCAAGTAGCTGGGATTACAGGCATGTGCCACAGTGCCCGGCTGATTTGGTATTTTAAGTAGAGACGGGGTTTCTCCATGTTGGTCAGGCTGGTCTCGAACTCTCGACCTCAGGTGATCCACCTGCCTCGGCCTCCCAAAGTGCTGGGATTGCAGGCATGAGCCACCACGCTTCCTGATTGCAGGCCTGAAGCTTCCCTGTTTTACAAGAGATGTAACAGAAAAGATACTTTCTTTATCTGCGCCATGTGGTGTAATGATATGACCTCTAGAACTGCTATAGCCATTTTTGCCACTGCCAGGTGACAAATCCAACACACCAAGGAGGATAAAGCTAAGAAAATCAGAGATTATGTGAGTCTCTGTATCACCTTTATCTTTGCACTATTGAATTAGATGAGCCGGTAAATCCCATTTGTTGTTTAAGCTGTTTCTTTTTTTTTTTTTTTTTTTTTGAGGCGGAGTTTAGCTTTGTCACCAGGCTAGAGTGCAGTGACATGATCTCAGCTCACTGCAACCTCTATCTCCCGGGTTCAAGAGATTCTCCTGCCTCAGCCTCCCAAGTAGCTGGGATTACAGGCATGCACCACCACGCCCAGCTAATTTTTGTGTGTGTATATATATATATATATATATATATATTTTTTTTTTTTTTTTTTTTTTTTTTTTTCAGTAGAGACGGGGTTTCACTATGTTACCCAGGATGGTCTCGATCTCCTGACCTTGTGATCCGCCCACCTTGGCCTCCCAAAGTGCTGGGATTACAGGCGTGAGCCACGGCGCCGGGCCAGCTGTTTCTATTTTTTACATTTTATTTTGTATTTCTATATAAGCGTTTTACATATTTTGGGATACATGTGATATTTTGATACCTGTATACAAGGTGTAATGATCAAATAAGGGTAATTGGGATACCCATCACCTCAAACATTTAACTTTTCTTCACTTTGGGCACATTATAATTCTTCTCTTCTAGCTATTTTGAAATATACAATAAATAATTGTAATTATAATTTTCCTACTGTACTATCAAATACTAGAAGTTATTCCCTTTATCTAACTGCATTTTTGTAGCTATTACCCAATTTCTCTTTATGCAGCTTTCTCCTCTTCCCTTCCTGGCCTCTGGTAATCACCATTCTACTCTCTACTTCCGTGTCTCTACCTCTTAAGCTTCCGCATACGAGTGATGACGTGATATTTGTCTCTGAGTGTCTGATTTATTTCACTTAACATGATGACCTCCAGTTCTATATATGTTGTTGCAAATGCCAGGATTTCATTCTTTTCTCTTTTCTTTCTTTTGTTTGTTTTTGAGGCAGGGTCTCACTCTGTTGCCCAGGCTGGAGTGCGGTGGTGCAATCATGGCTCACTGCAGCCTCAACCTCCTGGGCTCAAGTGCCCAGCTAATTTTTGTATTTTTTGTAGAGACAAGGTTTTGCCATGTTGCCCGCGCTGGTCTCAAGCTCCTGAGCTCAAGCAACCTGCCTGTCTCAGCCTCCCAAAGTGCTGGGATTACACATGTGAGCCACTGTAACTGGCCTCATTCTTTTTTAAGGCTGAACAATATTCCGTTTTGTATATATGCCACACTTTATATATTCATCTATTGATGGACATTTAGGTTGATTCCACATCTTGGTAGTGTGAATAATGCTCCAATAAACATGAAAGTGCAGGTATCTCTTTGCTATACTGATTTCCTTTCTTTTGAATATATACCCAGCAGTGAGAGTGCTGAATCATACAAGTTCTATTTTTAGTTTTTTGAGTAACTTTTATACTGTTTTCCATGATGGCTGTACTAATTTACATTCCCACCTACAATATAAGTACATTCCCCTTTCTTTGAATTCTTGCCAGCATCTCTTATTTTCTGTCTTTTTGTTAATAGCCATTTTAAATATCATGAATGATATCTCATTGTGGTTTTGATTTGCATTTCCCTGATGATTAGTGATGTTGAGCATTTTTCGTATACCTATTGGCCATTTGTGTGTCTCTTTTTGAGGTCTAAGCAGTTTTGATTTGGGTTTCCTATTACTAGCATCCTAACTGATATAATAGTTCTCAACTTCCCAAAATATCAACTGCACTTCTTATCATGAGAAGAAGAGTATTGGGTGACAAAAAAAAAAAAAAAGCTACGCCAGGCATGGTGACTCACACCTGTAATCCCAGCACTTTGTGAGGCCGAGGTGGGTGGATCACCTGAGGTCAGGAGTTTGAGACCAGCCTGGCCAACATGGTGAAACCCCGTCCCTACTAACAATACAAAAATTAGCCGGGCATGGTGGCAGGCACCTGTAGTCCTAGCTACTCGGGAGGCTGAGACAGGTAAATTACTTGAACCTGGGAGGCGGAGGTTGTAGTGAGCCATGACTGCACCACTGCACTCCAGCCTGGGCGACATAGTGAGACTCCATGTCAGAAAAAAACAAAAAGCAATTTATTAGTCTGAAAGAAATACCTCTTGAACATATATCTCATGGATGGTCTGAATGTTTGTGTTCTCTGAAAATTCTCATGTCAAAATCCTAACCTCCAGTGTGATGGTATTTGGAGGTAGGGCCTTGGTAGGTGATGAGGTCACAAGGGCTCTACCCTCATAAATCAGATTAGTGCCCTTATGTCACAGGATCCCTTGGGTGTCTCTTTTCATGCCAGAAAAGCTCTGTGGTGGGTGATGCCTTTGCCTGAGTTTTGCTCAGGCTTGTTGGGCTTGTTTTGCTGACATGGCCTGGCAGGCTGTGCTTGGCTCACACTACTGGCCCAGATCCCACACCTGCCAAGGGCAAGCCACGCTTGGAGCAGCAAGGGGTGCATGAGTGAGCAAGCGCAGGGTCCTGCCACTGCACACAGCCAGGCATACTGGCTGCTGCAGCAGGGTGGGCAGCTCCAGGGGCCAGCTCCGTGCAAACCTGTAGCTGGATCTGATGCACCACCAACAGCTTCTGCTGTGGGCACATGCATCTGGACAGAGGAACATGGTGGTGCCCAGAAGCTTGGAGACACCAGAAACCACAGAGCCCCAGAGAGGGTGTCACATCCCTGGCTCAGGGATCCCCTAGGCCTGGGCTCCCCGGTGGGCCACTGCTCTTCTTTCTTTCTTGTCGCCTATAATGTGGCGAGTGGGGGGTGGGTTGGGGAGAGGGGGAAGTGCGTTTCAGTCCTGTTTGTGTTACAGCTTTTTCAGTCCTACCATTTGGTGGATCCAGAATTCTTATCCTATATGCAGGAAGAATGAGGTACACAGACAGCTGGAGGGTGAGCAAGGCAGAGAGGAGCTTTACTGAGCAACAGAACAGCTCTCAGGAGACCTGAAGTGGGTAGCTGCTTTCCACAGGCAGGTAGTGCTGCTGAGAGCAGCCCTCAGCAGAGAGGAGACCTGGAGTGGGTAGCTCCTATCCACAGGCTGGTCATCCCCAGGAGTTAAGGAGACCCAAATTTAGTAGCTCCTTCCAACAGCTGGTCATCCCCAGGAGTTAAGGAGACCCAAATTTAGTAGCTCCTTCCAACAGCTGGTAGTCTTCGTGACGTCTGTGTGAGTCTGGACAGATTGGGGGGAGGTGGTTTATGGACTCAGAAGGGAGGAAGCGCATACTGATTGGTCCATGGGCAGCCATGGGTGGCCCAGAAAAAGCACCATAAGCTCTGACTCCAGGCACCCACACCACTGGGAACCGATAGCCTGGCCCCCAGGCTTTAGGCTGTCCCTGGCTTGAAGGCGGGGTTTCACTGGGGACCCACCCCTTTCCGCCCAGGAGCCTATCTGCTTCCTACTGCCATCAACTTGCCATCCACAGCACCCACTGTGCCCAGGATGTTCATGCAGTGGGATGTCTGCAGGCCCACGCTGAGCTGCCCCAAGTTCTCCCTCAGCCTCCCTCCTATGGGTGCTCAAAGTCTGGAGGGGGTCAAGGCTGCAGGAGGCTGGCATGTCAGCATTGCAAGTACCTGCACACGTGGCCAGTTTGCGACAGTGCCTGGGCTTGGCCTCAACTTTGCTCCGAAATCGGAGCAGGCGCTGGGAGCACAGAGAGGCCAGGCAGCGGAAGCAGGTACTTCTGAGCCTGTGGGGACAGGGGGCTTCTTGGACCCCCAGAGTGCAGGGATGCCCTGGTCCACAGTGGGGCTGGGCGGTGGCAGAGGCACCTGGGAAGGCGCCACCAACTCAGAAGGGGGTGGGGCTCCCGCGTGTTCCCAGTACCTCTGCCTGCTCCCAGCCAGCTCCACAGAGGATGCAGCCCCCACCGCACCTCCCTCCGCTGCAGCCAGGCGTCTTCACAGTGGCCGCTCTGGGTGGGCTGCCGCTGCCATCACTTATAAAAGAGCCTATGAGGCCATGCACAGTGGCTCACACGTGTAATCCCTGTGTTTTTGGAGGATGAGGTGGAAGGATGACTTGAAGCTAAGAGTTTGAGACCAGCCTGGGCAACATAGCAAGATCCTTCTTTCTAAAAAAAAAAATTAGCTGGATGTGGTGGTGCACACCTGTAGTCCTAGCTACTTGGGAGGATCACTTGAGCCCAGTAGTTCCAGGCTGCAGTGAGCCATAATTGTGCCACTGCACTCCATCCTGGGTGACATTGAGACACTGACTCAAAAAAAAAAAAAAAACACGAAAAACACAAGCCTGGGCAACATGGTCAGACCCCATTTCTACAAAAAATATTTTAAAAATTAGCTGGGCATGCTGGGCATGGTGGCTCACACCTGTAATCCTAGAACTTTGAGAGGCTGAGGTGGGTAGATCACCTGAGGTCAGGAGTTCGAGACCAGCCTGTCCAACATGGTGAAACACAGTCTCTATTAAAAAATACAAAAATTAGCTGGGCCTGGTGGCAGGCATCTGTAATCCCAGCTACTTGGGAGGCTGAGGAAGGAGAATCGCTAGAATCTGGGAGGCAGAGGTTGCCGTGAGCCGAGATCACGCCATTGCACTCCAGCCTGGGCGACAGAGCACTCCAGCCTGGGCGACTCCGTCTCAAAAAAAAAAAAATTAGCTAGGCTTGGTAGCTCATATCTGTAGTTCCAGCTACTTGGGAGCCTGAGGTGGGAGTGGGAGGATCACTTGTGCCCAGGAGGTCAAGGCTGCTGTGAGCCATGATCACACCACTGGATTCCAGCCTGAATGGTGTGAGTGAGCAATAGAGTGAGACCTGGTCAAAAGAAATAAAAGGACTCTGGAGGACTCCCTGAACCCTTCTGCCAGTGAAGACACAATGAAGTGGCTGTCTGTGAACCAGGAAGTGGGCCCTCACTGGACACCAAGTTTGCTGGGTCTTGGTCTTGGACTTACTAGCCTCCAGAACTGTGAGAAATAAATTTCTGTTGTTTATAAACCACCCAGTCTATGGTATTCTGTTATAGTTGCCAAAATGAGCTAAGACTATTGGCATCCCTGGAGAAACTGTATTATTCCAGGAGCCACCCTGAGACTGTTCCTCCACTAACCTCAGTTAGGGAGCTGAGGACTAGGGGAAAAGACAACCAAGTATTATTTAAATATCCCCTATCCCACTCCCCAAAAACCCAGGGAATTTAAGCACACAGAGATGAAAAGAAAATATCAAATCAGAATTTAAGAAAGTTATCAAATGTATATGTGCATAAAACTAACAGACTTTTCAAACTAACAGGCTTTTTTTTTTTTTTTTTTTTTTTTGAGACAGGGTCTCTCTCTGTAGCACAGGCTGGAGTGCGGTGGCGCAGTCTTGGCTGACTACAACCTCTGCCTGCCGGGCTCAAGCAGTCTTCCCACCTCAGCCTCCCAGGTAGCTGGGACTACGGATGTGCACCACCACTCCCAGCTAATTTTTGTATTTTCTGTAGAGACAGGATTTTGCCATGTTGCCCCAGGCTGGTCTCAAACTCTTGAGCTCAAGTGATCCACCTGCCTTTGCCTCCAAAGCTCTAGGATTAAAGGTGTGAGCCACTGCACCCAGGTTTAACTAACAGGTTTTAAAGTTCTATCCTTTGTCTTCTCAGGACATTTTGATGGGAGTGATGACTCCATTCTGTTTGTTTTTTGTTTTTGTGTTTTTGTAGAGACAGGAGTCTCACTCTAATGCTCAGACTGGTCTCAACTGGTCTCAAACTCCTGGGCTCAAGTGATCCTCCTACCTTGGCCTGCCAAAGTGTTGGGATTACAGGCATGAGCCACCACACCTGCCCTAATTCCATTCTTGAAGCTCTCCGTGGCTTAAGGCTCTCTTCTCCCTTCTCTTGCTAGTCCACCTGTCTTCTTTGCCAGTTCATTCTTCTCTGCTGAGCCAAATCTTTGTCCTATGCTACCTTCCCTTGATTCCATACTATCTCCTTAACTGACTTCATTCATAATCTTAGCTTCAAATACCACATGTACCAGGATAATTCACAGATTTATATTCATCTCCACTACAGTGCAATATGACCTCCAGTTTCATTTATCTGTTTACTGGACATCTCTTCTTGAATATCTCAAAGTCACCTCCAACCCAATGTGCCCCAAAACGAATTCCAGCATCCTCCCCTACACACCTGGTTTTCCTGTGTACCACACAATTTTCTAAGTCAGGAGCATGGCAGTCATCCTTCATCTCCCTTATCTAGTCCATCATTGGTTTTGACTTTGACTTTTTTTTTTTTTTTTTTTGAGACGGAGTTTCACTCTTGTTGCCCAGGCTGGAGTGCAATGGCACGATCTCGGCTCACTGCAACCTCCGCCTCCCAGGTTCAAGCGATTCTCCTGCCTCAGCCTCCCTAGTAGCTAGGATTACAGGCATGTGCCACCATGCCCGGCTAATTTTGTATTTTTAGTAGAGATGGGGTTTCTCCATGTTGGTCAGGCTGGTCTTGAACTCCCTACCTCAGGTGATCCGCCCACCTTGGCCTCCCAAAGTGCTGGGATTTCAGGCATGAGCCACCGCGCCTGGCTTGGTTTTGACTTTTAAATCTGTTTTGTGTTCATCCAAATCCCTCCACCATAATTCAAATTTCTATTTCTCTCTGGAATTACTGAAATAGACTCTCAACATGTCATTACATTCATTCACTTTTGCTCTCCCTTTAATAATATTTTTTTGAACTCTGCAGCCAGTGTAATCTTTTTGAAATGCACATTTGATCATTTCAGCACCCCATTGCTCTAAGGTTAAGCAAAAACTTAAATGAGGTACATAGCTATCAGGAAGGGGAGAGAAGAATGGAAACAGGTAGACTATTGATTGATCGATTGATTGAGATGGAGTCTTGTTCTGTCACCCAGGCTGGAGTGCAGTGGCTCCAGCAACCTCCTATCTTGGCTCACGGCAACCTCCGCCTGCCAGGTTCAAGCAATTCTCCCGCCTCAGCCTCTCAAGTAACAGGAATTACAGACACGTGCCACCATGCTTTACTGTATTTTCTGTCCAAATAATACAAACATTTGTATTTTTAGTAGAGATGGGGCTTCACCATGTTGGCCAGGCTGGTCTGGAACTCCTGACCTCAAGTGATCCACCTGCTTTGGCCTCCCAATGTGCTGGGATTACAGGCGTGAGCCACTGGACCTAGCCAAACAGATAGACTTTAGAAAGAAGAAAAATGAGTCAAGGCCAACAAGAAGAGTTGCATGAGGTGTCTGATGTTTGATAGATGTCAGCAAGACTAAGCTGTCCTGAAAAATCACTAAACATTGTATGAGAAGTCACTGGTAAACTTTGAGTGTCGACTTCAAAGGAAGAAGCTGAGGGATAATTAATATATAGAGAGTTCATCTGGGCCAAGGTTTAGGACTGCAGTCTGGAACATACTTCCAGGTTGTCTTGGAGAATGCTCCGGGGAAGAAAGAAGAGGCTCAAGTTTCTAAAGAAAGAAGAACAAATCAGGAGAAGGGGGTGATTACAGAAGTTGTTAGGAATTCCTATTGGTTTACAGAAATAACATTGGTTAGTGTTTGGCTACATATCAGCTATAGGGTATATGCCATTTAATGGGTTTTTGGCATCAGTTAGAATCTAGAGCCCACACAGCAAGTGGCTTCAAGAGGTAATTATTTAGCTCAAGGGAGGATGATGTGACTGCTCTTTTATTCCAGTGCTTCTCTGAGCCTGATTTTATTTATTTATTTATTTATTTATTTATTTATTTATTTATTTATTTATTTTGAGATAGAGTGTTGCTCTGTGGCCCAGGCTGGAATGCAGTGGCACGATCTCAGCTGACTGCAACCTCTGCCTCCTGGGTTCAAGCAATTCTCCTGCCTCAGCCTCCCAAATAGCTGGGATTACAGGTGTGGGCCATCACACCCGGCTAATTTTTGTATTTTTAGTACAGTCATTGTTTTGCCATGTTGGTCAGGCTGGTCTCAAACTCCTGACCTCATGTGATCTGCCCGCCTCAGCCTCCCAAAGTGCTGGGATTATGGGTATGAGCCACTGAACCCAGCCAGGGCCTGATGATTTAAAGGGGTTCATATTCCTCAGATAAGAATTTCTTTTCTTTTTTTTAAGAAGAGTAACAGTGGTGACCTTCATCAGGATAAAGAAGCCAGAAGATGGCTGGGCATGGTGGCTCATGCCTGTAATCCTAGCACTTCGGGAGGTCAAGGCAGGCAGATCACCTGAGGTCAGGAGTTTGAGACCAGCCTTGCCAACATGGCGAAACCCCATCTCTACTAAAGATACAAAAATTAACCTAGTGTGGTGGCACACATCTGTAATCCCAGCTACTTGGGAGGCTGAGGTAGGAGAATCCCTTGAACCCGAGAGGTGGAGGTTGCAGTGAGCCGAGATTGCGCCACTGCACTCCAGCCTGGGCGACAGAGTGAGACTCTGTCTCAAAATAATAATAATAATAATAATAATAATAATAATAATAATAATAATAATAAAATAAAGAAGCCAGAAGCCAAAATGCAAGGGATTAAAGACTGAGAACTTATTTTTACCGAAATATGCCTTAGAGAAAGTGGACTAAGGCGAGGCATTGAGATAAAGTGACAGTTTAGGGCCACTTTAAGCAGACTGAATATTTGCTGTATAGCGAGATATTGTATTAGTCCGTTTTCACACTGGTATAAAGATACTACTTGAGACTGGGTAATTTAAAAAGAAGAGAGGTTTAATTGACTCACAGTTCTGTATGCCTGAGGAGGCCTCAGGAAACTTACAATCTTGGTGGAAGGTGAAGGGAAAGCAAGGCACGTCTTACATGGCGGCAGGAGAGAGACAGAGTGAGGGCAGGGGAAATGCCAGATCTTGTGAGAACTCCCTCACTATTGGGAACAGCATGGGGGGAACCACCCCCATGATCCACTCACTTCCTCCAGGTCCCTCTCTCTACACGTGGGGATTACAATTTAAGATGAGATTGGGTGAAGACACAGAGCCAAACCATATCAGATGTGGTTATTATTGTTTACCTTATTGTTCAACTTTCCTATCCCCATTCCTATATTAATACTCTCAACTCCCCCTGACAGGATGGATATGTGATCCAAACTAAATCAATCAATTCCAACCCTCCCAGGAGTTTGATCCTGATACTACTGTATAAATCAGCTTTGTATTGCATTGAAATCAGCTGTATCAGAGGTGACTTTAATATCTACAGCTATGGGAGAGGGTCACTCAAAATACTCTTGGTCTGACAAAAGAATCTACACAGTATATATGTGAATACAAGGCTGGTCAACTCATTTATAGCGTGAATGAGAAAATTTACTTAAAACAGGAGTCTGTTGCTCTTTATTAAACATTAAAGAAGGCATGGTCATGATAATAAGAAATAGAGCATGCATAGATTTGAAACTTAAGTATGACCTTCGTCTCTTAGAGCCAATATCTTGTTCATTGTGTTCCTGTAGTCATCAGAATGTAAACTTCCTCTAATCATCTCCTTCTTTTGTTGTTGAGAAATGTGGGGATCAGCAGTGTAGTTTGGATTCTTGAAGATTTACGTCAACAAGATTATTTACCTCCCATCCAATAGCATTGCAACCAATGGTTTCTTTTCATTTTAACCAAGGTTGAATCAAAAGTTTGGAGTTTATAATTCTTATTCCACCTCATCCGAAAATGAAAGGCTGTATTGTTGCCGAATTATGTGGGTGTAGTTCTCTGGGGGATGGTCTTCCAGCTCCTCTTGGGGAGAACCCCACAGTTGCCTGCTTTCTACCCTTCATGAAGCCTAGTTCTTTAATTTTCCTTTGTTTCTGTGAACTTCTCTAGTACTCTTCTACAAACCTTGTTGTGTTTACATGAGTTGGTTTCTGTGCTAGGAACCAGAGAAACCCTAACTGATACTACCCAGTGACCATCAGCATATATAGTGAGTAAAGGTGAGAGAGGATGGAATTATATACTGCTCCCAGGTCTCTGGTTCGGTCGACTGGATGCTGGTTCCACGCACTCTGAAGGATACAGGAAGCAGGTTTGAGAAGGAAGTTAAATTCAGCTGGAAACACATTAAGTTTGAAGCACAAATGGGACATGTAGGTGATGTCCGGGAGACCTAACTGGAGAGACAAATGAAAGAGTCATTTAAGTAATTGAAGATGAGGGAGTGGAGATTGCAAAGAAAGAGCAGGTAGAGTGATTTGCAGCTGAAACCCAGAAAATATTGACTTTCAAGGGGAGGCAGAGAAAGCCAGGTGCAGTGGCTCATGCCTGTAATCCCAGCACTTTGGGGGGCTGAGATTGACAGATGACCTGAGGTCAGGAGTTCGAGGCCAGCCTGAACAACATGGTGAAACCCCGTCTCTACTAAAAATACAAAAATTAGCCGGGCGTGGTGGCGGGGGCTTGTAATCCCAGCTACTTGGGAGGCTGAGGCAGGAGAATCGCTTGAATCCGGGAGGCAGAGGTTGTGGTGAGCCGAGATTACACCACTGCACCCCAGCCTGGGCGACAGAGTGAGACTCCGTCTCAAAAAAAAAAAAAAAAATGGAAGAAGGTTCAGATAGGTTATTTTTTCTTTTTTTTAAAGGAGAGACTGGAACAAAATAGGATGAGAAGAAAGAGCATGGGAGATACACTGTTTTGGAACAAATGTCCCCCAAAGATTTTCTTAGGATACATGGCCATGGATAATATTAGGGCAATCAATCTCTAGTTTGTGTATATTTTTTCTTCAAATTAATTTGCCTAAGAACACCTTCAAGGTCAAGATGTACTGTTTCACAAGGTGAAAGGTGTCCTACTTCACAAGAGACCCTTGTCTAGCTTTAGGAAAGCAAGCCATACATCTCAGTCATCTCTAGTCTAATTATGGTTCATTGCCCTTAGAGTAAAAACTCCGAGTCCAATATCAATGGGACAATATTTTTTTTTTGAGTCATAGTCTTGCTCTCTTGCCTAGGCTAGAGTGCAGTGGTGCAATCTCAGCTCACTGCAACCTCCGCCTCCCGGGTTCAAGCGATTCTTGTGCCTCAGCCTCCCAAGTAGCTGGGACTAGAAGTGCCTGCCACCACACCTGGCTAATTTTTGTATTTTTAGTACAGAGGGAGTTTCACCATGTAGGCCAGGGTGGTCTCGAACTCCCGACCTCAGGTGATTTGCCAGCCTTGGCCTCCCTAAGTGCTGGGATTATAGATGTGAGCCTTTATGCCTGGCCCCAAAGGGACAATTTGACGTATCAAATTAGATAATGAGGATGTAAATGACTTAAATAACTGGGTATCTTTTTCTTTCCTTCTTTCTTTCTTTCTTTTTTTTTTTTTTTTTGCAAAAAGCAATATCCTTTTCTTTTTTCTTTTCCTTTTTCTTGAGACAGTGTCTCACTCTGTTGCCCAGGTTGGAGTGCAGTGGCATGATCATGGCTCACTGCAGCCTTGACCTCCTGGGCTCAAATGATCCTCCCACCTTAGCCTCTGGAGTAGCTGGGACCACAAGTGTGTGCCAGCATGCCCACCTAATTTTTTTTTTCTTTTTTTGAGATGGAGTCTTGCTCTGTCACCCAGGCTGGGGTGCAGTGGCACGATCTCAGCTTACTGTAACCTCCGCCTCCTGGGTTCAAGCAATTCTCCTGCCTCAGCCTCCTGAGTAGCTGGGATTACAGGCGCACACCACCACGCCCAGCTAATTTTTGTATTTTTAGTAGAGACGGGGTTTCACCATGTTAGCCAGGTTGGTCTCGGATTCCTGACCTCGTGATCCACTAACCTCGGCCTCCCAAAGTGCTGGGATTACTGGCGTGAGCCACCGCACCCAGCCCATGCCCACATAATCTTCAAAAAATTTTTTGTAGAGATGGGGTCTCCCTATGTTGCTTAGGCTGGTCTATCCTTTTTGTTAAAAGAGACATTTCCAATAAAATCTTCTTTTTATGTATAATGACTCTCAAAAGCTGTAACATAAAAAATTGCACGGGGCGTGGTGGTGCGTGCCTGTAGTCCCAGCTACTCAGGAGGCTGAGGTGGGAGGATTGCTTGAGGCCAGGAATTCAAGGCCAGCCTAGGCAACATAGCAAGATCCCATCTCTAAGAAAAAAAATATTATTCATTAATAGTTCGATGCCTAAGAAGGTTGTAATATATATATATATATGTTGTTTTGATAAATTGTGTACTGCAACTAATTATGATTACTCAATCTAAAATAATTTTTTAAATGGTCATAGAAAAATTTTTTTAAAAATATAATTTGGCCGGGTGTGGTGGCTCTCGCCTGTAATCCCAGCACTTTGGGAGGCCAGGTGGGCAGATCACGAGGTCAGGAGATAGAGACCATCCTGGCCAACATGGTGAAACCCTGTCTCTATTAAAAATACAAAAATTAGCTGGGCATGGTGGCGTGCACCTGTAGTCCCAGCTACTCGGGAGGTTGAGGCAGGAGAATTGCTTGAACCTGGGAGGCAGAGGTTGCAGTGAGCTGAGATTGAGCCACTACACTCCAGCCCGGTGACAGAGCAAGACTCCATCTCAAAAAAAAAAAATTAATTTATATATGTATTTTTGTTGAAGAAAATAATGAAGTGAATAAAACTTTAAAGGTTAAAACTGTATTGCATTCATTTAAATTATTGTGAGGGAAGTCAAGTCAAACCACAAGTTCAAGGAGAAAGAGCAATTATGTAACATGTCTTGTTCATGTATTTTTAAAATAATGATGATGGTAGATATCTGTGAAATCATATATATGTTTGCTTCTATGGTTCCTGGCTTATGACTCCAATAGCCCTTGTTATAATGTTGGGGTGCTTTAGGCCTCAGAAGCAGGCCTCAGAAAACAGAATCTCGGGCGGGTGTGGTGGCTCAGGCCTGTAATCCCAGCACTTTGGGAGGCTGAGGCGGGCAGATCATCTGAGGTCAGGAGTTTGAGACCAGCCTGGCCAACATGGCAAAACCCTGTCTCTACTAAAAATATAAAAATTAGCCGGGCATGGTGGTGGGCACCTGTAATCCCAGCTACTCAGGAGGCTGAGGCAGGAGAATCGCTTGAGCCCTGGAGGCAGAAGTTGCACTGAGCTGAGATCTTGCCACTGCACTCCAGCCTGGGTGGCAGAGTGAGACTCTGTCACAAAAAAAAAAAAGAAAAAAGAAAAATAGAAAAAAGAAAACAGAATCTGTCTCTCTCTTTGACCTTCTCCTGCTCTCCTTTTTTTCCCCAAAGCAGGAATCTTCTTCCCGTACCATTCCGTCTTGGAGGTTGGCAGTAAAAAAATTCTCTCACCTGCCTTGTCTAATTGTAGATCATAAGACTCTCATTTCAGGCTGGGCATGGTGGCTCATGCCTGTAATCCCAGCACTTTGGGAAGCCGAGGTGGGTGGATCACCTGAAGTCAGGAGTTCGAGATCAGCCTGACCGATGTGGAGAAACCCTGTCTCTACTAAAAATAAAAAAAATAATAAAAATAAAAAAAGACTCTCATTTCAGAAGGGGTCCTGCCCCATACCTGGATGAAATAATGCTATACACAGAGAGGCAAAGAAGAATCTGAACAGACAGGCCTGGCTGGGTTTCAACTCAGTCTATTAGTATTAGGTCATACCCTTTTTGTCCAGTCACATTTCTACAAGGTTGTCCATCTTTCAATCATGCCTCTGCAATGAAGTCTTCATAAAACACCTAAGAGGATGGGGGTACAGACAGCTTCTTGGTAGCTGAACAAATAGGGGTTCCAGGAGGGTGTCATCCCTGGGGAGGGCATGGAAGCTCCACACCCCTTTTCATTCTTTGCCCCATGAGGCTTTTCATCTATCTTTTGTGATATACTTCATAATATACCAGTAAACTGTTTCCTTGACTTCTGTGAGTTGCTCTAGCAAATCAGTCGAACCAAGGAGGGGGTCATGGATCCTCAGTTTATAGCCATTTAGTCAAAAGCACAGGTTAAATAACCTGGAGCTTGCAATTGGCATTGTAAGTTGTGGGGCAGTCTTGTGGGACTGAACCCTCCACCTGTGTGATCTGACATTATCTCTAGGTAGATGGTGTTGGAATTGAATTAGAGGCTATCTAGTAGGTGTCTGCTACAGTATTGCTTGCTTGCTTGTTGTATGGGAAGAACCTACCCCCCCGCCTCCATTTGGTCTCAGAAGTCTTTTTGTTTTGTTTTGTTTTGTTTGTTTGTTTTTTGAGAAAGAGTCTCACTCTGTCGTCGGGCTAGGGCACAGTGGCGCAATCTCAGCTCACTGCAACCTCCTCCTCCCAGGTTCAAGCGATTTCCTGCTTCAGCCTCCTGAATAGCTGGGATTACAGGTATGTGCCACCATGCCCAGCTAATTTTTGTATTTTTTAGTAGAGACAGGGTTTCACCCTGTTGGCTGGGCTGGTCTTGAACTCCTAACCTCAAGTCATCTGCCCACCTCAACTTCCCAAAGTGCTGGGATTACAGGCGTGAACCACAATGCTCAGCCTAAAGTCTGTTTTGATTGCGATGTGAGCACAGAGAAAAAAATAGTTTGTGTTTTTAACCTCGCAGTATCAAATAAATAAATAAATAAATTCAAAATAAATTCAAATGTATTTAGAAAAAATCTTATTTAGATTCTACAGATACATTTTAAAAAGTGATAAAATGGTCTTTATTTTAAAATGCTGATATTTACAATATAATTTGTTGTCAAAATTTCCTCTTTTCAATTATTTAAGTTATGAGAAAAAATTTTAGGTGCCAACATAAAAATGCATTATTGGATTACAGTGTTTTTCAAAATTCTTTTAGGGGAACACGAACTTTGAAGTCATTGTCTAAAGGAAACCAGAAGAGATAGGGATATTCTGGTATAGGGCTACATTTTCTTTCCTTTTTTTTTCTTTTTGGGATGGAGTCTCGCTCTGTTGCCCAGGCTGGAGTGCAGTGGCGCGATCTCGGCTCACTGCAAGCTCCACCTCCTGGGTTCATGCCATTCTCCTGCCTCAGCCTCCCGAGTAGTTGGGACTACAGGTGCCCGCCACCACGCCCAGCTAATTTTTTTTTCTTTTTGTATTTTCAGTAGAGACGGGGTTTCACTGTGTTAGCCAGGATGGTCTCGATCTCCTGACCTTGTGATCCGCCTGCCTCGGCATCCCAAAGCACTGGGATTACAGGTGTGAGCCACCACACCCGGCCTAGGGCTACATTTTTAAAAGGGGGAAGATTGCCTCCTAGTAGCCGTGGTTTAGTTTTATATTGGACCAGGTCAGCTTTTTCCTTTTTTTCCAATGGTATTTGAGAGGGAAAATAAAGTGGATGGTGGGGTTTGCCCAAGATTGGGAATTGACTGGCACCGTGTGTAAGATAAAAACCCAGGGGAAAGAACTTGAAGGTGCTCTAGTAAGAATTCATTGCCAGGCCTGGCGCAGTGACTCACGCCTATAATCCCCAGCACTTTGGGAGGCCGAGGCAGGTGGATCACCCGAGATCAGGAGTTTGAGACCAGCCTGGCCAACATGATGAAACCCTGTCTCTACTAAAATTACAAAACATTAGCCAGGCATGGTGGTGTGCGTCTGTAATCCCAGCTACTTGGGAGGCTGAGGCAGGAGAATCGCTTGAACCCAGGAGGCAGAGGTTGCAGTGAGCCTAGATCATGCCATTGCACTCCAGCCTGGGTGACAAGAGCGAAATTCAGTCTCAAAAAAAAAAAAAAAAAAAGGAAAGAAAAAGAACTCATTGCCATCCCTGGGTTTTAGCTTAAGACTGGAGCAGGTGATATTCAGGAGAGGACACATGGACCAGAAAGTAGTTGAAACATTTCAGACGATGAGACTCTAAAATGTACTCTGAGTTCACAGGAATTAGAGAGTAAAATAGTGGAAGGATTCTAATCATGGTTGGAGATGGATGTTTCTGAGTGTGATTTTTTTTAGAAAGTGCAATATTTTAAGTCATGACATGGCTTTATGTGCAGTGAAATATGTCTTTAATAAATGACTGAAAAGAGCAGAGATGAAGATCTTAGGTTTGAACTACATTGGCTGGTTGGACCCAGTCCCTGACTTTTTCAGCAACCAAAACAAATGGCATGTGAGATTTATTTATGTAGAATTTTGGCTTGTCTGGAACTCTGGAGGTCCAAATTGAATTCAATTCCAAATTGAATCACTTGGGATAATTTAATTTTCTAGATAGTTTAGAATTAATCCTTTTAGGCACCCAAAATTTCTTATTACAATCGTTTTAGATGAAAAGCTTACTAAAATATGCTCCGTACTTGGTTTTTTGATGCTAATATACTTGACATAATTTTACTACATTTTTTTTCCTTTTTTGTAGAGACAGGGGCTATATTTCCCTAGGCTGGTCTTGAACTCCTGGCCTCAAGCCATTCTCCTGCTTCAGCCTCTTAAAATACTGGTATTACAGGTGTGAGCCATCGTGCCTGGCCGTAATTTTACTGTTTTATAAGGTTAGGATTAGCACCATGAATACCATCTATTCAAGAGAAATGACTCAGTGCATTTCGTACTTTATAAATACCCCCAGAATTTAATTTTTTAAATTTATTTAATTATTTAGACTGAGTTTCACTCTTGTCGCCCAGACTGTAGTGCAATGGCGCAATCTCGGCTCACTGCAACCTCCACCTTCCGGGTTCAAGCAATTCTCCTGCCTCAGCCTCTTGAGTAGCTGGGATTACAGGTGCGTGCCACCATGCCCAGCTAATTTTTTGTATTTTTAGTAGAGACGGGGTTTCTCCATGTTGGCCAGGCTGGTCCCGAACTCTTGACCTTAGATGGTCCACCTGCTTTGGCCTCCCAAAGTGCTAGGATTACAGGCGTGAGCCACCGCACCCGACCCAGAATTTACATTTTGAGTTCTTATATGTTCATTTATTTATGATTTTATTGTACAGATGGGGTCTTGCTATGCTGCCCTGGCTGGTCTCGAACTCCTGGCTTCAAGTTATCCTTCCACCTCACCCTCCTGAGTAGCTGGGATTACAGGTGTGAGCCTAGCTGCTGTTTCTTCTTTTTTTTCTTTTCTTCTCTTCTCTTCTCTTCTCTTTTCTCCTTCCTTCCTTCCTTTCTTTTTTGAGACAGGGTCTCACTCTGTTGCCCAGGTTGGAGTACAGTGGTGCCATCTCTGCTCATGGCAACCTCTGCTTCCCAGGCTCATGCAATCCTCCCATCTCAGCCTCTCCAGTACTGGGACCACAGGCGTGCACCACCACACCTGGTTAACTTTTTGATTTTTTGTAGGGACCATGTCTTGCTAGATTGCCCAGGCTGGTCTTGAATTCCTGGCCTCCAAGGATCCTCCTGCCTCACAGCCTTCCAAAGTCCTGGGATTACAGATGTGAGCCATTGTGCCTGGCCCAGCCTAGCTTAATAATTTGTATGCTTCTTTGTTTTTAGGTGTCTGTTAGCACTTGTCATCCATGTATCTGCCCAGAAGAAGAATGCTTTCAAATATTTTGCTTTAACGCTGGAAACAAGATTTTTAAAAATCTTGTTAGAACTGTATATGTGTTTGATGTGAAGACAGCCTACATGAGAGGAGAGGGGACAGGTTTTTAGTTCTTGGATTCTATGATATCCTATTTTGGTTTCTCAGTAGCCTCTTCTCTGGCTCCTGTTTTCCTCCTCACCCCAATTCCTTCTTGCCTCTGTTTTTGACAGCTGAAGTGAATTCTAGACAGGAACTATCTCAAGGCTGCTGTTATTCAAAACCTAAGTGTTTCATATGAACATGAAGCTATTTAGTGGGAAAAATGAACTACAAGTAGTTTGATGGAAGAAGCAAGTATAAAAAAGCTTAGAGCTTTACACAGTAGTGATCAGAAGTAGCACTGTAAGTTGCTATAAACTACTGTATGTAATGAGACTTTAAGATCTTTTTTTGCCTAACAATTCCACATCTACATCTAGAAATATGTGATTACATAAAGATATGTATAAGAATGTTTTACAGTAGTATTGTTTAGTAAAAAACTGTAAACAACCTAACAGCTCATCAATAGGGAAATGGTTAAATACATTTTGTTGGTACTTATCATGCAGCCATTTAAAAAAAAAATGAGGCCAGGCACAGTGGCTCACGCCTGTAATCCCAACACTTTGGGAGGCCAAGGCAGGTGGATCATTTGAGGTCAGGAGTTTGAGACCAGCCTGGCCAACATGGTGAAACTCCATCTCTACTAAAAATACAAAAATTAGCTGGGCGTGGTGGTACATGCCTGTAATCCCAGCTACTCAGGAGGGTGAGGCAGGAGAATCGCTTGAACCCGGGAGGCGGAGGTTGCAGTGAACTGAGATCGTGCCACTGCACTCCAGCCTGGGGGACAGAGCGAGACTCCCTCTCAAAAAAAAAAAAAAAAAAAAGAGGTAGTTCTGTACATACTGATCCTAGTGATTAAGCAAGCTGACTCTGAATCCACACTGCCCAGGTTCAAATCCCAGCTCCACCACTTACTTTCCAGTTTGTGGCACATTAGATGTGTTCCTCAACCATCCAGTGCCATAAAAATCCCTATTTCATAAGATTGTTGTGGGGGTTAGATGAATTCATCCAAGTAAAACACTAGAATGGTGTCTGGCATAATTATTATTCCATTAGCCATTATTATCATTACTGATATGAAAGGACACCTGTAATACATTATTTGGTGAAAAGATAACGTTACATAATATGGGAAGTAGAGTTCCATTTTTGTCAAAACTAACAAAAATCTGTGTACACACATTCATGTGATTTGTACACGCAGAGAACCTGGAATTTCTTCATAGGAGGAACTAAGGATTTGTTAACTAGTCTTGCCTGGAGGTTAAAATTGCCTAACGGCCAGGCATGGTGGCTCACACCTGTAATCCCAGCACTTTGGGAGGCCGAGGTGGGTGGATCACCTGAGGTCAGGAGTTGGAGACCAGCCTGGCCAACATGGAGAAACCCCGTCTTTACTGAAAACACAAAATTAGCCGGACGTGGTGACGCATGCCTATAATCCCAGCTACTCGGGAGGCTGAGGCAGGGGAATCGCTTGAACCCAGGAGGCGGAGGTTGCGGTGAGCCGAGATCGCGCCATTGCACTCCAGCCTGGGCAACAAGAGCGAAACTCCGTTTCAAAAAATAAAATAAAATAAATAAATAAATGAATAAAAATAAAATAAAATAACAAACCCATTGTTTTTTACTCAGATTCTGTATTTATCTGGGGTGGCTTTGGAAGGATCCATTTGAAATTATGGGAAGTCAAATTTCCCCAAACCAGTCTTTGGTGCAGCTACTTTCTATAGTCACGGAAACAGTAAGGAAAGGTTGAATGCACCAAACTGTTAATAGGGATTATTTATGGGCATGAGTGGGATGAGGGGGGATGGTGGGTATGCAGTTGGGAGAAGACCTGTATACACCTCTCTATTGTTTGTAAGTAGTTCATTGTGTATTTATTTTGGAGGCAACATCAAATAAAAGAGGAGCATACATGAAAAAAGGGGTTGGTTAACTTAGTGTAGTATGAAGTTACAAACAAAAAAGGGTGATGGTAGTGCAGTGTTTTGAATTAACATGGAACAATGTGTGTGAAGGAATAATTGATCCAGAACTTTATTGTAGAAACCTGTCCCCATCAAAGCCATACATGGGGCTGTATATATATGTCCAGAGAAAAGGTCTTCTGCACACTTAACTGTAACTGTTAGTCATAATTTCTCTGCAGAGTGGGATGGTGGGGCTAGGAGGAAGGACTTTCACTTTTAATTTTATGATACTCCAAATCATTTGCATTTTTTTTTTACAAAAATTATGTATAATTTTTCTTTTTTTTTTCTTTTTGAGACGGAGTCTCGCTCTGTCCCCCAGGCTGGAGTGCAGTGGTGCGATCTCGGCTCACTGCAAGCTCCGCCTCCCGGGTTCAAGCGATTCTCCTACCTCAGCCTCCCGAGTAGTTGGGATTACAGGCGCGCGCCTCCACGCCCAGCTAATTTTTGTATTTTTTAATTAGAGACAGGGTTTCACCATGTTGGCCAGGCTGGTCTCGAACTCCTGACCTCGTGATCCACCCGCCTAAGCCTCCGAAAGAGCTGGGATTACAGGCGTGAGCCACCGCGCCCGGCCCAAGATCATGTATAATTTCTATAACAAAAACAATAAAGGAAATAAAAATGTCTTCAGTGTTGTACCTTGTACTTGGCCTATGTTACAACAGGAATGACATATATTCCATTTTTAAGACATTACTTAGGGCTTTATAGATTTCTGCTTTAAGGAATAAATGCAATTTCAATCTATTTAAGACTTGATTTCTTCTTATATAAAAAAAGTATCTGATCTTGTATCTAATTTGTTATGACAGTACCATCACTTAAAGTACAGCAATTATGCAACCCCTGAATTTGAATTTCATTTTGCAAGTGTACATGACCTCACGGACAAAGCGAAGGCAGAAAGTTAAAATCAGCATATCGAAAATAAATCACTCTAGTTACCGAAAAGAACATAGGGTATCTGAACAAAATCTCAGAGCTCACATAGGCATAGATACTTCCATGTGAACTTTAGGAATCTTGCCTTATCTAACTTTTGCAGGGCTGAGTGGACCCCCTGCTCCCGCTAGCCGTTTTGGGAGCACCAGCCACCTCCACACCAGAACTGGGCTGTCGGGGGCCGCTGCGGCGCAGGGGCTCGTCCGGGACTGAGTCAGCGCCGGGGCCGAGAAGTTCGGCGGGAGGCGCAGGGCGGGGCTTCCTCCCGCCGACTCCGAGCCCGGCTCTACTTTTCTGAGTCCACGTCTCTTCCTTTGGACAGGCGTGTTTCCCCAGGTCGGGCCCAGCCAACGTGACAGCCGCAGACCTCGGAAAAGGGCGCTCCGGCCCCGCCTCGAGGATTTCCCCCGGCCGCTAGGGCAGCCCGGGCCCGCTCGGCCCAGCCCCTCACGGACTGCGGCGCGCGGCTCCCCGGGGCCCGGCCCGCCGAACGCCTCGCTCTACAGCCCTCACCTCGCGGCGCCGAGCGCAGCGTCCGCGGCATGGAGACCGGCTCCGACTCAGGTCAGAGGCCCGCCCCCGGGCCGCGGGGGACTGGCCCTGCGCGCGCGGCGGCGCGGTTAGGCCGGGCCGCCCGCACAGGCCGCCGCGTGTCGAGTCCGCGCGGGGAGCGCACGCGGGGCGGGCGGCGACAGGTGGGCAGGACGAGCCGCGAGCGAGCGAGGGCGGGCGGGCGCGCGAGGGGCCCGGCGGGGGGGCCGCTGGGAGGATGGCTCAGCTCTTTCTAAATATAAAACCGGCGTGAGTTGGGCGAGCGCGGCGCGGAGTCGCAGAGCCGCCGCGCGGGCCTGGCGCACGGGGATTCGGCCGCACAGACGGCGGCGGCGGCAGCGGCAGCGGCTCCGCAGAGGCGCGAGGCTGCGGGAGCGCCCGAGTCGCGAGCTCGCGGGGGCAGCGAAGGGCGACGCTCGCGACGCGGAGGACGCAGGCGGCGGCGGCGGGCGGGCCTCGGGGCACAGCGCGGTCCGCGCCGAGTGAACGGAGGCGGCTCGCGGCCCCTGCCGCACCGCGAGCCGCGAGCCCCCCGGCCGCGCCCTGCCCCCCCAGCCCCTCCCTCGTTCCCTCCCCGGCGCAACATGGCTGCGGCCGCCGCCTCCGCCTCCCAGGATGAGCTGAGTAAGTGCCGCGGCCGAACCTGCGGCCGCGAGCCGGAACGGGCGCCGCGCGGTGCCGGGGGCCGGCGGCCGCATGAGGGCTGGGGCGCCAGGCCCGGTGGGCGGGCGGCGGCCGCGGCGTACGGGGAGCTGGGGAGCCCGGGCCTGGCGGACGGGCGGGGCGCGGACCGTCGCCGCTGGCGTTTGTAGGCCTCAGGTTTGCACCGTCACGTTGCGAAATTGAAACCGGAGCCCCGGGCGGAGCCACCTCTGCCCGCGATCCGCCCTGGCCCGGGGTCGGGGGAGCCCAGCCCCCTGCCCACTGAGCCTCGGCTGGCGGGAGGGCCGGAGCCCCGGGGTGACGGGCAGTGTCCGCCCGTCCCGTCTGACCCCGCCTGGCCCCGGGTCCCCGACGGCTGGTTGAGTTATAGAAATGGAGCTTTCGGGAAGGGGGAGAAGGTGCCTTTTTGTGACACTCTAGTAATCAGCCGAAAGGTCACGAATAGGCGGTGACCCTCAGATGGAGCAGGGAGGGCGGAGAGGGTCGCCGGTCGAACCGCAGGAGAAACCACGGGGTGACAGCGCTTTCAGAAAGGAGAGTTAGTGCCCCCTCGATCGTACGCGGTGCAGCCTTCCCGGGGACGGCGGTCCCTGTCTGGGGAGAGCGGTGGTCACCCTGAATCCCAGGCCGCCCCGCCCGCCGCCGGGGTTCGCCTCAATGCTTTGTGGGAAGTGTAGTTCCGGGGCGCCGCGGACCCACGCTGGGGTCATAAATACCGAAGTTTCATAGGACATAGGACATGTGAGATAATTTCTGATTGCGTTTTGAGTGTTCTCCCCCCCAAGGGTTTTCTTTCTTTCCCTTTTTTTTTTTCTCCCAATGCTGCCCTTCAGTTTATGGCAAAAACAAGAAAGGTGTTATTTGAAGATGATGTGGGTTTTAAATGGAATAAAGCATGGGTGAGGTGTTGCAAGCTTTATGAAGCTTACGTTGTTAAAGCCGCTTCTGAATTTCCATATGAAAGTAGTTATACACGTAATGTATGTTTTTCTGGTGCTTGTCAGTTTAAAGCCACTTTTATATACATGATCTCACTTTTGCCCTCATAGCAACCTTGTGAGGCAGATAGGTAGGAATTATCCTTGTTTTAAAGAGGAGGCAGGTTTGGAGAGATTAAGTTCCTTGCTGCTTTGACACAGAACTGGTGGAGCAGGAGTACTGTTTGCTTTTTTTGAAGCTGAAGTAAACACTTGGTGTGATCCTGAGCAGATTGGAGAGTCGGAGGAGACAAGGTCTCATGGTGCGATTAGAGAGAGAAGCGGGCTACAGATTGCTCTTCTGTCGGTTCCACGTGGAAGCACCACCAGGCCTTCTGAGATCAGTTCCATGTTTTGTTTTAATTGGAAGAAAAGTACACATACCATAAAATTTCCCGTCCTAGCCATTTTTTAAGTGTACAGTTCAGTGGGATTGAGTACATTCACACTGTTGTGTAATCATCACCACCATCCATTTCCAGAACTCTTCGTCTTGTAAAACGGAAACTTGATACCCATTAAACAACAAATCCTCATTCCCTCCTCCCTTCGGCCCCTGGCGACCATCATTGTACTTTCTGTCCCTGTGATTTTGAGTATTCTTCCTACCTCGTGTGAATGGAATCATACAGAATTTGTGACTGGTTTTATCTTTATTTAGCATAATGTCCTCAAGGTTCATCCATGTTGTTGCGTGTGTCAGAATTTCTTTTCCTTTTAAAGGTTGAATGATATTCCCTTGTATGTATATATCACATTTCCTTGTCCATCTATCTGTCTATGGACACTTGGGTTGCTTCCACATTTTAGCTATTGGGAATAATGCTGTTGTGAACATGGGTGTACAGATACCCCTTTGAGACCTTGCTTTCAGTTCTTTTGGGTACATACCCAGAAATGTAATTGCTGGATCATGTGATAGTTCTAGTTTTAAATTTTTAAGGAACCACTGTACTGTTTTCTTTTTTCTTTTTTTTTTCTTGAGACCAAGTCTTGCTCTGTCGCCCAGACTGGAGTGCAGTGGCGCGATCTCCGCTCACTGTAAGCTCCGCCTCCCAGGTTCACGCCATTCTTATGCCTCAGCCCTCCGAGTAGCTGGGACTGCAGGCGCCCGCCACCACGCCCGGCTAATTTTTTGTATTTTTAGTAGAGACGGGGTTTCACTGTGTTAGCCAAGATGGTCTTGATCTCCTGACCTTGTGATCTGCTGTGATCCACCCGCCTCGGCCTCCCAAAGTGCTGGGATTACAGGCGTGAGCCACCGCGCCCGGCCCCCACTGTACTGTTTTTGACAGTGGTTGTACCATTTTACATTACCACCAACAATACACAGAGTTCTAATTTCTCTATATCCTGGCCGACACTTATCTATATTGTCAGTAGTAACCATCCTGTTGGGTGTGAGGTGGTCTGATTTTTTTTCAATTGCTATGCTGTATGACATCTGAGTTCCTGTTGTAGAACCAAACACATTAAAGTCTGAATTGATAGCAGGAATGGGAACAAAACTAGAGGAAGAATTGGATATTCTGAAGTGGCTGAAGTATTTGTGTCTATGCAGTGTGCTTCCATACATTCAGGTACTGGTTAAGATGCTGATAGTTAAGGGATTTCCTGGCTCTAGTACCTAATGGAAAGTTAGGAACAAATAATTCCAATCCTTGCCTTCTTCTTGTTTTGTTCAGTTAAATTGTCAGTCATCAGCCACAGATATCGGTGGACTTGGTTTCTGTATTTCTTCAGGAGAGACTGAATACGTTGCAGTTGATACCTTAGAATAATTTAACTTGAAAGCATATACATGTACACTGGTTAAGAAGTTTCATATAAACCACTTTTAGTTTTAGAATGGGTATAATAAAATAGCAGATGCTGATAAAATGTGCTTTTGGCCAGGTGTGGTGGCTCACACCTGTAATCCTAGCACTTTAGGAGGCCGAGATGGGTGGATCACCTGAGGTCAGGAGTTCAAGACCAGGCTGGCCAACATGGTGAAACCCTGTCTCTACTAAAAATACAAAATTTAGCCTGGTGTGGCGGCACGTGCCTGTAGTCCCAGGTACTCAGGAGGCTGAGGCAGGAGAATCACTTGAACCTGTGAGGTGGAAGTTCCAGTGAGCCAAGATTGTGCCGCTGCACTCCAGCCTGGGCAACAGAGCTAGACTCTGTCTCAAAAAAAAAAAAAAAAAAAAAAAGAAAAGGTGCTTTTAAGAATTCCACTAAAAAAAAAGGAGAGAATTATCCAAATATTTTCTATCATTTATGACTAGTAGATGATAGTAAAAGCAAACTACTAGATGCCAGCATTGTTCTCTTCCACTAACATTTTATTGTAAAAAATCTTCAAACACACAGAAAAGTTGAAAGTGAACATTCGTGTACCCACCACTTAGATTCTATCATTGATAGTCAAATAACTTTATCATATTTACTATTATAGCAAACTTTGTCATTTGTCCATCTCAGTAGATTTTTAAAAATTGTTAAAGTTTTTTTTTTTTTTTTTTGAGACGGAGTTTCAGTCTGTCACCCAGGCTGGTGTGCAGTGGCGCGCGATCTCGGCTCACTGCAACCTTTGCCGCCTGGGTTTAAGCAATTCTCCTGCCTTAGCCTCCTGAGTAACTGGGATTACAGGCACCTGTCACTGCGCCCAGCTAATTTTTGCATTTTTAGTAGAGACGAGGTTTCACCATCTTGGCCAGGTTGGTCTTGAACTCCTGACCTCGTGATCCCCCCACCTCAGCCTCCCACAGTGCTGGGATTACAGGCGTGAGCCACCATGCTTGGCCAATTGTTAAACTTTTTTAGTTTTACTTTATTTTTTAAAAAATAGTAGTAAAATACACATAACATAAAATTTACCACCTTAACAATTTTTTTTGTTGTCTTTTTCTGGAGACGGAGTCTTGCTCTGTCGCCCAGGCTGGAGTGGAATGGCGCCATCTTGGCTCACTGCAACCTCCACATCCTGGGTTCAAGTGATTCTTCTGCCTCAGTCTCCCGAGTAGCTGGGATTACAGGTGTGCGCCACCATGCCCGGCTAATTTTTTTTTTGGTAGAGACAGGATTTCACCGTGTTGGCCAGGCTGGTCTCGACCTCCTGACCTCATGATCCGCCCCTCCTGGTCTGCCAAAGTGCTAGAATTAAAGGTGTGAGCCACTGTGCCCTGCCTGCCTTAACAGTTTTTAAGTGTACAGTGGTATTAAGTACTTATTACTCCATCTTTTTTTATGCATTTCAAAGTAAATTGGTGACACCAACACACCTTCCCCCTAAATATTTCAGCACCAGCATTGTTTTAAATGCTTTGTATGTATTATTCCTCAGAATAACCCTGAAAGGTAGGTAACATTATTATTGCTGCTTTATGGAGAGAGAAACAGGCTTCTTAGGTCCCCTGGGTCCTGCAGCTGGAAAGTAGTCCCAGTGTCCTCAGTCTCTAGTATGCACTCACAGCCATCCTTGAGGCCATCTTACCTCTTTGCACCATAGTCAGAGTGTGTATGATGAACAGTTCAAATCAGATGCATTGCCAGATTCTCAGCTAGATGTTACCTTAATCCAACCATTTGACTGTTGTTTATCATTGCTGTTGGGTACAAAAGAGACACCAAAGCCCACCAAAGGAATTACAATACTATTGAGGAAGAGGAAGAATATGTGTAAACAGATAAGTAAGGACCAAAATATGACTGTATGATATGGATAATACTAAAGTAATATCATATGTGATTCCCAGGTCTGTTATTTTGAGATGTGTAGCTGGTAAAACTGCATTTCTATAGATTTCAAATGAACATTTTCTGCCTTGCATTTGAAGTAATTTACGTCATATCAATTTAAATGAAATCTGCAACTTTCAGTTATATCTGCTACCACACTTTGTAGGAGAAGCAAAATTGACTGTTAGGGTTCTCTTTTATTTTATTTATTTATTTATTTGTTTATTATTTTGTTTTTGAGATGGAGTCTCGCACTGTTGTCCAGGCTGGAGTGCCGTGGTGCAATCTCAGATCACTGCAACCTCTGCCTTCTGGGTTCAAGCGATTCTCCTGCCTCAGCCTCCTGAGTAGCTGGGATTACAGGTGTGCGACACTGCGCCTGACTTATTTTTGTATTTTTAGTAGAGACGGGGTTTCACCATGTTGGCCAGGCTGGTCTCGAACTCCTGACCTCGTGATCCACCCACCTCTGCCTCCCAAAGTGCTGGGATTACAGGCGTGAGCCACTGTGTCCGGCCTATTTATTTTTTTTGAGTAATACCATTGAGCATGAAGTTGCCAGAAGGCTGGGTGCGGTGACTCAAGTTTGTAATCCCAGCGCTTTGGGAGGTCGAGGTGGTCAGATCACTTGAGTCCAGGAGTTCGAGACCAGCCTGGGCAACATGGTGAAACCCTGTTACTACAAAAAATATAAAAATTAGCTGGGTGTGTTGGCATGCGCCTGTAGTCCCAGCTACTTGGGAGGCTGAGTGGGGAGGATGGCTTGCACCCAGGAAGTCAAGACTGCAGTGAGCTGAGATCACACCACTGCACTCTAGCCTGGGTGACAAAGCGAGACCTTGTTTCAAAAAAAAAAAAAAAAAAGTTGCCAAAAATAGGCAGGTTAATTTTGGGGTGAGACTTGTTATTGTTAGCATTTGTTATCCTTTCACAAACCTCATGTTTGAGTCAGTGATTATAATAGAAGAATAGTAAAGCTGTTTATTTATTGTGTGTTTACCGTGTGTTCTAATTGTTTTGCATGTATCAACTAATTGAATCCTCAGAACAACCCTGTGAGTTTGGTACTGGTACTGTCTCAGGGGTAGAGCTACCCTCATTAGACAGTTAGGACTTGAACTTAGATTCTCTGATTGCAAAATTTGTATTAATTCTGCCCTACTACTACTGTGTTATTCCTGTCCTGCATGGGAGAATATATAGTTCATAACAAGATCAAAATGGCTTTTTGTGTGTGTGTGTGTGTCTAACTAGTATCCAGAGAGAACCTTCTGTAGTGTATAAAATGTGGCAATCGGGGCCAGGCGCAGTATCCAGAAAGAACCTTCTGTAGTGTATAAGATGTGGCAATCAGGGCTGGAGCGGTGCCTCACACCTGTAATCCCAGCACTCTGGGAGGCCGAGGCTGGGGGATAAGTTGAGAGCAGGAGTTCAAGACCAGCCTGGCCAACATGATGAAACCCCCGTCTCTACTAAAAATACAAAAAAATTAGCCGGGTGTTGGGACGTGCACCTGTAGTCCCAGCTTCTTGGGAGGCTGAGGCAGGAGAATTGCTTGAACCTGGGAACTGGAGGATGCAGTGAGCTGAGAACGCACCACTGCACTCTAGCCTGGGTGACAGAGCTAGACTCCATCTCAAAAAAAAGAAAAAAAAGAAAAAAGGACCAGGCGCGGTGGCTCACGCCTGTAATCCCAGCACTTTGGGAGGCTGAGGCAGGTGGATCACCTGACGTTGGGAGTTCGAGACCAGCCTGACCAACATGGAGAAACCCCATCTCTACTAAAAATACAAAATTAGGCAGACCTGGTGGCGCATGCCTGTAATCCCAGCTACTTGGGAAGCTGAGGTTTAGAGTTCCTGAGGTTTGAGGTCAGGAGTTCAAGACTAGCCTGGCCAACATTGTGAAACCCTGTCTCTACTGAAAATACAAAAATTAGCTGGTTGTGGTGGCACACGCCTGTAGTTCCAGCTACTCAGGAGGCTGAGGCAGGAGAATCACTTGAACCTGGGAGGCAGAGATTGCAGTGAGCCAAGATTGTGCCACTGCACTCCAGCCTGGGTGACAGAGTGAGACTCCCACTTGAACCCGGGAGGCGGAGGTTGTGGTGAGCTGAGATTGCATCATTGCCCTCCAGCCTGGGCAACTAGAGTGAAACTCCATCTCAAAAAAAAAAAAAAAAAAAAAAAATTCTGATGTTACTGAACAGAACATAGTAGATTTTTGGGTATGTTGCCAAAAAAGAAAACCATTAGTTTTGACTGTTAAAGGCAGTTCTGAAATCTAGTTTGTAAATTAGTTTAGGTCAGAGCCTGTAGCTTTCTTTCCTTATGCTTAGAGTGATTATAACTATTGCAAATGAAATGAAATTCAATGCAAGACATGTGGCTAGTTTTTCTGCTAATACTATCTTCTGCCACTTTATGGAAAAGTTGACATTATAGTTAATATTTCAGGAGTGGGTTGAGAGATTTCCAACAGGGAAGGAAGCATTTGAGACTTTTCACCTGGTCAGCTGTTTAGTGGTTTCGTATTCTGGGCTTTATAATTATAAGGCATCCTTAGAATCTGATCTTCGTTGGGATAAAGGCAACTCATGAAGGAGCAACAGCCTATAATCTTGAAGGATGCACTATTCAATTTGACCATTTGACATAGCCATGGGAAACTTCAGTTGCAAAAGTTGGCCAGATAATCAGCATGTCAGGTGTCTTCTGAGAGAGCCTCTGCTAGTGCTGGGAATCCTGGTAGCTCTTTTAGAGGATGAGATTTGGGAAGCTGTGTGTTGAACATGATTCTGTGACCATACTGAAATAGCCCCTAAGAGCTAATTGCTTAAATGACCAGAATACAGGCTTCCAAGCTGATCTTTGTAGAAAGGCCAAGGCAAGCCTGTATCATTTAAATTTTAGTTACTTAACCAAATAGGAAAGTTAAGATGGAAAAATGACCACGGATATTTCTATTTTTTATTAATTTCCATTCTGATTTTTTTACTTTCACTGCATTCTGGGTTTTTTTTTTTTTTGAAACTAGAGTCTCACTCTGTCACTCAGGCTGGAGTACAGAGGCACAATCTTGGCTCATTGCAACCTCTGCCTCCCAGGTTCAAGTGATTCTCCTGTCTCAGCCTCCTGAGTAGCTGGGACTACAAGGCGTGCACCATCACAACTGGCTAATTTTTGTATTTTTAGTACAGATGGGGTTTCACAATGTTGGCCAGGCTGGTCTTGAACTCCTGACCTCAAGTGATCTGCCTGCCTCGGCCTCCCAAAGTGCTGGGATTATTGGCTTGAGCCACTGCACCTGGCCCACCACATTCTGTTTTGAATTATGCTTTCAGTAAACTATAATATGTGATCAAGGCCATTGTCAGTGAGAATAGTTGGCACAGGAGCATTGACCTTGTTCAGAAGATAGATGTTAAAATTGAAGTCACTGCCAGTGTTCTCAGATGGTTTGATCCCTGTTGCTGAGCTCTCGTTTCAGACCTGGCCTTGATGCTTCCCATTTTATATGGCTTGTTTTGCCCATGTATTTTTTCAATTCAATAAGCAGACTTTTAAAATTGAGTAAATAATGTATGGTGCTGTCCTCAGAGGGCTTATAATTCAGTGCAGAGACAGATTTATGTGCAAATGTAAATAACATACACAAAGCACGGTAAGTAAACTGCCTAACACAGTTCTTTGGAAACCTCAAGAAATGAGAATGGTATTTGAGGCTAAAGGAAAAATAGCTTGAGCTGAGACTTGGAGATAGGGAAATATTATGCAAAACAAAAAAAGCTGAGTAAGTCTGTTATGATGGGAATGGGGGTGCTACGGCTGTGTGAAGTACTGGGAAAGGGGATCAGCTGTGTGGTTTGAGACTTGGCCCATGCTGCCTTTATGATTTGAGATCTTGGACAAATTACCTTACCTTTGCAAGTCTCAGTTTCTTCCTCATAAAATTGGAATGACAAGATTCACTCATAGTATTGTTAGGATTAATGTATGTGAAAATGTACTGTGTAAACACTTAAGCTCTTATAAATTATTATTATTTTTGGTGTGGGATGTAATAGCAGATGATGCTGTGGAGATAGGTTGGGACCAGCATGTTGTAGGAATGCCAACAGAACTAGTTTGGACTTTGTTCTGTAGACAGTAGAGAACCATCAGAGCTTTTAAGCAGGAGCGTAACATGAGTAGGTCTGTTTTGTACGGGTAACAGGTGGCATTGGTGTAACACTGATTGCAAGGATCCGGAGATCAAGAGCAGCAAGACTAATTAGGAGGGTATCACAATGGCCAAGTAAAAAGAAACTTAGGGTCTGAGTTGGGACAGTGGAAGTGGATTTGGCAAGGAGTTAATATAATGTAAAATCCCTAAAATAGGGAGAAATTGTTGGCTGACGAGATGAGGGTTGTTGAAGAAGGGAGGAGTTAGAGATGAATCTAAATCTGACCTGAGACTAGAAGGTGGAGGAGTAACAGAGAGTGTAGCCTCTAGACAGATTTAGGAAAGTGAAGGAAAGAGAGAACAGATTCAACAGATAGGTAGTCTGTGTTCAGCAGAAAGATTATTTGTTGAATGAATGGGTTGAATTATTGAGCCCCCATGTTGTTCAGGGAGACTGCTTTGAGTAGTGGCTAAAACCTCTGGAACTGGAATCAGAGACAGTTTTGAATCCTGATTCTGATACTTCTTAATGTGTTCTTGAACAAGGGACCTAACTTGTAGGCCTCGGTTTTCTCATCTGTAAAATGAGATAATAAAACTTACAAGATTTTTTTCTTTTCTTTTCTTTTTTATTGAGACAGGGTCTCTCTCTGTCACCCAGGCTGAAGTACAGTGGTGTGATTTCGGCTCACTGCAGCCACAATTTCCTGGTCTCAATCCATCTTCTGACCTCAGCCTCCTGAGTAGCTGGGACTGCAGGCGGGTACCACCATCCCTGGCTAATTTTTGTATTTTCTGTAGAGACGGGGTTTGGCTATGTTGCCCAGGCTGGTCTCAAATTCCTGTACTCAAGCAATCTGCCCTCCTCGGCCTCTCAGAGTGCTGGGATTACAGGCGTGAGCCACCGTGCCTGGCCAGGATTGTTTTAAGAATGGGAAGAGATAGCACATCTTGGCACATGGATTGCGGGTGTGTGGGAACCTTGGTTCTGAAGCTAGGGAGACAGTGTGGGAATGATTCCCATGGTAGAGCTGTGGGAATGGGCATATTGTTCACAGTCAGCTGACTGGGAGCCACGTGTATACGTATTTAAGAGCGAGAGGAAGATAATCAGAGAAAGGAGATGAAGAGTGCTAAGAGAGGTCAGCGGTGGCCGGGGTTATGTCTGTCAGCCATTTGCGTTCTCATATGTAATGTGCTAAAAACATGTATACATGTTTAGTAACACTTCTTATAAAACTATTATGTAATTGAAACACTTCTAATTAATGTAACAGTTTATATATTTATGATATATATACACACATATACATATATGATAAAATATGTTGCATTGGTATTAGAGATTTTAAGTCTTCAGCAAATGATTATCAGTGTATTTTTTGAAGTATTAGCATGTTCTCAGTAAATTTGGTTTGTGGACATAGGCCTTATTCTTTCTCAAATTTGATAGTCATTATAATTTTTTTTCCTCATACTGAATTTGCAAAGCAGGGCATCAAAGATCTAACAAGAAATGAAAAGTGCTTATTTTTTTCTTAAAATTGTAGCTATGCATATACATCTGTTAATTGTATTTTTTTGGTGTTCTAAATAATAGATTCTTTATACAATTGCATATGTACGAGTGGATGAACGTACCATTGGTGATCCCGAGGATTTTTGTCAAGATTGGATAAACCATGTATCACATTGATTGTAGAGGTTAGTAGATTTAGTTCCTTAGGATGTGTGCATTTTTTTTGTAGCAGCATTTAAAAATGCATAGGTTATCAGGTAGCAATTTCCCCCCAAGATCTTCATGTTTTTTTTTTTTCCTTTTCTAGCTAGCCTGAGAAAATTGGTGAAGTTCATGTTAATTTACAAATGCCTGAAGCCTCTATTCTCTGTAATGCTAAACATAAAAATAATTTGCAAAAAGAAGAAAAAGATAAAACTTGAAGTCTTTTTTTTTTTTTTTGGAGACAGTGTCTCACTCTGTTGTCCAGGCAGGAGTGCAGTGGGGCAGTCATGGCTCATTGTAGCCTTGATCTCCCAAGGCTCAAGTGATCCTCCTGCCTCAGCCCCACCGAGTAGCTGGGACTACAGGTGCATGCCATCACACCTGGCTAATTTTTATATTTTTAGTAGAGATGGGGTTTTGCCATGAAGGCTGGTCTCGAACTCCTGGGCTCAGGCGATCCACCTACCTCAGCCTCCCTTGGAGATGTTATTTAGCACTGTGCACAAGGAAAAGACGATGGGTGATCGTTTACAAACAACTTTGTGTGCCACAATCACAAAAAGTCATTTTACATGCTCGAGGAATGCCATCATGGAGGTTTTTGTTTTTTAAATTTTTTAATTTTTTTTTGAGACAGGGTCTCGCTGTGTCACCCAGACTGGAGTACAGTGGCACAATCATGGCTAACTGCCACCTTGATCTCCTGGGCTCAGGCGATCCTCCCACCTCAGCCTCTCTAGTAGCTGGGACTACATTTTGTTTTATTTTTATTTTTTGACACAGGGTCTTCCTTTGTTGCCCAGGCTAGAGTGCAGTGGCACGATCATGGCTCACTGCAGCCTTGACCTCCTGGGCTCAAGTGGATCCTCCCACCTCAGCCTCCCAAGTAGCTGGGATCATAGTTGTGTGCCACCATGCCTGGCTAATTTTTTTTTTTGGTAGAGACAGAGTCTCTGTGTGTTACCTAGGCTGGTCTGGAACTCCTGAGCTCAAGCTATACTCCTACCTGGGCCCCCCAAAGTGTCATGATTTTAGGTGTGAGCCACCATGCCCAGCCAGTTGTTCTATTTGTGAGAAGAGGTATGAAGGAGGCATCTTCATGGTAATTGGATGTTTCTAATTCTGCCATTTTGTCATGCATTGTGATTTTGAGAAAAGCCATTTAATTCTACTTCATTCTAAGGCAGAATAAGAGTATGGTGTCATTTTCACTCTTGGATGATATCAGATGGTCTTTTGATTGAAACTCTGTAAATTCAGATTGTAATTCTCTGATATCATGGACTCAATATCCAGTGAGTTCCTGGGATTTTGTAGCTTCAATCCAAAAGTGCTTTTTGTTGCTATCTTCTAATTTAACTGTTAGACCCCTTCTCCCCACCCCTCCTATGCATTCTACTATGTTTTGGTATATATATTGCTGCTGATGATACAAAATGTCTTATTCATTTAGGTGAAATTTTGAGGGATGGGATAATTTTAAAACCAGAATTCAACTTTAAAATAAATTTTGGCCTGTTTTTGCTGTTTTCACAAATCTTTATTCCTTGGGCGTTTAGAGAAATGAAAAATTGGGAGATGGGAAGAATTGTTTAGAAGAGCAGTGAGGACATTGTTTCTTCTCTCCTAGATTCTTTAACTCCTAGAGCTTTTGGGCTTGTGATTGATGTGTTAATGTCATTATGATATACTGAAGGCAAAGTGAAGCTACAACTGCTAGGATTTAAATAGTGATTTAAATAAAGAACATTCTAGGGCTTACACACCCATATGAGCATTGTTCTAAGTAATTAGCTGCTTTGGGTGGATCTTAACGATCGTACATTAGACTTTTATGCAGTCTGAACTCTTGCATAGTATATATTATTTCCTCTAAGCTAGCTTTCACAAGCTGAAGTAATCTTTCCTGCTTGTCACCTCCTAAAACCGATTTCTAACTGAGTATCTCTGCCAGCTGCTGTCTCTGGGGGAAAGGGCCTTGTGGACCTCAGTGTTGGGAGTCTAGCACTTACTCATTAAATCTAGGGCTTCTGTCTTGTCACCTGGCCCAGTCTTGCCAAGCTACTCCTATGATTTCCTCCCCTTCCTCTGTGTGTGTGTGTGTGTGTGTGTGTGTGTGTGTGTGTGTGTGGCGGGAGGAGAGGACATGATGGGGTTGTGGGGAAGTGGGTGCGGGGTGGTAAGCAATATGATCAGGGAGGGGTAGCCTTGTTTTGGGCTATGCTGGATTGGCAGGGAGTTTGAAGTAGCCTGGAATCATATGCAAAAGGCTGGGCACAGTGGCTCACGCCTGTAATCCCAGCACTTTGGGAGGCCGAGGCGGGCGGATCACGAGGTCAGGAGTTTGAGACCATCACGGGTAACACAGTGAAACCCCATCTCTACTAAAAATACAAAAAGTTAGCTGGGTGTCGTGGCACATGCCTATAGTCCCCGCTACTCGGGAGGCTGAGGCAGGAGAGTCACTTGAACCCGGGACGGGGAGGTTGTGGTGAGCAGAGATTGCGCCACTGCACTGCAGCCTGGGTGACAGAGCAAGACTTCACTAAAAAAAAAAAAAAGGCCAGGGAAAGAAAGACTCTTTTCCTCTTCCCTGTTTAAAGAGCCTAGCCTGTAGTAGATCCAGATGCAAGGGTTTCCAGATTAGGGTATCTGCCTGGGCCCTTGGGGGACAGACTGGTGGACTAGGGAACAGAAAGATAATCTGTCTGATTGCCTTAATTCTGGGGTGGGCAGAGTTACTAGCAAAGGACTCCATCAGCAGGGACCTCCTGCTCAGGACTTTGTTGCCTGTGAAGGTACTCATTGCCACCTCTTGGGCCCTGGCTGGAGAGAGGCAGCTCCTGCAGGAACCTTGATGGATTGTCTCTTTCTGGTAATGGATCTTCTCCCCACTCCCAACTTATATTTATGTTTTCTGCTAGACTGCCTGACATTCTCCTTTTAAGTACATTTGCATCTGTTGAGTTCTGTAAAAAAGGCTGGGGATGGGGGTAACTCTTTACAAACAGGAGTAGAGATCACATTTCTAGACATTCTTTTTTTTGAGATGGCGTCTTTTTTTTTTTTGAGACAGAGTCTCGCTCTGTCACTCAGGCTGGAGTGCAGTGGCGCGATCTCGGCTCACTGCAAGCTCCACCTCCCGGGTTCACGCCATTCTGCTGCCTCAGCCTCCCGAGTAGCTAGGACTACAGGCGCCCGCCACCATGCCTAGCTAATTTTTGTATTTTTAGTAGAGATGGGGTTTCACTGTGTTAACCAGGGTGGTCTCGATCTCCTGACCTTGTGATCCATCCACCTCGGCCTCCCGAAGTGCTGGGATTACAGGCGTGAGCCACCGCGCCTGGCGGGACGGAGTCTCGTACTGTCGCCTGGGCTAGAGTACAGTGGCTGGATCTCGGCTCACTGCTCCACCTCCCGGGTTCAAATCATTCTCCTGCCTCAGCCTCCCGAGTAGCTGGGATTGCAGGCGCCCGTCACCACGCCCAGCTAATTTTTTGTATGTTTAGTATAGACAGGGTTTCACCATGTTGGCCGGGCTGGTCTCAAATTCACCTGACCTCGTGATTCACCTGCCTTGGCCTCCAAAGTGCTGGGATTACAGGTGTGAGCCACTGCACCCGGCTGCTTTGTTTTTTTGGAGACAGAGTCTCGCTATGTTGCCCAGGCTGGAATGCAGTGGCACAATTTTGGCTTACTGTAACCTCTGCCTCCTGGGTTCAAGTGATTTCTCCTGCCTCAGCCTCCCAAATAGCTGGGATTACGGGGCCTGCCATCACGCTCAGCTAATTAATTCTTAAAGAAGCATCCTGCTGGCCTCATTTGGGTTTTGCCAAGTATTAGCGTGGCTTTTGGGGAATTGAGATGATATTTCAGATAGATGAAGTGGACTTTAACTTCCGGTTAGTATCTGGTTAGATTTATAATTCACAGGATTGATCTACCAGAAAATACTAGTATTACACACAAAATCTAGATGCCAACTAGGGCTTCCTTATTTTTCCATAGTTTTAGCCTCAAACTCCTAATTGTACTGACTGTCAGAGTCCATTCTCTTCCCTACCTTCCAGCCTGATATTTCCAATTTTTGTGAATTCCCTATACTTTAGTTTCTTATTCTTTTCTTAGTTTCTGGGCTCCCACTTCTGAAAATGTTTCAGCTTGGACGTGAAACACACACACACACACGTTTGAGCTTGGACATGAAACACACACACACGCTCGCTCTCTCTCTCTCTCTCTCTCTCTCACTCACTCTCTTTGCCCAGAATTGGTATGTCCTAGGAAAAGGCCTTGTTTTAAGAGTGCTTGATTTTCTGCCCTTTTACTGGTTCACCCCTTCCTCTTCATCTTTTTCTGTTCTCTTCCTTTCCTTCTCTCGGCAGTAACTGCTGCATCTCTGCTGGTTTGGAGTCACGTCGTATACAGTTGTCTAGTAAGATTTAGTATCTTCTCCACCTACTTTCTCGCTTAAACCATGTTATAATTTAGTGTGCTAGAAGGAGCATTGGACTGTCTAGGGTTTGAATCAGCCCTGCCACTTAGTAGTTTTGGAATCTTGGTCAACAGAATGTTTTCAAGGCTCTGTTTCCTCAACTGTAAATTGGAGCTAATACTACTTGCTTTACTAGAAGTTCTTTACAGGCAGGTACTGTGTTCCAGTGTGCGCTTGGAGGGTAAAGCCCTCTCTGGGTTCAGCTTGTTTGTTTTTGTTTTGTTTTGTTTTTTGAGGCTGAGTCTTGTTCTGATGCCCAGGCTGAAGTGCAGTGGCGTGATCTCGGCTCACTGCAACCTCTGCCTCCTGGGTTCAAGCAGTTCTGTCTCATCCTTCCTAGTAGCTGGGACTACAGTCACATGCCACCACGCCTGAGTAATTTTTATATTTTTAATAGAGATGGGGTTTCATCATATTGGTCAGGCTGGTCTTGAACTCCTGACCTCAGGTCCTGGGTTCAGCTTCTGAATCTGTGTATCATTCACATGGTGACCTCTGGCAGGTCAGTTAGGTGGTGAGTCTATAAATGCATCTATAAGTGCACCTCACAACATTTTTCTGAGGCTCAGAAGGCCATGTGAAACTGCTTTGTGACTGTGATGTATTTTATATACTTATATCTGTGAATCAGAAGAAAGTAAATACCATTAGAGAGAATATTTCTTTCTGAAATCGTCTATTATAGTGTAATATATTTCTGTAGTAACTTGATAGATCTTTTAAAAAATATCGTGTGGTGTTAGCGGTGGTCTTAGGTATTTTCAGCTTTCTCTTCAATTTCAGCTTCTACTTAAGACCTCTAACCTGATTTGTATTTTAAAATTTACTTTCATATTCAGGAAAAAAATATTTTTTGTAGAAAATTTAAGCAACCTTAAAAAACCTGAAACCTGTCACTCAGAAATTCACGCAAGTAATTCGTGCTCATGAAGTAAGTTAGTAATGACACATAATTAAACAAACCAGAAAGAATCCTCTGAAATTCAACCAAACAGGGATAACATTGCCTTAAATAGAATCCTTTCTCTATTCCTTTTGATAGTATACTTTTCTTGTATAATTTTAAAGGACTATTTTGATGTTCAGGTTGTCCTGAAAGGAAACTGATTTCTCTTCTCTTCTCTCTTCTCTTCTCTTTTCTCATCTCTTCTTTTTTCTCATCTCTTCTCTTCTTTTTTCTCTTCTCTTTTTTAACATGCTTTTTCCATTAATAATGATGTGAGGGAAAAATAAGTAATTGTAGGTTTATTGTTTTTTCTAGTCCTGTAAGAAAATAGCTTTTCCTCCCTAATTTAGAAGTTAAAGTTGTGTTTTTGAGAGAGATCTGAAGAATGTGCTGAAGTCTTTAAACCTTTACTGGTCGTTTTCTTTTTATGCGGGTAGGAGGAGGGAGTGTTCCTTCTTCGTCTTTAGATAGAGAAACTAAAGACAGGCGAATAAGATAAATTTGAATTATTTAAAGGAAAATAAATGAGCTGGGTGTGGTGGCTCACGCCTGTAATCCCAGCACTTTGGGAGGCTGAAGTGGGAGGATTGCTTGGGCAAAATAGGATGACCTCATCTCTACAAAAAATAAAACAACTAGCTGGGTGCAGTGGCATATGTCTGTGATTCTAGCTACTTCCAAGGCTGAGGTGGAAGAATGGCTTGAGACTGCAATGAGCTGTAACTGCATCACTGCACCTCAGCTTGGGCAACAGCAGAACCCTGTCTCCAAAATAAAAACGTGTGTGTGTGTGTGTGTGTGTGTGTGTGTGTGTGTGTGTATTTAGTTATTTATATTTTTAGTAGATTTTTTTTCCTCCTACAAGAATGTCATAGTTAACATGAGCTAAACTGGATTTTTGTTTTGTTTTGGAATTTTAAGATTCTCAGGGTTTTGATACTTTTCCTTTGAGATCAAATGTTCTTTTTGTTCTTTCTTTTTTTTTATTTTTTGAGACGGAGTCTCGCTCTGTCGCCCAGGCTGGAGTGCAATGGCGCCATCATGGCTCACTGCAACCTCTACCTCCCGGGTTCAAGCGATTCTCCTGCCTCAGCCTCCTGAGTAGCTGGGATTACAGATGCACACCATCATGCCCAGCTAATTTTTGTATTTTTACTAGACATGGGTTTCACCATGTTGGCCTGGCTGGTCTTGAACTCCTGACCTCGTGATCACTTACCTCGGCCTCCCAAAATGCTGGGATTACAGGTGTGAGCCACCGTGCCCTGCCTCTTTTTGTTCTTTCATAGGCTTTAAGGTTCCTTTCAAGCTTCAAAGTTCTGTGATTAAAAATTTTTTTTCTTGTCTTTAAAACATGGATTTTTGATTTTTGAAAAATATTTGCTCTGTATACTTTTTTTTTTTGGGACAGGGTCTTGCTCTGTTACCCGGGCTGGAGTGCAGAGGCATGATCTAGCTCACTGCAGCCTCAACCTCCTGAGCTGAAGCGATTTTCCCACCTCAGCCCCCTGTGTAGCTGGCACTACAGGGACGCACCACCATGCCTGGCTCATTTTTCAATTTTTTGTAGAGATGGGGTCTTGCTGTGTTGCCGAGGCTGGTCTCAAACTCCTGGGCTCCAGTGATTCTTCTGCCTTAGCTTCCCAGAGTGCTGGGATTACAGGAGTGAGCCACTGCATATGCTGGCCTGTATGCTGTTTTTTTCTAATCAAAAAATGTATTTTCACTGAAAAATATTTGAAAAGTATTAAGAAAAATTACTGATGTATTTTCTTTCACTTTTTATATAATTATATCATAAAATAAAATTATCATGGAATATATATATATATATATTCTTTTAAAAATAACGAATTATTTCAACCATGAAGGAAAGTATGGAGAGTAATGTTGACATGGAGTTTTTTTTGCTCTTGTAGCCCAGGCTGCAGTGCAATGGCACGATCTCGGCTCACTGCAACCTCCTTCTCCCAGGTTCAAGCAATTCTCCTGCCTCAACTTCCCGAGTAGCTCGGATTACAGGCGCCCGCCACCATGCCTGGCTAATTTTTTTATTTTAAGTAGAGACAGGGTTTCACCATGTTGGCCAGCCTGGTCTCAAACTCCTGACCTCAGGTGATCCACCCACCTCGGCCTCCCAAAGTGCTGGGATTACAGGCATGAGCCACTGTGCCCGGCCTTGGAGAGTAATCTTATTAACATTTATGTATGTCTGACTCATCTTTGTCAAATTTTTACATTTTCTGCTATCAGCTTCAGGTCTTGTATTTTATTTTAATTAATTAATTTATTTATTTTGAGACAGAGTTTTGCTCTTGTTGCCCAGGTTGGTGTGCAGTGGGATGATTTCGACTCACCACAACCTCCACCTCCCGGGCTTAAGCTATTCTCCTGCCTCAGCCTCCTTGTATTTTTAGTAGAGACGGGGTTTCTCCATTTTGGTCAGGCTGGTCTCAAACTCCCGACCTCAGGTGATCCACTGGCCTTGGCCTCCCAAAGTGCTGGGATTACAAGCGTGAGCCACCACGCCCGGCCTTATTTTATTTTTTTAAAGAAATAAACATTGCAGATGCAATTCAAACCCCCTGTGTTACTCCTTATCATATCATTTTTCTTTTCTTCCCTTTTTTCCTCTCTTTCCTCCTCCCCTCCTTCCCTCTCCCTTTTCATTCAGAGATTGTCATTACTGTGATGTATCGTACCCAATATGTTTTGTGTTTAAAAACTTTCCATAAATGGGACTAAACTGTACATATCCTTCTGCAGCTTATTTTGTTTGATCTTAGATTTTTCAGATATGGTCTTGTTGGCTCATGTAACATGTAATCCTTGTTTATTTATTTCCATCGTTGTGTGACTCTGCATAATTTATTCCTTCTCATGTTGACTGATATTTAGATTGTTTTTATATTTTTGCTTTTACTAATCCTGGGCTGTGAACACTTTCACACATGTGTCCTTGTGCTTGTCTCTTCCTGGGAGAGTTCTTTTTTTTTTTTTTTCTTTTGAGATAGGATCTTGCTCAGTTGCCCATGCTGGAGTGCAGGGACACGATCACAACTCATTGCAGGCTTAAGGGATTCTCCCACCTCAGCCTCTCGAGTACTGAGTAGCTGGGACTACAGGTGCATACCACCATGCCTGGCTAATTTTTTTTTTTTTTTTTGGTAGAGATGGAGTTTTGTCATGTTGCCCAGGCTGGTCTTGAACTCCTGAGCTCAAGCGATCTGACTACCTCAGCCTCCTAAAGTGCTGGGATTAAAGGTGTGAGCCACCACACTCAGCCCCTGGGAGAGTTTTTTTCTAGGACGGTGTTACATAAAGTGTTGTCTGAGCATTAGGGAGTTATTTCTTGCAAATAAGGAACTTGCATCAAAATGTAAATCAACTATCACTGTTAATTTATTTAACACTTCTTATTCTAGAAGCACTTTTTCAATAAAAAGTGTTCCTTATCTCTTTGCTGACTGGTGATAAACAGTTTGTAGATGGGCTTCTTGAATGGCAGAATTGCTAGGTGGAAGGGTATGTTCCTCTTCAACTTTGCTAGAGATGTCTTTACTGCAGAATTGCTCTTCAGAGATTGTATCAATATGTACCCCATCAGTAGTGGACCAGAGTTCTTGGTTTGTTTCCCATCTTTGCCAACATTTGGTACTGTTAGATTTGAATCTTTTTTTTTCTGATGTGTAGTCCATTGTTCTCTGATTCTTAATGGCATTTTTGTCAATCTCAAGTTTTCATGTATTCCCAGTTCTCTTTCTGTGTTCTCTGTTTTAATCTATTGATTTGTCTATTTGCTGACCGGTGCTTTTGTCACACTCAATCTTAATAATTGTCATAGCTTTATAAGTCTTGAAATCTGATTGAGCCACTCCTACTGCACTTTTATGGAAAATTGACAGTTACTCTTGGCTCTTTGCTGTTTCATACTCTGTTCCATTCATATTCCAAAGGAATTTTATAATTTTTTTCAGCTTTCACAAAGCACTCTGTTTTCTGTAGAGAATGTTTGACTGTTGGGGGCTTCCCATCTTTGCAATATTGAGTTTATTTGTGAGCATTAGTGCTGTTTACCAGATATTTCTAGTTCTCTCTTTTGGGCACAAAATAGAATTTAGTGCTGGGGACACAGTGAGAGACATGTGATTCACCACAGAAGTTTCACCACAGAAGGGTTGAATTGAGCCAGAAGGATTGAGGATATGGCACTAACTAGCGGTGTTTGAGATGGTGTTGGCTCTATCAGCCGACTGTAGTGAGCAGAGCCCTCCTCCTGATCTATGACTGAGGCATGGTCTAAGTGAGAAACTAATGTTGGTTGTTTTTAAGCCATGGAAATTTGGGGGTTATTATCACTAACCTATCCTGACATGGAAATCCATGAATGTAGTTGGGTGTGGTGGCTCACACTTGTAGTATCAGCACTTTGGGAGGTTGAGGTGGGTGGATCACCTGAGTGAGGTCAGGAGTTTGAGACCAGCCTGACCAACATGGCGAAACTGCATCTCTACAAAAAATACAAAATTAGCCAGGTGTGGTGGCGCATGCCTGTAATCCCAGCTATTTGGGAGGCTGAGGCAGGAGAATCGCTTGAACCTGGGAGGCAGAAGTTGCAGTGAGCCGAGATTGCACCACTGCACTCCAGCCTTGGTGACAGAGTGAAACTCTGTCTCAAAAAAAAAAAAAAAAAAAAAATTCCATGAATGTTGTGCTTCTCCATTAATTTAGATCTTATGAATTATAGTTAGGATTATAATTTTCTCTGTAAAGGACTATGACATGTTTCATTAGATTTATTTCCAGATAACTTGTAGTTTTATTGCCATTGTTAATTATATGTTTTTAAAAACTACATTGATACTTTGTTCTCATTTATCTCAGTTGACTTCTGTACTCTGATCTTGTATGCAACATAATTAACTTTCTTATTTTACATACCCTATCCCATAAATATCATGTAATCTGTGAATACTGACAGTTTTTAGTATCTCCTACTTCCATATTGCATTTTCTAGCAGTTCCAGTTCAATTTGCTTGGAAGTGATGATAGTGCACATCTTGTTTCTGATTTTGTATGAGATATATTTGCTGTAGATTTTACATAGATGCTTTTTGTCAGATTATGAAAGTTTCTTTCAGTGACGGTTATTTCCAGCTCCACAGTTATAAACTACTCTTTGGGACAGATTCTGCTAATCATATTTTTCAGACTCCCTTACCATCTAGCTTCTTGTTTTAAGATATCTTTTCCTATCTCGAGGTAATGAGAATATTCTTTATTTCTCTAGAAACTTTATTGTTTTACCTTTGACATTTAGATTTATGATCCATCTGGAATTGATTTTCTTTTTGTTTGATGATATGGTTTGGCTCTGTGTCCCCGTCCAAATCTCATCTTGTAGCTCCCATAATTCCCATGTGCTGTGGGAGGGATGCAGTGGGAGATGATTGAATCATGGGAGTGAGTCTTTCCCATGCTGTTCTCGTGATAGCGAGTGGGTCTTAGGAGATCTGATGGTTTCAGAAACGGGAGTTTGCCTGTACAAGCTGTCCCTTTGCCTGCTGCCATCCATGTTAAGATGTGACTTGCTCCTCCTTGCCTTCTGCCATGATTGAAAGGCTTCCCTATCCACATGGAACTGTAGTTCTCCATTAAACCTCTTTCCTTTGTGAATTCTCTAGTCTTGGATATGTCTTTATCAGCATCATGAAAACGGACTAATAGATATGGTGTGAGGTAGGGATTAAATATTGTTCTCCCATATTGGAATACAGTTGATTTAACACCATTTATTGAAAAGACCATCATTTACTCACTACATTGCAGTGACACCTCTGTTTAAACCAGGTGACTATATACCTGTTTGTCTTTTACACATTTTCTATTTTGTTCAAGTGGTCTACTTATTTTTTGTTAGCATAGTATACTTTTAATTACTGTAGTTTTTATTTTATGTGTTTATTTTTTTGAGACAAGGTCTTGCTCTTTTGCTCAGGCTGGAGTGCAGTGGCATGATCTTGGCTCACTGCAACCTCTACCTCCTGGGCTCAAGCAGTTCTCCCACCTAAGCCTCTCAAGTAGCAGGGACTACAGGTGCACGCCACCACGCCCAGCTAAATTTTTTTTTTTTTTTTTGGTAGAGATGGGGTTTCACCATGTTGCCCAGGCTGGTCTCAAACTCCTGAGCTCAAGCAATCAGCCTGCCTTGCCCTCCCACAGTGCTGGGATTACAGGGCTGAGCCACTGTGCCCAGCCTACTGTAGTTAGCCTTGAAATTTGACCAAAGTCTTCTAGCTGTTTTTCCTCTTCAAGATAGTTTTGGCAAATCTTGGTCCTTTGCATTTCTTTAAATTATAGAAAGAATCAACTTTTTTTTTTCTTCTAGTGGTATCCACACATTTAAAGATTATTCATCCACTCATTCATTGATTGAGATAGTTAGTATCTTCCTGTGTTGCCCAGGCTGGCCTGGAACCACTATAGGCTCGAGCCACTGTGCCTGGCTCTAGGATCAGCTTTTTAGTGTTACCCAAGTTATCTGATGGATTGTGCTTGGATTATATTGTCTATAGGTCAATTTGGGGAGAATTGACATCTTATTAATATTTTCTAATCTGTGAATATGGTGTATCTTTTAAGTTTTCCTTAATTTCTTGTAGCGGTGTATTTTAGTTTTCTGTGTAGAGGTCTTACACATTTTTCCCTAGATTAATTCCCAGCTATTCGATGTGTTTTGATGTCATTGTAATAGGTGTTTTCAAATTTTGTTTTCTAATGGTTTATTACTATTATATAGGAAACCAATTGATTTGTGTATTTTGTTATTCTATTAATTTTTCCATAGATTGTTTTGGATTTTTTGTGTACCAATCATTATCTTTAAATAATGAAAATATTATTTCTTCCTTTGTAATCTTAATGCATTTTATTTTTCTTTGTCTTATTGCTCTGAATAAAATTTGCAGTACAAATTTGAATAGAATTGGTAATAGTGAACATCTTTACCTTGTTCCTGAACTCAGAGGAAAAGTGTTTGGTATTTTACCTTTAGATATAATGTTTGCTGTAAGTTTTTATAAAAATCTCTTATCAGATTAAGGAAGTTCTCTTTTCTTCCTTGTCTCTTCAACATGAATAGTTTGTTCCCATCTATTTAGCATGAAGAGATGTTGAATTTGATCAAATGCCTTTTCTGTATATATTGAGATGATCATATGATTGTTATTCTCTATTGTGTTAATGTGGCAGATTACACTGATTTTCAATATTAAACCAACTTTGCATCTTTGGAATAAATCCAATTTTTGTATGATGTATTATCCTTTTTATGTATCGCTGGATTTGACTCATATTTTTTACTTATTTTATGTATTATGATTTAAATATTATTTTATTATCTCATTTGCGTCTATATTCATGAGAAATATCTTTTATTTGCTTTTATCTTTCTGGGGATACCCTTGTTTGGTATCAAGGTTATTCTGGCCTCTTAACATTCAGGGATGTGTTCCCCTGCCATCCCTTTACCCCACCTTTTTCTCTTCTCTGGAAGAAGTTATGAAGGAGAATTTACCAGCGAATTCATAAGGTCCTGCCATTTTTTTGTGTGGGGAGGTTTTTAAATAATACAGTTCATATTTGTGGTAATTTAGAATGAACCAGTTTTTTAAAGCAGAATTTATAATTGTGAGTTGTATCATTGTGGTCTGTCTTTAGAAGTAATTAAAAAAGCCCCTTAAAATCATGTAATTATGACTTTGTACTAAGTTATGCCTCCGTATGATGAGCTCTTGTGTCTCTGAGGTATTGTCACATGGGATTTTTAGCTTTCTGGCCTGGCTCAGTTTTCCTTTGGTGGTAGTAAATGGGGTTATTAACATACCTAGCATAGGATTCCTACTCTAGGTGGGATTCTACTAATAATTCATATTTTGCTCCCAGCTGATGGAATGTGTGTTCTCAAATATTTCGTAGACTTCTGATTTATTAAAATACTTATTTTTGTAGTAGTAGTCAGCTTTATTTAAAAAGGAGGTAAAATTAGCCAAATATGATGGCTCATACCTGTAATTCCAGCACTTTGGGAGTTTGAGGCAGGAGGATCGCTTGAGGCCAGGAGTTCACAAGCAGCCTGGGCAACATAGACCTCATTTCTACAAAAAATACAAAAAAGAAAAAGATAATAATTTCTTCTTGCCACTGAGCTTAAGGGGAAAAAAAAAGAAAAAGGTAAAATTAAAGGAATAATGTATTCTGAGAGATAATTATATACAATATTTATATAACATATGGAAAATATTTTATATCATATATAATTACTCTGCCAAACCTAACCAGTTAAGGGCATAGCCCTCCACTAGACTGAATCGACTTCATATGCCACCTACAAGTTCCTGTTATCCCAGAGCCACCCTCACTTTTGACCTATTGGATACAGATTTGGGGGTCTCCATGGACCCCCTCAGGTTTAATCATTAGCTAGAACGAGTCAGAACTCAGGAAAGCCGTGTATTTATGGTTATGGTTTTATAGAAAAGGATGCAAGTTAAAACCAGCCAAAGGGAGAGACATGTAGGGCAAGGCCTGAGAGGGTTCCAGATGCAAAGCTTGTGTTGTGTCAGGGTACTTTCCCAGTATAGCAATGTGTGATAATACACACAATGCACTGCTGATCATAGAAGCTCACCGGCTCACCTGAACTTTGGTGTCCAGGGTTTTATTGACCAGGTGTGATTGATTGATTGGATCATTGCCCATGTGACTCAATTTCTAACACCCCCCCCACCCTCCTCTCCCTCTCCAACCCTTCCCCTTGTCCACCTCCCCTAATCACCTGGCTGAAAACCTGCAAGATGATTAGTCTTTCTAGTGTGATCAACCCCCATCCTGAGTTATCTCTTAGCGTAAACAATCTGGGGCCCACTATGAGTTACTTCCTCAGTGTAAGTTATCAAATGTGATTAGAGGGTCCCACCATGAATAACAAAGGCACTTCAGTTACTGGGGAAATCCCAAGGGTTTAGTGCTTTCCTCTCAGGAACATGGACAGAGGTCACCTAAATTCTTTATTACACAAGAATATAAAAGCTACATCTGTAATATGATAGCCGTATATAACATTATATAATGTTTCACAACATTCTTATGAAGCAATCTTATGCTGTTCCTAATAGACAAGTTCATTAATAACCTTAGAGAGGTTTAGTTTACTAACTAAAACCAGTAATGTATCTGACATGAAAATATAGGTCCGTTGGCTCCTTTATATCTTAGACTCTCGGAGAGAATCATTAGTTGGGCTTTCACAAGTCTATATTAATAATGTATAGTTTATAAATAATAGCCCATTTAGAATTGTCCCCATAATATATGCAAAGGAGGAATTTTATACTTTTTTAATGTGTGTTTCTCATGTGTGTATGTATATGCACACAAAATCTAGATACTTCTTTTAGCAGAAATTCTCCTTAGTTGGTTGATGTGAAATAAAGGATATTTTCCTAAATCACATTTATAACTGAAGGTTTGGAAAACGTTGTCTGTATATGTTTGTATTTTTTCAGTGATTAGACACTGATATAAATGCTATAGGGGTAGGGGGAAGAAAGGATAGGAGATTTATTTTTTATTTGTTTGACTGTGTGGATTAATGCTGCTGTAAATTTATATTCACTAACCTCAATTGGGTCCTTTACACTTTCTTCACATTTGTAGTTCATTTTACCAGTCAATTTTCTTCTCTTCTTCACTCTGGGGCAAGCCTTTTCCTACCATTGTCACGCTGCCCACTTGCCCTCTGCTCTCCAAATCTCAGAAGAAGACTGTGCCTTCTATTTTACAGAAATAATAGAAACCATCAGAAGGGAATTCTTTCAGGCCCTTCCATAAAATTTATAAGATTGATTTTATCAACAGCAGTCTTCCTGTTTCCCTCCTGTTACAATGGCAGAGATGGCCTTCCTGTCCTATCTAAGGTAATTCCTCAGACCTTGTGCTGAATCCTAATCTCTCCCATATTCTCAGGGTCACAGTCTAATAATTTTTTCCCTCTTCAGTTTCTTTCTCTCTAGTGGCTTTTTCCTTTTGCTATTTAAATGTGCTCAGAGCTCTTATTTGATTGAAATAATGAAAAATAACTGTTCCCCTCCCCTTTCATAACTAAAAGTTTCTAAAGAGTTGTCATTTACTGTATTCCTCACATCCTTTTTAATCTTCCACTGATTCCTCTACCCTGTACAGTCTGCTTTTTTCTCTACCACTTCATTGAAACTGCTTGAGCCAAGGTCAGGTGTGAACTCTATTGCTGAATTAACTGGATTCTTTTCAATTCTTATCTTGCATGATCTTTTTGCATCATTTGAAATGGTTGACTGCTGTCTCCTAGGAAAATCTTTCTTAATTATTCTGACCCCACGTTTTCTTTTTATTTTTGTCTGTTGCCTACCATTCCCTTTTTCAGACTTTCCTTCTCCTGCATTTAAATGCTGTTGTTCGCAAACAGTCTGTCCTAGGCCTTCTGTTATTTTCTTTCTACATGCAGTTATCATATACTTGTGAGGTAAGCCTGGACAACATCCATGCCTCTTCCCTCTCCACTCTTTTTACCCATGACCACCAAGCTCTTACGCATGGTAGAGTTTCAGTAGATACTTGAATGAGTGACCTAGATAGGAGAATGAGTGCTTGACTGTGAAACTGGGAGGGTGCTGGGCCTTGAAGGAGGAGAGAATTTTGATGAGCAGGAAGGAGGAGGAGAAAGGTTGAACTGCAGCTGGTCACATATGGAGTTAGCTTCTTATTCATAGTAGTGAGTTCCCTCTAGTGTTGTTTTCTGACCTTTGAATTTGTATGTTTTTCCATTTTTGTAATAAATACTGCCTGAATGAGACACATTCTAGTGAACGTTTGGATATTCTTTCAAATAAAACTTCCTGTATAAGGTGTAGTATGTACAGTATGTGTACCTGATAGAAAATAGGGTCATTCTTGGAGACAGTTGTATGGTATAGGCAAGGATTTTTAGACTAAAGGTCAGAAGACTCCATTCTTATTCTTACTCTGCTGCTAATTAATCTGTGACCTTGGGCAAGTCCTTAAAACTCACTGTGCTTTTTTACGTTATATAATCTTTCAGTCTTCTTCAGTTCTGTTTTCAGTCCAGTACAAATCTTTCTTTATGCAGGCTTCAAAATTAATTTTCTTCTTGACTTGGGGGGTAGTCACAAGATTGTTTATAATAATTCATTAAACCATGCATTTATGTTTTGAATGATTTTCTGTATGTATTATTACATAGTTAAGAAGATTTTAAAAACCCACCAAAGACTTGTTTCCTACATCCCTCCATATACCAAAAGAAAATTCCAGATGGATCAAAGACTTGAATGCAGAAAGCAAAATCATAAGTGTACTTGAAAGAAAACATAGGTAAATATACCTGCCAGGAGACTCCCAGTTCGCCCCTAGCTTCAGTGATTGTCTAGTAGGACTCACAGGATTCAGCATATATTTGTACTCCCAGCTAAGATTTAGTGTAGCAAGGTCACCAAAGGGAAAAGTCATGTGAGTGAAATCTGGAGGAAACCAGGTGCAAGCTTCCAAGAATCTTCTGGTGGAGTCACACAGCACATACTTGATTCCTCCAGAAGTGAGTTGTGACAGCACCTCTGAAATGGTATCCACCAGAGATGGTCATCAGAGACTCAGTGCCTCAGGTTTTTATTTGGGGCTGGTCATGTTGGTACCTTCTTCCTAAAATGTACCAAAATTCCGCCCTGAAGGGAAGCTGATGTTCAGCATAAACAATATTATTTGCACAGACAGGCACAATGAACCACTCTTAGCAGTTCTGGGAATGGTGGGAACCCTGCTGAAATCCAGGTTTCCAGATATCAGCCATGGGCCAGCCTCAGCTAGAAAGCACATCTTTCTTTCTTTCTTTCTTTTTCTGAGACAGAGTCTCGCTTTATTGCCCAGACTGGAGTGCAGTGGCACGATATCTGCTCACTGCGAGCTCCGCTCCCTGGGTTCATGCCATTCTCCTGCCTCAGCTTCCTGAGTAGCTGGGACTACAGGCACCCGCCACCACGCCCGGCTAATTTTTTGAAATTTTAGTAGAGATGGGGTTTCACCGTGTTCGCCAGGATAGTCTCTATCTCCTGACCTCATGATCTGCCCTCCTTGGCCTCCCAAAGTGCTGGGATTACAGGCGTGAACCATGTGCCAGGCCGAAAGCAAGTGTTTCTACAGGTAGCAGTCCTGGGTCTGTGTAAACTCTTCTCTGCACAATATAATATTTAAAAGTATTTTGCAGTGAAAATGACTTTTCTAAGCATGCCTAGAAACTCCGAAGTCATATAGGGAAGGAATGGTAAGTTTAACTATACTCAAAAGACTTAGGCCGGGTGCAGTGGCTCATACTTGTAATCCCAGCACTTTGGGAGGCCAAAGTATGAGGATCGCTTGAGGCCAGGAATTCAAGACCAGCCTCTGTCTTGAGGCCAGGAATTCAAGACCAGGAATTCAAGACCAGAGACCTCTGTCTCTACAAAAAATAAAAAAATCAGCTGGGTGTGGTGGCGTATGCCTGTAGTCCAAGCTACTTGGGAGGCTGAAGTAGGAGAATAGCCCAGGAGGTTGAGGCTGCAGTGAGCTGTGGATAGCGCCACTGCACTCTAGCCTGGGTGTCAGCAAGACCCTGTCTTATTTAAAAAAAAAAAAAAAGGAAAAGAAAAATATAGCAGTTATATCTGTAGATGTTGACCTTTCTTCTTTTTTGTGAAACTTGAACAAGCTTATCTTTTATTTAAGTATAGATGGGTCTGTAAAGATGACGTAACAGTGTTAGATTGATTCACCTCAAAGGTAGAAGGCTTTACCTTTTCCTCTGGTGTAGCCAGCCTGTTTTAGCAGGACCCTCTCACATGGTGGTTGGTGCTCTTTCTTCCCATTCCCATGTTCTCATAATTTTATTGTGTTTAGGATGTTATATTTGCCTGTCTCGTGAGGGAGAGAAGATGTTAGGTGCTATGCTGGGCATACATAGAAGCATCCAAATGATTGCATGAAAAGGAACAGGGACTGGATATTCCACACCCTCCTGCCGCCGCACCCCACCCCCCCATCTCCCCCCACCGTTTTCTTTAACTTTGACAGAGATTCTCTAGGTCAGTTTATTATGAAGAGTTTAATTTTCTGCCTTTGTCCACAGAACACTTCTTTTACAGTTTCTGTAGCTCAGATTTGTAGTTTCTATGGCCTAAAAGCTGTAAGGCCCTAAGGAGCTGCTCCTTTACCTGTAACTTCTGCAAACACTGTGGGTTGAACTCAGCATTCCTGAGAACTTCTTTTACAGCAGCATTCAGCATTTATCAAATAGAATCACTGGTAGTCTCAGATTGAGCCTTTCTTTCCTCCCTCCCTTTTTTCTTTTTATTATTAATTTTTTAAACTAAACTTGAGACTTTATTTGGATTTTACCAGTTTTTTCATTAATGTCCTTTTTTCCCCCCCAGGATCCTGTGCAAGGGACCATTTAGTTGTGATGTTTTCCAGCTTTCTCTGGTCTGAGACAGTTTTTTAGTCTTTTCTTATTTTTCATGATCTTGAACGTCCTGAGCAGTACTGGCCAGGTGTCTTATAGAATGTCCCCCAGTTTGGGTTTTTCTGTTGTTGTACTCATGATTAGATTTGGGTTATGGGTTTTTGTTATGAATACCAGAGGGGTAAAATGCCTTTCTTGTCACATCATTTCAGGGACACGTGATATCTGCACGACATCATGAGGTTTACCTTCTTACTGGACTAAGATAGTATTTGACAGTTTTCTCTACTGTGAAGTTAACATTTCTCCCTTTTTGTATTCTAAAGAAGTAGTCACTAAATCTAGTCTACCCTCAAGGGGGAGGGTGGGCAGGAATTAAGCTCCACCTCCTGTAGGGGGAAATAGCCACATATATTATTTTGAATTCTTCCTATAAGAAAAATTTGCCTCTTCCCCCCCAGTTTCTTTCATCATTCAATAATTATTTCCATCAGTATGGACTCATGTAGATTGACATTTTGGCTTATAATCCAATGCTGTTATTTATTTTGTTCCTTCTATCGTCATTGCTTGGGCAATGACGTTCTTTCAGGTTGGTTCCTGTATCCCTTTGACTTGTTCCATGTTCCATTTCTTTATTTTTGAGACAGGGTCTTACTGTGTCACCCATGCTGGAGTGCAGTGGCATCATCATGGCTCACTGTAGCCTCAACCTCCCAGGCCCAAGCAGTTCTCCTACCTCAGCCTCTGGAGTAGCTGGGACCATAGGCACTCGCCACCATGCCTGGCTAATTTTTTCCTTTTTTTTGTAGAGATGGGGGTGTCTCTGTGTTGATCAGGCTGGTCTTGAACTCCTGGCCTCAAGCAATCCTCCCTCCTTGGTCTCTCAAAGTGTTGGGATTATAGGCATAAGCCACTGTGCTCGACCCCATGTTCCATTTCCTTTTAGGCACTACAAGACGCTTCAGGCTCATCTTGTTTTTGACCTGCCCCAATCCCTAAACTCAGACCTTTTTCCAAGGAGCTTGGTTCCTTTTCCTGGAGAATGGTATTGAAAAACAAGATCAATTCTGGGTGTTAGGTATGCTTGTTGCTACTAGGATGTCATTGCTTCTGCCCCTCTCAGGATTGATCGATCAATCTGTTGATCTGTCTGTCTGTCTATCCATGTATCTATCTACGTCTCTGTCATTGATCCATCTATTGAGTGATCTATGTCTATCTAATCTATCTTCCTGTAGAAAATTATTGTGGAAAATTTCTGGCAAACACAATAGTAATTCTCAGTATCTGTTATGAAGCTTGAATAATTATCAATTAGTGGCAATTTTGGTTTTACTTACATAACCCCTCCCCAGTGTCTCCTCATTATTTAAAGAAAATTCTACTAGCTGTTATTTCGCCTGCAAATATTTCCATCTTTATCTCTAAAAAAAGATTCCTTTAAATATATATTTTAAATTGAAGTATAGTAGATACAGTAGAAGGTATGAAAGTGTAGAGTTTGATGAATTTTTATAAATGTATTTATCTCTATAATCACGCAGATCGAAATATAGAACATTTTTAGCTCTTTAGAAAACTCCCTAATTCCCATGACAGTTTTTGTAGGGACCTTTAAAAAACAAACCTAACCACAATACCATTATAGTACCTAAAACAATTTTAACAGTAATTCCTTAAAATCAAATATCTAGTTGTTTGCATAGGCTCCCCTTTCATTCCCATCTTCCTGCTTGCCGCTGCAGTGTACTGGTTGAAGAAGTTACCTTGTCTAAAGTTTATCACAGTCTGGGTTTTGCTGAGAGTATCCCCATGGTGTCACTTAACATATGTCTCTCATAGTGGCTTTCTTGGGGAAACTTGGCTATTTTTCTAACTAGGTAACCCTAATACAGTAATGGGCAGTGATCCTGTCTTTGGAGAAACTTCATCAGTAAGATGATTTCACCAGGGATAGATATATTGTCCCTAATAACTGATGGTATCTGATTAAAGTTTTGCTGCCTTGCTCTACTAACTAGTTCCAGAAGATGCCTTTAGAAATCTTGTATCCTTTCCAGTATCCAGTTAAAACTGAATAACGTTGCATGTGGGAGAGAACTTTTTGTTCTTGGTTTTGTTTTCTTCCATTCTAAAGGGTAGACCAGGGTAGAACAGTTAACCTTTTGGTGGTGGTTTGTTGCTGTGTCAAAATATCTGTATAGGGCTAGCTGTGGTTAAAGTCCTGACTGAAGGATTGCAGTACAGAAAAAAAGAATAAGCTATAAAAATAATTGGTCTTGGTTGTGTTTGGCTTGCTAAGTTCTCTCTTTTTTTCTTTTTATATTATAGATCAGCTTGAACGGGTCTTTTTACGACTTGGCCATGCTGAAACAGATGAACAATTACAGAATATTATATCTAAATTCCTTCCTCCTGTTTTGCTCAAACTCTCTAGCACCCAAGAAGGAGTACGTAAAAAGGTAAGCATGTTGGGACAGCTGGGGGAATTAAATGATGAATAAATGAATATACATTATCAAGTGAGTTTTCTGTTCCCATTATTGAGTTCTAGGTTTGTGATCTTAATTATGGCCTTTCAAAATGGAGAGTAAGTCTAGAACCAGCTTTTATGATTTAAAAGTAGCTCTTGTATCCTTAGCACAGCTGCATTTAGCACCAACTGTCTACTTGGCATCAGTGTCAGATAATATAATTGAGATAATTATCCTGGAATGTATGGAGGCATGATCTGAAATCCATGCCATTGATTCCAATATGAAAGGCATGTGGTAATGGGGCAAAAATATTCTTTAGTTAATTGTTGACAATGATTATAACCTTAACTAAAAGTAAGCAAAATAAAAAAAAATTTAAGCAAAATAATTTTATAGCTCCTGTTTCAGGATTCTGCAAAGTACTCTTACAAAAAGTTGGATAACTGTCACATCAGATTTTCATTTTCTTTCTTTTTTTGTTTTTTGAGATAGGGTCTCACTCTATCACCCAGGCTGGAGTGCAGTGGCACAATCACAGCTCACAGCAGCCTCGATCTTCTGGGCTTAGGCCCTCCTACCTCACCCTCCCAAGTAGCTGGGACTACAGGTGCAGACCACCATGCCTGGCTAATGTTTAAATTTTTTGTGGAGACAGGGTTTCGCTTTGTTGCTCAGGCTGGTCTCAAACTCCTGAGCTCAAGCAATCCACCTGCCTCGGCCTCCCAAAGTGCTGGGATTACAGGCATGAGCCACTGTGCCTGGCCAGTATTTTCATTTTTTAACGAAACTGTTCTACATGGAACATTTCCCCCTTGATTTGTAGAATATTTCATTAGTCTTCCAGTATATTTATAATAGGTCATCCAGTCTTTGAGCTATGGTCAGGTTTTATTCCTTGGGCCACAGTAATTGGCAGTGACTTCCTGGAGGTCTGCCCTGAGAGGGATTCCAAGGTCTGATTTGGGTTCAGTGCAGAAAGAGAATCTTTAGGAATGTCTTTTATGTTTATATCTCTTTACAGGAGGGAATGGGCATTCTTGTCATATATTTGGCATGTCTGCAGTTAATCCTTCTTTGCTGAGATAGACGTGCATTTGATTATGTCACTCTTCTATTTAAAACCCTTCTGTGGCCTTCTCTTACTATTAGGATAGCAAGGTCTAAGAGGCCCTTCGTGAGTTGATTTCTGTATACTTCTTAGCCTTATCAGTTTTGTTATTTAGCAAATATTTACTGAGTGCCTTCTATATGCCAGGTCTTGGGGATATGGTGATGAATGATGACAACACCTAGTTGGGGAAATCAGTATAAAACAGTCAGGCAAATAGTACATAGTTGAAATTTGTGATACATGCCAAGATGGAAAAGGAAATATATTCTTATGAAAGAATATATTTGGGATATAATTTAGACTAAGTGTGGGGTATAAGGGGAGGCCTCTGTGGTGTGCAGGAAGTAGCCAGGCCAAGAGGTGGGGGAGACCATTGAAGATAGACCCTGTGCAGGTGTTCTGAGCTGGGACAGAGTGTGATGCCTTCAGGAAATTGGAGAAGGCCACAGTGATGTCCCCAGTGCATGAGACGAAGCCTGATAGGAGGAAAGAGGTATTCCAGGGGCACTGATTTGAAAGGGTATTGATGGTAGTGCCTCCATCACTCTAGCTGTTGGCTGGAGAAAGACTTGGAGTAGGGGCCAAGAGTGGAGACCTGGAGAGCAAACAGGGAACTTTTGCATTAGTCCAGGCTTAGTATCGTCAGTAGTTTTTAACTCATTTACTTATCTTAGATTTTTTTTTGTTTCTTTGTATTTTATTTTTTTATAGAAAGTCATTCATCTCTGTCCATCTACTTTAAATGTTCAGTTGTGTATCATTCACTTCTATCATACTATTATTCTTTTTTAAAAAAATAAATTTTATTATGTATATTTGACGTTTACAACATGATGTTATGGAATACATACAGATTTTAAATGTTTACTGAAGCAAATGAGCATATCTCTCTCACATAATTTTATGCTATTCTTAATATTCTGTTATCATTATTTCAAATGGGAAATTCTATTCTTGTTTCTGGTTTTATTACTACCAAAGTTTTAACCTTTTAATGGGTCATTTTAAAAGGAAACTCAGCTTTTAGATTAATGTTCCCTTTTTAACTGTATTTTTTTCTATTTTTATTCAAATTATTTCTTTTTTTAGATAAGTTTTTCTTGTGTAAAGTTTTAATTTATATAATAACCTGGCAATGGTTCTTATGTGTCAAGAAAAGTGCTAAGGACTTACATCCTCATGAGATTATGTGAAGTAGGCATCCCCATTTTACAGATGAAACTGAGGCTTGGAATGATTAATGAACTTGTTTAAGGTCAAATAACAAATGGTCAGGCCAGGATTTGAACCCAGGGCTTTTGAACTTCAAAAGGTAAGCTTGGTCATCAAGTTAAATGCTTTATTCTTTATTTATAGTATGTTAAAAAAAAAGAACCAAAAATGACCTCAGCTTATGAATTTCTCTTTGATGACTATTTTAGTTATATGTAATAGTTATGTTGATGTGCAGTTTGGTCATTTTATCTTTGACTTATTTATAAGAGTGTTGTTTTTAGTTTCAAAATATTTGATATAAAATTTGCCTGGTTTTATTGCATTCTGGTCAGAGACCATAGTGTGCAAATGTTACAGTCCTTCAAAGTGTATTCTAATGTTTGTAAGAAAAGCCTTTCAGAAGATAAAAAGAATACTTCCTGTTTGTGGAATATGGAGCTCAGCATGCGCTAAGGCCATTCATTAGTAACATTGTGCATTCATGTCTTGAACCTGTCTTCCAGTCCTATTATAAGTTGGTAGTACTAAAGTATAATGTCCTACTGCTGTTACAGTTTTTCTGATTTTTCTTTCAGTTTTAATAATCTTGGCTTGCTGCATTTTGATGTACAAGTTTAACATCTTGTCTTTATTAATAATTATAGTATTTTATGTTTATTTTTTATCTTTTGAATTCCATTTAAGGTTTTTTTCTCCAAAACCTGTTTTATCCAAAATTAGTATTGTTAACCATTGTTTTCCTTCTGTCTGCTTGATAAAATATTTGCCCCAGCCTGCAATTTTAACCTTATTTACTTTGTCTGTATCTCTTAGTACAATGGAAATGTCACATATTTTTGAGATTTGAGTTGAGGGCATTTACATCAGTTATTGTGATTATTAACCTATTTTTAAAGTTTTAAGAAAAAATTTTATTGATACATAATTATACCATATTTATGGGGGTACATGTGATATTTTGATACATGCATGTAATATGTAATCAAATAATTTAGTATTTAGGATACTCATCACCTAATTATTTATTTTTCCTTTGGGTTGGGAACATTTTAGATCTTCTAGCTCTTTTGAAATATACATGATTATTAACCTGTTTTATCAGTTGGTCTGTTTGTCCTTTCCCTCTCTGCCTTTCTTTCCTTCTCTCACTTTCTCGTTATCAAACTGTCAACACTGGTGTCTTCAAGGGGCTGTGAAAGGACAAGGGAAAAGGGATGCTTTAGATTTTCCACTTGATTTATTATTATAAATGTATCTTTCTATTATAACTTTAAAAAGCAATGCAGAATAAAGTAATAAGGATAAATGTAATCATTTTGAACTTAATATATTTAATATATTTAATTTATACTAATAAAATAGCATTTTTATTTGTGCATGTCAAATTGGTTAAGTTGGAAAACTTTTGGAATAGGGGAAATGGAATCAAACAGCTAAAATAGCCTGTTATATATTAAGCATTGTGCTAAACTCTTTGACTTATCTTTTCATTTAATCTTTACAGTAGCCTTTGAAATGTTATCTGAATTCCACAAGTTATTTTTAAATCTTTCTTGGTTTATGGAGGATTCCAGACAAGATATAACCATATTTAGGAAATTCGCCGATATTTAACATGACAATAATGCTACTAGAAAATTAAGTAATTAATCCATTTAAAATTCAAAATAGGCCGAGTGCAGTAGTAGCTCATGCCTGTAATCTCAGCACTCTGGGAGGCTGAGGTTGGAAGATCTTTTGAGACCAGCCTAGGCAACATAGCAAGATCTCATTTATGCCAAAAAGAAAGAAAAAAACCATGCATGGTAGCATGTGCTTATAGTCCCAGCTACTGCAGTGACTGAGATAGGAAGATTGCTTGAGACTAGGAGTTCGAGGCTGCAGTTGGCTATGATAATGCCACTGAACTCCACCCTGAGTGACAGAGTGAGACCCTGTCTCGGAAAAAAAAAAAATCAAAATAAATTTATTATTAAAAAAAAGCATGCAATTGTGGGCAAGATTCTCTGTCTCCATCGATAATAATTTTCTATAGAGTCCCTCTAGGAATCAGCCTAGATTACAATGTCAGAAGAGGGCTCTTTCCTTTAGACTAGTTCCTCCTGATTGTTTTCTCTTGTCGCCTAGCGGTATCACAGATCCAGGACAGGTAGGAAGCTCGGATGAAGTATGGATGACAATGCAAGTTTCTAGCTTCTTGGAAGGTATCATGTCTCACTGACAAACACTTTCGCTGATGTGAGTTCAAATATCAGTGTTTGAAAAGGTTAAAAAAAATGGGCTCTGGAGTCATATTTTGACTTTGCTATTTGCTGGCCCAGTATCCTTGGACAAGTTACTTGAGGCTTCTGCTTCCTCATCTGTAAAATGGGAATGACACCACCTCACTGGTTGTTGTGAGAATCGTATTAGATAAGGAATGCCTGGGGGAAGAGTGCATAGAAACTGTGATAAATATTAGCTATTTTAATATTACTATTTATCATTCATTCAACAAACATTGATTACAGAGTTGTTATTATTCTTAAACATAATTCACCTATTTCATTATTGCTGTAGATCTCTTGGAATTTTTTGCTGTCGGTGTCAAACATCTCTACAGCTTTCTTTATGCATGCTTTGAGGCTAGAGCACGAATTTCAGAAATGAGGGAGAATAGTGTAAACCTGGCCCTGCAGAATATTTATCTTAAATTCTTGAGTCTTTCTTAGGCAAGGCCTTCTAAAAATCTTATTTCTCAATGCTCGATTTCTTTTCTGTTGGCAGAAATCTTTTTATTGTAGTATAATTGAGGCCATTTGATATGAGCCTCTGTACATCCCTTTCTATCCATGCAAACTGTTGACTTGTCAATTCCTATTTTGCTCTCTTTTCCCACTTAAAGGAGAGGAAGCTTGTTATTTCTTACAAATTATTTGATAGTATCAGATGATATTCAGAATACAATAAAAATGCCTCAGACTATTCACAATAGCAAAGACTTGGAACCAACCCAAATGTCCATCAGTGATAGACTGGATTAAGAAAATGTGGCACATATACACCATGGACTACTATGCAGCCATAAAAAAGGATGAGTTCATGTCCTTTGCAGGGACATGGATGAAGCTGGAAACCATCATTCTAAGCAAACTATCACAAAGACAGAAAACCAAACACCACATCTTCTCACTCATAGGTGGGAGTTGAACAGTGAGAACACGTGGACACAGGGCAGGGAACATCTCACACTGGGGCCTGTTGTGGGGGGTGGGGCCTGGGGTAGGGATACCATTAGGAGAAATACCTAATGTAGATGATGAATTGTTGGGTGCAGCAAACCAACATGGCACGTGTATACCTATGTAAAAACCTGCACATTGTGCACATGTACCCTAAAACTGAAAGTATAATAAAAACAAACAAACAAAAAACAACTCCCAGACAAAAATAAAAATGCCTCAGTATTTTGCCAGAATCCTTTTGTAATCCAGACCTTGCTTTTATGAACTCTTATCGTTCTGGGCTTCAGTCAGATGCAGTGTGCCCCATACCTTCTTATAACTGATACTCTGCTTGGAACTCATTAAATCTTAAGGACTCAGTGTTCCTGTCACTTCCTCCGTGAAGTCTTTCTTGATATAGCAGATACTTTTGTCTTCTGGAAACCCACTGTATCTTGTATGTCTCTCTTTTCATAGTATTCATGGTGTGTTGCAATAATCTGTTCTTCTTGAGGGACATGCTTCAGTCTAGGCCCAACTTGGATCTCAACTTTAACTAAAGGACATTGTAAAAATAAATTCACTTGGCCAGGCGCGGTGGCTCACGCCTGTAATCCCAACACTTTGGGAGGCCGAGGTGGGCGGATTGCTTGAGATCAGGAGTTTGAGACCAGCCTGGACAACATGATGAAACTCCATCTTTACTAGAATACAAAAATTAGCCAGGCGTGATGGCGGGTACCTGTAATCCCAGCTACTCGGGAGGCTGAGGCAGGGGGATTGCTTGAACTCAGAAGGCAGAAGTTGCGGTGAGCTGAGATCGCACCACTACACTCTAGCCTGGGCAACAGAGCGAGACTCCATGTCAAAAAAAAAAAAAAAAAAAAAGCCAGGAGCAGTGGCTTACGCCTGTAATCCCAGCACTTTGGGAGGCAGAGGTGGGCAGATCATGAAGTCAGGAGTTCGAGACCAGCCTGGCCAACATGGTGAAAAAATACAAAAATTAGCCGGGCATGCTGGCACGCGCCTGTAATCCCAGCTATTTGGGAGGCTGAGGCAGAAGAATTGCTTGAATCGGGGAGGCGGAGGTTGCAGTGAGCCAAGATTGTGTCAATGCACTCCAGCCTGCACGACAGAGCAAGACTCCGTCTTGGGAAATAAAAAGAAAAAGAGAAATTCACTAGTGCATAGATTTTTGGGAGACAGTATTTTTGAACAAGATTCATGTAGTGTATACTCCCTTTCTGGGATGTAAAATTTATACCCTTTAAAAGAACAAAGTAGCTACTATTCACTAACATAGATAACATCTGATAAATGAATTTTAAGATGAGTGGTTTTTAAGATATGATCAATAACTTTAGTTCCCATCTCTCTGTATTTTAGGTAATGGAACTGCTGGTCCATCTGAATAAACGTATAAAAAGCCGCCCCAAAATACAACTTCCAGTAGAGACACTGTTGGTTCAGTACCAGGACCCTGCTGCAGTTTCCTTTGTCACAGTGAGTGTTGTATTGGAATATTTTCTGACTTACAGCAAATTTTCTTTCCTAACATTTATTAGATGTCATCAACATATTGGCAAGTTTAGAATTTCACCTTAGACCACTTCTAAATGAAACATGAGTTTTTTTTTTTTTTAAATGACACACTGTTTTTCCACTGAGTACCAATCCAGAGGAAATGCTGCTTTACAGTAGCAGGGTAATGAATGGCTATTTACTTTGGGCAAAGGAATGTTGGTGAAATGACTTGTCAGGTATGTTGTTATATAAAAGAATGATTTGATTTTTGGTAGGAGACTGTATGAAATGGGTCTGAATAGAGGGAAATGTTATACGGCTTGGGCACGAATAAAGCCTAATGGAAGAAAAAATTAGTAAAATGGCAAGAAGATACATGAAAGTGAACTTAAAAAAATCTTTTGTGTTTTTGATGTGTATATTCAGAAAGATCTTTTTTATAAAGTGGAGTAAATCTGAGTCTGGTAAGAAACATTCCTTTTAAAGTGTTGTCTTCATAAAAATTAAATGTAAAATATGTTGATGCTGTGTGATGGCAGGTGATGTTTTTTTTCCTGGTCCTTGTAGTTCCTAGCACTGAGGCAGAATCGATTGAATCTTACCTAACATCTGGAGTCACAAACCTTTTGGAGCCTGTTATTGGTCCAGACGTCATTTTGTCCATGTCTGTTCTGGATATTTGGCTCAATTATACATTTCCTTTCTTTAAGCAAATAGGAACACTGTGTGCCAATAAAAATGCCAAATATAATTTATTTGAAGAAGTAATCTTATGAAGCCCATTTACTTTAGTAAAGAATTCTTCAGAGGCCAGGCACGTCGGCTCATACCTGTAATCCCAGCACTTTGGGAGGTTGAGGCCAGCTGATCATGAGGTCAGGAGTTCAAGACCAGCCTGGCCATCATAGTGAAACCCCATCTCTACTAAAAATACAAAAATTAGCTGGGCGTGGTGGCGCGTGCCTGTAGTCCCAGCTACTTGGGAGACTGAGGCAGGGGAATCACTTGAACCTCAGAGGTGGAGGTTGCAGTGAGCTGAGATTGTGCCATTGCACTCCAGCCTGGGTGACAGAGCGAGACTCTGTCTTGGGGGAAAAAAATGAAAAAGCTTCAGAAAAGCAAATCTTAATCTTATCTGTAAATCCAGATACGTATTTATGGGTTTGCTTAAAATCCAGTATTCACACAGATTATAGTGATACAGGTTGAGTATCCCTTATCTGAATTGCTTGGGATCAAAAATGTTTTGGATTTTGGAATATTTACGTTATACTTACCTGATTTAGCATCCCAAATCCAAAATCTGCAATGCCCCAAGGAGCATTTCCTTTGTGTGTCTTGTTGGCACTCATAAAGTTTCAGATTTTGTAGTATTTCGAATTTCAGATTTTCAAATTTGGGATGCTTGACCTTGCAGAAACACACAGTACTCAGTTTCCTTTGGTTCATCATGCATTGGTGAGTTACTGGAGTGAGGAACCACAGAGTGCTGCAGTATACTAAGTTTGTTTTAGTCATTTGACCAGTGGGAAATGGCAGCCTAGGATTTGTCAACACCTGATCTCCTCCTAGCTTGTAAGGATTAATGCAACAGACTGGGAGATCTGGTGCTAATATGTAGTGTGTAGGTGTAAATAGGTTGATTATTTCTTTCTTCTTCATGATAAGAAATTGCATATATGAATGCTTTAGATTAGTCCATGCTACCTCACATTAGGCCTACTTTAAAGCAAGCATTTTGATTAAGTTGGACTGGAATTTTTCCTCTGAGATACAGTAGTTGGTAAAGGTGCAATAAACGTGGAGGGAGGATGAGTCACGTTTACAATGTCTTTGTTGTAACCATAACTCTCTAAGTTATCAATCATATATTTTCATTGAAATCATAGAGTATTTCCTTCACACTCACTTGCTTTTCTCTTATTGCATTAGAATTTTACTATAATTTATGTTAAAATGGGCTATCCTCGCCTACCAGTGGAAAAACAATGTGAACTGGCCCCTACGCTTCTTACTGCCATGGAAGGGAAGCCTCAGCCACAGCAGGATAGGTATGATTTCCTCAATTAACTAATTTCCCTCCTACAGGAGTCAACAACTGCCTTTCAAATATTAATTCACATATTTGGTTTTACTTGAGCAAATGGGAGGTCTTGAGCTGTTTTAGCTGACAAATAATAGAATTTTCCGTGGTACCTCAAAGTTACCGTTTTGTTAATACTATCATAAAATTTCTTGATGTGAACATTGAAAAATGTGCAGAACTAACATTTATCTAAGTCTGTGCATTTTTTTGGCTAGTTATCTTGAAGCAGTTAATTTTATGTGATTGCAAAAATTAGAATTAAAAATCCTTTGCATCAAAACAATTCTATCTTGGAAGATATAAAGTTTCACAGTGGTTTTCCTAAGGAACAGAGCACTCGTTTGTATTATTTTGGGAAGTGGTGCGGTGAAAAGGGTTTTAGATAACATCATTTGTTTCTAGGCTTAGGCAAAAGTTCTTTGTTCTAGCTCTGTCATAGTGAGAATCATGATGAAGAGTGCAGAAATGTAGAGGAAAGAGATGGAGTTAGATCATGTTTTCAGTTCACCTTTTAGAGCATATTCATTTTTTAAAAAATACTGTAATACAGAAGAAGTTTACAAGTAAAATTAATAGACATTACAAGTACTGTTTGTAATTGTTGTCAGATGTTTTAAGAGTATCAAAAGGTGTTAATGAAAGGAATTACTGAGACCTGTTACTTAAATTCATGCAGTGGAAATTTTAATGTTGTATTCAAAATATTAATATGATTGATTTTTAATTTTTAGAATAACTTTAGTTGTGGAAAATAATTTTTTTTTTTGAGACAGAGTCTCACTCTGTTGCCGAGGCTGGAGTGCAATGGCGCAATCTTGGCTCACTGCAACCTCTGCCTCCCGAGCTGAAGTGTTTCTCCTGCCTTAGCCTCCTGAGTAGCTGAGATTACAGATGCCTGCTACCATGGCCGGCAAACTTTTTGTATTTTTAGAAGAGATGGGGTTTTACCATGTTGGCCAGGCTGGTCTTGAACTCCTGACCTCAGATGATCTGCCCACCTTGGCCTCCCAAAGTGCTGGGGTTACAGGTGTGAGCCACTGTGCCTGACCGAAAATAATTCTTTTTTTTTTTAATTTTTATTTTTTATTTTTTATTTTTTTATTTTTATTTTTGTTTTTTGAGATGGAGTCTCACTCTGTTGCCCAGGTTGGAGTGCAGTGGCTTGATCTCGGCTCACTGCAAGCTCCGCCTCCCGGGTTCACTCCATTCTCCTGCCTCAGCCTGCCAAGTAGCTAGGACTACAGGTGCCCGCCACCGCGCCTGGCTGATTTTTTGTATTTTTAGTAGAGACGGGGTTTCACCATGGTCTCGATCTCCTGACCTCGTCATCTGCCCGCCTCGGCCTCCCAAAGTACTGGGATTACAGGCATGAGCCACCGCGCCCAGCCTGGAAAATAATTCTTTTTGAAAAGACAAGTAAGTTGAACTTTACTTAAGGTTTCATATAAAATCTCTTGTGGAAACTTCAGATATTAACACTGAGCCCATTTGATGTATTTTTTTCAGGTAATTTTAGTCATGAGCCAGATTGGCTAAATGCTAATCATCACTCAATATACTGAGCTTTCAATAAAAAAGAATTCTAGGCCAGTCCCTAGATTAGGACTTTGTAAATTAGTAGTGTTGAAAAGGAATGTCTCTTGCTTAAAACTGCCAGTTTTTGTTACGTGATTTTTGTTTTGTCTGTGTTTTGCATGTATAAAAATCTCATTTTTTAAGTAGTTGCAATAAATGTAATTGTTTTTTCAGCTTAATGCATCTTTTAATACCAACCCTTTTTCACATGAAATACCCTGTTGAATCATCAAAATCAGCTTCTCCATTTAATCTTGCTGAGAAACCAAAGACTGTGCAGCTGCTTTTGGACTTCATGCTAGATGTCCTTCTGATGCCTTATGGGTGAGTTAAAAAATAAAAGCAACCTTGTTCTTGACTGCTTTTACTACGGGGAGTTAAGTACTATTTTAAATGATTAAACTCTCACTAGTAAATGAATGCATCTCAACATCCATTTACGTTTACAAAGATTTTTTTCTTCTAAACTTCAGCTCCACTGCTTATCGGCTTTACAAATGCTGAGTTGCCATTGTGATTTTAGACTCTACCTGCCTAAGATGAAATCAGTCTTTCCCCATAAAAATAGTTCCTGTTAGGCCAAGGTGGGACGATTACTGGGGGCTAGGAGTTTCAGACCAGCCTGGGTAACAGAGCGAGACTCTCTCTCAAAAAAAAAAAAGTTTCTCTTTTAAATTTACTATTAATGCTATGATGGTTCTCTTTGCCACCTAGCCATACAATGATAAATTGTCTCCAGCTTTTCTCTTCTTTGTTGCTGCAATATCATTTGCATAATGCCTCCTTCCTTCTCCTTGCTGTGTCTGGAACTCTTCCCACTGCTATCATCTAGTTTTGCCTCTTTTCAACTCTTGTCATAATTTCTTTCCCAGCGGCTCCACTTCTTCAAATCTCTCTACACCCCCTCTCTATGCTTTTCCCGATTTGCAAAACACAGATCTCATCAGGCAACACCTTAAAATCCTTGGTTTCTCATATCCAGTCATTAATACACTCATGCATTTCATGCACGCTTATGTGTCCTTGCTGTTTATTTTTAAGAGAACGCCTTTCTGTCTGCCTAGAATGCTTCTTCAAAAAAGAAAGAAAGAAAACAACAAAAAGACACTTTGAAAAACAGCATCCTGGCCAGGTGCAGTGGCTCCCACCTGTAATCTCAGCACTTTGGGAAGGGGGGGCCGAACAGATCCCTTGAGCCCAGAAGTTTGAGACCAGCCTGGGCAACATGGCAAAATCCTATTTCTACAAAAAATACAAAAATTAGTCAGCCCTCATGGCATGCACCTATAGTCCCAGCTACTTGGGAGGCTGAGGCTGGAGTATTGATTGAGCCTGGGAGGTTGAGGCTGTAGTGAGCTATGATCATGCCACTGCACTCCAACCTGGTGACAGAACAAATACCCTGTCTCAAAAACAAAAAAAAAGGAAAAAAGAAAAAAGCATCCCAAACTGGCTTAAAGGTCAACTCCGTTTGTCTCTGACAAATTTCTTGCCTTAGACAGATATAACTGCACTATTTTCTGTGTCATAAAAACACAAAACACCCGCCTATATGGCCACTGTGTGTTTTTGCTGCATTGTAGACATTTCCATCTCCCCTAGTAGATGGTGAGCCCCTTGTAGTCGAGACCTATTTCATGTAGCTTTGGTCTCTGGCATGGAGCCCAGATTGTGATCTACTTCTGGTCTACTTATTTTGTCCATCTGCCAGATAAATTTTTCCAAAATGCTGTTTTCATCTTCTTTCTTTCCTGATCACAAAAGTATGTGTACATGGTAAGCTAGGCATGTGGGGCTCCATATCATTTGTTTCTCAATCCAGAAATGAGAGTTCATGCGGTGTGATGAACAAATTTGTTCTCCTCCTGCCCCTCTTGTTTGGAAGCCCAATTTTCTGGGCCTTCAGTCACTCCATGTTCACTGTCACCACCTGTTATATCATTTCTTATTTCTCAGCAGTTTCTTTGCATCTGATAGAATGGCAGATGCTATTACATGTGTTAGGTTGTTACTGTCTCAGCTTACTCCAGATGGCAGAGACTCGATCTTACATCTCCTTATATTCCTCTGTCTTGTGTTTAGGATGATGTTTGTTTGAGATAGGGTCTCAGTCTGTCGCCCAGGCTACTGTGCAGTGGTAACTCAATGCAGCCTTGACCTCCTGGGTTCAAGCAGTCCTCTCACCTCAGCCTTCTGAGTAGCTGGGACTACAGGCGTGCACCACCACACCCAGCTAATTTTTTTGTATTTTTTGTAGAGATAGGGGGTCACCAAACTCCTGGACTCAAGCGATCCTCCCACCTTGGCTTCCCAAAATGCTGGGATTATAGGCCTGAGCCACCACACCCAGCCTTAGGGTGTTTTATGCAGTATTAAGATGTATTAACTTATTGATTGATTTACTTAATGCCACCAGTCTTGCTATAACTTAGAAATAAAAAAACTTCTTTTTATATTTGTTAAATCAGGAGGCAGCCAGAATGACAGGTGATGATGGCTTTGGTAGATAAACCTTGAAATTCAGATTTACCTTAGGAACATGATGTAACCAAGCCAGTGATTCCTCACATTTTTCTTACTAATGAGAACTTGGGTCATTTATATAATAACATTAAAGCGATTCCTTAAGAGATTTTTAAAAAATAGATAAATTTAGGAATTGAATGAATATGACATGTAAGTAATGTGGAATAACTTACTATCCTATCAGGTTCTAAGTGTTTTCTTGAACTTTTATTATAGTGGATATTTTATTATAATATCCAATATGATAATGGAATTTATCATCATAGATCTTTAGTTTTAAGAGATTTGAATTAATATTTATATCAAAAACTTCATTTTGTAGATGAGTAATACCAGTTTAATTGGATCAAAATGAATTTCTTAGAGGTCTTATTTCTCCTCTATAGAAGCTAAAATGAAATAGGGATGATAAATTAACCAAGGCAGTGCAAAGGGCTTTGAACATGTAATGGGAAAAGTCAGTTCTTGTGTAACTTTTCTTCTTTGGGCCCTTTTGAGTTTTTTCATTTTAGGGACTTTATGTGCTTATGTGGTACGTGCTTATGTGCTTATGTGGCCGTTTGGAGGTTTCAGTGGATTTTCTAATGTAGGGATAAAGACCTCAGTTCAGGGAGGATTGAAGGTGAATTACAACTTCGTAGAAATGAGAATGACTGTAAAAATACTCTCCTTTGGGTATAGTGCAATAGCTCCTCCCAGTCCCCTTTGTCAACAAACTTTTCCTCATATTTGGCAGCTCAAAACTCAAAATGTGATTCTGGAGTAGCCATTAGAGCAATCATTTATAGATTGAGAGTGATGAAAATATTTATATTCATTGTTGGTAATGGTTGTAGTTCATTTGTAACCAAGTTAAATGACGTGCTCTCTGGTTAATTTGCTGAAGATACATCTTTTTTAGATACCTTAAAATTTTTTTTATGATGAAATTTTAATTTCAAGTGTTCATTCTTCTAGTAAAATACAGTAGGAGGACAGTATATGATTGAATGTTTTGTATACATATATAGTTGTAAATGCTTTTGTATTTATAGAGGGTTAAAGTGTTATTTCCTTTCCAGTTACGTGTTAAATGAATCCCAGAGTCGCCAAAATTCATCTTCAGCACAGGGTTCTTCTTCAAACAGTGGCGGAGGTTCTGGAATCCCACAGCCTCCTCCGGGAATGAGCTTTTATGCAGCCAAACGAGTTATTGGTGATAACCCATGGACACCTGAACAATTGGAACAGGTATCACACAAGGCTTGCTCATAATAGTAGTTGATTGTGGACACTTTCCCCTATGAAGTTCATGAACCGTATAAAACATAATTCTAGTATATTCAGGCTCTCCAGTGAAATATGTTTGAAAGAAGCAGTTGATGTAATGTGTTCTTTTCATGCTAGTTATTTATTAAGCCCTAGGGGCAGGGAGGAGTGGGACATACTGTTTAGTTTTTCTAATACTGCTTACATATGTCAAGTATAAAGCACAACTCACTTATAAATTGAATATGTTTAACTTTTGTCATTTTATTTTTTTTTATTTTTTAACTTTTGTAATTTTAATTTTTTAATTATAGGTTTAATTTTCATCTAGCTTTTATGGTGCAGTTAAAATACAATTTTTCTTACATTATTCAACTTTTAAGGGCTGTACGTTTTATGTAAAGTGAGGAGCCCCAGCACTTCACAGGTGACAATGTGGGGAAAAGCATGACTCCCTGTTATATTACTTCTTGGGAATTTAAAAATTGGCATTAAGGATTTTATTCTGGATTTAAACAGGACACAGATGTTCTCTGAGCAGCTTTTAAAAATGACTGGTGCTCTACAGAGAAGGTGCCTTACTGTGTCTGTGTCATCAGGCACTTCAGGGAAGAACAGATGAGATCAGTATGTAATTATTTTGGAATTCAAGCAACATGGGTTAGTCTTCTAATCCTTCCTTTATTTCTCCATGGCAGTCTAAATGATTTGATCCCTTTTTTTTTGGGAAATGTAAGTGACCATTGATTAAAACAGTATTCCCAGGAGAGGGGAAAAGAGGCAAGTGGGGCATTCTTGCCATTCACAAATTTATAGAATGTTTTATTGAGTGAGGGATATAATTGATTTGATTTCCTTCTTCATGTTTTATGGATCTTTTTTTTTTTTCCTCCTTAAACTATTATGTAAGTAAGAAAGGTAAAGAATTAACAGAGGCCGGGCGCAGTGGCTAATGCCTGTAATCCCAGCACTTTGGGAGGCCAAAGTGGGCGGATCATGAGGTCAGGAGATCGAGACCATCCTGGCTAACATGGTGAAACCCTGTTTCTTCTTAAAAAAAAAAAAAAAAAAAAAATTAGCTGGGCGTGGTGGCGGGCGCCTGTAGTCCCAGCTATTCAGGAGGCTGAGGTGGGAGAATGGCGTGAACCCAGGAGGCAGAGCTTGCAGTGCGCCGAGATCGTGCCACTGCACTCCAGCCTGGGCGACAGAGCAAGACTCCATCTCAAAAAAAAAAAAAAAAAAGATTTACTGAAGCTACTCTTTATTGAGTGCAATCTATGTGACAGGCACCGTACCGGGTACTTTGAATACAATATCTCATTTAACCCTCGGAGCAACCCAGTAAGGTATAGAAATTGTTAGTTCCATTTTCTGAAAGGCATGGAGGTTTTGAGATTTACCAGGGTCTCACTTTTAGTACCAGGCTTTGAACCTAGGATTATCTAAGGGTTAAAGCTACAAATGCTGGAGAAAAATTGTTATTGTTCAATTACAATCTTAAATTGGTCATTATTTGCCAATATGCCTCTGTATGTGTTTTGTCAGTTTCATAATCTAGTGCTGAAACGAACAGTTTAGTTTCAGGGATGAAAGCTATTTTCCTCTAATTTTAAAATATCTCTTTGTTTTATACTTTTTCTTCCAAGGAAAACATGTTTTTTCCAATTATAAACAATGTAAATATTCAAGTAGTTAAGAATAGTAGAGAAATTAAAAATTAAGGGGCTGGGTGTCGTGGCTCGGGCCTGTAATCCCAGCCCTTTGGGAGGCTGAGGTGGGTGGATCACTTGAGGTCAGGAGTTCGAGACCAGCCTGAGCAACAGAGTGAGACCCCGTCTCTATTAAAAATAGAAAAATTAGCTGGGCGTGGTGGTGCATGCCTGTAACCCTAGCTACTTGGGAAGCTGAGGCATGAAAATCACTTGAACCCAGGAGGTGGGGGTTGCCGTGAGCTGACATTGTGCCATGACACTCCATCCTGGGCGATAGAGCAAGACTCTGTGTAAAAAAAAAAAAAAAAAAAAAGCCAGATGTGGTGGCTCATGCCTGTAATCCCAGCACTTTGGGAGGCCATGTTGGGCAGATCGCTTGAGGTCAGGAGTTCGAGGCTAGCCTGACCAACATGGCAAAACCCCATCTCTACTAAGAAAACAAAAACAAAAATTAGCCGGGCATGGCGGTGTGTGTGCCTGTAGCCCCAGCTGCTGGGGAGGCTGAGGCACGAGAATTGCTTGAACCCAGGAGGCAGAGGTTGCAGTGAGCCAAGATTGCACCACTGCACTCCAGCCTGGGCGACAGAGGGAGACTCTGTCTCAAAAAAAAAAAAAAAAAAAAAAGTTAACTGGAATCCTGTCACACTAGTTTGTCATCTGTCTACAGTTTTGCTCTGTGCATGTGTGTGTGTTCACCGTTTTAAACAATACATTTCTACTTGTCATGTAATACATTATTTGTAGTTTGCTTTTTATGTTGAATAATATTTTGGATTTTTAAAAAAGTAATTCTTTTTAATGTTTGTTTACAATTATATGTGATATGTTTTAACCAGTCTCCTATTGATGGACATCTGTATCATTTTCAGTTTTCTTTACACATTTTTTGTTTAGTTTATATCTTTGTGTACTTGACTTCCATGTGTCCTTTTTGTGGCTGTACAAATGTTTGAATCTTTTCTGTTGTAGCTGTTGTTAAAAGTAAGTTGTATCGAGCAGGGGAGGGAAGGCAGGCCCTTTTTTGATCTGTTATGCTTTTTTAAGTTGCATTTTTTTCTCATTTAATAATTGTAAACTTTATTAATCCTAGTATATGTAAAAACTGTTATGTGACTGATTTTTTAAGATGAAAATGAAACTTTATTTTTTCAGGTGTATTTATCCTAAATAGAGTCATTTGTAGTGAAATTCATAGCATCTTCACATTGCATGAAGTTCTAAGCAGAATCTCTCTAGTCTGTTTCATTTCAGCCAGTCAATTAAATTGAAAACTGTTTGATTAGAATTTCACTTGCATTGAGTAGCTAACATTTGAAGTCATATCCTTTGTATGTAAGCAATAGAGTGAAACTCCATGGAATGTGAGTTGTTTAGTTCTTTTTTGAACTGTCAGAAAAATCCATGGAGCACTATATTCCTAGTGTACCACCCTCTTATCTGGAGGCCCCAAATTTGGACTTCAAGACTTCATCACTCTAGAGAGGCTGTGTAACCTCACTAGGGAGGCTGTGTATCATAATAATTTTGGAGTCAGAGAGGCTTGGGTTTGAATCCTGCCATCGTCGTTTACCAGTGTCTTAATCTTTTAAGCCTTGCCTCGGTATTTTTAGCTAAAAAATGGGTATAATGATTGATTTATTATTGTGAGGATTAAGTGAAATTATGAATATATGTGCTTTAGTACAGTCCCCGGCACATTGTAAGCCTAAGTAGGAGCTGCTACTGTTGTTACTGCTCATCTTTGGCTTGTGACCACACTGATATGTTAAGCAGTACTTTCAGTGGGTGTCCTTTGCTCCCCTGACTGTTCTTTCTCCTTCCCTTCATTTATCTACAGTGCAAATTGGGAATCGTGAAATTCATAGAAGCTGAACAGGTGCCTGAACTTGAAGCTGTTCTCCACTTGGTGATTGCCTCTAGTGATACACGCCACAGTGTGGCAACGGCAGCAGACCTGGAATTGAAAAGCAAACAGAGGTAACTACTTCCCTGTAAACTTTCAAGATTGAAAGGACTACATTTCTAAAAACTTACTTGACACATTTTTTGTTTAAGGATTTTTTGTAATGAGGCATTCAACTTAGAGGAGATTATTAAATATACCTAGTTTGTAATCAAGTTTGCTAAAGAGTTGAATTCTGTGTAAGACAGAGAAGAAAATCTGTGTGGAGATGCTGTTTATAGCTGCAATAGGTTAGGAATGTCATCACAATCAATGAGACTTTTGGCTAGGTAGATGAACTTAAAGAATTGATGTTAAGAAAAGTGTCAGTTCCAAGAAACTAATTTTTATTTTTTTCTGTGTCTCAAACCATTCGAGATTACTTTTAATAAAGACTATGTATGTATTATGGTTAATACAGTGAAAATTACATTCATGAAAAGAGTTGCTGAATAGATTCTAATTCACACACGAGGAGATACAGATAGGAAATAGACTTATAGAAAATATTCTGTATAAGAAATAAAGTCAATGAAAAATAAATGAATGAAGTCAATGAAAAATAAATGAATGGGATACCAGTAGCAGTGGTTAAACCCATTTACGTTTCTATTGAAACTGCGATTTTTATTTTTATTTATATATTTATTTTTTGAGACAGGGTCTCTCTCTGTTGCCCAGGCAGGAGTGCAGTGGCACGATCTCAGCTCACTGCAACCTCCACCTACCAGGTTCAAGCGATTCTCATGCCTCAGCCTCCCAAGTAGCTGGGACTACAGGTGCTGGCCACCATGCCTGCCTAATTTTTGTATTTTTGGTAGAAATGGGATTTCACCATGTTGCCCAGGCTGCTCTCGAACTCCTGAGCTCAGGTGATCCACGCAGCTTGGCCTCCCAAAGTGCTGGGATTACAGGCGTGAGCCACCACGCCTGGCCAAAACTGCTATTTTTATACCCTGTTGATTGGCATTATAAATTGAAATGAAGTTTTGGAAAGCAGTTTGCAATAAGTAATGAATCATAAAGATATTTCTATCCTTTTATCTCAATATTCTGGGAATTTATCCTAAGGAAATTATTCAAAAGCAGAAAGAGATTTAGAAAAATTTTATAGATTTGTTCATTATATCATTTTCTATCATTGTTAAAATATGAAAACAAATTCAGTTTTCCATAATGGGGATATAGTTAAGTAAATTACTGTATGTATCTTTATGGAATATTATATATTTGCCAAAATATGAATGAAGTTAATTACTACTAAGTTTTTAGTTTGTTTTACTAAAGTGTTTGTTTTGTCTGAAATCTCTAAACCACAAGTATTATGAAAGAAAAGCAACGGCGGAGCTTGAGGATTAGTTAGTAGCAATCAGCTGAGGAAAGATGTAGGTGAATCATATCTAAAACAGAATTGTAGAATGCCTCTGAGGATAGCGGAATTGTGGCTATTCTAAGAAGAAGCATATTTATAAACTATGAAAGAAGATAAATCCAAAAAGCAGTTAAAGTAGCTTCATCTGTTGTGTTTGCACAAACACAGGATAGCTTGAAAGCAGAACCAATGTCAAAGGGCAGAGAGAATATAGTATGGTAAACCAGTCAAATGAAAGGAAGGATTACATTATTGCTAGGTTTATGAAATGAGTGGGTGGGATCTGCTGCAGAGGGTGGGAACGAATCACCAATCATCTTTTTTTTTTTTTTTTTTCTGAGACAGAGTCTAGCTCTGTCACACAGGCTGGAGTGCAGTGGCACAATCTCGGCTCACTGCAATCTCCCCCTCTCGGATTCAAGTGATTCTCGTGCCTCAGCCTCCTGAGTAGCTGTGATTACAGGTGCACACCACCGTGCCCGGCTAATTTTTGTATTTTTGGTAGAGATGGGGTTTCGCCATGCTGGCCAGGCTGGCCTTGAACTCCTATCCTCAGGTGATCCACCCGCCTCGGCCTCCCAAAGTGCTGGGATTGCAGGTGTGAGCCACCATGCCCAGCTGTCACCAATCACCTTATATCTGAATTCACCTTATTGTGGGGCCCAAATAGAATTAAGTCTTAGTGACTGATAGCATAACTACTCTGCAGAATTAAAACTGCAAGTGTGTACTGGTAGATAAGGAAGGAGGGGGATGCTGGGAATCACAGTGACGTTAGAGAAATACGGTGGCTTGCAAGCTTCCTAGATGTGGCTTTAATTTCATGGGTAAAAATTTTTTTGTCACTTTCCTTATCACTTTTGAACTGCCAAATGGTTAAACAGACGAATCCTACCCTGCCCCAGGCCTCTTTGAACAAGTGTAGTAAAGCTCTGCTCTGTTGGAGTTGCTCCATGCCATTGGCCTGAGAACCCATCTATGTAGGAACAGTGTCCAGTGTTCTTGTGGTACCAAATTGTGCCATTGGATACAATAATCTGTTGAGTCTGGGTGGGATAAGTGATTTGTATTTGTTTTGGTTTAAAAACATACTTTGATAGAAATTAGTCCCTTTCTTTTCCTTCTCTTCTACAATGTCAATTGCCCATTTCATTTGTGTGTTTCTAACATTTTCTTTTGTTAAGAAATGTTGGGGCTATAATTTTTTTGAAATCACTGAAGGAGGGGGAAAAATAATTTTAACAACCTGTGTTGAAACCTTCCATAGCTTAATTGACTGGAATAATCCTGCCATCATTAATAAGATGTACAAGGTGTACCTTGGAGATATACCACTGAAGACAAAAGAGGTAGGTTGTTTTGATTTATTCTCACATCAGCGTAAAAAGTAGTTTGTTGACATGAACTGCGTATTTATACATTTTCTTCTAGTTTCATTTAAGCTGAATCTGTGCTATAACAAAATGCTAGTTTTAAGTCATGCTAGTTTAGATGAATTAAAACCTGGTAATTTAGTTTACTGGATCTTGTGTTGTAAATTCAGATTCCTAAATAACAATGACAAACTGTCTAGAGTAGGGATTGACAAATTTTTTCTGTAAATTTTGTAGGCTTTGCAGGCCTTATGGTCTCTCAGGTTGCAGCTGCTGAACTCTTGTAACATGAAAGCAACTATAGGCAATACATAACCGAATGAGCATGGTTGTGTGCCGGTAAAACATTGTGGATACTGATGTTTGAATTTTGTGTAGTTTTCATATATTACAAAATATATTCCTTTGATATTTTTTAACCATTACAAAATGTAAAAATGATGCTTAACTCATAGACCTTATCAGAATAAATGGTGGGCCAGATTCGGACTGTGGGCTATAGTTTGCAGACTTCTGGTCTAGAATCTAGAACAAAAGATAGGTCCTTCTAAAGCCTCAAAGTAAGACCTTTGCCTTACTAACGTGAGTTCTTTTTAGTTCACTGTGTTTAAAAGTATTCCAGGTCCAAACCCAGATATACAAGGATTATTTGTTTGCATGCTTGCATTCTTGCTCTTTTTTGTTTGAGTTGGGGTTTAGCTATGTTGCCTAGGCTGGACTTGAACTTCTGGGCTTAAGCTGTGCTCCTGCCTCAGTCTCTTGAGTAGCTGTGACTACAGGTGCACACCACTGCACCTGTCTGCCTTTTTGCTTTTTAAACCATAAATACTTGTTTTAAAAATCAATATTAGCCCTGGTTAGATTAGATTGAGTGTGGTAAAGCAGAAATAACAATGAATTGGGAATCAGGACCTATGAATTCTAGCCCCAAATGGCTGTACACATGAATGTGCTGGGGAGGAAAGGTTTGGCTGATCACATAACTTTTCCTGGCCTCATGTTCTTCATGTAGAAAATGAAGGGGTTGGATTAGATTAGTGGTTCTCACAGTGTGGTCCATGGACCTTTTTAGGGTCACAAAACACCTTTTAGGCAGTCTGTGAAGGCCTTTTCTTTTTGTACTGTGTCAATATTTGCACTCATGGTACAAAAGCAATGGTGAGTGTACTTGCTAGGTTCCTACCACATATCAAAGCCATGTCACCAGATGACTAACAGTTATTCTATTCTTCAGTGTTATGTACTCATTTAAAAAAAAAAAGAGAATAAAACTCAGCTTTACTTAAGAACATCCTTGATGAAGCAGTAAAAATGACTTTACTTGAAGAGTAGACAGGCAAATTATAGCTACCGAGATGGGTATTTGGTGCATACTTTCTCTAAAAGGGAAAAAAATGAGCTTGTTACTTCAAGAAAAACAACATGATTTATTGGCAATGATAAAAGTTAGCTTTCAAGCAAAAATTAGAGTTTTGAGAAACTTGTATTCACCACAGTGATTTGATAGCTTATCAGTACTTAGTAGATTTTTCTGATGCCGTTAGAACACAGGTGATATGAGCACAGGCTTTGTGAAAAAAAATGTATGTATGAAGAAACATTTGCTTAACTCAGTGAGCCAGTATTGTGCACATGAAGAATGATGTTACAAAAGCATATAAGGACAAGGGAGCCATTCAGAGTAAGATAACCAGTGGAATATAGTATAAGAGTATACAAAAGTTCATTGATATGGTTTCAACTCCAAATTGCAACTAACCTTTTTTTTTTCATTTTTTAAAAATAAGCAATTAACTGTTAAGAAATTATTATTTGTCAAGTTTTGGTGTAGTATGAAAAAAGAATGTCCACAATTACCTAAGAAAGCTAAAATCATCTCCACTTTTCCAACCACACATATCTGTGCAAGCGAGGTTTTTGTTACTTATTTCAACCAAAACAATGTATTATAGCAGATTGAATACAGAAGAATATATAAAAATTCATTTCTCTTGTAGTAAGGCGAACATTGAAGAGATTAGTAGACAATGTAAAACAGTGCTTCTCCCTCAGTACAATTTTTTTTGCTTTGGAAAATAGTTATTTTTTATAAAAATGTTAGTTTTGAAAATAATGAGTTTATTAATAATTGTGAGTAAACAAATATGTTAAAATTTCTCAGTTTTAATTTCCCGTATAGTAAATATTGATAGGTTACACAGATATAAACAGAAGCTCTTTGGAGAGTTCAGTAATTTTTAAGAGTGTAAAGGGATCTTGAAACAAAGTTTGAGAGACCACTGATTAAGATGAATTCTCATGACATTTTCAGTTCAAAATAATTTTGAATTGCTGAGTTATAATCAAGCATATTTTCAACAGGGTGCAGTTCTGAAGCCAGAGTTGAAAAGGGACCCTGTCAGTACAAGAGTCAAGTTAAAGATTGTCCCCCATCTCCTCCGCTCTAGACAAGCTGCTGAAACGTTCCCAGCCAACATTCAGGTAATTTGTTTTTTCCAGAGAATATTGGCCTGTCTGCAACTTTTATGTCTATTTAATTAGAGAAAGAACTGTGTTAATGGATATTCAGTGGGTAGGTTGATGTATATAACAAGATTAATGAGATTCTTTTTTTCTATCTTAAATTTGCTGCAATATGATTTTAAAAAAATTATCAGAAAATATATATAGGTTGAGCATCTCTAATTAGAAAATCTGAAATCCTAAATGCTCCAAAGTCCAAAACTTTGTACTGACATGATGCTCCAAGTGCAAAATTCCATACCTGGTCTCATGTGATGGATTGCATTAAAACAGTCAAAACTTTACTTCATGCACAAAATTATTTAAAATATTGTATAAATTACCTTCAGGCTATGTGCATAAGGTGTATAGAAAATGTCAGTGAATTTCATCTTTAGATTTGGGTTTCATCCCCAGGATATCTCTTTATGTATGTACACATATTCCAAAATCTGAAAAAATCTGAAATCTCAAAACACTTCTGATCCTAAGCATTTCCAGTAAGGAACACTTAACCTATGCTATATTGGCTTCCATTTATCTTAAATGTATGGTAATAATCCCTTTCAGACAAGGTTTTTTTTTATGTGTGGCTTTTCTCCAAAAATGGTATCATTAGCAACTTAGTCACTTAAGTGACAAAGCTGAGTCATCCTTAACTGAAAGCTCACTTGAAGGCAGTGGCCAAATCCTCTTGATTTCATCTTAATGTCTTCACTTCTCTATGCCTATAATGCTGCTATTAATTCAAACTATTACTTCTTGTTTTGGTTATTGCAGTATTCTTTTAACTTACCTTCCTGCCTCTAGTCTTGGCCCACATTCAGTCTGTTTTCTTTTTCATTGCTTTTTTTTTTTTTCTGAGACAGGGTCTCACTGTGTTGCTCAGGCTGGAGTGCAGTGGCACAATCTTGTCTCACTCAGCCTCTACCTCCCAGGCTGAAGTGATCCTTCCACCTCAGCCTCCCGAGTAGCTAAAAAAAAAGTCTGTTTCAAATAATGTAGCACTTGATTATATTTTGTCCCATATCTTTTTGTGGTTTTTTTGGAGACGGAGTCTTTCTGTGCCACCCAGACTGGAGTGCAGTAGTGGTGTGATCTAGGCTTACTGCAGCCTCTGCCTCCCAAGCTCAAATGATTCTCCCATCTCCAGGCCTCCCAAGTAGCTGGGACTACAGGCATGTGCCACCATGCCTGGCTAATTTTTGTATTTTTTTGTACAGATGGAGTTTCACTATGTTGCCCAGGCTGGTCTAGAACTCCTGGGCTCAAGTGATCTTCCTGCCTTGGCCTCCCAAAGTGCTGGGATTTTTTTTTTTTTTTTTTGAAGTGAGACAGGATCTTGCTATGTTGCCCAGACTGGCCTTGAATGCTTGGGCTCAAGTGATCCTCCCGTCCTAGCCTCCCTAGTAGCTGGGACTGTAGGTGTGAGCCACCATGCTTGGCTATGTATCATTTTAATGTGTGTATCTCTTAACTCTTCAACAAGATTGAGTGCTTGTTCTTTTTTATATCTCTTAGTACCTAGCACAGTGGCAATTATAAAGCAGATACTCAATACTAGTCTGTAACTCACATGTTATTGTTAAATAAGATCAGAATACTGCTGGCAGTTTTAGGAACAAGAGTATAGAGTTTTTTTTTTTTTTTTTAGTGTAAGTAATCTTTGTCATAAAAAGGAACTTGAGGGATTTAGATATTTTTGATGTTGTTGGTTAATATTGAACTTGCTGGATGCTGCACAGGACTCATCTGCATGATCTTTTTGCCTTCTAGATGTGGTTCCATAATACTTGAAGCACCTTTACCCCAATGGGACACTTGTAGAATATTTCCATTTGTATGTTTTCTCTGAAGCTTTTATTAGAATTTGTCCTGAATCATATAATTAAGAAACATAGGGAATAGCTGAGTGGTGACCCACTGCAGTGTGTACTCTTCGTTTCCTCACTGTGGTAGACCCACAATCTTTGCAGACTTGTGCGATCAACCATTGTGTTTGTTACTCCACAGACTATTTATAGGAGCTTCTGATTGGCTTTCTAAGTTGGTCAGCTAATAATGTGTATCTGCATTAATGTTGAAGAACGAGATGTAGTATGAAAGGTCTGCTGCTGAATTCTGATTACTATTCAAAAATATTAAATTCTTATTTTTATTAATTGATGTTCTCAACTCTTCATTTTACATAGGTGGTGTATGATGGACTTTTTGGTACAAATACAAATTCAAAGTTAAGAACATTATCCCTGCAATTTGTGCATCATATTTGTATAACGTAAGTCTTTAACTATTTTAACTATAAAGTTTTCAAGCTGCTGGAATGATTGAGTGCTTCAAGTGTATCGTTTTACTCATCTTACCTAGAAAGAAAACATGTTTGCTCATCTTTAAAAATTTTTGTATTTTAATAGATTATTTAACTTATTTCGGTTATGTCTCTCATTATTTTATGTAATCATCCGTAAAGATATGTAGTCATGAGATTCTTATCTTGCTTTGTGTATGTGTGTTTTATTTAAAGCTGTCCAGAAATCAAGATTAAGCCATTAGGTCCAATGCTTTTGAATGGCCTCACCAAGCTAATCAATGAATACAAAGAGGTAAGTGACTTGTCTTTTAAATTTTATCAACATTTTATATCTTAAAGTATTTTCTATAATATTTCTGGTCTGTCAATGTAGTTAGTTAAAAGTTTGTTAAAGTTTCACTGTTCCTTAACATTTTACTTGAAATAGTACAAATTTCAGAAATTACTGCCCTTTTTTGCTTTTTTGGGGGGAAATAACTGTTAAAAACTGATATGAGGTCTTACTATATCTTTTTTTTTTTTTGAGATGGAGTTTTGCTCTAGTTGCCCAGGCTGGAGTGCAATGGCATGATCTTAGCTCCCTGCAACCTCCGGCTCCTGGTTCAAGTGATTCTCTTGCCTCAGCCTCCCGAGTAGCTGGGATTACAGGCACCTGCCACCACCACACCCAGCTAATTTTTTGTATTTTTAGTAGAGATGGGTTGGCCATCTCTACTGGCCGTCTCAAGGCCAGGCTGGTCTTGAATTCCTGACCTCAGGTGATCCGCCTGCCTCGGCCTCCCTAAGTGCTGGGATTACAGGCATGAGCCACCATGCCCAGCCTGCTGTATCTTTAAATAGCATTTTTTCAGCCAGCACCTTTTGTGCTACTTCTAGCTATTGTGCAAAAATGGAATTAAAGGAATTGAAATTTATGTTGATTTCCCTATGTGACTATTTGGATTTGGCTTGTGTTGGGAAACTGTTAATTCTCAGGGGCTAAGATACTTTTTTTCTTTTATATTTTTCTCTGGTAAATAATGGGGCTGAGATTTTAATGATTCAAAATTCTGTCAAAACATGCATTCAGTAAATTTTTGATTCCTTAAGCTAAATGGGATGAGGATTCCTTGGACTGTGGATTTTTGAATCCCTTTCCCTGCTGTATTTCTCTTACTATAATATCTCCAATATTTAAAAGGAATTTGCTTAAAAAGGTAATATTTCAAGAATTCATTAGCATTATTTTCCCCAGTCTAAGCTAAACATGAATGCATGTTTGCAGTAGTATAGTGAGATCAAGATCTTACATCTGAAATTAGAACTGAGTTTGAATCCTAGTTTTGTTCTTTGGTGAGTTACTTAAATTCTTTGCACCTTCTTATTAGAAAAATGAAAATAATACTGCTTGATTAGATTACTGTGAAGATTGAATGAGTTAATCTACCTAAATTGTTCACCATAGTCAAGGCACGTTAGTAGGTATTATTAGTGAAAGGCACTTTATTTACTGTGCAGCTGTGCTTTGGGGTGGTAAGTAGGCCTGGTTCTCATAGCTTCTTTCTCCTATTGAGTGATGCTTGCATGGTTAAGATCTAGGGGACCACTCAGATTATTTTATGGCATAGATGGTGAAATGCTTTAGAGTCATTGGTAGAAATGAAAATGTTCTGGGGCTCTTGGGGAGAAGCTGTATATTTAAATGTAAGTTAGAGAGGCCAGACAAACCACAGGGTGTGAGTCCCCTTACCTGCAGGTGACATCTGCATGTCTTCCCAACAGATGAATCCATAAGAGTAGCCATTTAGATGTGGAAGGGCAAATCCTAGGATAAACACATAAACTTTAACTGGTAGAAGTTTATTGTGTTCTGAGTAATCAGATTATTAGTTTTTGTAAAACCATGTAAAACTCTATCTGTATCTTGAGGAGAGAACCTCACTAATTCACCTGGTGATTATGACCCTCTTAATTTTTTATGGTAGAAAATATGATAGAAAGCTGTTCATTACAGTGTAGATTTTTAGAAGATCACACTACAGTTTATTGCAATTTTGGTGAGAGACGGAGGATCCTAGTCTGTTGGACCGGTGATGTATTTTCTAATGAGTTAATGTTTTTTAGTGTGTTGAAGATGAACTTTGGTGTTTGGAGGTTACATAGTGTTGAAATATCTTGAACTCAGCACCAGCTAAGAGAAACCTTTCATATCTATGACCACTGCATTTTCTTTTTGGAGCGATTGGGGATGCAAGGTTTTGTCTTGTTTTTCCTTTTAGTTAGTGTGATGGATTCTGGGTTTGGACATTTTTGTTGTTGTTCAGGTGCTAACACCATGTAGTTAGACAGAGTGAGACCTAGGTTTAATAAGGAGTAAAATAATGCATGTAATTGCAGCGAAAAGGTTTTACTGTTTACTGTATTTTTTGTTTTGTCTGTTTTTTGTTCTTTCTTTTCTTTCTTTTCTTTTTTTAATTTCAAGGACCCTAAACTACTGTCAATGGCATATTCAGCTGTTGGAAAACTCTCCAGGTGAGTAAACTCTTTTTTAGTGAGAGATATGGTGTTGGTAAACAGAGAAAAATTATGTGGCATTTAATAATGGCGGAGAATAAATTTGTCGTGATTCTGAAAGGGAATGTATTTAATGGTCATAGGTTGTTTAGAAATGTCTTCTGTGTAGAAGGAAAAAGATGTGAGACATTTTAATTTACATTTGAAGGTATGTTACTGTATTAAATGGTGGTCTTGAAATGAGAGTTTGAACTTAATTGTGTCATAATGGGTTACTTTTTTTGTACCCTAGAGACTTTTGATTGACCTTAAGTGTTTTTGTTGCTACTTGGCACTAATCTTTATAAACCCAGTGATCAAGGTTTTTCTAGTGATTCTCTTTTCTGAGAATGGTGTTTATGATTCTGAGTGGCCCTGACAGATTTTTTTTTCTTCTCAATGTGATTTCCTCATTCCAGTTCCTCCTGGCTTCATCTTCCTTCACTGTATTTGAAAGCAGGGAGATAGAGATGAAGCATTCTCAGTGGCACCATGTGCTGCTTCCACGCCCAGTGCAGGTTTTGTGTTGGCCTGTGTAGACCAGGTCTTGCTCTTCTCTACAGTGAAAGGAGCTTTGGGGTTTGGAAGAAAGCCACCCCAGATCAGTGGATATAGTGCAGGGTTGTCAGCCAACCTTGTCCCTTGTCTGTTGGCATGAAGTAACAAAGCCCCTTTCCACGACAGTCATTAGTTTAGATCACAGTTTGGTCTTACCTAATTTCTTCATGTTAAAATCAGAAATGTTAACTGAATGCATGGAATATTATAGAGGGGATATTTGGAAGATGTGCGTGTTAATCAAGGGTTATTTGGATTAAAGAATTAAATACTTGGAAAAATTTTTGGCTCTCAGAGCGGGTAATGATGCTGACATTGTCTTCAGAGAGTTCAGGAAAATTTGTGTTTAGTTTCATTTTTTCCCTTTTTCATCTCTTGGAAATTTATGATAGTAACAATATTTTTACATTCTTTTGCAGTCGGATGCCACATTTATTCACTAAGGATATAGCGCTTGTGCAGCAGCTTTTTGAAGCCCTTTGCAAGGTAGGGAAACAGCTGCTAAGTTTATGCTTTGTGTTTGGATGTTCCCCTGGGAACCCAACAAGGAGGGAAACATTTTTATCATCTTTATAGGAAGAGCCTGAGACTCGACTTGCTATTCAAGAAGCTTTATCTATGATGGTTGGAGCGTATAGTACTTTGGAAGGGGCACAGCGAACTCTCATGGAGGCACTTGTGGCTTCGTACTTAATAAAGGTAGGTCCGTGTGAACTACAAAGCCTGGGTAGTATACGGTTTACATTTTTAAGAACAAAATTTGAATTGCTACTTAACTTTTGATAAGAGGAGTATTTGCTTTCACTTGGGCTGTGATTTAGGATCTATTTTTAATTCTTCATGATGAAAATTTGACTTTAGGGGAGAAGGAGTGGTAGTATTCATAGCGATGCTTATGTTTAGAGCTTTCCATGTGGGAAAACTATTCTTAATGCCATGTCCTCCGAGTTAGAAGTGTTTTGTCTTTGTAACTGGTAGCTGAGCACTACTGTCCGCTGGGGTAGAGTTTGATAGGTAACATTTTCAGAGAAAAGCAGAAGGGATGAAAGACAAATTCCATATGTCAAAGTGAGTCTTTAGGAAGTGAGCCAGTACTATCATACATGCTCTTCTTCCTCTTTATTTGGTTTTCATGGGAATTTGTAGGAGGATTTTGAATATCTGTAGATACACACACACACACACACACACACACACACACACACACACATATATGTAATATGTAATATATATTTGCTTTAGTCAGTTCTTTGTCCCACATTTTTAGGAGTAGAAAGGGAGATTGGAAGACAGAATGATACTAAAAAGTGTCAGTCAGATTAATATAAATTGTGTCCTAATGGAATTAGACTGACATGATTTAATATTTTGAGGGAATTTTAAATGTTCAGAAAGGTATCTGCTTCCTATTAAAATATGACAGGGTTAAATGTGCTATTATATACATTCAGAAAGCTTACTATGATGGAGTCCTATTGTCAAGTGCTCTTAGTGTGCAGTGCATGTGGTTCATGGTCATATGTTATGGACAAAGGTGTGTAGGCGTATTTGGAAGCTCATTAGAACAGAATACTTTAAACTTTCTCTAGGTAACTTTACAAGGAAGTGTGATGCTTGAATAAACACAGATACTGGTTCTACGCACACAGATCAAATCATGTAACACTATTACCAAGACAAAGCTAATTTCTTTTCACAGACAACATTTAAAGCAACCAAACTCTAGGTTAGTTATGTAATTTAGGCTAGTCTTTAATATCCTCACTCTTTAATGTAGTTCAAGGACTGCTAAATAGCAAGAATGCCAGAATGAGTGGGACAATATATATATTTTTAATGTCTCTCTTATTTCACTTATGTTTGTGGCTAGAGGAGTGACCTGGGGAAGGTACGTAAGAATAAAGCTTCAGGATCAGTAGATTCTAAAACTACTTTTCTGGTTGAACTTTGTAGTTACAGATTATTAATCTTAGTTAATTGAATATATTTCTGTAGTTGAAACTGCTTTGAGCTAATCTGAGAAGCTCAATTTGAAGTATTTAGCTTCAAATTGGTGGGGATTCCAAGTAGGCTCTGTTTGTAATTTCTGCCAAATACCTGACTTTCACTCATGTGACTGACAGTTTGAGAGTTGGGGTGGCGGAGGTGATGGCTAGAAACTGTCACAGTGACCGTGGTCCCAAGGTTTGGGCTGAGGATGCGCAGAGATTCTCTAGTTATGGTCCTTGGAGGTCTTCCTACTTCACCTGGAGGATCCTCTAAAATTATAAGAATACTCTTTAAGTAATGCCACCATCCAAAAGACTTAAACAACATGATTAAAGATCTTGAACAAATGATTTATTTAATTTAGATACACGTTTATTAAAATGTCACCTTAGAATTTTGAATTGTTTACAGTTAGGAAGACTCATCTTGATTGGAATGAATGGCTGGTAATTGATTTTTTTTTTCCTTTTTCGGATCGGGGTGGTCTGTGTATGTTTACACATGAAATAGCCTGAAGTTCAAGTTCGACAAGTGGCTGTGAAATTTGCCAGTACGGTGTTTCCCTCAGATCATATCCCTTCCAGATATTTGCTGCTACTGGCTGCAGGAGATCCGTAAGTTTCAAAAGGTGTTAATTTGAATTTTGGTTTATTTTGAATTTATTTGAAAATTACTAAAAGTTGTATTGTTTACAATGTTGGTCTATGAAATTTAGAAGCTATTTATTAAAGAAAGTATGGCTCTTGATGTGATATAGACCTGTACTCATATACCTATATATTTATATAGTAATATAAATATTACATGTATATATCTATATAATATACATTATGTAGATATATATGTGTAATATATGATATATAGCTAATACAGAAAATGGTTATGAAATGGTCAAGTGTAAATAAAGCAAATTATATGATTGCGTGTGTAATATAATTATATATCTAAAAACAAGCCCTATGTAAGGAGAAAAAAGGCTGATGTTGATGGTTTGACATATGTATTAATATTTTATTAAATATGGAGTATCATTTTATATCTAATATATTTTTAAATGAGGTATAAGTTGCATTTTATATTAATGAATTATACTACTGCATTTTCTAGAGTGTGTAATGCTTTTTAAAAGAATGTTTAAATGGTTTTGAAATTGGGACATGCCTTTAAAAGTCATGTACATATAATGAAATATATGTGGACATATTAAAACAACTCTTTTCAAATCTGTTATATGTCTTACAGTCAATGCCATCTTAAAATCCATGCAGCATTCTAATCTATTTCATAATAAACCATTACTACATTTAACGTTTAGAATTTTTGCATCCCTTAAGTGAGATTCTTGTATATGTTTTTCTTTTTTGTTATCAGGGATAGCCTTATTTGGGGAGATGAAAAGCTTCATTTATTCTGAGGAATAGTTTAAATAAAATTATGCATTCTGTGATGATTTGAACACCCTTGCCCATAAACTTTTATGGTCCATTTTTTAAAAATGGGTAATTCCTTGATAACTGTTTCAGTGTTCTAGTTGGCCAGCTGTGTGCCCCTCATGCCATTTATTTTCTTTACTATAAGTTGTATATATTTTGCTGTTATTTATTTGGTTGGTATTTTAATTGGACATCACAAGTTATTACCAGGTGCTGGTTTTTGACTTCTGATCTTGGCTGCTGCTTCTCATAGAGCACATTTCAATCTGGTTAAAGTGGCTTTGGATTGTTAATGTTGATTCTGGTGCTCTGTTGCTTCTTAATTTTTTTACGTTAGTTTCCCAACCAAGGCCAGATGTACTGGGGCCTGGCAGCCAAGGTGTCAGTTCATGTTAGAGCAAGGATTTAAGTCTAGGGAGTTGGACTTCCAAATAGAGCTCTTAACTGCTGTATCTTACTCTGTAAGTGCTGAAAATTGTTTTTGTTTAAGAAACCAAAAACAAAGCATAACTAATTCAACAGTTTTCCTTCTTAGGTTAGAACCATTCAGGTCAAATGAAAATCCTCTGACAACTTAAGGAATTATTTATTAATTCTTTCTTTTCGGCCCTTTATGTGTTGTTTGGAAAATGAGACACAATCAGAGGCAATTGAAGAATTAAAAGGCCTTTATGTGGTATCTGGATAAGACTATTGCTGAGATCAGTCTCTAGGTGGTCTGAAATTGGTTGGGTTTATATTTTTACACTTTAATGTCACTTATGAGTTATTAGTTGTACAGAATTGTAGCTGAATACATAGAGATGTAAGACTTTGGGTGGAGTGTGTAGACCACTGGATAGTCACTGACTTCTAAAATATGTATTATAGTTGTTTATGGTTTAACTCTACGAGGTAAAGCATACACATAGATATTTACATAATAATTTACTTAAAGTACCCTATCTTGTTTTTTAATGTGAGTCAAATTCAAAGATGTAAGCCAGATGAGTCCCCGGACCTCATGCAATTTCTGAAAAGAAGTGATTTCTTATAATGTGTTATGTTGACTCTGCTTAGATAGCCAAGAATGTATTTAAGACATTTTCTGAGAACTCTAGCTGCCAAATAAAATTGCTGTTCTTATTCTTCAAATGATCATTTCCCATTGGTGACATTTATTTTTTATTCTTATTTGTCTTTTTCTGAAAGACGTGAAGAAGTTCATGGAGAAGCACAACGCGTATTAAGGTGTCTTCCAGGTAGAAACAGAAAAGAAAGTACTTCTGAGCAGATGCCTTCCTTCCCAGAAATGGTTTATTACATCCAAGAAAAGGTATGGCATGCAACTTAAGGTAATTAGTCTAAATCATAATGGATGATGAAAATAAAAACATCTTTAAAGTGAAAAATGTAATCACTAGATGTTGACTCATAAAATTTCTTTTTCTTTTCTTTTCTTTTTTTTTTTTGAGATGGAGCTTCGCTCTTGTTGCCCAGGCTGGAGTGCAATGGCACGGTCTTGGCTCACTGCAAACTCCACTACCTGGGTTCAAGTGATTCTCCTGCCCCAGCTCCTGAATAGCTGGGATTATAGGCGCCTGCCACCAAGCCCGGTTAATTTTTTGTATTTTTAGTAGAAACAGTGTTTCACCATGTTGGCCAGGCTGGTCTTGAACTCCTGACCTCAGGTGATCCACCTGCCTTGGCCTCCCAAAGTGCTAGGTTTACAGGCATGAACCACCATGCCCAGCTGACTCATAAAGTTTCTAGCATTAATACTTACAATAAGAAGAAGATACAAAGTGAGGAAAAAAAATTGTAATCCTCACCTGTAATTGATCTGTTTTGCCTAAACTTGAATTACTTATAATTCCTTTCATGCTTGGCAACATTTTGGCTGTGTTAAATATTTTTTCCCTTAATATGACATGCTTAAAAATACATCTCCTTTTTTTAAAATTTTTTTATTTTTTTTTGAGACAGGGTCTTGCTCTGGTCACCCAGGCTAGAGTGCAGTGGTGTGGTCTCAGTTCACTAAAACCTCCACGTCCCAGACTCAAGTGATCCACCCTCCTCAGCCTCCCGATAGCTGGGACTACAGGCGTGCACCACCGTGCCTGGCTAATTTTTTTATTTTTTGTAGAGACAGAGTTTTGCTATATTGCCCACGCTGGTTCTCCTTTTTATTTTTAAGGGCACGCTTTAGGGTAGTGTAAGTTTAAGGATGCTTCAGGGAACAGTTCATGTTCTTCCCACCGTGTTCATAAGAGAGCATCCCATCTGCTTTTGTAAGTTTTTGCTTTTGCACAGTGTTTTCTGCTAGTAGATCCAGGATATTGGCAGTAATGACCATCCACCCCCTCCAGGCCTTGACTCTGTCCCACTTTGCCGGAGGACACCTTCCTACCTTTTACCTCCACTGGTGATCCTAGCTCTTTGCTAGGTAGGCACCTTAAGGGAGTTGAAGGTCAGTATGCAGCGGCCATGATTCTGTTTTCCACATAGCAGCACAGTCTATTTGTGGTCAGAAGATTCTCTGCTTGTAGTTTCCTCCTACTTTGATTATTAATGAAAATAACTGGCATGCAGTGACCTGAGATGACCATATTAGTAGATGTCTGGAATAGGTTTATTATTTTTAAACAAACCAGAACAAACATGGAAAAAGGGCAATACACTTGTCTTTTAGTGTGTGAGGGACATGCACGATCAGCATGGTTAATAGGAAAGTGGAAAATGTTTGATCAGAAAAAGAAGCAAACTTAGGACATGTAGCTAGAAACACAGTTGTTTTTGAGTTGAGGAAGGGCAGGTATGCTTCATTTTTCAGTAATTGTGTCTGTTTTGGACTTTTTAAACTTAGGCTTCTCATCGAATGAAAACTCCAGTCAAGTACATGACCGGGACCACTGTCCTTCCATTTAACCCAGCAGCCTTTGGAGAGGTAGAACTTTCATATATTTCTATTTACTTTTTGTAAGTGTTCTAAAAAGATCACACCACACCCAAAGAGGGGTCTGTCATTTTGTTGTGTTTTAGGTAAACCCATATTGTGGTGTCATTGTTCTTCATCGGGTTGTTTATTTAAAAAAAAAGTATTGGGAAATTGGTATTATTTTAATTCATAGTGAAGTATGTAAATATATTTATCTCAGTGAGATTCTTTTTGTGAAAAAACTGGATGTTCTGTAGTGATTACTATTGGGATTTTGCAGCAAGTTAGATTTGGGTTTTAAAGCCAACCTGTTGTTGAGGTTGTTAGGGTTATTTAGTTTTGAAGGTTGGAGAGGATTAAATTGATCACACTTATTAAGGGAAATTCTGTTTTTTAGATTATTGACTTGCTCTAGGTAAATTACAAGAGGTGATCTTGTTCGGATTAAGAATATTCACAGTGAATTTGCTGCCTATCCTATTTTAACGATCAATGAAAAAGCTTCCAGAGGATGGACTCCTTGGCAGCCTGTTTATGTAAGGGTTGTTTTTTTTGTTTGTTTGGTTTTTTTTTTTTTTGAGAAGGAGTCTCACTCTGTTGCCCGTGCTGGAGTACAGTGAATGGCGTGATCTCGGTTCATTGCAACCTTGCCTCCTGGGCTCAAGTGAACCTCCGTCCCAGTCTCCTGAGTAGCCATGACTACAGGCGTGCACCACCACCCCTGGCTAATTCTGTTATCTTTTTGGTAGAGATGGGTTTCACCATGTTTCCCAGGCTGGTCTTGAACTCCTGAGCTAAAGCAGTCCTCCTGCCTCAGCCTCCCAAAGTGTTGGGATTACAGGCGTGAGCCACTGTGTCTGGTCTATATCAGAGGTTTTTATGGTGTTATATCTATTTTTCTGTAGATGAATTGAACCCATTTTCTCAGATTCTTGTGTCAATGGAGTAAACACAACTGGAATTCTGCAGGAGTAATAGGCCATTTACTTCAGATTTCTTTCCTCTCTCTCTGTCTTTCTCTCTCTCTCACACACACACACACACACACACACGGCTTTTAAAAAATAATGATTTTTATTATAATTTTTAACTTTTATTTTAGGTTCGAGGGTACATGTGAAGGTTTGTTATATAGGTAAATATGTGTCATGGGGGTTTGTTGTATATACTATTTCATTACCCAGATATTAAGCCCAATACCCCATAGTTATCTTTTCTGCTCCTCTCCCTCCTCCCACCCTCTCTCCTCAAGTATACCCCAGTGTCTGTTGTTTGCTTCTTTGCGTTCAGAAGTTCTTATCATCTAACTCCCACTTATAAGTGAGAACATGTGGTATTTGATTTTCTGTTCCTGCGTTAGTTTGCTAAGGATAACAGCCTCCAGCTCCAATTTCTGACTTTAAAAGTTCAGTTTGTATTTTAACAATCTTAAAAAATTCTTTGGATTTGCAAACCTTATTATACAAATTTTGCTCCATTATGGCATATTTTCTGCCTTCCATGAGGATTGGAATAGCTTTATAAAGAAGTGTGGGTGAATCAAAACTAGAAATTGTTACTTTGAAGAGTACCTTCCCACACTGACTTTTCGAGAAGCTTATGCAGTCTTCCTCTCCGTTCTGTTTGTAGATCGTTCTGTACTTGCGCATGTGCCTTGCGCACAGTGCGGGGGTGGTGCCCACCTCTCAGAGTTTGGCTGATATGCAGGATCATGCCCCAGCCATTGGGCGCTACATACGGACTTTAATGTCAAGCGGGCAGATGGCACCCTCATCATCTAACAAGAGTGGGGAGACTAACCCTGTCCAGATCTACATTGGCCTGCTTCAGCAGCTGTTAGCAGGTGTTGGAGGTAGGAATATGTGACGCGAAGGAAAGATACTGAAGCACTTAAGCAAAAATCTAATTTTAAACTTTGCTAAGAATTTATAGCAAAATTATTCTTTTTCTTCTGTAACTGAACATTAGCCTTTGTTTCTTTTTAAACTTACCTGATTCATTCTGGATACACTACTTCTTTTTTCGGAAAGAAATGCTAACAATAGATAAATACATTTTTACTTCGGAAGTGGATGTGAAGAACAGGATATCCTTTTTATAGATAGCTCATCTGTAAATTTGCTGTAGTGAATCACATACTATATTTAGGTTGTGTAGGTTTTCTTTTTTTTTTTTTTAATAGAACCGAAAGAATGTGTGCTAAAGCAGTGGCCTTATACTTTAAAGGAATTTAGTGATCCCTGTATGTTCATTACTTTTCTTGAAATTTAAGGTGATTCTGAATTCTTATTTAGGTTTGCCGGTTATGTACTGTCTATTGGAAGCTGTGTCAGTGTATCCAGAAAAGCTGGCTACCAAATTTGTAGACAAAACAGAATGGATAAAGGTATGTTCTGCATGTACCTTTTTTTAAAAAAAATTCTATTTCAGACCTTAACTTCATGATTTCTTTTTCCTGCCAGCGGGATCCCTATGACCTTTTCTGCCTTTAGGTCGTTTTGAAAACTCTCTTATCATCAGACACTTACTGGGAAGCATGTAGGTCACTATGTCTCATTGACACATCTGGAGGAGATTGGGAGATGAATTGAGAAGCATAGGAGTAAAAAAAAGTTCCTTTTCTGTTTCAAAAGTTTTTTTTTTTTGAAAAAATAAGCAATAGATTTGTGTAGTTTAAATAAAAACTATGTAAAATGTCTCCTTTCCGTAACCATCTCCAACCTACCCAAGCCTTCTAATTTTTGTCCTTTCCTCTCCCCTCTGACAAACATATATAAGTGACCACTTATATATGGCATGCTTTCTAGAGTTTACTTATGTACATACACATAAAAACATGCATTTAAAATTTTTGTCCCATCTTTTTATCAAAAGCAGCATACTATTCATACTGTTTTATACATTCTTTCACTTAATAGTAGAGAACTATTCCACTACAACTATGGAGAGAGCATCTTCTTTAACAGCCTCAGTTTTTATTGTATGAATGTACTATCATGTATTCTAGATCTTTATAGATGGTCATTTAGAGTACTTCCATTCTGCTGCAATGAATAATCTATCATCTTGCATATTGAGGAAGTATATGTTTTAGATGGATTCCCTAGAAGTGGAATAGCTGTATCAGAGGACATGTGTTTTTGTAATTTTCATAGGTAATGCCACACCCTCCGTGTGTGGTACCAATGTACACTTCTAACAGTCATGTATGAGGGTGTCCCTGTCCCATGGCCACACCAAAAGGGATGCCAGGTTTGGAAAATAAAAATACAAGATACTCAGTTAAATTTGAATTTCAGATAAATAATGAATAATTTTTTTTTTTGTATAAGTGTTGGCCCATACAGTTTTCTGTATCTCCATGTGCTACATATTGCGGTTCTTTTTTTGGAAAATACAGCTTGAATGATGGTAAAAATGTAAAAATTATGTCTTTAAGTGTGAAAACATGAATGAAATTTGCCAGGAGGTGTGAGTTTTGCACATTTCTGGATAGTCTGGTCTTATGAAATTGCTTTTAGTTTAAAAAGGTTTTTTTATTTCTTATGAATATTGACTGATTTTAAAATGATTTTATTGAACTTTGATGTTTTAGATGAGAGGTTGTCATGCTATAGTCAAAGGTCCAAATAGGGCCTGCCTCCTGTTTTTGTATGGTTTGCAAGCTAAGAATGGTTTTTACATTTTTAAATGTGGAAAAAAAAATCAAGAAACGAATAATGTTTCATGACACAAACATTGTCGTGTCCATGTTTTACTGGAACCCAGCCACGCTCATTCATTGTGTATTGTCTGTTGCTGCCTTTGTACTGCAGTGGCAGAGTGGAGTAGTTGCAGCAGAGACCAAATGGCCCATAAAGCCTTTTTGTTTTTTTACAGAAGTTTGCTGACCCTTGTTTTAGATCATCTGTGAATAAATTTCACCTGTTTTGTACTTGTGTATCTTTGACGAAAATGGACCTAAGATTTTGTTATCTAATTCATTCAGCTTTCATTTTGTTTTCAAATAATGGCTTGTTTTTTTCTCAATATCCATCAACAGATTGAACGTTCTTTTAATTTTAAAAGATGTTGTCATCAGGCACGTGGTTCTGTGTCATGTATATATTTGTTTTTTTTTTATACTGCTCAGAGTCTGATGAATAACAGTAAAGAAGAAATGCGCGAACTGGCAGCGTTGTTTTATTCTGTAGTGGTATCAACAGTGTCGGGGAATGAGTTGAAATCAATGATAGAACAGCTTATAAAGACTACAAAAGACAATCACGTATGTTATTTTGTTTTCATTCTTTTTTGTGGGAGATAGGGTTTTATAAAAGGATCTAACTTATTTTTGACTTTTATGTTCTCATTTGTAAAATGAACTTACAAATTCCTTGCTTTTATGACCATAAAGAGTAAATGAGATAGGTGATACATTGGTTCAGTCAGCTCACTTAACAGATACGGGTGCTGTGTCTGATAAGCACTGTTTTAGGTGCTAGGAGTACAGTGATTCATAAATACATGAGAATCCCTGGTACAACAGGATGCTCAGAGCCTGCAGCCGTACCACCGTGAACACACCTAATCTCATCTGATCTTGGAAACTAAGCAGGGTCGGGCCTGATGAGTACTGAAAGCGAGAAATGTTAGCTCCTTTTTTCTTCCTCATCTACTGCTGCCAGTGAAAAAACAAGTTTTACTTCACATAGTTTGTTGGTTACCTTGTGTTTGGAGGTTTTGGCAATTAGAAATAGGATCTGTTTATTGTCTTTTGTTGGCAATAGGAAGACATTATGTGTGAAAGTTATGATATTCTAGTTACATAAGTGCTGTAAGCTGGAAAGTGGCGTGGGAGCATGTAGGAGCATGTAGGAAAGTCATCTCACCCGGAATTGGAGTGGGCATGGAATTACAGAATGTAAATCTTAAAGTGAATCAAGATTCAGCTTCTCAAAATTCCGTTAGAAACTCAAGGTTTCTCTTGTTCCCTAAGCTCGATGCATTAGCATCCAGTGAAACCTCGAGTGTTCACTTTATTCTTTAGCCTTATGTTTTGTTGGAGAGATGATCCTAATCGACACACAGTTACTGCCATGTATTCTTGCGTATATGAGAGAGAGCCAGAGATATGCTATTGTTTTTGCTAAATTCAGAGCCCGGAGATACAGCATGGATCCTTGCTTGCATTGGGATTCACGGTGGGAAGGTATTTGGCTAAAAAGAAAATGAGAATGTCAGAGCAACAAGACCTGGAGAGAAATGCTGACACCCTCCCTGATCAAGAGGAACTCATTCAGAGTGCTACAGAAACAATAGGTAATTAATGTCTTTATGTCGATTTGGGTGTTGCAGTTTTTGAATTATGTTAAATTTTAATATGGCGTTTCAGTTTCTTTTTATGGCATTGTATTTGAAAAGACACAAGCTTTTTCACAAAAAACTTACTTGATAAATAATGTATTTTTAGTAACAACGAAGGCTGGGTGTGGTGGCTCATGCCTATAATCTCAGTACTTTGGGAGGCCAAGGTGGGAGGATGACTTGAGTCCAAGAGTTTGAGACCAGTCTAGTCAGCATAGTGAGACCTAGCCTCTACAAAAAAATAAACAAAATTAGCTTGGTATGGTGGCGTGTACCTGTAGCCTCAACTACTGAGGAAGCTAAGGTGGGAGAATCACTGGAGCCTGGGAGGTCCAGGCTGCGGTGAGCTGTGATCATGCCACTGCACTCCCGCCTGGGTGACAGAGCTCGACCTTGTCTCAAAAAACCAAAACAAACAAAGCAAAAAACAAAGCAATGAAAGCACTCTATTTTTTTTCTCTACATTTTTTTCCTACATGTTTTTATAAACAGAGATGATCCTATTATGGGAACAAATTTATACATTAAAAAAATACTACTCTATCCCCTGTTACCATGTTGTCTTTCCACTGAATAAATGTTGGCAAATTGTCAACTAGAAGATATCGTACACTTTGATTTTATTTTGCCGTCTTAAAAAAAACCTTGAGTACATCACTGGTTGCTTTGGGTCGTAAGGATAATGGTATGTAATTCTCTTTTTGGCTAAATGTGCTTACAGGCTCATTTTTGGACAGTACATCACCCCTCCTGGCAATTGCTGCCTGCACAGCCCTGGGTGAAATTGGCAGAAATGGTCCACTTCCAATCCCCAGTGAGGGATCTGGCTTTACCAAATTGCATCTTGTAGAAAGCTTACTAAGTAGAATACCTTCCAGTAAAGAAACAAATAAGGTAAGTTTTTTTCTTATTTTTTCCCTTTCTGGAATTCGGTCTTTCTATGCATACATGAGCAAAAACAGATTATAATGAGAATAGATGGCATTACAGCTGGAGGAAGGATTTAATGTAAAAATGGGTGATAAAGAAGCAAGTCTTAAGTGTTTACTTTTGAGCTAGAGGTTATCTGTGTACAATCTTAGTGTGCACATCTTTTGGCCCAGTCATTCCAATTTAGGTCTTTATAACTGTTAAGATTTGAGTGAAGTATTAAATTCATCAGGAAATATCTTTTGTCATGCAAAAGGTGTATAATAAAATGTTAAGTAATTTTGTGATTTTTTTTTTATTTTAGGCCAAATATAAATCCTAACCTCCTAAAGCCAGTTTTGTGATCAAAACACCTCAATTTTGAGGTGTAAGATGATTTAATGAGCAGAAATATCAGTTTACTACTACAAGTTTAATTGATATAATCTTTTTTTTTTTTTGAGATGGAGTTTTGCTCTTGCTGCTCAAGCTAAAGTGCAATGGCGTGATCTCGGCTCACTGCAACCTCCACCTCCCAGGTTCAGGCAGGTGATTCTCCTGCCTCAGCCTCCTGAGTAGCTGAGATTACAGGCGCACGCCACCATGCCCAGCTAATTTTTGTATTTTTAGTAGAGATGGGGTTTCACCATGTTGGCCAGGCTGGTCTCGAACTCCTGACCTCAGGCAATCCTGCCTGCCTCGGCTTCCGAAAGTGCTGGGATTACAGGCTTGAGCCACCGAGCCTGGCCTAATTCCTATAATCTTAATCTTGGTCTAGCTACTGTTTAAAACTTTCTGAGAAGATATACAGTATAGTTTTTATTAGCTATTAACTAATCATTGCCAAACATTGTTAAGCACTTCTAATGTGCCGGAGAGTATGTTAAGTGCTTTGCATGCATTGATTGAATCTTCTAAAAGGTCTAGTGAAATAGGCACAGTTGTCATCTCTATGTGAGATAACATGAGGAAACAGAGTCACAGAGGGGAAATAACTTGCTTAAGGTCGCACACCAGTATAGGCTGAAATGGTTGAGATGTGATTTGGTCCTAGGTCCTCTGGGCCCAGAACCCACATTTTAAATCGTTATAGTTTGAAAGGTAATAAGCCTAGTTAAAGGCTTTCTTCCTTCTTCTTTTGCAGCTGTGGATCCTTAGTGGACTCACATTTGTGTGTTTCTACCTTCAATGACTTACAGACATACGACTGTAAAATTTGATGCTTTTGTAAAAACTTTTGCGTTGATGTGTTAGATAGACTGCGCTTCCCTGTCATCTCATTTTGGAAATACTGCACTGGGGTAAAGCTATTATATACTCTGTTTAAAAGAAAAAAATTTGGTGTTCTTCCAGATGAAAGAACGAGCAATCCAAACACTGGGATATTTTCCAGTTGGGGATGGAGATTTTCCTCACCAGAAACTCCTCTTGCAAGGTCTGATGGATTCTGTGGAGGTATTTATATTGCTACCTGATTGTTAGTTATTCAGAGAAAAGGCATTGGTCTTTTTTTTTTTTTTAGGTGCAGTTTTGCATGCTGTGAGATTTTTAATTAAGCATTTACTTGTTTATTCACCAGATACTTGAGTACTAGTTTTGTGCTCATCACTGTGCTAGGTATAGCATTGACTAAATCACCTATGAGGGAAAGACCTTTTCTTAAAATTTTTGAGCAAAGTGCGGTGCAGTGTGGGTAGAAGGGGAAACATATCCACATAGCCCGTCAGCCAGATGTGTGGAGTGAGCCACTAAAAAACAGTAGTTCTTGAGTGTTTCAGTTGGTATTTCAGTTGTTTTCAAGTCTGATGATTTAGCTTCTGTCCTCTAGATGCCTAGTGTGTAGTGGAGAAGACCTACAAGTAGGCAAATGCCAAGATACTGTACTAAGTATCTCAGCATGGCCTGATCTGGCCCTGCTTTTCCTAGCCTTGATTCATGACATTCACTCACTTTCTGTATACCAGCCTCTTTGGCCGCCTTGCACTGAGCTTTTGAAAGCCGCCTACTTCCTTCTCGGCTTGTTGCTGTGCTCCTTGAAAAGCCTTCCCTGACCCATCATACTAGGGTAGATTCTTTAGTTACTTGTGCCATCATGTCTCTTGTTCTTTTTCTTCACAGCATTTATCACAGTTTCTAATGGCCCACCAGACTGAATGCAGACTCTGTTTTGCTTACTGTTGTAAAACAAGTGCCTAGCAGTGTGATTGGTAATAGTAGGACCTCAGTAAATATTGGCAGACTAAGTAACCGGATGAAGAGACATTTGCATGTAAGGCAGTAGAATCACAAAGGAAGGTGTAATTCTATCAGGAAGAGTTAGTGTATGTCTTTGGAGGAGAGGTTTCTGCTGGGCCTTAAATGATGGGAGGGAGAAGAGATAATTGAGGCTAAGGGCTGAGGCACCCGAGTAAGAGAGTTGCTATTAGTCTGGATTCTGAATTCAGTATTTTTAAAGTGAATTTTTTTAGACAATCTACGTCTCCTGGGATGTCATTAACATTGTAACCACTTGGAGAGAAACTTATGATAGTGGTTTTCTCATCTTTTTCCTTTTTTGAATCCCTGAGTGAGGTGGGTTTCTTCTAGGTTTTTTTTTTTTTTTTTTTTTTTTTTTTTTTTTTTCTGAGATGGAGTTTTGCTCTGTCTCCCAGGCTGGAGTAAAGTGGCGTGATCTTGGCTCACTGCAACCTCCACCTCCCGGGTTCAAGCGATTCTCCTTCGTCAGCCTCCTAAGTAGTTGGGATTACAAGCGCACGCCACCACACCTGGCTAATATTTGTATTTTTAATAGAGACAGGGTTTCACCATGTTGACCAGGCTGGTCTTGAACTTCTGCCCTCAGGTGATCCGCCCACCTCGGCCTCCCAAAGTGCTGGGATTACAGATGTGAACCACTGCACCCAGCCTGTTTTGTTTTTTTTTTAATGAAGGCTCGTCTGGATTCTTAACTTACTTTTAATGCCATTATTTTAAGAGTTTAGAAATACATGAAAAGCTAGAAATATGGAAATAAGGTAGAGAGATTAAATGATGAGAATAATGAAAAGCATGAAACGGAAGCAGAATATCTTCACAGTCGAATAGGACACAGTGCTGAAGGTTTTTTTGGTTTCTTTTAACTGTTTTTATTTTTTATTTATTTTATTTTTACAATAGGATCTCATTCTCTCACCAAGGCTGGAGTACATTACATCTCCCAGGCTCAAACCATCCTCCCACCTCACCTCCTAAGCAGCTGGGACCACAGGCATGCGCCACCATGCCTGGCTAATATTTTAATTTTTTATAGAGACAGGGTATCCCTGTGTGGCCTAGGGTGGTCTTGAACTCCTGGGCTCAAGTGATCCTCCCACCTGGATCTCCCAAAATGCTAGGATTACAGACATAAGCCACTGTGCCTCGCCCATTTTTAATTTTTTAAATTGATACAAGCATACAATGTGTAATGATCAAATTAGGGTAATTGGGATATCCATCATTTTAAGCATTTATCATTTCTTTGTGTTTGGAGCATGTCAGATTTTCCCTTCTTGCTATTTTGAAATATACAATAAATTCTTATTAACTATTGTTGCCCTGTTGTGCTGCCAAACACTAAAACTTAATTTTTGTAACTGTATTTTAGTTCCCATTAGCCAAGCTCTCTTTCCCCGTTCTCCAGTACCTTTCCTGGCCTCTGGTAACCACCATTTGTTCACTACTTCCATGAGATCAGTTTTCTCACATACAAGTGAGAACATAGGATATTTGCTCTGTGCCTGGCTTATTTTTGCTAAATATAATGTCCTCCGGTTCCATCTATGTTGCCGTCAGCAACAGGATTTCATTATTTTTTATGGCTGAATAATATTCCATTGTGTATATATACCACTTTTAAAAAATCCATTCATCTGTTGCTGGACACTTAGCTTGATTTCTTGTTTTGGCTATTGTTAATAGTGCTGCAGTAAACATTGGAGCACAAATACCTCTTCAGAATACAGATTTTCTTTCTTCTGGATATATACTCAGGATACATACTGGGATTGCTGGGTTATATGATAGTTCTATTTTTAGTTTTTTGAGGAACCTTCATACTGTTTTCCCACCAACAGTGTATGAATGTTCCCCTTTCTTCACATTCTGACTATCAGCTGTTGTTTTCTGTCTTCTTGATAATGGCTGTTCTAACTAGGGTGAGATGAGATCTCATTGTGGTTTTTCTCTGTATTTCTATCATGATCAGTGATGCCAGACTTTTTGTTGTATACCTATTGGCCATTTATATACCTTTTTTTGAGAAATAACTGTATTCAGATCTTTTGTCCCTTTTCAAATCAGATTGTTTATTTGCTATTGAGTTGAATTCCTTACTTATTGTGTATTTTAATCTCTTGTCAGATGGATAATTTGCAGATATTTTCGTCTATGCCATAGGTTGTCTCTTCACTCTGTTGGATGTTTCCTTTGCTGTGCAGAAGCTTTTTAGCTTGATATAATCCCATTTGTCAATTTTTGCTTTAGTTGTCTGTGCTTTTATGATCTTGAGAAATCTATGCCCAGACCAGTATCCTGAAGTGTTTCTCCAGTGTTTTTTTATAGTAGTCTTGTAATTCAGGTCTTAGATTTAAGTCCATTTTGGTTTGATATGGTGAGACAAAGGGGCCCAGTTTCATTATTCTACATGTGGATATCTAGTTTTTCCAGCACAACTTATTGAAGAGACTGTTCCTTCCTCAATATATGTTCTTGATGCCTTTGTTGAAAATGAGTTGACTGTAAATCAGTAGATTTATCTTTGGGTTCTCTATTCTGTTCCATTGGTGTATGTGTCTGTTTTTATGCCAGTTTCATGCTGTTTTGCTTACCATAGCTTTGTAATATATTTTGAAGTCAGGTAATGCAATGCCTCTGGCTTTATTCTTTTTGCTCAGTATTTCTTGCTCATTATTCAGGGTCTTTGGTGGTTTCATAGCAATTTTAGGATTGTTTTTCTAGTTCTGCTTTGATGAACGTCATTGATATTTTGATAGGGATTATATTGAATCTGTAGATCGTTTTTGGTAGTATGGAAATTTTAATAATACGATTTCAATCCATGAACATGGGCTATGTCTTCTCTTTTGTGTGTTCTTTTTAATTTTTTTCATCAATGTTTTATAGTTTTCAGTACAGAGATCTTTTGCTTCTTTGGTTATAATTTATCCCTAGGTTTTTTTTTTTTTTTTTTTTTGGTAGCTATTATAAGCAGGATTGCTTTCTTGACTTCTTTTTCAGATTGTTTGCCGTTGGCATATTAGTCTGTTCTCGCACTGCTATAAGTGGGTAACTTATAAAGAAAACAGGTTTAATTGACTCACAGTTCTGCAGGCTGTACAGTAAGCATGGCTGGGAAGGCCTCAGGAAACTTACAATCTTGGCAGAAGGCGAAGAGGAAGCAGGCATGTCTTACATGGCAGGAGCAGGAGAAAAATAACAAAGCGGGAGGTGCTACACGCTCCCTGTCAGAACAGTAAGGGGGAAGTCCACCCCCAAGATCCAGTCACCCCCCCACCAGGCCTCTCCTCCAACATTGGGGATTACGATTCAGTCATGAGATTTGGGCAGGGACACAAATCCAAAGCATATCACATATAATGCAACTGTTTGTATGTTGATTTTGTATCCTGTAACTTACTTTATCAGTTCTAATAATTTTTTTGTTTATCTTTTAAAGAACCCAGTTTTTCATTTCATTAAACTTCTGTAGTTTTTTTAGTCTCAATTTCATTTACTTCTGTTCTGAATTTTATTATTTCTTTCCTTTATTAATTTTGGGTTTGCTTTGCTTTTGCTTTTCTAGTTCTTTAAAGTGCATCATTATGTTGTTTATTTGAAGTCTTTGTACTTTTCTGTACTTTGTACTTTTATTACTATAAAATTCCCACTTAGCACTGCTTTTGCTGTATCCCATAGATTTTGGTATGTTGTGTTTTTATTTTCTTTTTTATCAAGAAATTTTAAATTTTTCTTTCTTAATTTTTTCATAGATCCATTGGTTGTTCAGGAACGTGTTGTTTAATTTCCATGTATTTCTGTAGTTTCCAAAGTTCTACTTATTACTGATTTCTAGTTTTATTCCATTATGGTCAGAAAAGATACTTGATATGATTTGGATTTTTTTTGAATTGCTTGAGACTTGCTTTGTGGTCTAACATATGGTCTATCCTGGAAAATGTTCCATGTGCTGATGAGAAAACGTGTATTCTATAGCAGTTGGATGAAATGTTCTGTAAATGTCAGGTCCATTTTGTCTAGAGTGTAGTTCAGTTTTGATTTGGGTTGTTTGATTTTCTGTCTGAATGACCTGTCCATTATTGAAAGTGGGGTGTTGAAGTCAGTCTTCAGCTATTATTGTGTTGCAGTCTGTCTCTCCCTTTAATAAATCTATTATGCTTTATACGTTTGAGTGCTCCAATAGTGTTTGCATATATATTTATAACCTTTATATGCTCTTGCTGAATTGAGCCCTTTATCATTATGTAATGACCTAGGTCTTTTTCTAGTTTTTGACTTGAAATCTATTTTATCTGATGCAAGTATAGTTACTTCTATTCTTTTTTGGTTTTCATTTGCATGGAAGTATCTTTTTCATACCTTTACCTTCAATCTATTTGTGTCTTTATAGGTGAAGTCTTTTTTTTTTTCTTTCGGAGATGGAGTCTCGCTCCATTGTCCAGGCTGGAGTGCAGCAATCTCAGCTCAGTGCAGCCTCCACCTCCTGGGTTCAAGAGATTCTCCTGCCTCAGCCTCCTAAGTAGCTGGGCCTACAGGCACAAGCCACCATGCCCAGCTAATTTTTTTTTTTTTTTTTTTCAGTAGAGATGGGGTTTTGCCATGTTGGCCAGGCTGGTCTTGAACCCCTGACCTCAAGTGATCTGCCCACTGTGGCCTCCCAAAGTGTTAGGATTACAGGTGTGAGCCACCGTGCCCAGCCAAAGTGAATTTCTTGTAGGCAGCATATAGTTGGTCTTGTTTTCTTATTCATTGAGCCATTCTGTATCTTTTAATCAGATAAGTTAGTCCATCAACAGTCAGTTTATTATTGTTAGGTAAAGACTTAACTACTGCCAGTTTGTTTTTTGTTTTCTGGTTGTTTTGGAAGTCCTCTCTTTTTTTCTTTCTGTCTTCCTTTGTGGATAAATGATTTTTTCTCATAGTATGTTTTACTTTTTATTTTTAGTTTATCTGTTTAGACTTTTTTGAGTTGTGGTTTCCCTAAGGGGTTCAGAAAATATAACAAGTTTGATGACAACTTCACTTTGATCACAAGAAAAGAACAAAAACAAGCAAAGAAAAAACTTAAAAACTCTGTTTTAATTCCAGTACCCCCATTTTTTGGCTCTTTGTTTTCTCAACTTGTATCTTTTTATATTGCCAGTCTTTCAACAAATTGTTGTGGTCATTATTTTTGAAAAGTTTATGTTTTAGTCTTCATACTAAAGATTCTATGGAGTATTAGATAAGGATACTGAAGATACTCTAATACAAAGATACTCTTAATACTCCACAATATTAGAGTATCTTTAAATGCAGTATTAGAGTGTCTTTAGTATCTTTAGAATACTCTATAAAGTATTAGAGTATTTTGAATTTGTCTGTGTATTTACATTTTTTGTTGCATGCTAGAATTCTTTTCTTTCAGATTGAAGAACTGTAGCATTTTTTGTAAGACACATCTGGTGGTAGTGAATTCCCTCATCTTTTGTTTACCCAGGAAAGTCTTCATTTATCCTTTATATTTGAATGTTGTGGGAAGTCAGGGACCCCAAGTGGAGGGACCGGCTGAAGCTGTGGCAGAAGAACATAAATTGTGAAGATTTCATGAACACTTACCAGTTCCCAAAATTAATACTTTTATAATTTCTTATGCCTGTCTTTACTGCAGTCTCTGAACATAAATTGTGAAGATTTCATGGACATTTATCACTTCCTCAATCAATCCTCTTATAATTTCTTATGCCTGTCTTTACTTTATCTCTTAATCCCATCATCATTGTAAGCTGAGGATGTATGTCAGGACCCTGTGATGATTGTGTTAACTGTATAAATTGTTTGTAAAACGTGTGTTTGAACAATATGAAATCAGTGCACGCTGAAAAAGAACAGAATAACAGTGATTTTCAGGGAACAAGGAAAGATAACCGTAAGGTCTGACTGCCTGCAGGGTCGGGCAGAATAGAGCCATATTTTTCTTCTTGCAGAAAGCCTGTAGACAGATGTGTGAGCAGGAGAAGTATCACTTAATTCTTTTCCCAGCAAGGAATATTAATAATTGAGACCCTGGGGAAGGAATGCATTCCTGGCGGGAGGTCTATGAATGGCTACTCTGGGAGCGTCTGTCTTATGTGGTTGAGATAAGGACTGAAATATGCCCTGGTCTCCTGCAGTGCCCTCAGGCTTGCTAGGATTGGGAAATTCCAGCCTGGTGAATTCTAGTCAGACTAATTGTCTGCTCTCAAACCCTGTTTCCTGCTAAAATGTTTATCAAGACAATGTGTGCACAGCGGGACACAGACCCTCATCAGTAATTCTAATTTTGCCCTTGCCTTGTGATCTTTTATTGCCCTTTGAAGCATGTGATCTTTGTGACTTACTCCCTGTTTGTACACCCCCCTCCCCTTTCAAAATCCCTAATAAAAACTTGCTGGTTTTGCGGCTCAAGGTCGCCATCACGGTCCTACCAATATGTGACGGCACCCCCGCAGGCCCAGCTGTAAAATTTCTCTCTTTTTACTCTTTCTATTTCTCAGACCAACCGACACTTAGGGAAAATAGAAAAGAACCTACATTGAAATATTGGGGGCTGGTTCCCCTGATATTTGAAGGATAGCTTTGCTGGGTACAGTATTCTCAGTTGCAAGGATTTTTTTCTTTCTTTCTTTCTTACTTTTAGCACTTTGAATATGTTATTTCACTCCCTCCTGGCCTGTAAGGTTTCTGTCACCAGACGTATCAGAGCTCCTTTATATCTTACTTGCTTCTTTTCTCTTGGTACTTTGAGGATCCTCTCTTCATCCATGACCTTTGTGAGTTTATTATATGCCTTGGGGTAATCTTAATTGGATTGAATTTTCTTGGTGTTCTTTGACCTTCTTTTACCTGGGTGTTCATCTTTTTCTAGGTTCTGAAAGTTTTCTTTTGATTATTTCTTTGAATAAACTTTCTAACCTGTTTCTTTCTCTGTTTCCTCTTTAAGGCAAATAACTCTTAGCCTCTTTGAAGCTGTTTTCCAGATCTTGTAAGTGTATCTCATTCTTCTGCATTTTTTTCCTCTGACTGTGTGTTTTCAAGTAGCCTGTCTCAGAGCTCACTAATTCTTTCTTCTACTTGATCAGTTCTGCTGTTGAGACACACTGAAGCATTTTTCAGTCATCCATTATATTTTTCAGCTCTAAGATTTGATTTTTTTCCCCCATTTTAATCTCTTTACTAAATTTCTCTTATAAGTTTCTGAATTCCTTCTCCATGTTTTCTTGAAGTTGTTAAGCATTCTTAAAACAGCTATCTTGAATTCCCTGTCTGAGAGGTCACATATCTACACCACTCCAGGATTGGTCACTGGTGCCTGCTTAGTCTGTTTGTTTAGGGTGAATGTTTTTTCGAACATGTTTTCTCAAATGTCCTCGATGCTTGTGAACATTCGTCAGTGTTTGGGCATTGAAGAGTTAAATATTTATTCCAGTCTTCACAGTCTGGCCTTGTTTGTACCTGTCCTTCAGAGGGCCTTCCAAGAATTCAAATATGACTGAGTGTTGAGTTCCCTAAGCCTGTGGTCACTGCAGTTGTTTCAGCACTAGAGGGCACCCTAAGCCCAGGTGTGCTGCAACTCTTACAGATACCTAGATACCCAGCATTGATGGACTTGGGGAAGATAAGGGAACATTCTCTGGGTTCCCAGGCAAAGTTTCTTGCTCTCTTCCCTCTCTCTCCCCCAGGTAGAGGGAGTGTCTCTCCACAATAAGCTGCCTGAAGTTAGGGGAGGGTAATGTGGGCACTCCTGTGGCCACAGCAGCTAGCACCATGCTGGGTTACACCCAAAGCCCATGGCCTCCCAGACCAGCACAGTACCAGGGCTCACCCAAGGCCTGTGGCCACCTGACTGCCGCTGATGCTTTTTCAAAGATGAGGCTGCTTTAGTCAGCAGGTGTTGGAGCCAACCAGGACTTGGGACTTAGGTTGTTCATGCCACATGAGCAGATTCCCTTCTTGCCTGGGGTGGGTCTAGAAGTGCTCTTCCACAGCAGCATCCTGGAAGTGGGGCTTTCGGACTCTGCCTGGTCCTTTGTTTTATTGTGGGTGGGCTGGTGCCTGGTTGCGAGACAAAGTCTTCTGTATTTTTGCTTTTCCTCCCTCCAAGTGTGGTCTAGCCGCTGGTGAAATTTATTTGTGGGCCTGAGGCCATTTTAGTCAGCTGACTTGGGTTCCTCTCAGTGAAGAAGCTGATTCCCCTCTGGCCCAGATTTGGTCTAAGTGCTCCCTCCTTGGGCACTGGCAGAATTCTGCCTGATGCTGTGACCGGGTGTTACTGAGTTGCAATGTGAAGTATCACACTCATTTTGCTCTGCTTCACCCAAGCACACAGGTTCTCTTTCCAAGCTGTGCTGCCTGGGACTCGGGGAGGGGTGGTATAGGCAGTGTGTACTTCCCACTCTATTCAGTCAGTCTCCTCTTGTTATTATGCTGAAGCCAGGTACTGTGATGTCTCACCTGATTTAGTTTTTATGAAGGTGCTTTTTTGGTGGATAGTTCAGTTTGATGTTCCTGCATTAGATGGGGAGGGGATGAGATTCTGTTGGGCTTTTTTTTTCTCAATTTTAAGTTTTTGTAGGTACATGGTGGGTGTATATATTTATGGGGTACATGAGGTGTTTTGATACAGACATGCAATGCTTAATAATCACATCATGGAGAATAGGGTATCCATCCCCTCAAGCATTTCTTTTGAGTTGCAAACAATCCTATTATATTCTTTTAGCTATTTTAAAATGTACAATTAAATTATTATTGACTATAGCCACACTAGTTTGCTATCAAAGAGTAGTAGGTCTCATTCATTCTTTTTTTTTTTGAGACGGAGTCTCACTCTGTTGCCCAGGCTGGAGTGCAATGGTGCAATCTCAGCTCACTGCAACCTCCACCTCCTGAGTTCAAGCGATTCTCCTGCCTCAGCCTCCCAAATAGCTGGGATTACAGGCTTACACCACCATGCCCGGCTAATTTTTTTATTTTTAGTAGAGACGGGGTTTCACCATATTGGCCAGGCTGGTCTTAAACTCCTGACCTCAGGTGATCCGCCCACCGTGGCCTCCCAAAGTGTTGGGATTACAGGTGTGAGCCACTGCACCTGGCCTGAATTCATTCTTTCTAACTATTTTTTTGTACCTGTTAACCATTTCCACCTCCCCGTTCAGCCACTTTGCCCTGCCGCCTGCTCCCTCTTGTAACTTTTTATTATAGGAAATTTCAAACATACACAAAAATAGAATAATAATATAATGAATCCCCATGTATCTGTTCATATTTTCTCTATTGAACCCCCCTTTATTTCTGGATTATTTACAGCAATGTCCAGATAGTATATTATTCATAAATGTAGCTGTGGAGTTTTGTTTTTGTTTTTCATGCCAGCTGTGTTGTTATTAACTACAGGAAACATGCAAAAACAGGTACAGGTACATAAAATGAACCCCTAATAAGGATTATGTTGAAATACCTTTTTTCAGCTTGAAGTTGCCAAGAGAAGCTTTTAACCAGGGAAGCTGTAGGACTAAAGCCTTTAAATCTTTTTTCCTCAGACTAGGAAGCTTGTGGCATTAGTACGTGATGCCTCATCACAACTAGAGCGTTTGTTGATTGGCGTAGGAAAGTCTCAGCTGTTGTCTTTGTGCTTTGAAGAGTAGCGTGTTTATAGCCCTCACATGCTGTCTGTTCATTCCCTTATTTCTCCTTTTCCTCCTAAATTTCTTCCGGTTCACAGTAAAAAGTGGAAAATGCAGGTCTAGGTAGTTACATGTTGGGTCAGTGACTCCTACTAGTGAATCATGTCAACATTTCTGAATAAAATTTTAAAACACTTGAGTGGGTACTATATAGAATTTTCTAATGTTTGACTTTTGAAATGCTTTCAAACTTACAGTGAAGCTGTAAGAATAGTGTAAAGAACTCCTGTGTGCCCTTTATCCAGATTTACCAAATTTTAACATTTCACATATGCTTTATTATTCTCTTTTTTCTGAGCCACTTAAAAGTAACATCAAGATATCATATAATTTAAGAGTGCAAAGAGTTAAATAATTGTTAAATAAATGTTAATAAAATATAATGGCTACTATTTATTGTGGAGTAACCACAATCAAGCATCCTATATAATAGTTTTATGTACATTAACCTCATTTAATTCTTAAAGCCTAATGCTGTGGATGACGATATTATGCCCCTTTTACAAATGAAGTTTTTGAGGCTCATAGAAGTTTAAATAAGGGTTTATAGGTGGTGAGAGATAGCTAGAATTTATATTGAGACTTACATGGCTTCAAAGTTGATGGGGTTTTCTGTCTTCCTTAGGTGAACCATATTATGCTTCCAGAGATCATAAATCACTGCTTAGTGGTTCTCTACTGAGGGTGAGGAGGGCAGCAAAGACTTTGAAAAATATCTTCAAGGGATTCTTATATCCTCCACTCCCTCACCATCCCTGGCCTTTGAGCCATTGAATTAGCCGAAAGCAAACTAGGGCAAAGAGTGAAAACAAAACATGCTCAGAACCACACTTTTAAGCAGGCTTTCTGTAGAAATGGATGTTTTTGGGAAATGTGTTTTCTCATTCATGGTTTTTACTTCCTTCGTTGCAGGCCAAGCAGATAGAACTTCAGTTCACTATTGGCGAAGCCATTACCAGTGCTGCAATAGGAACTAGTTCTGTGGCTGCCCGAGATGCCTGGCAAATGACTGAAGAGGAATATACTCCACCTGCTGGTACCAAATATTCAGCTAATCGATTTATAATGATCAAGTAACCTTTTTTTGTTCTCTTTATCACATTTGAGGCAAAAACATTACACATTCCATATTACTGTTTTCAAATATTTATATCTGTTTTACCAATTTCATTCAGTCAAGAAAAATAGTTGAGTGAAGAAGACAGCATGAGGCTGGGCACAGTGGCTCATGAGTGCCTGTAATCCCAGCACTTTGGGAGGCCGAGGTGAGCGAATCACCTGAGGTCAGGAGTTAGAGACCAGCCTGGCTAACATGGTGAAACCCCATCTCTACTAAAAATACAAAACTTAGCTGGGCGTGGTGGCACAAGCCTGTAATCCCAGCTACTCGGGAGGCTGAGGCCTGAGAATTTCTTGAACCTGGGAGGCGGAGGTTGCAAGTGAGCTGAGATTATGCCACTGCACTCTATCCTGGGCGACAGAGTAAGACTCTGTCTCAAAAAATAAAAAGCAGACAGCATGAAATTAGTTAACTTCTTTTTCTGACCCTTTGGCAAGCAAGCAGGGGAGTCAGCTTTGGATTACCTTGAAGCTTGTGCTCTTTTCACGAGGATTTATGTATTTAGCCAGTTTCAGAATTCAAGGTATAGTTGTTTCCAGATGATGTGTCCTCTAATCCTTTATTACATAATGAAGCCTCAGTGCCTTCTGCTAGCGCTCTAGGTACACTGGCTTTTAGTGACAGCATATAGTTGAGGGAACATGTGGTTTCTGACTTTATGTTTTATATATTATGATTTCAAGTTTGTTGTGGTTTGATTTGAATTTGGAATTGAAAATATATTTTAGTATTTGAGCTAGAATAAAAAAAAATTTAAACAGAAGGAAAAGTCACCACATTTTTATATTTTATCCTCTCAAGTGAGGAAATTAAAAGAGAGTATTCTCATGGTAACAATTTTATTGTATATTGTGTTCCATCATGAATAATGCATTAATTTAGTTATTGCACTTAGTGTTACAGTTAACATTTAACTCCACGGTAATGCGTTCACCTATTATTTCATTAGCCACCCTAAAGAGATTTAAAGGAAATAGAAAAACACACTTTTGCTTGCACTGTAATGAGAGTTGTGGATTGACGGAAGCTGAATCAGAGTCAGTTCTTTGAGGTTTTTCTTTGAACACACATGAAGCAAGGCAAGGAGCAGTTTGTATAGAAGGAAGGAGGTAAGGAAGGGAAGCAACATTGTTAACAAGAAGACAACCAAACCTGAAGTGGGAATTTTCAGGTTGCATGTGAGAGGTGGTAACAGAGGCTTGACAACAGGGAGGGCTCACACTGAGGAGTGGGTTTGCTGTGAGAGGCATGTTTTTGACTCCATGGGTTTTTTACCTAGTGACTTAAGCAAGTAGAGGTTAGTAGAGAGGCATCTGTGCCAGTCTTCATCCTCTGAACTCTTGTATTGCCTCAAACTCTTCTTGGAAGATTGCATCCTGCTTGGCTTTTTACTCATGCAAAGGAATCTCCAATTGTCCATTAAATGTTGAAGTTCTATTTTTGTCTGTTTTGGGAAAGGAAAACATAAAATATTGTGGAGAAGGGAGGGATGATGAATCTCTGACGTGAATTTTGATCATGCGTGTTCTATGTCATTCTCATCTGAGTGCTTCTTAGCCTTTGGATGTCATTGTTGGTTACAGTGTACCAATCTTGCTGTGAGTAGAATGAACAGCATTTGAGAAGCCAGTTAGGGCCCAGGTCTTAGCCGTCTTAACATCTCTACATAATATCCTGGGCATGTTATGGGAATCTAGTAAGGACTTGTTGGTTTTATAATTGTAGATGCCCAGATAGCAGAACTGCTGGCAGCTAGAGTTGTGGTTACAGGAATTAAAAGAAGGGATTCTGACTCTGAGAACTGGAGTAATGTGATCAATGAGGAGTTATGAAGGGACAAGGGGCGGAGGGGAATTGACCATGTCATGTACTGCCAATAGATCGACTAAAGTGAGAATTGAGAAACCATCATTGGACTTAGCAACAGGAAAGTCATTCGTGATTTCTATGACTAATTTCTATGGAGAAGAGAAGGTAAAAGGCTGATTTGGAGTGGGCTCAAAAAAGAGAAGAGCAAAGTTTGAACATGAGTTTAAACAACTATTTTGAAGGGTCTTAATGTAAATCATTGGTTTGTCACTGGAGGAATGAGATTTTTCCCCCTAGACACTTGGTAATGTCTAGACACTGGGGAGGGTGGGTGCCACTGGTCTCTAGTGGGTGAAGGCACAGGATGCTGCTAGACATCCTGCAGTGTATAGCACAGCTTTGTATGATAAAGAATTATCCAGCCACAATGTCGGTAGTGTTGAGGTTGAGAAACCCTGGAGTAATAAAGGAAAGGAGAAAAACAGTATGGTAGCTGGAGGAGGAAAGTAAGTGCAAAATAAGTTTGTTAGTTTTTAGATGGAAGATGAGAAACATCTAGTAGACAAAAATTGCTGACACTAGAGAGATTAGGGATAAGTTTTCATTCTCAGGAACTAAAAAGTTACTCGAGTACCTTTGAAATGTAATTTTGTTTACACTAGGTTCTAGAGTGGATAATTATTGATTCCTTCAGCAACTTTAAACACCTTAGCCATTTAGATTTTTATATAGGATTGTTCTGTTGAGTAAATGTTGATTTGAATTTAATTTTTTCAGGAAACTATGTTGAGTTATTTTAATTCTTTGTTATTTTTCTTTGCTTTTCCCCAGGAGCCAAAGTGAATGATGTGGTTCCATGGGTGTTGGATGTGATTTTAAATAAACATATCATCAGCCCCAACCCACACGTGAGGCAAGCAGCCTGCATCTGGCTCCTTTCCCTTGTCAGGAAGCTAAGTACCCACAAAGAAGTGAAGGTGAGCCATGCTGTATGTGGTCAGCCCTGTTGGAAACCACAGTATTATAAGTAGCAAGGAAAGCATATGAGGGTGAAGGTCATTAACCAATAGTAGGTATTTTGAAATACATTGTACATGAAGGAATGAAGGATGGTGGCCTGATGTATATAGGCTGGAAGATGATTCTAGCCTTGAAGGAATAAAGTCAGAAGTGCTTGAGATAGGAAGGCTCAGTTGGGGCAGTGGTCAGCTTGCATGTGTTAGACTACGTGTAAGTGGTGCAGCTCCAGGTGATTTGGGCCACCTGTAAAGATGAGAGCAAAACAGCGATTGTAACTGGCTTGGATAATAAGACTACAAATTTTGTACACGGTGAGAGCAAGACTCTTATTCTCTCAAAGAGGTAGAGTTTCAGTGTTCTAATGCCTTTTTTCTTCTTTCAGTCTCATCTTAAAGAAATTCAAAGTGCATTTGTTTCAGTTCTATCAGAAAATGATGGTAGGTTGTTAATATTTGATTTCTAAACTTAATTGAACTTGTATTTTAAATGTTCAAAAACCTGGATTAATGAACATGAAAGAAAACTTTCTTGAGCTGTGTGATTAAAACAATTATTAAACCTTATTTGTTAGTAGTAAGGATAAGCATTATGTTAATGTTTAGAAACCAAAATTTCTAGTTAGGATACAGGAAACTTAGATTCTTTCTCATTTATTGGTTTATACATTAGAACATGTTCCTCAACTCTGCATTTTAAAATGGAGCCGAGGCCTTCTTTAACATTAGTATCTCTCCTAATAGCTTTTTTCTGCCTCTGGTTACTTTTCCTCTCTGATTTAAGCTAGGAGAGAGTGAACGTATATGTGTTAAATCTTTCAGTACTAAGCTTTGTTTTATAACTTGTTTTAAACATATGGTCTTGCATTGACTTTTAAAAGTTAGGTCTGAGTGTATTGAGATCTTGTGAGGCTGTTTTATCTCTGATGTATGACTTACAGCCCATGGATAATCTGTCGCTGCACTGTCCAGTGACACTGTATAGGTCCATCAGTATTGTCTAGATTTGTGAACTGGATCTTCTGTGAATGTGGTTCTCATTTACAGTAACTTGTGTGGTGCCATGTCCCCTGAAATGATTATTATTTTTAACAAAATAGGCATATTGATTCTGTTTTTATATCTTTACTTTGATATCATTTTGGGTCAGTGTCAACATAACTTTAAAAATTTTGATTTCATAGCAAGTAGACAAAATTTTTTTTAAAGTGATACAATCTTGTCTGACTTTCTTGTAGAACTTAGCCAAGATGTTGCATCAAAGGGCCTTGGGTTGGTTTATGAACTAGGCAATGAACAAGATCAACAGGAATTGGTTTCTACACTTGTGGAAACACTTATGACTGGCAAAAGGTATGGTGAACTTGAAAATTTTAGATTCAAGCCCATAGAGGAAGTCTCTACACATAGTGAGAAGATGCTGGAGAAGGAAGATTCGGCTTTCCATGTTTTGGTTTATGAAGCCTTTTCTAAGTTGCGAGTCCATAATTGTTGTGCTGTGGATAGCACAATTATTCCAGGGTATACTGTTAACTTTAGGAGCATGCCACTAGGTCAAGCGTCGAAAGTTTAATGGTCTCAGATAATGTATTGGGTTAGAAAAATGCCGTAATTACTGTTGGCTAAATGGAAGTTAAGATACGGAGAAGAAGCTTGCATATCATTCATAGTCTAACCCGTGAAGAGTGTGAGGGGAAATCATCTGTGTAAGGGATTGCTGCTTCATGTTGCCTCCCTTGTAGGAAGGATAGTTTTTCATGTGCTACCACATTTAATTCAGTGGAAATTATGTGAAATGTCTTTTTCATCTGTTAATTTGTTCATTCTGAATTCATTTTATAAAATTTGCAGCCTGTTGGAAAGGGCTGTTTTTTGTTGTTGTTGTTGTAGTCTTGCTCTGTTGCCCAGGCTGGAGTGCAGTGGCACGATGTCAGCTCACTGCAACCTCTGCCTCCCTGGTTCAGGTGACTCTCCCGCCTCAGCCTCCCGAGTAGCTGGGACTACAGGCGCGTGCCACCATGCCCGGCTAATTTTTTGTATTTTTAGTAGAGATGGCGTTTCACCATGTTAGTCAGAATAGCCTCGAACTCCTGACCTAGTGATCCACCCACCTCGGCCTCCCAAAGTGCTGGGATTATAGGTGTGAGCCACCGCGCCCGGCCGGAAAGGACTTTTATATCTTGTACACAGTAAATGCTTGATAGGAAGTTTTATCACTTTGTAAATGAATCGTATTGGCTAGTTGAATGTTGGTATGAAAAGCTTGAAGCTTATTGAAATTATTGTTTTGGTTTAGAGTTAAACATGAAGTTTCTGGAGAGACAGTGGTATTTCAAGGGGGAGCTCTTGGCAAAACACCAGATGGGTAAGTATGCTAAATCCATTGAATGGTAAACATCTTTAAATATATATATGCATTTATTAGTCTGGTAAATAGAGCAGTCATGAAGTTGATTTCTACCCTCTTAGGAAATGTTATCTATTGGTGGAAGAAGAAAACTTACATGGAAAAAAGTCTGATGTCTTTTTTTTTTTTTTTGAGATGGAGCCTCACTTTTGTTGCCTAGGCTGGAGTGCAGTGGAGTAATCTCGGCTCACTGCAACCTCCGCCTCCTGGGTTCAAGCGATAGATTCTCCTACCTCAGCTTCCCAGGTAACTGAGATTACAGGCACCTGCCACCACGCCTGGCTAATTTTTGTATTTTAGTAGAGACGGGGTTTCACTATGTTGGTCAGGCTGGTGTCAAACTCCTGACCTCAGGAGATCCACCCACCTCGGCCTCCCAAAGTGCTGGGATTACAGGCGTGAGCCACTGTGCCTGGCAGGCTGACGTCTTAAATTGAGTGTCCTGGGAAACAAACTCTGAGTTAGATTTCTGTGTGGGAAATTTACTGGGGAGTGCCCTAGGGGTCACTCTGGGGGGATGAGGAGGCAGGATAGGGCCTATGACTGAGGGAGGGGCGGAACTGCTACCATCGTTTCAGTGGATACCAGCCTCTTGAGGAGCTCTGAGCTGGCACAGGTGGCCTTTCGGAGTTGTTCTGCTTTGAGGCATGGAGCCTGGCCCTTTATGTCCTCTCAGTGACCAGCCATTGGTGGTGGGCTGCTGCGTGGGAGCCCATGATGTTGGGCTCTCAGGGCAGTTGTGGGAGACTGACTAGGCCAACAGCTGTCAGCTCTCAGGCAGCTGAGTCCTGCAGAACACCTGGAAGCATAGCTAGGTGCACCCACTGCCGCTAGTTTTGGGTGGGTGTAATTCTTTATCTTAGAGGCCACTACTTTAGCATTTAAAATAAATTCCTTGAGCTTGACCGCCTTTATTTTATCATGCTTTATTTCTACGGATCGTTAGGCAAATCTTTGCTGGTTGCAGGGCCTTGCTGTGGTGTCACACACGAGCCTGCTTCATTGTTGTCTGCAGCAGGAGAAAGCTGCAGTTTGTTCCATCGTTGACGTTCCCCCACAGTACACTGTTATCACATCAAAAGTTGTTTTCATTGTACTTAACTCTCCTTGTAGACTCCTTCTAAGTTTTTAAAAAAGTGCTTACATTTTACAAAATAACAAAACAATTAGATATTTGAGCCAATATTATTTGTTCAGAGGAAAGTTAACAAGACTCAATCAGAATTAGGGTGGTCTAGCTTAGAAAAGACTTAGGGAAGACAGATGTTGTCTTCCAATGACTCTCTTATGATCACGTGAGATTATGCATAACATAATGAAGAATTATTGAGTTGCATCTCCAGGTGGTGAGTGGACCGTGGCTATGGACTTAGAGGTGCATTTAGGTCATTTATCAGCAGCAATGTAGAGGGGCTTAGGAATTGCTAATAGTTGAATTAGGTGACTTTTTATATTCTTACTAACTTGTGTTCTGTCTCCATGGTGATAACTCAGTATTAGAAATTGAGTGAAAATTTGATTTTAGTATGTCCTAGTAATATTGATGATGTAATTTTTTAGGCTGGAGAGAGAGAAGTGTATTATTGCCTACCTCTTTTTCTTTGTTTCCAAGTCAGGGCCTTTCTACTTACAAGGAACTTTGTTCTCTGGCAAGTGATCTTAGCCAGCCAGATCTGGTGTATAAATTTATGAATTTAGCCAACCATCATGCAATGTGGAACTCTAGGAAGGTAAGTTGCTATCACTGGACAATTATTTATTTTTTTCATGCAAACCAAACATGCTACATTGGCAGACAGTGGCAAATGGTATGTAGTGCATTTTGTGAAAGTCTGTGCCTGATGAGAAAGCTGAACCCCACAAATGCTGTTGATTGGAAAGACCAATAAATCAGGCTGTATTTAGGCATAAGTTTGGAGGGAGAATTTTTTGCTATGTTAATATTTTACTATAATGGTGCATCTGAGTCACTTCAGCCTATTATTTTTAGGGTGCTGCTTTTGGTTTTAATGTAATTGCTACCAGAGCTGGAGAGCAGCTGGCTCCTTTTCTGCCTCAGCTAGTTCCTCGACTTTATCGTTACCAGTTTGATCCCAACCTTGGCATTCGACAGGCCATGACAAGTATTTGGAATGCGTTGGTCACTGACAAATCCATGGTAAGTGTCTGTGAACCCCTGTGTTAGGAAAACACTGTAGACTGTCCAGGGTCATGCATAGGATTTAAACCCAGTGTCCATCTTCCTTTCTACTTTTTATGTTTACTTGTTTAAACAAATAAATTGTCTTTCATTCCATGCTTTCTTCCTTCTTTCAAGGTATCAAAGATGTGTATGGCAACATTTATTGAAATCTCCAAAAGGGAAACAATATAAATGTCCACTGGGAAGATGGTTAAGGAAATGATTATGTATTCACACAAATGGAATAGTAAATGTGGATAGGGACTGTTGATGGAATGGAGAATGGGTCATAGTCCCATCTCCAATGAATTCAGTTAGCTGGGGAGACAGACAAGGAAGCAGGCAATTGCCATTTTGTTTTCTCTGTTGGTGTCCTCTCATCTGGCTGTTAATCATGTTCTGTCCCACTTTTAGATATTAAGATTTCTCAGGGCTTGTCTCTGAGTATCTTTTGCTCTCTGAGCCTTCTCTATATCAATCAGTTCCAAGGCATGTAAATGTCATCTTTATTGTGAAAGTTCCCAACCTTACACTTTTGGTCCAGATGTCACTTGCACTTTAGACATGCATATGTAACTGTTTACTTGAAAATTTCACTTCAGTGTTGTTTCAGAATACCATAAACCCAACATGCCCAGAACAGGACTTAAAAAATAACCTTCCCCCTCTACTCTCACTGTTTACCTATTTGCCCAAGCCAGAAAACTTGGTGTCATACTTTATTTTGATCTGTGTCTCACCACCACCCCCAATTGAATCTAGTAGCAAATTCTGTTGATTCTGCTTCCAAAGTATTCCTTGAATCTACTCTCTTCTTTCCCTAATTCTTTACTGATGAATAGGTCATCATCATCTTTTTTTTTCCTCTTTGCCGTTCTTCATTTAATTATCTACATAGTAGCAAAAGTAATTTTTAAAAATGCAAGTTAGATTGTGCCATTTTGGGTTAAAATCCTTTAGTAGCTTTACAGCTCACTTTAAATAAATTCCATGATCCTTACTATGTCTTACAAGTCCCTGCCCGTAATGTGGCCCCTTCCTGTCTCTCCTGTCTGGTACTAGGCTGAATATGTTTCTATTCTTGGTGGTAGGTACTTGAGGGTTCAGCTTTGAAGACTCAATGAGTTTTGCTTGCTCCAGGAGAACATGTGGCACTTTTGGGTCAGCCAAGATCTAGTAGGCCAGTGGGCTTTGTAGGTCTGAGCTCAGGACACAAGCCTAGACCCTTGAGACGTGAGTGTCATCTCTATAAGTGAAAGGATTAAGCCACAAGTGTGGATGAGATCATCCATGGAGAATGTTGAGAGAAGCAGACATAGGAAGACATCAGTTTGTTATTTACCTCTTTGTCTTGGTTTTCTTACATGTAAGTAAGGATAACAAAACCTTTCCTACCTACAAAAGTGGAAAAGCCGTAAATTTTTGAGAATGTCAGCATTGGTATAAGACTGATTCTACCATTATTTTGTCATTATTACCAAGTTGCTAAGTGTATATCAAAACAGAACAGAGGCTTAAAAAGTAAAACTCATCTTTCATTCTGAACAGTCATGAACCAGGCACTGGGTAAGGTACTGGGGATAAAAAGATGAGTGAGACTCTGTCCCTCAATAACTGCACTGATGATGAGTGAGACACTGTCCCTCAGTAACTGCACTGTTGATGAGTGAGACTCTGTCCCTCAATAACTGCACTGACGATGAGTGAGACTCTGTCCCTCAATAACTGCACTGATGATGAGTGAGACTCTGTCCCTCAATAACTGCACTGACGATGAGTGAGACACTGTCCCTCAATAACTGCACTGACGAGTGAGACACTGTCTCTCAGTAACTGCACTGACGATGAGTGAGACTCTGTCCCTCAGTAACTGCACTGATGATGAGTGAGACACTGTCTCTCAGTAACTGCACTGATGGTGAGTGAGACTGTGTCCCTCAGTAACTGCACTGACAGTGAGTGAGACAGTGTCCCTCAGTAACTGCACTGATGATGAGTGAGACTCTGTCCCTCAATAACTGCACTGATGATGAGTGAGACTCTGTTCCTCAATAACTGCACTGACGATGAGCGAGACACTGTCCCTCAATAACTGCACTGACGATGAGTGAGACACTGTCTCTCAGTAACTGCACTGACGATGAGTGAGACTCTGTCCCTCAATAACTGCACTGACGATGAGTGAGACTCTGTCCCTCAATAACTGCACTGACGATGAGTGAGACTCTGTCCCTCAATAACTGCACTGATGATGAGTGAGACACTGTCTCTCAGTAACTGCACTGATGTTGAGTGAGACTCTGTCCCTCAGTAACTGCACTGATGATGAGTGAGACACTGTCCCTCAATAACTGCACTGATGATGAGTGAGACTCTGTCCCTCAATAACTGCACTGATGATGAGTGAGACTCTGTCCCTCAGTAACTGCACTGATGATGAGTGAGACTGTGTCCCTCAATAACTGCACTGACGATGAGTGAGACTCTGTCCTTCAGTAACTGCACTGTCCTGTACAATAACTGCACCCGACCCCCTTGAGGGTCTGCAGTATAGTGAAATAGTACAGTTATTGTATGATTTTGTGTGATGCTTCTTCAGAAGGTGCTATGGGAACAGAGAGGAGAGTACCCAAGCTAATCTTCTCTGGGAAAGGATGGCTAATATGAACCTTGAAGGACAAGTAGGAGTTAGCCAAGCAAGTAGGACCTGGGAAGGGGATTGTAGGGAGAGGTGGCATGTGCCAAGGAATGGAGGTGAGACAGAATATGGTACTTTTGGGTCTGGATGAGTCATGGAAGGCTTTGTGTGCATGCCTGGGTGAATGGACTTCATTCTCATGCACTGAGGAAAATAAAAGCATCAAATGTACATTTTAGAATGATCACCTGGCAGCTTTATAGTGACCAAAGTGGGAAGAGATTTGTGGGCTGAGTGGCCTAGAGAGACATGGAGGCCGTAAAATATAGAAACATGGTCAGTGTGGTTAAGTGTGGTTAACCAGTGTGGTTAAGAGTTGAGTAATTTGATTATTGATGGATTTTGCATTTTAAATTTTATCCTTTTGCTTTCATTAGGTGGATAAATATTTGAAAGAAATTCTTCAAGATTTGGTTAAGAACCTTACAAGCAATATGTGGCGAGTTCGAGAATCCAGGTACCGTTTTTAGGAATATAAGTTTAGTCAAATAAAACTGAATTTTTTTCCCTTCAAAATTTCTAGGTTTTATACTTTGTGCAAAAGGAATAAATTAAAACTACTAAAAAGCTGGCCGGGCGTGGTGGCTCACACCTGTGATCCCAGCACATGGGGAGGCTGAGGTGGGTGGATCACCTGAGGTGAGGAGTTCAAGACCAGCGTGGGCAACATGGTGAAACCCCGTCTCTACTAAAAATACAAAAATCAGCTGGGCCCAGTGGCATGTGCATGTAGTCCCAGCTACATGGGAGGCTGAGGCAGGAGAATCGCTTGAACCCAGCCAGGGGGCAGAGGTTGCAGTGAGCCGAGATTGTGCCATTGAACTCCAGCCTGGGCGACAGAATGAGATGAGACTCTGTCTCAAAACAAAGCAAAACAAAAAACTACCAAAAAGCATATTTCTTGTTGGCTACATTAGTTATTTTTCTTTAACTGTTTAAGCTTTGGTCAATGATTTTCCTAAATTGTCATAGTTTATGTAAGTATGAAATCAAAGAAGTTGAAGATTACCTGTTAAATTGGTAGACACCAAGATGTATTTTGTATTGTCATGACTTTATAGTATAGCATTTCTGTATACAAGTTAGATTCATTCGGTGCCCAGTGTGTATGTGGCAGTGTGCTAGGCCTTGGAGGCACACTGGTGAATAAAAAACGATGTGTCATCTCAAAGGGATTGTATTATAGTTGTGGGAAACAAGCATTTTATAATTGTAAATTACATATATATATGGTATATTTGAGGGACCTGGAGAGAAGTCATTGCTGTTTTGGGGTGAGGGGATGAGAACTCGAATTAGAGGCAGAATCTGTATTCTTTTTTAGTATAAATGTTTCATAGTAAAATACTGACCTTTTTCATCATATATTGAAATGAAATTTTGATTTTCAGCTGTTTAGCTTTGAATGATTTATTGAGAGGAAGACCCTTAGATGACATCATTGATAAACTTCCAGAAATTTGGGAAACGCTTTTTAGAGTACAAGATGATATCAAGGTATTATAGAAATAAATCAGCATTTATATATACAAAAAGTTAAATTGGAATTATTAAAATATTTATGTTGTGTATGTCAAAATTCCATTTCCAGATAATTTTAAGAGACCAACGTTTTCCCCCAAAGTTTCAGTCTTAATGTGTCTGTGAAGTTGCAAGGTTGGGTATCCTTAGATCTAAATTAAATAGACTTAGGGAAAAAAAAGGTGGCTGTATACCTTCTTTCAATAGAGATCTCATGATTCTATTGGATTAGGGACAAATAACAGTTTTGGACATAGTAACAGTATTTTGATCAGTTCTGTAAATGGGATTAATTATTCTCAAGTAATGTGGCCAATTCCTCTGAATTTTTCTTGGGCAATCTTAATTTTAGGTATTTTGGTATTTTACCATTAAAATTAGGCACTTCAGTTTTACCTTTCTTTTTGCTTTATTTATTGGAGGCTTTTAAGTGTTTCAGAATTCTCACATAGATCTTTATGTATTTACTTTTATAATACATTTAGTTTCTCAACTGTTAATAGCTAAATTTTTTAAGGTCAAAATAGGTTACAGTTAATGTTTAAAAATTAATAGTATGGCATGGTAATGTGTTCCTTGATGGGCAGAGAGTCTGATGAGATACCAATTTTTTTAACATGATATGAAATGTAAGATTTTCCACCAAATCTCTGTAGGGCCTGAGGCAATTAAATTGCAAATTGTAGAGTAGATGATAGTGAAACTCTCTAACTTGTATGATGTCACACTTTTGTCATTTTTAGGAATCTGTACGAAAAGCGGCAGAACTAGCTCTGAAAACTCTGAGCAAGGTGAAAACCCCGTCTTACATTGGGAATGGAGTGGAGCAGGGTTCTGGGTGACCATGACAATGATTTACTTACTGTCATAGGAAAAGACATTTAGTTGCAGTATAATTGGCTTCATGTTGTAGTTCACTGCTCTTAGAATGAATGAGAAAGTGAGTGCTGTAAACACTGCAGTACTAGTGTGTTGAACAGAGTATACTGTGGTCTCTTTAAATGGTGAAATTAAGATAAAACTTCGACTTAACCCTGAAGAGCACATCACTCAGATCAAGCAACACCTGTCTTTTCTCTTGCTTTTGCTGTGTTTATATATAAAGCTACCTTTCATATTTGTGAGGTTGGAAAGCTTTTTGAAACTAAATTATCTCCCACTTGAACTTGATTTTGTGATATATCAGGAACTTTACATTCTAGTTGCACAAACCTTGCCATAGGTCACATAAATAGTAAAACCAGGTTTTAAATACAGGTGTTTTCCTGTTTCACATGTGATCTTGACCACTATATTGTGCTGTGACCCAGCGTTATTGATGATGATGATGATGATGATGATGATAACACTTCAAAACTTCTTTATTTAATTTTTTATTTTAATTTTTTTTTGAGACAAGGTCTTACTCTGTCACCCAGGCTGGAATGCAGTGGCGTGATCACGACTCACTGTAGTCTCGACCTGCCGGGGTCAGGAGATCCTCCCACCTCAGCCTCCTGGAGAGCTGGGACCACAGGTGTATGCCACCATGCCTGGCTAATTTTTCATACTTTTTGTAGAGACAGGGTCTCTTCATGTTGCCCAGGCTGGTCTCAAACTCCTGGGCTCAAGCAATCCGCCTGCCTCGGCCTCCCAAAGTGCTGGCTTTATAGGCGCCGGCTACTGCACCCAGCCCTAAACCTTTTTTAAAGTGCTTTCTTACATATTTCCTGGTTTGATCATCATCTGTTTTGTTCTGTATTTCACAAATTGGAGGACCAGTGCTTAGAGAGTGAAATGCATTACCAAATTTTCTGTTTAGTTCTTGGCAGACCTAGGACTCAATCTCCGATCTCATTCCTCTGTGTCTCTGTAGTGTCAGAGAAAGTAGATTCACTTATTCTTCCCTGTAGATATGTGAAGTAGAAAGTCTTTTGTCAGATGAATTCTTTATTGGATGCGCGGTCACTTTCACTAACGTCCATGCTCTTTGTATGTGAGGTCTGTGTGAAAATGTGTGACCCTGCCAAAGGAGCAGCTGGCCAGAGAACCATCGCTGCCCTTCTGCCTTGCCTTCTGGACAAAGGAATGATGAGCACCGTGACGGAAGTTCGAGCCCTCAGGTGTGCATCCGTTGATGAAATGAATGTATTGGATTTGCTCAGTTCCTAGAAATTGTGTTTCTTTCAAGGTTAGATTCTGGAAAATATGGAGAAAGAGGTTTAGGAGAATGACCCTTGGGTCATTTGTGAAAACTTGTGAGTCACAATATTTTCACAGAAACATTCTCATGAGACCTTATTTTTGCCTAGCATTCTGAGTCAAGCGTGTTGTTCTGTTGTCATCAGCCTCTGCTCCCAACAAGCACGTCTTCCTGTTACACTGTAGGTCCTCAGGAGCATGTTTGTTCATTATAATATTTAGTAATATTTCACAGATTATTAGATTTAAGAGAAGCTGTTTACCACCTGCAACGATGAAATATTCAAAAAATGTACTTACACGTTTTGATATAATATATGACTACTTTAAGTTAAAACCAATAGTGTAGGATTCTAGTTTGTATGTTTTGTTTGTTTTTAAAGTACAGTGCTGTCTAGGAACTTTATCTGTTCCATTGTTATTTCACTCTTAAGAGTAGAACAAATTATTAATAATACTGCCAGTGGTATTTCATGGCAAGTAGATAGTTGATGAAAGAGTTTTTTTTTTAGAAGGACTCACCTAACAAATGCAAAGGCATGACGCAATTAAGAGTGTCACTTTGGCTGGGCCTGGTGGCTGGTGCCTGTAATCCCAGCACTTTGGGAGGCCGAGGTGGGCGGATCACTTGAGGTTGGGAGTTTGAGACCAACCTGGCCAACATGGAGAAACCCCATCTCTACTAAAAATACAAAAAAAATTAGCCGGGTGTGGTGGTGCATGCCTGTAATCCCAGCTACTTGGGAGGCTGAGGCAGGAGAGTCGCTTGAACCCAGGAGGCGGAGGTTGCGGTGAGCCCAGATTGCGCCATTGCACTCCAGCCTGGACAACAAGAACGAAACTCTGTCTCAAAAAAAAAAAAAAAAAAAAAGTATCACTTTTTGCTCTCCTCAGTAAAATAATCTAAGTAGTGATCATTAGATGCCCCTAAATCCACTGGGTGAATGGCTGAAGAGAACTTTATAATGATTCAGGGCAACCAGACCTGAACCTACCAATCACTCCTTATAGCACAAAAAGACAACCAGTGCATGGTGATGTGATGGAATAGGAGGAATAGGACACACAGCATTGCCTAGGAAGGATTCTTTGTGTGTGTGTGTGTGTGTGTGTGTGTGTGTGTTTTACAAAATTGAACGTGAACTCAGTTTAGCCTGTAGATCTGTGCAGGGGAAAGAGGAACATGTTAAATGACATGACTGGAATACAATCAAAGAGGACGAAGAAGAAAAAAAGAGGAGAGTGGAGACTGTTAAAAAAGATTTAAGAAATGCAGTAGATTGCAATGTGTGAGTGAGCTTGGATCCTGATTCAAACATGCCAACTGTTTAAGAAGCTAATGAAACAGAGAAATTTGGATACTTGATATGAAAAAATCATTAATATTTTTAAAGTGTGAAAATGGTATTATGATTATGATAAAGAGCCTTTGCTTTTAGATATTCATAGTGAAGTTTAGTTAAGGGATATGCTTTCAAATGCAGTCACACGTCACTTAGTGACAAGGATATTTCTGAGAAATGTGTCGTTAGGTGATTTCATGGTTGTGCACACATTAACATGAAGTTGGAAAAATGGTGCAGTTAGATTGCTTGATGCAGGGTTGCCACAAATCTGTTCACTTCATATCTCTATGTCATATTTTGGTAATTCTCACGGTATTTCATACTTTGCATTACTATTATATCTGTTTTGGTGATCTGTGATCAGTGATCTTTGATGTTATTTTGTAATTGTTTTGGAGTTGTATGAACTACACCCATTTAAGATGGTGAACTTAATTGGTCAGTGTTGTGTGTGTCCTGATTGCTCCACTGAACAGCTGTTCCCCATCTCTCTCCCTCTTCTCAAATGTCTCATTCCCTGAGACACAACAATATTGGAATTAGGCTAATTAATAACCCCACAATGCCCTCTGTCTAAATGAAGGGAAGAGTTGCCTGTCTCTTACTTTAAATAGAAAGCTAGAAATGATTAAGCTTAGTGAGGAAGGGATGTCATGAAAGCTGAGATAGGCTGAAAGCTAGGCCTCTTGTGCCAAACAGCCAAGTTGTGAATGTAAAGGAAATGTTCTTAAACGAAGTTTAAAGTGCTATGTTAGCCAACACACAAATGATAAGAAAGCAAAACAGCCTTTTGCTAACAGGGAGAAAGTTTGAATATTCTGGATAGAAGATCAAATCAGCCACAAAATTCCCTTCAGCCAAAGCCTAATCCAGAGCAAGGCCCTAACTCTCTTCAATTCTGTGAAGTCTAAGAGAAGTAAGGAAGCTGCAGAAGAAAAGTTGGAAGCTAGCAGAGGTTGGCTCATGAGGTTTAAGGAAAGAAGCTGTCTTCATAACATAAAGATGCAAGGTGAAGCAGCAGTTGCTGATACAGAAGCTGCAGCAGGTTATCCAGAAGATCTAGCTAAGATCACTGATAAAGGTGTCTACACTCAACAACAGATTTTCAATGGAGATGAAATAGCCTTTTGTTGGCAAAAGATACCATGTAGGATTTTCCTAGCTAGAGAGAAGTCAGTGCCCGGCTGCAACGCTTCAAAGGCCAGGCTGACTGTCTTGTTAGGGGCCAATGCAGCTGGTGACTAAGTTGAAGCCAGTGCTCATTTACCATTCTGAAAATCCTAAAGCCTTAAGAATTCTGCTAAATCTGCTCTGTGCTCTAGAAATGGAACAACAAAGTCTGGATGACAGCTTATCTGTTAACAGCATGGTTTACTGAGTATTTTAAGTCCACTGTTGAGGCCTACTGCTAAAAAAACAAAAACAAAAAACAAACAAACAAAAAAATAACAACAAAACAAAAACCAAACCAAAAAAAACCCCAAAGATTCCTTTCAAAGTATTACTGCTCATTGACAGTGTGCCTGGTCACCCAAAAGCTCTGATAGAGAGGTACAAGGAAATGAATGTTTTCATGGCTGTTAGCATAACACAACATCCATTCTGAAGCCCATGGATCAAGGTGTAATTTCAACTTTCAAGTCTTACTATTCAAGAAGTATATTTTGTAAGGCTAGAGCTGCCATTGATAGTGATTCCTTTGATGGATCTGGGCAAAGTAAATTGAAAACCTTCTGGAAAGGGCTTACCATTGTAGGTGCTGTTAAGAACATTCATGATTCATGGGAGGAGGTCAAAATGTCATTAATAGTTTGGAAGAAGTTGATTCCAACTTTCATGGATGACTTTGAGGGGTTCAAGATGTCATTGGAGAAAGTCACTGCATATGTGGTGGAAATCGTAAGTGGGGCCTGAAGACGTGACTGAATTGTTGCAATCTCCTGATGAAACTTGAACAGAAGAGGAGTTGCTTCTTATCGATGAGCAAAGAAAGTGGTTTCATGAGATGCAAGCTACTCCTGGTGAAGATTCTGTGAACATTGTTAAAATGACCACAAAGGATTTAGAATATTTCATAAACTTAGTTGATAAAGCAACAACAGGGTTGGAGAGGATTGACTCTAACTTTGAAAGACGTTCTAATGTGGGCAAAATGCTATCAAACTGCATCTCATGCTACAAAGAATTATTTTGTGAAAGGAGGAGTTGATTGATGCAGCGAACTTCATTGTTGACTTATTTTAAGAAATTACGACAGCCACGCCAGCATTCAGCAAACACCACCCTGATTAGTCAGTAGGCATCACCATTGAGGTAGGACCCTCCACCAGCAAAAAGATAATGACTCGCTGAAAGCTGAGATGATCAGTAGCATTAAGATATTTTAAAGTTAACTAATGTACTTTATTTTAGACATAATGCTATTGCACACTTAATAGACTACAATATAGTGTAAACAAAACTTCTATATGCACTGGTAAACTAGAAAATTCATGTGGCTTTCTTTATTATGGTGGTCTGGAACAGAACCTGCAGTATCCCCAAGGTATTCTTGTATGATCTTATGGGACTACTGCTGGACATTGTGGTCTGTTGTTGTTGACTGAAATGTCTCATGCAGCACATGACTGTAATACAGTGGCAGGGGGGAATAGCGGCTGTATGTATGGAGGAGGTATAAATGAAACAAAATTGGTCAAATGTTGCTAATTGTTGAACTGGGTGGAGAATACATGGAATTTCATGCCTACTATAAATTCCTACCATAAAATTTCACTATAAATATAAATTCCTACTATAAATAAATACATGGAACTTCATTCCTACTATTAATGAAGGTAGGCTTTTCCTACTTCATTTATCATTCTACCTACCTCTATATATGCTTCAAGGTTTCTTTAATAAAAGTTAAAAAAAGTAATGCCCAGACCAGGCTCTGCAACCATGTGAAAATATGCTTTAATGCAGTGAACTGCAGAACATCCTCATGGTTAGATTTGTAGGTCTTCTCACTTTTGTTAAAAGGACTCAGGAGTTGTGTTCCATATGTTTGTAGCATTAACACCCTTGTGAAGATCAGCAAAAGTGCAGGAGCCATGTTGAAACCGCATGCACCAAAACTCATTCCAGCTCTGCTAGAGTCCTTAAGTGTATTGGAGCCCCAAGTTCTCAATTATTTGAGCCTCCGGGCGACAGAGCAAGAAAAGGTGAGTGGATAGCGCAGGCATATTGGTAAGTATCATGAGGGAAGAGCCCTGTTAAGATACCAAGGTTCATTTGAATGACACTGTCACTACTGTTACCAGAACTCACCCTCTGTCACCACATGCAGTGTTTTACTGTTTTTTTGGAGAGAGGTTGTCAGCTCATACACTGTCTTGTGAATTGGATGAAAACTGACACTTCCATCTAAAAAATGAATTAACATTTGTTTAACATAGTTTTTTGTATATTTCAATTTTGTTAGGGCTTGGATCTATACCTTCAGAGTCCTTCCATGGGCTCCCTCGCCCTGTAAGCAAAGAGTATTTGCACCTAGACTTTGGCATATCTCAAAATTGTTCTGCTTTTTAGGTGTAATGGAGTCACCTGGTCTCTGATCAGGGTCATTTTTATTTTTATTTTTATTTTTATTTTTTTGGAGACGGAGCATCACTCTGTCACCCAGGCTGGAGTGCAGTGGCACCATCTCGGCTCACTGCAACCTCTGCCTGCCAGGTTCAAGCGATTCTCCTGCCTCAGCATCCCGAGTAGCTGAGATTACAGGTGAGCGCCACCACACCCAGCTGATTTTTTGTATTTTTAGTAGAGACAGGGTTTCACCATGTTAGCCAGGATGGTCTTGATCTCCTGACCTCGTGATCCACCCGCCTCAGCCTCCCAAAGTGCTGGGATTACAGGCGTGAGCCACCGCACCCAGCCTGATCAGAGTCATTTTTTAAAACTTCAGATGAAACATATTTATTGTGAAAAGTTAATACAGAAGGATAGAAAGTAATCCCATAGAAGGTCTCCCAATCACCACAGTATCATTCCCTGAGGAGCACCTGCTGTCAAAAGTTTCCTGTGCCTTCTCTCAAATTCCTTTTTAGTCATAGGCTACCAAACCAAACAAACATACTAATTTAAAAATAGTATCAGACCGTGAATGTTGTTCTGTGATTTGTTTTTTAAATTAACAGTATATCGTGTCTATATATACACTTATTCTTTTTAATGTATGTATAGTGTTCTACAGTGAGGTGATTTTGAATTTTTGATGGAGAGGTTTTGCAACATCAAAGGTTTTAAGTGTTCTTTTTTTCTCCGTACCTTTGGCACTGTTGAATAACGTATGTGTGATAACAAGAATCTCATTTTTCTGATTTGCACTCTTTTCCTAGCATTGTCCATTGCCTTTTCAATATTGTATTAGTCGTTTATATTTCTTCTGTGATTGTGTTTATGTTCCATGTCTATTTTTCTATTTGACTGTTTTTTTAATTTATATATTTTTATTAGAACTGTTAAACCCTGTTATATACAACATGTTTCCTCTGTTCACTATTTGATCTTTAACTTGCCTAAACTTCTCTAATAACTTACTCTCTTTACCCTTTGCCTCTAATATTGCTGTTTCTTCTTCATTCATTATTTTTCCCTCTTTCAGCAGTAGACTTGCACCTTCCTGGGTGCCCATAGGATGTTTACTAAGCATTGAGAATTTGGAAACATAAATTCTAGTCTAAACTTTGTAGCCCTAGGCAAGTCACTTGTGTATGCCTTACTTTTCTCCCTTATCATATCTGGATAGTGTTAACCTCTCCTTCAGCACAGTTGTTAGATTAAAATACCTTCATAGATACGAAGGGTAATTACAAAGTTAAAGAACTGCACGTATAAAATTTTCTACTGCTTAGACACAATTTTAAAAACCTTAGAAATTTGTTTAGTCAGTTCCTTTATTTAGTGGATGGAGAACCTCAGGCTCAAGAAGGCTGGATGACTTGCCCAGAGCCATACTATGCTGATTTCTTAACTGTTATCTGAATTTCTCACCTGTAGTGTGGTGCTGGTTCCCCTGGTAAATTGTTGAGTGTAGGTCAAAAGAAATTAGAGTTAGACTTGATGTTTGCCTTTGTTATAGCTACGGATTATTTTTTTTTAAAGTTCTTTAGCTTGGAAGTGAAAGTCTTTTATGGGTGTTTGTGCGGATTATTCCTAATTAATTGAATGTGCCGGGTGACTTTAATTTCTCTTCTTTAGGCTGCGATGGATAGTGCTCGGCTTAGTGCTGCCAAATCTTCTCCAATGATGGAAACAATCAACATGGTGAGTGTCTTAAATAATAATGAGAGGGTTTGTTTGCTTACCTGAAAGTGTAATTCTTCAAAGTCTTCAGGCTATGTTAAATGAAGCAGAGACTTATGGGATGAGTCAAGCAGCTGTTGTGACTCCAGTTTTTTCTTAGTATATTTCTCTTTTCTTCTCTGTTACTAAGTGGAATAAATAATTCCCCAAATACCAGAAACAGTTGGTCCAAATTTGTATTACAAGAGACAACAACATATCAAGAGCTCTCTATAAATTTACATCTGTAGTCTTTTGATCTGCCTATTTAGAAAGGTTCAGAGTTGTGCCTGTGCCTAATAGTTATCTTTGGGAGGAACTAGGAAAGTTATAAGCTGTGGAGGTATTTAATGAAGTAGGTAACATAAAGGTATGTGAAGAGATTGGGCAATGTCGATATGTTGTTTTAGTCATAGGAAGGCATTTGCAGTAAAGGGCTGCTTGGCATTCTGAGGTTCTGATTTCTAAACTTCCTGGAGTCTTGGTAAAGTTACTCTGTTGTGCATTCCCTGTAATGGTTAGTTAGCTATGATTGTGTTTACTGGAAATTAGTTTGCTAAGCAGATCTGTACCTTTAGCAGGACTCTGAAGGTATAGATCCAACCCCTAAAAAAACTGAAGTGTACAAAAAACTATGTTAAACTGGTGAAGAGAAGTAGCTATTTTTTAGTGCCTGCTGGGGGAGTATTACCAAAATTTGGTCTAAGAATGTTATGTCTTAGTTGGATTATTGGGGGGAAATAAAAATTTAAAGAAATAGGAATAGTTAGTGAATACCATTTAGTTATATTCATTAGTAATAGAAAACATGTTAATTGCATTTTCAAAAATAAAGGCCAGCAATTTATAGGAAAAGTCATCTAAGAAGTTGACTCATTAGAGGGGGTTTGGTAGGGTAGGCCCACTGTAGAAGATCAATATTTAGTTTAGGTTTTTTATACTAAACATGGATTGATAAAGAGGAAGTAGGCCCAGAAAGATTCTTCATTCTTGAGTAATCATTATTTTTCTTTTTTAGCAAATTGATGTTTTTCATTTTTTTGTTTGTTTTTAGTGTTGAATCACTGATGAATAATTTTTCTGTTTGTAGTACAATAGTGGTTTTAATATTGAAATCAGAGCAGAAGCAAGCAGTGATTTTTCAACTTCATGTCAAATCCAGTTGGTACACGTTTGACAAGGGCAGTTTTTAATTGAAGATGTGGTCCTGACTTATTTGCCAAGGCTTACCTTTATATTTGTCCTTTTTCAAAAGTGCCTGCAATACCTTGATGTGTCAGTGCTGGGCGAGCTAGTTCCTAGGTTGTGTGAACTGATCAGAAGTGGTGTAGGTCTTGGAACTAAGGTAAGTGTACTTTCCACAAGAGGAAATGTGCATCTTCATTAGTTCTGGCCATAAGGATATAACAGCCATCATGTTTGAAATTCATGTTTTACCACAAAATCTAATATTATACACTAACCATTTTATTTCTGTGGTTGCACTGATAACTGAAAACATGTAACTGGTTCAAGAAATAAAACATCTAACTGTTCCAGTAAGTATTAACTTATTTAGTGGAATCATTTCTGTTCTCTGGTTGCCGTGTACATACCCTCTGGGTTGTCATTCATTAGCAGTTCATGGAAATGCACATCCAGTTATTAGGGCATGGATTGTTTTAGGTGGCAATTGCATTTTTCACAGAGGGGTCAGCAGTGTTTGAATAGAAAAATGTCCTAGTTTTCAAGATCTTTGAAGGATCAGACACCCCCCTACCACCCTTTTAACAACAAATTAATAACTCACATTTTTTCTTATGACAAAATTAACACTTGCTGGTATTTTAAAATTTTAGCATTTATAGATTAGGAGAAAGTTAAAATAAAAATTGTCCAGAATTTTGCCATACAGAGATAACTGCTGTTAATATTTTGAAGTGTTTCCTTCCAGTCTTTTCTGCACATGTATCTTCTGCAGTGTCCTCTTCTAATGGCCGTATGATACTCCACTGTATGGATGTAACATCATTTATTTTACTCCATCAAGGAACATCTGATTTGTTTTCAGTTTTTGAAAAAAATAGTAAAGCACTGTGATGAGTGTCTTCAGGCACACCTGAAGATATTTGGTTAAATTTCTGGAAATGGAAATGTTAGCACAGTGATGGACAAGATGACATATTTTGCTTTTCCAGAAGATTGTACCAGTTTTCTTTCTTTTTCACAATGTCTGAGATCACCCATCTTTCTCTTGGAGGTTTAAAAAAAATCGCTGCATTACTAGTTTAAGAGTTTGCCTTTTTCTATATTGAGTCCTGGAGGGGGTATTAGGCTTCATGTATTTTATATGTTTAAATTTTTGGCACCTAAGCCAATGGTTTGGTAGGTAGAACATTGTGACCATCAGATTTAGACCTTTGCTTTTGTAACCCTGTAGGGTGGCTGTGCCAGTGTCATTGTGTCATTAACTACTCAGTGTCCTCAGGACCTAACACCTTACTCAGGTGAGTTTGTCAAGGGATGTGTGGTGATATTTTTGCACAGCCCTGTCTTGTGTGACAGAGTTTTAAAAAGGAAAAATACTTATCATTCAGACCTGCTTGTGATGCTGTGTGCCTTTTCTCCCCTCAGTCCCCTGACTCCTTCATTTCTTTGTCTGCAGGAGGTGCAGAGTTTATCAAGTTTAGCAGCTTTTCACTGTTCATAAACATTTGATTATTCCTTAGTGGTATAAGGAGGTAAAAGTATCCTCTTTTCCACAGGACTTACCATTGATAGCTGATTTTACATCAGCATTTTTCTCTTCTTAGATTGGCTTCTAGACTGGACTAGTGTTCTTTATATACCTCGTTCTTATTTTGCATCTTTTTCCACGATATTCTAGTTTAATTTTAACTTTATATCATGTAAAAGGAAGCAAATGGATATATAAATATAACATCCAGAAATCTAAACTACTGTGGAGTAAATCAGATGTTAATTACAGGGTTAGGTTTGTTTGGGTTCTGGGAACAGAGTGGAACATTTGGTCAACCAAGTATCAGATTTTTTTCTCTTTATTTCTGGTAGGTAAACTTATGAGTGCTTTGCTGAGTGGCCTGACAGATCGGAACAGTGTGATTCAGAAATCTTGTGCATTTGCTATGGGCCATTTAGTTCGGGTGAGTTAAATTTCTTGCTTAGTTAAATAAAACTCTTTGACAGTTATAAAGAAATACTTAGGATTGTTTCTTTTTCAGACCTCACGGGATAGCAGCACTGAAAAACTCCTGCAGAAGCTCAATGGGTGGTATATGGAGAAAGAAGGTACCTTTCTTTTTCTATTTTATGTCATTTTAAATTTAGATGTTAACAGCCCAGTAAAACAGTACAAATTAGGTCTTACCCTCCATGATTTTATGTGATTTGCTAGAAACATTTGTTTCTTTTCTTTTCTTTTTTTTTGAGATGGTGTCTGGCTTTGTCGCTGAGGTTGGAGTGCAGTGGTGCTATCTCAGCTCACTGCAACCTCAGCCTCCTGGGCTCAAGCGATTCTTGTGTCTCAGCCTCCTGAGTAGCTGGAACTACAGGCACGTGCCACCACGCCTGGTTAATTTTTGTATTTTTTGTATAGGTGGGGTTTCGCCATGTTGCCCAGGCTGGTCTTAAACTCCCGAGCTCAAGCTATCTGCTCACCTTGGCCTCTCAAAGTGCTGGGATTACAGGTGTAAGCCACCACAACCCAGCCTGCTAGAAACATTTCTAATTGATTTTACCTGTTTGTTTTGCTATTATATGAGTTGAACAATAGCCTGTTTAGATCAGTTACCCTTAAAAACAATAAATATCGTAAAGATTTTGGTTTCTCCTTTTCAGAACCTATCTACAAGACCTCTTGTGCTTTGACTATTCATGCTATTGGACGATACAGCCCTGATGTATTAAAGAATCATGCAAAAGAAGTCCTGCCTCTGGCATTTTTAGGCATGCATGAAATTGCTGATGAGGAGAAATCCGAAAAAGAAGAATGTAATTTATGGACCGAAGTGTGGCAGGAAAACGTACCTGGTTAGTAGTGTGGCCTGAGTTAAACCTGCTTCTTAGGAATCACAGCTAGAATTTTTTACTTGCATTCGTTATTCATAAACTCCTCTGAAGTTACTTTCCCAGGACCTTAATATGCATCCCATTTAGTTTTAAACCCATCCAAATTGCTCATCCCATTTAGTTTTGAACCCATCCAAATTGCTGAGTTCTCAAGGTTGGCACTCAGGATTTTTGTCTTTACTCATTCATCACTGCCCACATGAGAGAATATAAACCCTGTGAGCAAGGAGAGCTTTACATTTTTAATTAAGAGTGTGATTTTATGTGGCCTTAGAGTATTTTAGAGTAGTTTTCTAAATGTGTTTTTCACCTTGTCGCATATTAATTGATGATGCCCATTTGTGTGATACGTTCCTGTGGGCACCCAAGTTCGTAAAGTTCTACTATTGTGAGAATAAGTCACAACACCAACACACTTTCTCTCCCTTTGAGAGAGTGGTGTGTTTTAACAGTTGAGAGTCACTGCTTTTAGACTGTTGGTCACTGACTTTTTTTCAGGTTTAGAAAAATCAGTTAATTTTTCTTGTCACTTAAAAGTTGTTTTAATTTTGCTTTCCTAGGATCCTTTGGTGGCATTCGATTATACCTGCAGGAGTTAATTACTATTACCCAGAAGGCTTTGCAGTCTCAGTCCTGGAAAATGAAAGCCCAGGGTGCAATTGCCATGGCATCAATTGCAAAACAGACTAGCTCTCTAGTACCTCCATATCTCGGAATGATACTGACCGCATTGCTGCAAGGCCTGGCTGGAAGAACGTGGGCAGGAAAGGTAAAGGAACCATTCATACCCAGTTAAAGGGATTCTGACTTCATCTTTCATTTTGCATAATAGTAACGATCTGGTTTTGTGTAACTTTTCCAATGGATTATTTTTGTGAACTAGATTTCCTAGACAGTGGAAGCTTTGGGTAAACCTTGCCTGATTAACTGTGGTATTTCCTCTCAAACTGCAACCCGTGTGGCCTTGCATAATGGACAGTAATGCTGGAGATAGATACATTTTCCATATTCAGCCTTCCAAGTTACGTCTTAAACCAACTTGTCAGCATTTTGTACCTGTTGACCTCATGAACAGATCAGGATTGGGCATAGAAAGATCAGGATTGGGCATATGTGAAATAGAGTAGCAAGGTAGCCTGCCTCTAAACCTGGGGCTGAAGATGCCCATCTCTGGGACCTATGAATTAGTAACAGTTATTTTTTTACACAAGAGCTTTAGTAGGATTCTTAACAGTGAACACTCAGTGGGGAACATGAGATTGTGGTAACCTAATGATCTTTATGTTGTAAAGGTCAATAGTGGCCCATGCAGGAATGAAGTAGTACCGGACTGGGAGTCAGACATCATTCCAATTCTGTGGTTGACACTGTTTTCTGTGAGACCTGGGTCGAATCAGTTCTTTAGGCTTCTATGAAATGGAGGTGAAGATAATTATCCTACATCCATGGTTTGGAGTAAAACTTGGTGGATGTGCTTAAAATTATGCATTAAAGATAAGGTGACTGTTGTTAATTTTTGTTGTCATAGTTATCAAAAATTCCTAAGGTAATTGTAATCATGGTTTAGACAGTGTAAATGACATGTTTGGGCTTAATAGTATTTCCTCATCTTTCAACCCCTTAGGAGGAGCTATTGAAAGCCATTGCCTGTGTGGTGACAGCTTGCAGGTAAATGTTCTTTCAATGAAGATGCCATTTCTTAAACTGGACCCGAAAACTGCAGCCTTTATTAACTTCTGATGCTTTTGTATGGACCCTGTAGTGCAGAGCTGGAAAAGTCTGTGCCCAATCAACCCAGCACAAATGAAATTCTTCAAGCTGTTCTGAAGGAATGTAGCAAAGAGAATGTCAAATACAAGATTGTAGCAATCAGCTGTGCAGCTGATATCTTGAAGGCCACCAAAGAGGACAGATTCCAGGAGTTCTCTAACATTGTCATACCTCTCATCAAGAAGGTAATACCACCTGTATCCTCAGTTCTGGTTTATACTTTAAAAAGAAAAAGTTAAAAAATTGTTTTCCCCTATGTCCTGATTATTAGGATTAGTTTAGCTGCAAGTAGCAGAGAAATTCCAAAATACGGCCTTAAACAAGATAGTCAATGCTATGTTTCTCACAAAGCGTTGGGAGCATCACAAAGTGTTCAGGTATTCCGTCTCTTTACAGCTCTGAACTCTGCCATTTCTAGGGTGTGGTCATCATCCTCATGGTCCACAGTGTGTTTGTGTTCTAGGCAGGAATGCAGAGGAGATGAAGCAAGGATGAAGGATACAGTGGGCATGCCATGTCTCTCTTGAGGAGAGTTCCTGGGCACCGCTAGATGGCACTTTGACTTATAGCCATCCTGTTGGTCAGTACTTAGCCACACCTGGCAGCAGACTGAGTCTTCATTCTGGGTGTCCATTTGCCCTCCATGGGAGAAGGGGAGAGTGGATTTGGTAGTGAATGAACAGTTTATGTCATAATAAGCTTTGCCTTGGCTAATAAGCTAAGCCACCCCAGCCATCCTAGAGTAAAGGCAAGAAGCTCAGTGTGCCATGTGAATTGCCTCTGCCATATAGTGGAGGATTTGGGTCAAAAAAAGACTCAAGTTTCATGTGGAAAATGGAATACTCATTTTTAAAAGTTGGGCACTGGTCCCCCCCCCAAAAAAAAGGGTGTGGTTTCCCTGTTTATTTGTGAAACATGAAATATTTTAAGTAACATTCTTATTTCTTATTGCTCCTAAATTGCAGTTGTTTTCTTTCAGTAATAAGGCTATTTAAATAATTTCCATTACAAACATAGTGATAGCATATGGATTTGGGAGACTTGTGTTTTAAGTTGATTACATCACTAGCAAGCTGGACCAGTTGCTTCTCTTAGCCTCTGTTTCTCTATCAAGAAAGAGTTTGGATTTAGATCATTACTGAGTTTCTTCCATCTTTAAAATCTGATTCTAATGCAAGTCTTTTCATGTTATGCTCAAAAGACTACATATGCAGTATTTTTTAGCTTTTGTTTACAGATGCCTGTAAAGTATTGCCTAAATTTATTAGAGATACAGTATTCTGGTTATAAATTCTTGTTGTAAATAGGGAAACTTATGGTAGAGAATTTATCATTTAACTCTTGGTTAATATCTCCTGCCTTGGTTGGTACCCTGATAGCTTTAATAGTATACCTGTAACTTTGAAGAAGAAAATATTACATTTTCTTTTCTTTGATATATCCTAGAACTCACTTGAAAGCAGTGGGGTCCGGACAACCAAAAATGAAGAGGAGAATGAAAAGGAAAAGGAGCTCCAGCTGGAATATCTGCTGGGTGCCTTTGAAAGCCTGGGCAAAGCCTGGCCGCGAAACGCGGAGACCCAACGTAAGCACCAGAAACTGCATTTGAAGTGCTGTAACCAGAGGTTACTTAATGAGAGCGAAGAATTTTCTCTATGACAAATTATAGTTATTGTTTCTTATCGAGCCTGATTGATTAATAATGAGAATTATCCAGTGAAAGTTTTTTGTCTACATGAGTCTGTGATCTCACTGATCATTGTACCGCTGTAGCTAGGGCTGCTGTAAGAAAGTATCACAGACTGGGTGGCTTAGCAGAAATTTATTTTCTCACAATTCTGGAGGATAGAAGTCTGAGATTTCGAGATCAAGGCGTCAGCAGGGTTAGTTTCTCCTGAGACCTCTCTCCTTGGCTTGGGAATGGCTGTCTTCTCCCTGTGTCTTCACGTGGTCTTTGGTGTCTCTGTGCCCTAATCACCTCTTCCTATAAGGACACCAGGCACGCTGGATTAGGGCCCACTCATATGACCTCTTTAAAGGCTCTGTCTTCTATTTAATAATAATACAGTCAAATTCTGAGGTACTGGGGGATAGTATTTTAACATACGAATTTTGGGGGCACAGTTCCACCTATAATAACCATGATACATTTTATGCAGATAGTTTGATAGACGAGTTCTACTGATCTTCTTGATGATCATAGCTCTATTCAGAGGAATGCACAAAGTTTATTAGCAGGGTCTCTTTATCCTGAAATGAATGGTCTTGTTACCAAGTGTTCAGTAAGCAACTGAAATCCCTGTTTCAGTGAAAAACTCATTACTATTTGGACAATTTTCAGAACTGGACATGTATTTCCCAAAGATTAAATGAACAGTAAACCTCTATTATTGGATGAGGTTGCAGTTAGTTTGGAGTCCCCTGACAGGGCCTTAACCTTGGGATGATACTACCCTTTACACTTGATCTTAGCCAAAAGGCCAAGAAGTGATGATGCTACCCTTTAAGCTTGCCTTGTGTTGGGTCCTACAGTGCATCCTGCTGAAGATCTTAGTATTCGTTTTTTTTTTGTTTGTTTTTTTTTTGAGACAGGGTCTTGCTTTGTTGCCCAGGCTGGAGTGCAGTGGTGCAGTTCTTGCAGCCTTTACCTCCTGGGCTCAAGTGATCTTCCTGCCTCAGCCTCCCAAGTATTTGGGTCTACAAGTGCATGCCACGACACCCAGCAAATTTTTTTTGAAGAGGTGAGGTCTTGCTATGTTGCCCAGGTTGGTCTCAAACTCCTGGGCTCAAGTGATCCTCCCACTTTGGCCTCCCTCTCAAAGTGCTGGGATTATAGGTATGAGCCTCCATGCCCAGCGACAATATTATTGAATGTTATAAAAAGTACTGTTGATTATTTGTGATTGGATATGTCTAGAATCAGTTAAGGTTCTCTTTGAGCCCTGTCATCCTTTGTGTGAACTTATATATTTGCTATGTTTATAGGAAGGGTTTCCCAGAAGATACAAATTTGCAGGTGGTTTTATTTCTTAATATTATGTTATAGACTGCCATGGAAGTCCACTAATATGATGCCATAAAGAGTATTAACTTTTCCTTGATAGGTAGAGAAAGCTAAAGTAGGGAATTATATGAGAAAGATGATACAAACATAAAGCAGTTTATTTTAATATAAGACATAGAAGGTTGTTAATAGAAATGTGCATTTATTGAGAACCAAGGCCTTTTCTTTAGGAACTTAACTGTTACACATTGGCTTCTCATATATATCTACAATTTCTGGGTTTTGTTTCTTTAAAACAGAGAAAGAAATTTCAAGCTCTTATGAGACAATCCTAGTGCAGAATTCTAGATTTTTTATTGCCTCCCCCCATTTTTACATTTGTTTGAGCCCTACTAAATCCTACAGTAATTAAAAATAACTTCGTTGTTGAGTTTTCTGCTGATTCATCAGTTGGCATAATATTAATTATATAGTTATAATTACAGTTGCAGTTGGCATAACAGGTTTATAATAAAGCACTGTTGACTCTTGGTAAACCTGCAATTTGCAGAAGCTTGTGAGCATCTAGAGAGGAGCTTCTGGCCTCCAGAGTTCTTTCTGTGGCTGTCATTCAGGGAGTTTTGAGGGGCAAAGGGAGTGTGGTTAAAGTGCTTTCTCAGTTCCATGGAGAACCATATGCCTTGAAAGTGAATATTTGTGAACAATTATATTGCACCTTTGTGGGGGCAGTTTCTGATCAAGGAAATTTGTTTGGGGATTGAGTACAAAGTCATGCTGAAGTTTTTGGGGAAATTTCAATGGCTTTAATTAAAAGTATTTATTGTTTTATTTCTCTTTTTCCTGCTTTTCTCTCTCTTATCCTCCCCACCTTCTCTCTTTCTCTTTCCCTCTTCCTTTCTCTTGCTCTCTCTGCCTGTCCCTCATTTATTCCATCTCTTGTTCTTTTATACTGTCTCCTGCTCTGTCCCACCTTGTCTTTTTTTCCCAGGTTGTTATCGTCAGGAGCTGTGCAAACTGATGTGTGAACGGCTAAAACTCAGCACGTGGAAAGTGCAGCTAGGAGTCCTGCAATCAATGAATGCCTTTTTTCAGGGGTAAATTGCTTCATGGCTCAGTTTTTTATTTTGTTCCTCCCCGCAGCATTTTATGTATAATCAATGGAATTTTTATACATTTAAAAACTGGTAGCTAAAGTGACAGTGATACATACAGATAGAAATTGTGACAGGAAAGTTTTAGACTGTTTCTTAATAATTGGCATTTGTACCTTGCTTTCTGATTTGTATAGGTTAATGCTTTTGGAAGAAGAACATGCCGATCCTGAGGCTTTGGCTGAAATTCTGCTTGAAACTTGTAAATCAATCACATATTCTTTAGGTGAGTGTAGTAAACTAAAACTGATGAGGGAGTCCTAATTTTAAAGCTAAGGAGCTGAGCTTCAAATATTTCCTACTTTGTCTTAGGAACTAAATTTCTGAAATAGCTACTGGACTCTGCTACTTATTATACTCCATGTGTACCCCTTAACTGGAATATTTAAATCTGGAACTATAACAGGATTTTAGCATCTAGTTTAGAAAAACCTTCGTGACAAGTATTTTTACAAAATTGTTACTTGAAAGTAATTTCAAACTTACAGAATGGTTGCAACGACAGTACATGTAATACTCTGCAATATGTATACACTTTATGCAGAATCATTTGTTAACATTTTGTGCCATTTGCTTTGTCATTTGGACTTCTATATACATGTTTTTCTCCTGAACCATTTGAAAGTATGTTGCTTACTTCAGGCCCCCTTGTTCCTCAATTATTTAGTGTGCCACGGTACAGTTGTCAACTTTAGGTAGTAAACATGGATGCAGTTTTTTAAATCAAATGTTTATCGTTCATATTCTAGTTTGTTCAGTTGATTCGGTAATGTTCTTTATTTTTATTTTTATTTTTTTTGAGTTGGAGTCTCGCTCTGTCACTCAGGTTGGAGTGCAGTGGTGTGATCTCAGCTCATTGCAACCTCTACCTTCCAGGTTCAAGCAGTCCTCCTGCCTCAGTCTCCCAAGTAGCTGGGATTACAAGTGTGTACTGTCACGCCCAGCTGATTTTTGTATTTTTGTAGAGACAGGGCTTCACGAAGTTGGCCAGGCTGGTCTCAAAACTCCTGAGCTCAAGCAGTCCACCTGCCTTGGCCTCCCAAAGTACTGGAGTTATAGGCATGAGCCACCACACCCAGCCAGTAATGTTCTTTATAGGATTTTTTCCCCCTCCCCTCCATTAGGGAATCCAGTCCAGGTGATGATGATGATGATGATGATGATGATGATGATGATAATGGTTATTATTATTTTTGAGACAGGGTCTTGCTCTGTCACCCAGGCTGGAGTGCAGTGGCGTGATCTTGGCTCACTGCAACTCTGCCTTCTGGGTTTAAGTGATTCTCCTGCCTCAGTTTCCCAAGTAACTGGAATTACAGGTGTGTGCCATCATGCCTGGCTAATTTTTGTATTTTTAGTAGAGACGGGGTTTCACCATGTTGGCTAGGCTGGTCTTGAACTCCTGACCTCAAGTGATCTGCCCGCCTTGGCCTCCAGGATTATTTATTGAATTTTATTGTCATATATTTTTAGTCTCCTTCAATCTGGAATACTTCGTCAGCCTTTCTTTGTCTTAGGACATTGACAATTTTGAAGAATAAAGTCCCCCCGACTTCCCTTTTTGAAAAAACAGAATGTTTCTCATTTGGTGTTTGATGTTTTCTCATGATTATATCCAGGTTGTGAATTCCCAGTTGGGATACATACATAAGTGATGTGTCCTCACATTAAGAGGCACACAGTGTCCATCTGTCATCATTTGTGATGTTAATTTTGATTACCTGGTCAAGGTACTATCAGTTTTTCTCTACTGGATAGTTACTATGTTTTCTTTTTGTGTCTAATAAGTAGCCTGTGGGAACAGATCTTAAGATCATTCAAGTAATTTGTTTCTCTTCTTTAAAATTTCTTCTCTATATTTAGCATGCATTGATGATTCTTCCCTGAACCAATTTTTACTAAGATGATTTTGCAACTCTAGCACTTTGTCCACATTCACCATTTGATAGTTGGAATTCTGTTGTAAGCAAGATTCTTCTCTTCTGCCCATGTTTTTATTTATCTGTTACTGGCATTGATTCATGGAATCTTTCCCCCTTCAAATGGTTTATAATTTAATTTTTTAAATCTAATTCGTTATTCCAGTTGTCCCAGATTTGGCCAGTGGAAGCCCTTTCAAGCTGCCTCCTGTGTCCTTTTGACAGGTCACCGTCACTCTTTGTAGCACTTTTGTACTTTGTAGCATAACAAGATGATAAGGCCCATCTCATGCCTACCCTGCTTTGGGCTTGGTTGTGTGTTGATTTTTTTGGTAGACAATTTCACCATGAACCAGACGCCGTGTCAAAGAGTGGATGCCAAGGAAGCATGTTTCATTCGCAGTTGTTGGCAGCAGCATCCTTTTATGGATAAAGAACAGGCAGCCAACAGACCTCTCTTTGCTGAGTTCCAGGTGTCCCTGATCGGCTTAAACACTGGGTCATATAATGTTCTTTGGTAAAATGAGGAGGGTCATGTAGACCTAAGGATCGTTCTTATCCGTGATACGAAGATGATTTTGTGTTTGAGATAGTTTTTTCATCTCCCACTTCTAAAATGGATCATTTAAATATTGCCATTTGTTGTGGTGATTGGTATACTTGGCTGACAGGTTTTTGTTTTTCCAAAGTAAAGACTGTGGACATTAGCACACATTTCAAGTATTTGATACTTAGCAAAGGGAAGCTTCCTTTAAAAAAAAAAAATCAGATATACCCTTCCCTAGAGTTGTAATTTCTGGACATCTTTCTTTCAGCAACACAAATTTAATCTTGGAGGTTGTGTTTTTCAGGCAGGCCATATGAACTGTATGATATTTCTTTTTAGAAAATAAGACCTACTCATCTGTGAGAACAGAAGCTTTATCTGTGATAGAATTGCTGCTTAAAAAACTTGAAGGTAAGTTGTTGTTAGTTCTGACTGGGGGACCATAAAGCCATGTGGCATATGTTTTAGAAATTTTTTGTTTCGTTTTTGCTTATACTCTTAAGCATATACTCTGAAATACAAATCAGTATGTATGCACATGCAAGAAGAATGGACAAAGCCAAAACTATTAAATTTTACTAAATATTTAAATTTGATACACTTTTATATATTTTTAATATATTATTAAGCTATAGTTGTCTTAAAGTAATAAAGTTTTTGTTTTCATCGTGAATCCTGATTTAATCTTGGTTAATTACAGGAATTGGTTGACAGTGGCATGTGTACATGTAAATAAGCAGAACGACACACTGAAAAGTGGAGTTGGAAAAACATTTTTAACAGTTATCTACCTGAGTCATCAAATCTGACAGTAGCAATTTTCTTAATCCTATTTCTTCTCCCCTAACCTCTTTTTCTTCTAATGGTCTATCAGTGGGTGGGGTGGGGGGGAACTGTTAGCATTTTCTCCAGTGGTGTATCTGTTACTGACTTCAGAAGGAGGACCCTCTTCTTTTTTCTCTCTCTCTCTCAAATTGTTTTCACGGATTAAGAATGTAGAAGATGGAAACGTTTTTCCTGCAACCTTGTGTATTTGCTCTTTCTACTTCTCTATCTTTGCTTAGCAATTAAAACACCTCTCTTAGGGCTCCATCAAACAGAACTTTTAGACTGAGTAACGCTAAACATCTCCTAATCCCTTTTTTCCTTGTTGAGATAAAAGAGCTAGGCACTTAGTCGTATTACCGAATTCTCAGTTTGCCAGATATGTACTAATATAGTCCAGATGAGGAAAATAAGGCTGAAGGCAAGCTAAACTTGCCTGAAGCCACATTGCTAGGAAGTGACAGAACCTTGTAAACAAGATTTAAGATTTGATATACTTTCTTATTTTCTAAAAATTTCAATGTGCATGTAGTTCTCAGATGCTTTCCTCGAAGAAAAGGGAGTGTCATCTATTTATCTGACCTTGCAATTATGACATTTCTTAGAAGTTTTTTTTTTTTAACTGACCGTATCTTATGAAATGGTCTTGCGATGGTGTTGTTGAAATGACTTTTTTGCTGCAGTGTGCCTTGCCCTGATAATTCCTTCTTCCTACTATGCTTCAGTGTAATTATTTCTCTTACTCCCACTGATACTGGGGGAAGGAGAGGAAACTCCCTGATGTGCCTCTACGCTACTGTCAAGAATTAGGTTTTGAGACACATATTGACAGTATGTAATGATAATTATATACTGATCTGTTATCAAGAGGTTGCTTTGCATTTATTTGGGGGATAGGATATTTTTAAATTTTTTTCTTGCTTGTTCTATAAGGATTCTTTGGGGTTTTTTCTTTTTGCTTTGTTTTTTGTTTTTTTTGTTTTTGTTTTTTTTTTTTCATGCAGAATCTAAACAGTGGGAATGTTTGACATCTGAATGCAGAGTGCTCCTAATTGAGTCTTTAGCTACTATGGAGCCAGACAGCAGACCTGAACTGCAGGAGAAAGCAGCGTTACTGAAGAAAACACTTGAAAATCTGGAATAAATTAGAAGGGGAAGAAACAAACAAGTGCCATGTTCATTGGGGGTTGAAGTGGTGGTGTTCTTTGAAAAACCAAGTGGGAAAAAGTAAAGATTAATCTGTAGCATGCATCATTCCTTGGCTGAAATAAAAAGAAAAAGCCTTAAATTTTGTTCCTTATTAGCTTTATTTTACTTTATGTTTTTAAAGTATCTGGGCTGAGTGAGCTTAATGGAACCTTGGATGTTTGAGGGGTGGTTGTAAAGGAAACTGGCAGAAATAGTTACTAAAAGAGTTCAAGCTGTTATTAAAGGAATTAATAGACAGAGTTGCAGAGCAAGCTGGATAAAAATCTTAGAACTGCATTCAAATTAGTTATTTCAGGAAGGGGCCCTATAAATAACTTATTTTAACCTCCCTCTTACACCTGAAGAAATAGGAAGCTGTGTCATCTCAGAGGCTTTCTGAGGCCTGTGCCAAAGTCAGAACCCAGGTGTTTAATGTCTGGCCCTGGATACTTTCTTTTATGGCCATCTGCCAAATCAGTGCTAACCCCGGCTTACCCAAGAAACTTCCAAGATGAGGTACGTTTAGGGTGGCACACAGCAGTCTTTGTGCCAGAACTAAACTGACCCTTACCATTGGGTTTCTGAAAGCCAGAAGCTAAACATTGTCTTGTCATGTGTTTAGGTGGTTGATTTGGAGAAAATGATTGTTTAGCATCTTTACAGATGGAGAGGACAGAGTCAGTCTCCTTCGGATAATTCCAATCGTCTTCCTTTTACAGGTGGATAAAGTAGATTAGGACAAGATCACACATTCTATCTGTGTCTGTGGCTGCATATTTTGCAAAACCAGAAACAAAATCGCAGACTGCCGTGGTTTAGACCATTTATAATGTCAAAACTGTAATGACAAATTTCTGTTCACTTTTATGCTACCAGTATGACTTTATAGGGGAGAAGGAAAGCCTTTTAATTAGCCACCTGGGAATTACTCTTTTAAAAAATGCCTTTTCTCAAAAGAACATGATACCACTCCAAGTAAATCATTGCCACTAGGGGTTTTCCTCCTTCCTTCTGTTGCCCATGCCCCTGCCTGAAAGTGTAGGGTAAGAGGAAAAACAAGTAAAACCTTAGTGTTGATGGTAAACTGAGAACTCTGTAGCTTACCTTGGATTCCAGAGCAGAAGACTGGTTTACATTCAGTACTCATCCTTATTGACGTTAACACCAGGAATCTCCATGTTTATTATTTTTCGTGGAAACTCCATGTTTATTATTTTTGGTGGTCTCTATTGACCAATGTATTTCAAACTTTTTTGACTGCAAGTCATAATAAAAATAACTTTTTACATCACGACCCAGAACATGTGTGTTTGTGTGTGTATATATGTGCATGCCTAAATACAAAATCTTTAAAACATTTCATGAAATAATACATAACTGTGTGATACCCTTTAGTGTCTGCTCCCGGCCCCCTGATTTAATGCTCTTCAGACTCTCTAAATTCATTTCCTGACTCACAACGGGGTTGCTACTTACAGTTTAAACAACACTGCCGTAGATAGCACCTAGACTTGGCTGAATATGCTGGGGATTTGTTTCTGATTGAAAAGGGAGTTTACAAATAAAAATTTAAGTGTTTATTACAAAAACATCCTCTTTGCTGATACTGAACGTCAGTTTTAGTAGCATCATGAATTTTAAGGAATCTATCTCGGATTTTCATTTGAGAATGGCTATTGCTTGGGGAAAAATCAACTTCGGATGTTTTTTAGAAAGCTTATGGCGTCTTTTAGGACTTGGTGTTTTTCATATCAGTATTTCCCCCTCCACCAAGTACTCCCTGACTTTCATTTATGGTACCTGGGATATTCTTCCTTGGCAAGAATACAATGCAGGTTGGATGTTTTCAGAAAGTAGGATTATAAAGGCAAGAATTACGCTCTTAGTCTATATCAAATGTTAACACCTTGTCAAATGTTACGCTTTTTAAGCTTTTTGTTTTTTAATATTGGGAATTTCCCTTGGTGCTAAGAATGGTGCTGAGGCACTCGAACCTTTGTGCTTCGTGCTATTGAATTCCTGTACATTAGCTTTCTAAGCACATTTCTAATTTGTACACTTAATGCCTTCATCTTGACCAGCCTAATCATTCACACAGCTAGTAATGCTAAATTATTGTCTCACAATGCCCCTTATCTTTGGTGTGCATGTGTACCTATATTTATTTAAAAGGGTTAATAACAGAGCTTGTAATTGTGGAATGTTCGCTGGTGAACAAATGGCAGAAGGACTCACGCAAGTTTATATCATCGGCCTTTGTTTTCCAGAGCTCCCCCAAACAGATTTTGATTCTTTTCTCCCTAGAAATAGTGTTACCTGTCATACAAGCAACTGATTGGTAGGGTCTACTACTGAATTCCTTATTCCTGGAATTAGTTCACAAGATGTATCGTCTTAAATGTACTGATATGTGAAAAGGAGATACCCAGAGTGTGGCAAGTTGGAAATCAGAATCATCAAAGTAGTATATAATTGTCTTTTTGGTGATAAAGAGCAGCTGTTTCCTTAATGAAGTTTGTGTTGAATTTATAATTCCATGTGCCTCCCTGTAATACAGTCTACCTGCACAGCAAAACTGCCACCGCATTCCCATTGCTTCCCCCTTCCATCTTTTACTGCGTACTTACTAACAAGACAGAAAAGAAAAAAGATGTGCCCTTGTTGGTCTTCGCTCTGGTAGCAACTGCACTGCGCGCACACTGTCTGCCCTTCATGGGGCATTTCTACCTGCTGCTGCCACAATATATTCATGCTGCTTGTTAAGTCCAGGGAGTTACTTTGACATTGGCCTTATTGTAATGTACAAACTATTGTTAAATGGATGTATATGTAACAGAATTTTGTATTTTATATGTGACTTTCACAGAATCGTCTGCAGTATGTCCCAGCTAGCTAAGTGTCTGATAGATATTTGAAAGGAAAATCCCATCCATGCCCAAGAAGATATTAAATGGCAAATAAAAGCTGCATGATCTGTTCTTTTGAAGTAGTGCATTAATTTTTATTAATTCTCCAGGAAAATAGCTCAACTGCCAAGGCATTGACTAGTTATACTTAAAAAACAATTAAAAACCCAACTGCCTGCCATATTCTGAGCTAACTCCGGTAAGTAGAAATTGCTGGCTTAAGTGTTTAGGAGCTGCAAGACAAAGCAGAAACAAAAGGAAGACTCCCTGAACAACTGCTGTCAGATGCTTGGAGGAAAGGTATCATGGAAACATTTGATTTTCTCATAAAAGTAACCCCTAAGGAACATACAAAAACAACAGACAGTTCTTTTGACCAAGATTAAGATACATGGCTATGAATGTAAAATGTCAGAGGTACAGGCACATCCTATACTGTAAACTGCCAAGCAAATGTTTAGACTGTGGAAGATGGCTAAGTATTTGCTTGGCAGTTTACAGTATAGGATATGCCTGTACCTCTGACATTTTACATTCATAGCCATGTATCTTAATATTTAGACTGTGAAAGTGAGTTACCTTGCTTATTCTCTGGAGCAGCCAACAAGCCTATGCCGTTCCCTCCTGGTATGCTTTTCTTTTTCCTTTCAAGCAGGTTCCAAATTAGCTTACTACAGTAACTTTTTTTTTTTTTTTTTTTTTTTAAAATGCGAAGTCTCACTCTGTCATCCAGGCTGGAGTGCAATGGTGCGATCTTAGCTTACTGCAACCTCTGCCTCCCAGGTTCAGGGGATTCTCCTGCCTCAGCCTCCTGAGTAGCTGGGATTACAGGTGCCTGCCAACATACCCAGCTAATTTTTGCATTTTAGTAGAGATGGGGTTTCACCTCATTGGCCAGGCTGGTCTCAAACTCCTGGCCTCAGGTGATCCATGTGCCTCAGCCTCCCACAGTGTTGGGATTACAGGTGGGAGCCAGGGAGCTAGAGTAACTTTTTTTTTAAGTGAACCATAATGCTACAAAAGTTGGAAACAGCCTTTCAAACGATAGTTTCTCAAAGTTTTAAGTGTTTACCTTTAAAAATGATACATTTCTTTTACATTCAAGTAGTATTGAAAAAACCTTTATGAAAAAGATAAAGGACAGTGAGAAAACAGGTAATAGGAACATCTGTGTTTGTTTGGGTATTCTTGAAAAGAGTACTCTTAAGACCAATGTTGGGTATTAGTGGTTAGATGTATAATTCTTTTACGCTACTTTTGATTCCAGAACAGTCTTCAAATACAATATCTTTTCTGAACATCAGTATTTTTGAGTATTTATTTTATTTTAGCACTGTAAAGATGCCCCAGTGTTTCTTGGCCTTCAGGGTTTCCATTATGATTTCTGAGGTTCTCAGAGCAAATTGTTGCTCTCTAGATGTGGTGTGTAGTTTTTTTCTGTCTGCTTTCATGATTTTTCCTATTTTTGGATTTCAGCACTTTGACTATGATGTACCTAGGTGTGCTTTTCTTCATATTTATCCTCAAGTTTTGCTTCGATTTTTGAATTTCTAAATGTGTGAATTTTACTGAATTGTGAATTTTGTTTTGTTTTGGCCATTTACCCACATGTTTTTTTCCCTGTGCCATCCTCTCTCCTCTCTTTCTAGAACTCTAGTTAAACATATGTTAGATCTTTTGATATTGTTCCACAGGTCTTAGTCATTTTTTAAAAATTCGCTTTAAATTTATTGACTCTACCATGTCTATTCTGATATTAAAGCCCATCTAGTGAGTCTTTATTTCAGATATTTTAATTTTCCATTCTAAGGTTTCCATTTGTTCTTTTTAAAATTTTCAATTTCTAATCTTTCTCACATTTTAAAAAACATCATGAAGCATAATTATAGTTGCTTTTGAGTTCTTATTTGATACTTACACATCTGGATCATCTTGGCTTTGGTCTTTTTTGATTGCCTCCCCCAGGCCTCCAACATCATTTCCTGGTTCTTTGTATATCCGGTATTTTGGGACTGTAACCCAACATTCTTAGACATTGTGCATGTTATGTCGTGGAGACTCTGGACTGTTCCTCCAAAGAGCTGCTTTTCAATTTGAGCAGGCAGTGAACATGGTTAAACTCAAACTGCCAACTATCTCCCCTTTGGTAGGTGGCTCAGATCTCAGTTCAGCTCTTTTTTTTTTTTTTTTTTTTTTGGCTGAGCTTTTTGCAGTCTGCCGTGAACGTAAGTGATTCAGAGATTAGTCACAGACTTGGGCAGAGTTACACACAGAAACTTGGGTTCTTCTTCTCTGCTGTTTTATATCCAGGATTTTCCCCTTACTTTGTAGTGGGCTCTGCCTGCCTCAGGCTGGAGAGAGGGTGATTTTCAGTGGGAGCTTCCACCGTTCTGTGCCACGCTGACTGTGCTTTACCCTAAGGACAAAGCCACAAAGCCCCAAAACTCACCCCCTGCCGGCCCCTTCCATGTTTTGGCTCTCCGCCGAAATCTACCCGACTCCGACTCTAGAGCCTTAAGAAAATTGTTTGGGTTTTTTTTGTTTTGTTTTGTTTTGAATGCAGTGTTTATAGTTTCTATATGCAAGGCAGTCTTCTGGGAAGTTACTCCACCATACTGGACATAGAGTTTGAGAATATTTGTTGTTTTTAAAAAGCTATACAAAGCTAAACGTACCCTTACCATTGGATTGTGCTCATTGGTATTTATGCAGGCAAATTGAAAACTTGTGTCGATGCAAAATCTGCACGTGGATATTTATAGCAGCTTTATCCATAATTGCCAAAAATTGGAAGCGACCAAGATGTCCTTCAGTAGGTGAATGGTAAAGTATAAAATAAACTGATATATCCAGAAAATGGAATATTATTCAGTGCTAAAAAGAGCTATCAAGCCATTAAAAACATGGAGAAAACATACGTTTATATTAGTGAAAGAAGTCAATCTGAAAAGGTTACATCCTGTATGGTTCCAACTATATGACATTCTGGAAAAGGCAAAGCTGTGGAGACCGTAAAAAGATCTGTGATTGACAGGAGTTGGGGGAAGGGAAGGGTGAATAAATAGAGCAGAGAGGATTTCTAAGGCAGTGAAAATACTCCGTATAATACTACGGTTGTGAATATATGTCGTCGTACATTTGCCCAAACCTATAGAATGTACACCACCAGGAGTGAGCCCGAAGGCGAACTATGAACTTCAGGTGATAACTGTATGTCAATGTAAGTTCATCAGTTGCAACCAACTTACCACTATGGTACAAGATGTTGACAGTGGGCAAGGTTGTGCATGTGTGAGGGTAGGGGGCATATGAGAACTCTGTACCTTCCTCTCAATCTTGCTTTGAACCTGAAACTTCTCTAAAAAGTAATGCCTGTTTGAATTATGTTTTAGATAAATCTTAAAAAAACAAGGTTTTTTTTTTTTGAGGCAGAGTCTCGCTCTGTTGCCCAGGCTGGAGTGCAGTGGTGCCATCTCAGCTCATTGCAACCTACGCCTCCTGGGTTCAAGCGATTCTTCTGCCTCAGCCTCCCGAGTAGCTGGGATTACAGGTGCCCATCACCACATCCAGCTAATTTTTTGTATTTTTAGTAGAGATGGGGTTTCACCATGTTGGCCAGGCTGATCTCGAACTCCTGACCTCAGGTGATCCACCCGTCTCGGCCTCCCTAAGTGTTGGGATTAAGGCCTGAACCACTTTTTTTTGTTTGTTTGTTTGTTTTGTTTTTGAGACAGGGTCGCACTCTGTTGCCCAGGTTGGAGTAAAGTGGCATGATCATGGCTCACTGCAGTCTCAAACTCCTGGGCTCAATTGATTCTCCTGCTTCAGCCTCCTAAGTAGCTGGGACTACAGGCGCACACCACTGTGCCCAGCTAATTCTTGTATTTTTTGTAGACATGGGGTTTCACCATGTTCATTGCCCAGGCTGGTCTCGAACTCCTGAGCTCAAGTGACACACCTGCCTTGGCCTCCCAAAGTGTTGGATTACAGGCATGAGCCACTGCACCTGGAATACATTTGAGTTTTAAGTGAAGAGGAGAATATGGGTAGGTAATTTTGCCTCTGGTCAAAAAATGAGAGAGTTCAGGTTTTTAAAAGTTAGTTCTTCAAATATGGAGTGTGGAATATGGTATATTTATTTGCACTTGTAACTTCTGCTTTCTCTCATTTGGATTCCTAGGTATTGGATTCTAGCTTATTCTTTGCTGATATGATCTTTCTAATTTGACATTGAATTATTCTGGCCATTTCAGGAATTTTAGAAATAGAGTTTTGAAATGAAGGTTTACATTGTTGAGAACTATTCTCCAGAAATAAAAAATGTAAGGGAAGAAGAAAAGTATGAAAAACACCTTTAGAATATTTCTTTCAAAAAGGGAGGTTTATTTCCATATACTCCCTTTCCTCACACATGCACAACCTCGCCCACTATCAACATCCTGTACCACAGTGGTGTGTTTGTTGCAATTGATGAACTTACATTGACATATAGTTATCACGTGTCTTGGGGCAGGGATTAACAGTCCATGGGCCGTAAAACCAGCCACAACTCCCAAGTTGATCTACAGATTCAATGCAATTCCTATCAAAATGTGAAAGTATTGAAACCGTAGAAAATATACTCTATAATCACAATGAATTGAAAATAGAAATTAATAAGTGAATGAAACTGAGAAATTTATAAACGTGGAAATTAAGTACACACTTCTGAATAACCAGGGGAACAAAGAGGAAATCACCAAAGAAATTAGAAAATACTTTGAGATGAATGAAAATGACACAAAATTCCAAAACTTATGAAGTGCAGCTAAAGCAGTGCTTAGAGGGGAATTTATAACTGAAAAAAAGCCATCTTACTAGAGTATGAGTAATAATAATAATAGTAATAAAAACCAGGTGCAGTGGCTCATGCCTGTAATCCCAGAAGTTTAGGAGGCTGAGGTGGGAAGATTGTTGGAAGCCAGCAGTTCAAGACCAGCCTATGCAGTGTAGCCAGACCATGTCTCTCTGAAAAATTTTAAAAATTAGCCAGGCATGGTAGCATGCACTTGTAGTCCCAGCTACCTGGGAGGCAGAGGTAGGAGGATTGCTTGAGCCCAGGATTTCGAGGCTGCAGTGAGCCATGATTGCACCACTGCACTCCAGTCTCGGTGACAGAGTGAGACCCTGACTCAAAAAACCAAACCAAACAAAAAACCTATCCCAAACCTTTCTCTTAAAGCATTGGAAAAGAAAAAGCAAATTAAACCTGAAGGGAGGAAACAAAGATCAGAGCAGAAATTATGAAATTGAGAATAGGAAAGAAAAAAAAAAAGAAACTGAAAGTTGGTTCTTTGAAAAGATCAACAAAATTGTTGATCAGCAAATCTGTAGGTAGACTGACCAAAAGCAAAACCCCCTGAATTACTAAAACAGGAATGAAAGAGATATTGCTATTTGCTAATCTTAAAAAATAAACCAAAATATAAAGGAATACTATGAGCAACTGTATGGCAACAAATTAGATAACTTAGATGAAATTGACACATTCCCAGGAAGCTACAAATCAAAAAATTAAATCTGACTCAGAAGAAATAGAAAGTATGGATAGACTTGCAGCAAGTAAAGAAATTGAGCTAGTACTCAAAAAGCTACCTGCAACAAAAAGTCCAGGCCCAGATGGTGAATTCTACCAAACATTTTTAAAGAATGCCAGTTCTTTTTAAAATTTTTAATTTTTTAATTTTAAATTATGGGTACATAATAGTTATGCCTGTATCAAAAGAATATCAATTATTTACACACTCTTCAGAAAAATAGAAGAGGGAGTACTTCCTAACTTGTTCTATGAGACCAGTATTACCCTAGTACCAAAATTGGACAAAGACATAGATGAAAAAACTAAACAAGCTACAGAGAAATTTCTCTTACAAGTATAGACACAAAACTTGCAAACAAAATACTAGAAACTGAGTGAAGCAATATAGAAAAATGATTATACATCATGACCAGGAGGGATTTATCTCAGGAATACAAGGTTGGTTTAACATGAAAATCAAATTATATAATGCCTCATACCAATAAAGGAGAAAAACCATATTATAATCTCAATAGATGCAGAAAAAGCATTTGATAAAATCCAATACCCCTTCATTTTACACACACACACACACACACACACAGACACACACACCCCACTCAACAATTTGGAATAAAAGGGAACTTCATTAGCTAATAAGGGGGATCTACAAAAAACACATAGTTTACACTGTAAGACTACATGATAGTACCTAATAGGGTTACATGATACCTAATGAAGAAAGACTAAATGTTTTCCCTCTAAGCTCAGGAATGAGATAAGGGTGTTTACTCTTGCTACTTCCTTTAAACATTATGCTGGAAGTTCCATCTAGGAAAGTTAGTCAAGTAAACAGAACAGACGGCATCGAGATTGGAAAGAAGTAAAATAACAATATTTTCAGATAACATGTTGTATATAGAAAATCCTAATGAATTCACTAAAAACCTATTGGAACTATAAATGAGTTCAGCAAGGTTGAGGATCAATTAATAATTGAATTTATAAGTTAATTACAAATATCACTTATTTCTATGTTGTACCAATGGACAACCTGTAAATGAAATTAAGAAAACTGTTTCATTTGCAATAGAAAATTATTTGTTCAAAATGAATTTTTAGGAATGAATTTAATGAAACATGCAAAAATTACACTCTGGGAAATTACAAAATATTGCTGAAAGAAATTAAGGAAGAGCTAAGTAAATGGAAAGACATCCATGCTTATGATCAGAATACTTAATACTGTTAAGATGACAATACTGACCAAGTTGATTTACAGATTCAATAGACAAACTAATTCTAAAATTTATGTGGAGTGCAAAGGACCCAGAATACTTAAAATATTTTGAAAAAGAACAAAAGTAGGCCTAGCGCAGTGGCTCATGCCTGTAATCCCAGCACCTTGGGAGGCCGAGGTGGGCGGACATGAGGTCAAGAGATTGAGACCATCCTGGCTAACACGGTGAAACCCCATCTCTACTAAAAATACAAAAAATTAGCTGGGCATGGTGGCACGCACCTGTAGTCCCAGCTACTTGGGAGGCTGAGGCAGGAGAATCGCTTGAACCTGGGAGGCAGAGGTTGCAGTGAGCTGAGATGGGGCCACTGCACTCCAGCCTGGGCGACAGATCGAGACTCTGTCTCACAAAAAAAAAAAAAAAAAAAAAAACCAAATAGAACAAAAGTGGATTACTCCTCTTTCCTGACTTCAAAACTTACTAAAAATCTATGGTAATCAACACTATGTGGTGCTGGCATAAGACTGGACATACAATTCAAAGGAATAGAATTGACAGTCCAGAAATAAACCTTTACATTTATGGCAAATTGACTTTCAACACGGGTGTCAAATTCACTCAATGAGGAAAGAATAGTCTTTTCAACAAATGGTGCTGGTACAACTGGATATCTACATGCAAATGAATGAAGTTGGACTTCTTCCTCACATTGCACACAAAATGAACTCAAAATGGATCAGACTTAAATGTAAGAGCTAAAACTGTAAAACTCTTGAAAGTAAATCTAGAAGTAAATCTTCCTAACCTTGGGTTAGGTAAAGATTTCTTAGACATGATACCAGAAGCTCAAGTGACAAAAGAAAAAAAAATATAAATTGAATTCCATTGAAATTAACATCTTTTTGTGTTTTCACAGGAAACTATCAAGAAAGTAAAAAGACAACCTACAGATTGGGATAAAATATTTGCAAATTCTATACCTGATAAGGAACTTGTATTCAGAATATATTAAAAAAAAACACTCTTATGACTCAAAAAGACAACCTAATTTCTAAAATGGGTGAAGGATCTGTATAGACATTTATCCAAAGAAGATATATAAATGGCCAATATATACATAAAAATTGCTAAAAATCAGTAACCATTCGGGGATTGCAAATGCAAACCACAATGAGATGCCACTATAAACTGTCTAGGATGGCTATATAAAAAGAAGACACATAAGTATTGATAAGGAAGTGGAGAAATTGGAACCCTCAAGCATTGCTGGTGGGAATGTAAAATGATACAGCTGCTTTGGGTAACAGTTTTGCAGTTTCTCAAATGTTTAAACAAAGTGTAACATATACTCAAGAGAAATGAAAACATATGTCCCACAAAAAATTATAGATAAATGTTCATAGGAACATTATTTATAAAAACCAAAAACTGGGAACAACCCAAATGCTCAACTGATGACTGGATAAAAATTAAATGTGGCATATCTATACAATGAGATGTTTGGCATGTATCATTATTTCATTCCTTTACTTGCCAAATATCTCATTGTATATGGATATCCATACAATGAGATGTTATTTGGCAAGTAAAGGAATGAAATAATGATTCATGCTATGACTTGGATGAATCTTGAAAACATATGATAAGGGAAAGAAGTCAGCTTTAAAGACCACACATTGTGTGACTCCATTTATATGAAATGTCCAGAATAGGCAAATCTATAGAAACAGAGTAGATTAGTAGTTTGCTAGGGTTAAGGGGTTGGGGGAAAATAGAGAATTTCTGCTAATGAGTGTGAGTTTCTTTTAAGGGTGATGTTCTAAAATTGATTGTGTGCTGATAGTTGTACAACTCTGTGAATCCACTTAAAATTATTGGATTGTATATTTTAAATGGGTAAATCGTATGGTATATGAATTATATCTCAATAAAACTTTTTAAAAAACATTTGGAACATGTTGGGGCATTTTTGAATATAATTTATAGATACAAAAACGTGTTGGTTATTTTCTATACACACTACTTGTTAAAATATGTTAGTAAATCATATTTCCTTGAAAGAAAAACCAACATGAGACATCACACATTGAAATGACAGATCAAAGAGTGACAAAATCAAGCATTCACACAGATGTGGAGCAACAGGAATTCTTATATCGCTAATGGGATAGCAAAATAGGACAGCATCTTTGAGAAACAGTTTGACATATCATACGAAGTTAAGCATACACTTGTACTATGACCCATAAATTTTACACCGGTGTATTTACCTAAGACAAGTGGAAATCTATGTTTGCACAAAGACTCGTAAGTAAATATTCATTATAGGTCAAAACTGAAAACCATCCAAATGTCTATCGATTGGTAAGTATATCAACAGTTGTAAATCTACACAGTGGAATACTACTCAGCAACAAAAGAAATGACTACATAAACATAAAACATCTTGCTAAGTAGAGTGACTGCATACTATACATAGTTCTATTTATGTGAAATTCTGGATAAGGAAAAACTATAGTGACAGAAGTCAGGTCTGTAGTTGGGGGCATGGGGTCAGGGGAGATAATTGACTGTAAATGGGCATGAGGGAACTTCTTGATTCAAGAATATTCTACATCTTGATTTGGTCATAAACCAAATTATATCTCTATGTTATTTAAAACAGTTCTCCATTGTCCCAGAACTAATTTCAACTTACTTAATATGGCATTAAACCCATTTATGATGTCAGTACCGCCTACGCTTGAAGTCTTATCTCATAAATAAGTTTATGCTTTCATCTGTCTTGACAATCAAAACAACTTTCAAACGCAAAAATGTGCTAAGCTAGAAGTTCCGTGTTTAGAAAATAAGGCTCTGGAAACTTCCTTGTTCACCTTTATTTCCAGTGTATGCTTGGGATTTTTTTTTTTTTTTTTTTTTTTTTTTTTTTTTTTTGGTGGGGGGTGATCTGGAGAGAAGCCTCTGCCAACCAAAAATTAAGGAGATTGAGGCAGAAATAATTTGATAAAGGTTTATTGGAAGTCAAATGTAAGGACCAACTTGGGGAGGCACACTGTCAAAGTTGGCCGTGTTCCGGAGTCAGCTACAACTTGAAAGGCTTTTCTGGGAAAGTTCAGGAGTAGGGAGAGGGACTCCTTATATGGGAGTTATCTTTTTTCATTGGTGATTACAATAAAGAGTTTGCAATCATTGGCTACAGATTACAACGTACAGGCTAAAATGTTCTATGTGCAGGACAAGCAGTAAAATTGCATGATTCAGAAACAAATCAGTGTTCTTTGCAATGTCAATAGGTTATGTATTAATCAGTATGTCAACAGTTGGAGGAACTCACGATAAGATTCTTTACTCAGGGAACAGGATGTAGGCCACAAAGACTTATAGACTTTCCCCAGGCAGTTAATTTGGGAGTCTGCCAGATGTGACCTATAGATTGTCACCTCCATGACCCCTCTGTATGTTTATGCTCACATAATTCCATCATGAAAGATACAAAATTGGAGGTGTTCTTTTAGGTATTCTTTTTACATGTAACTCCTAATATTAGACAATAAATTATTATTATTTTTTTTGAGATGGAGTCTCACTCTGTTACCCAGGCTGGAGTGCAGTGGCACGATCTTGGCTCACTGCAACCTCCATCTCCTGGGTTCAAGTGATTCTCTTGCCTCAGCCTCCTGAGTAGCTGGGATTATAGATGTGCACCACCATGACCAGCTAATTTTTGTATTTTAGTAGAGAGGGGATTTCACCATGTTGGCCAGGCTGGTCTCAAACTCCTGACCTCAAGTGATCCACTGGCCTCAGCCTCCCAAAGTGATGGGATTACAGGTGTGAGCCACCGCGTCTGGCTAGACCATAAATTCTTTCATGAAATAACTTTCTCTTAGATAATTCTCCTAGAGAATATTTATTCACAGAATGAATCTTCTCCTTTCATTTTCATTTATTTTAAATATCTGATTTTCAACAAAAGATTATAAGACATGTGAAAAGACAGGAAAGTATGGTCCATATTTTTATAATGATAAAAGTGTCCCAGCCTGCCTAACATGGTGAAACCCCGTCTCTACATTTAAAAATACAAAAAACAAAACAAACAAACAAAAAAAACAGCCGGGCATGGTGGCGCATGCCTGTAGTCCCAGTTACTCGGGAGTTTTACCAGTCCTTTTAATTCTGAGGATTAGCTCATCAGCTCTGACCACAGTTGAACCAACTCCTAAAAGAAAAAAAAATCTACCCACAAAAATAAAAAATGTTTAAAAAGTGAAAAAAAGTTTCTAATCCAAAATCTTTGCCAGACTTATACTCTACAATCTCTCACAAATACTTCCATTAAGTAGTCTGAATTTCTGACTCAGACATCCATGATATATAGGAAAATGGCTATTGTTCAAGTCACTAAATTTTGATTTAGTTTGTTTTGCATCAGTAGGAAACCTTGAGGTTTACTTGAGGGTGTAAATTTTCATAACATACTGGAAAATCATTTAGCACTATCTACTAAAGTTGACTTCAACATGTCCTATCACCTATCATTTCCACTCCTAAGTATACACCTGAGAGAAATGTGTATGCATGTGAACCAAAAGGCAAATGCATGCAGGTTTATAATGACATTGTTGAAATAGCCAAAAAGTGAAGACAATTCAAATGTCTAACAATAGGACAACAGATAAAGTGTGTTGTTTATAAAATAGACAATAACAGCAATAATATGGACAAGCTGCAACCACATATGTCAACATGGATGAATCTTGCAGGCATACTGTGGAGAGAAGGACACCAAACATACCATAATGCATATCATATGCTTCCTTTTTTTTTTTTTTTTTTTTTTTTGAGGCAGGGTCTCACTCTGTTACCCAGGCTGGACTGCAGTAGTGCCATCACAGCTCACTGCAACCTCAACCTCCCAGGCTCAAGCAATCCTTCCACCTCAGCGTCCGAATAGCTAGGACTTCGGTCACGTACCAATGAATGTTTTTATTTTTTGCGGAGACAGGATCTCACTGTGTTGCCTGGGCTGGTCTCAGACTCCTTGGACTCAAGCAATCCTCCTGCCTCGGCCTCCCAAAGTCCTGTGATGATAGGCTTGAGCTACTACCCCTGCCCTGATTCCATTTTTTAAAAATGCAATAACAGGCAAACTAACATAGGAAATAGAATAATTCTCAGTCACCTTTGTGGAGAAAGAACATACTGACGGGCATGGGCACCAAATCAGCTGGTAATATTGTGTGAGCACTGGCGAAGAATGTGCAGTGAGTGGGTGTGTGCAGTGGCATGGGGTATTCTCTAGAAGCTGCTGGGGTCTGTAGGTTTGTAGTGTAGTTTCAGCCTTCTACATCCTTGTTGATCTTCTGTCCAGTTCTACCAGTTATTGAAAGTGCAGCATTAAAATCTCCAACTATTGTGCTCAAATGTCTATTTTTCCCTCCAATTCTGTCAGTTTTTGTTTCAAATATTTTGGAGCTCTGCTTTAGGTGTATATACATTTATAATTATGTCTTGTTTGTGGATCAATACTTTTTTTTTTTTTTTTTTTTTGAGACTGAGTCTTGCTCTGTCGCCCAGGCTAGAGTGCAGTGCTGCAATCTCGGCTCACTGCAACCTCTGCCTCCTGGGTTCAAGTGATTCTCCTGACTCAGCCTCCCAAGTAACTGGGATTACAGGCATGCGCTGCCATGCCTGGCTAATTTTTTTTTTTTTTTTTTTTTTGTATTTTTAAATGTAGAGACGGGGTTTCACCATGTTGGGCAGGCTGGGACACTTTTATCATTATAAAAATATGGACCATACTTTCCTGTCTCTTCACGTCTTATAATCTTTTGTCGACAATCAGATATTTAAAATAATATGCTATTATATAATATAATTACATATTATTTTAAATGGAAATAAAATATATTAAATATTTAAATATTAAATGAAAACCAGATTTCCCTCCCACTCCAGGGTTTGTTGTTGTTGCTATTTTTTTTTAAAGTGACTTCCTAAACTAATTCTGCAAAGTCTTCAATTCTTTTTTATATGTGACCATGGAAGTCTCTGCTCAGTTAGCTGGGTGATCAGCTAATGACTGAACAGAGATGTCCCTAAGTGCCTTGCACCTAAAAGTCCTCCATTCTGGTAGCTAGTCCTGTTCTTCTGTAATCAAAGCTCCATTATCCAAGACCGTTGTATTTGTATGACTTTACCTGAAGGTTTGGGAATGACAGACAGGGGAATAGAGAATAGTTGAAAGCAGCCAGCAACCTAAATTTCAATGTGAGTCCTCACTGTTTTTATGGACCTTTCCTTTCCCTGCCTCTTGTTAGTGTCTTTGGATTCCCTATTCCTGCAAGGTTTCTGGGCTGCTTCTTCTCTTTCTAATTCCCTCTCTACTTTCTCTCCCAGTGTCCCAAGCTTCTCCTCAAGAAGCCAGAAATGAATGTTAAAATCCTATAAGATCAGTATTAAATAGAATAATTTAGTTATCTTTATCAATATCTTTCCCCATTTGAACTAGCCCAGGGCCTGCTTTCATAATAAAACAGATCCCTTGAGGTGTTTTCCTAAATAAAAGAGCCACATAACTCAGAGGGGAGATCCTCGTGCCACTCTTCTGAAAGGTGAAGTGGCTGAAGTATACGTTTTGTTATTACATAGCATTTTTTTCCTTTAAGTTATTTTGTTTGGTTTTGTGAGAAATACTCAAAAGACTCATTTATCTCTATAATC